>NC_000023.11:103087542-103712542 GCF_000001405.40 Homo sapiens | reverse complement strand
AATAAATAAAAAGAGATTGCTTTGAGTAGTAATTGCTCCCCCACAACCGGGAGGAAGGTAGCCCAGGTTGTCATACACTAATTGGTGGTTAAGAATTCAACAATCAGGCATTGGTGTCTTTCTAGGGGAGCATTATAAGAGGACCCCCATAACTAAGTTGGAATTGAGAAACCACCACTTGCCTGTTCTGACTGTTGGATTTCTTCTTCTTGATCTTCATTGGGTGCATTAGAGTTGTTGGGCTTGAGTTGTTGTTCTCCCTCACTCTTTTCTGTTAACCTCATTTCTTCTACAGTAAAGTGATCACCTGGGGAAATATAAAAGAAATCTTGTCGTCATGACAACAGAGGCAGTTTACCCCCAATTGCCCAGACAATAGGTGCTAGGTAAGTTGTCATGACAACAGAGGTGCCTGGGCCAGCCTCACAGAAGCAAGTGTCCAATTATGAGCAAAGCTGAAAGGCTTAACTGAGCTACATACTGGTTGCTTAACCATTAGAGACACAGAGTTCTGGTCTGTCTTCAGCTCTGACTCCATGTTTTCTGTCTAATCTGGAGGCTCTAAAGCCAGAGAGGCAAGAGCATAATGACCTCTGGGGGATGGGAAACAATGCTGTGAACCCACTCTTAAAATCCTGACTCTAGCTTGTCTGGGCCACACTAGCACAAGGAATGTTCTCTCCTCAACACACCACCTCCCACCTCAGCTGCTCCAGGGGCACCCCTACCGTATGTCCGCACTAAAAATATCTCACAAACTACCTCCTTGGTTTCATGTCCCTTGCTAAGGTTCCTTTCTGCTGAGGGCAGGGCTCCTGTCTCATCTAGTGGTTTGAATTTATCAGTCCCTACCCTTTAGTCCTTTAGTTGGTCCCTGGGCAGTACGCCCTCTAGTGGACTAATCCACAACTACATGTCCTCGAGTAGGACTCATTCTTCAAGAAACCTAAAAGCATTTCCTAACCCATACCAAGGGTTAGAAAAATATGTGTATACACCTAGCAGAAGGGCAAGAAAAAAGGACACTCCATTTTCTTTTTTCTTTTTTTTTTTTTTTTTGAGACGGAGTCTCGCTCTGTCGCCCAGGCTGTAGTGCAGTGGCGTGATCTGGGCTCACTGCAAGCTCCGCCTCCCGGGTTCACGCCATTCTCCTGCGTCAGCCTCCTGAGTAGCTGGGACTACAGGCGCCCGCCACCACGCCCGGCTAATTTTCTGTATTTTTAGTAGAGACAGGGTTTCACCGTGTTAGCCAGGATGGTCTCGATATCCTGACCTCGTGATCCGCCCGCCTCGGCCTCGCAAAGTGCTGAGATTACAGGCGTGAGCCCCCGCGCCCGGCCAGGACACTCCATTTTCTAAGCTAACTGTCCCCACCCCCTCTTTAGCTGTGTCGAACAAATCTGCCTGCAGGTACCAAGATCTTATCTTTATAGGAGTTTTGATCTTGGTGCCTTCTCAATGCCTACCTTGGAAAAAAAAAAGCAGACTGCCAACCAATCCAGAGTCCTTTCACCAGCTAAGTTGCCTGTATGGATGTCCCAGCAACAAAAAGGCTGCCATTGTTACTGTAGAGCTATTCCAGGTTGACTCTAGTCCCACCTCCTTTCCTGAACTCCTGCAACCCGCAACTGCCTGCAGCCTGTCCCCTCCTGCTCATATATATAGGCTGATCCTGAGCTCATAATGGAGTCTGTCATGACCAGTGCTCAATTATTACAAAGTTACAACAGCAGCCTGGGCCTTGCTTAGGACTCTGGGGCCTGCCTAAAAGTGGGCTGAGGCTTTTTTTAACGTGAATTATTATTATTATTAACGTGAATAAAACTGAAAATCAAACCCGTGCCATTCGTCATGTCCTTTTTTGAGTCTTCTAAAGTCACTGTTATCCCAGGACCTGTAGCAGGTATTTTGGAGGCACCAAGCAGGCTGAAAAAATTGTTGGAGAGTTCATCCATTTCTAGAACCTCTGTCCGGGCCCTACTGCTCCAGCTAGGGAAAAAGAATTCTTCAGTCTGAGAGGGCAGGGAGAAAATCCATGTGATCTCCAGGGAACCCTTAGCCAAGAGTCAGTTAGGAGTGTTCTAGGAACCAGCCAGCCATTCACATCTTTTCTTCTCAACTCTCTCCTCAACCAACAACTCCATAGCATGGTGGCCCCCTTTCATGTCACTGCCTAAAGTGGTTTACTTTTTACCCATGCAATCCTACACTGTCTTCCCGGCTAGTCCATAAGCTTCCCCAGGAAAGGGAAGCTCTTTTTCATCTCCTCAGCAGGCCTTAGCACCAGGCTCTGGACACAGCAGTCATGTAACCCAGCTCACCAACTTTTACAGGCTGATTGGAGAGGACTGTCTTTCAAACTGGACAGAGCAAAAGCTTTGCCATGATCAATAGAATAACTTGATAACTGGAAGAAATTTCAAAATACTGCCCAGTCCTCTCAAGGGCTTGGTCCCAGAACCCTGCCCACCTCTCTTCATCCTCCAGCACCCTCTTCATTCCCCATTCTCTAATCCCTTTTTTTCTAGCCCCTCTCACTTCAATACAAATCACTCTTTCCCATCTCCACACTTTACCTCCTACACTGTGCATTCCCTCCTTAGCGTGGTTTTGAGATATCTTCCCTCTCTAGCTTCTCAGTCCTTCTCCCCTATAGATAGCCAGGGGAAAAAAAGTTCTATTTTAATAGGCATGTAAGCCACAAAGTGGTATTTAAGGCTCCAATGTTCCTTTCCAGCACACACACACACACACACACACCCCACACACAAACACCCCTCAGAATTTGGCCTAAATAGAGAATACCCAAATGCAGGATGCCCCACCCCTGGATTTCAAGCCATTCATCTTTGCTCCTCCAGCTACAACAGGTGCAGTATGTTAAAGTCACAAAAAGCCAAGACCAGCTTACTCTGTTGGCCATATTTTCTCTCCTGTGTGAAATGGCTTTTTCCAGCCTGGGAAATGTGTCCAAATAACTCCCTTTAGATTTATTATGATTGGAGAAAAGGGAAAATAATTAGATCTATAGAAACAGAAATAGCAGTTGGATCCAACTTTCCCCCTCAGAGCTTTTTTGCCAACATCCTTTGCTTACATCCTCTAGCCAGGGTAGGGCTCAGGGGATCAGGGTGAGTACTGGGCAACAGGGTCATCTGAGGGACCCTGAACTGGAAATCAAAGGAGAAAACCATTTTACTTACTCCCCTCATTTTAAAATTATTGCAAAATATTTTGTTTGCCTCTGGTTCTTCACCTCGAAAATGGGTCCAGCACAACCTCCTTTGTCAGAATAGTGTAAAAATGAATTACAGAGTACATGTGAGGTGAACCAAGGCCTGTCTTTATGATGACAGGTCAGTTTCTAGTCATGTCATTATCAAGGGTTACTAGGACCTACAACACCAACATCTCATACACAAAGCCACTTTTCTTTTTTTTTTTCTTTTTCTTTTTTTTTTTTTGAGATGGAGTCTCGCTCTGTCACCCAGGCTAGAGTGCAATAGCGCAATCTCTGCTCACTGCAACCTCCGCCTCGTGGGTTCAAGCGATTCTCCTGCCTCAGCCTACTGAGTAGCTGGGATTACAGGTGCCCGCCACCACGCCTGACTAATTTTTGTATTTTTAGTAGAGAAGAGGTTTCACCATATTGGTCAGGCTGGTCTCGAACTCCTGACTTCGTGATCCGCCAGCTTCGGCCTCTCAAAGTGTTGGGATTACAGGTGTGAGCCACCGTGCCTGGCAAAGCCACTTTTCAGTGTGTTGCCATAGCTGCAGAGGTCCCACGATAAAGACCCTGTGGTGTCCCTCTAACTGAGAGAGACAGAGTGTTTAAAATCTACTTTATCCACATTTTGTATATATCTATGTCATACCTATACAATATACACATATTTTTTTCTTATAACTTATAATAAATACCTCAGGTAGCCACAGGATGACCAGCTCTTCCTGATTTGCCTTGCACTTCCCCAGTTTCAGCCCTGAAAGACCCAAGTCTTAGGAACACCTTCCGTTCTGGACAAACCGAGATGACAGTTTGCATCGTCCTCCAAGAGGCCATTGCACTTCAGGTGATTTCTTAGATACCTGAAACTTTGACTCTAAAACCATGAATACTTTAAGAAATTACCACCATCTTTGAAGGAAGCATTTCTCAACCCTGTCCTTTAGAAGTAAATAAAATTAGGCTTGTTAGGGTTGCATATAAAATAAGACTAAATAGGCTGTGAATGGGGGCCTGAGGGCCTCATATAAGTAAAGCTCTCTCTATTGACACTCAGAGGTTTTGGTTCTCTCTCTCTCTCTCTCTCTCTCTCTCTCGCTCTCTCTTGCTCTCTTTCTCTCTCAACTTTATCTTTCTGTCCCTACTTCCTGGCTCCTAGCTGCGTTTAGCTACTAAAGGTTGTCAGCTAACTATTGGAAAATGGACTTTTGGCAGTCTGCCGCATTACTTAGTGCTTATATAAAATTTACCCCTCACTGGGCATGTGTTTATCCTAATTTGGATAACTCATTGGGTTATTTAAAACTTTTGGAATTTTCAGTTTTAAGTTGAGATAAATTTTAAAAGATACGATTCAAAAGGGGAATGAATTCTGAAGCTTTTGAAAGTCATTAAAGTCAAGTTTACTAAGACTGAATATCTCAACTTCACTATCTAATAGTTTTGTTGTTTTGTTTATTACCAGTCAGAGATAACTTGACATTGAGATGTCCTCTCACAGTGGCCGGCACTTCACTGGATTTTAGATAACTCTAAATGATGTTTTGCATTTTACATGGGTAGCTTAGAGCCTATCTGCCATGGAATCATGACATACACTATATATAGCACGTAGAGCTGCTTAGCATACATCTATCTCATGAGTAGTGTTGTGACCATAAAAAGCATGCAATGGGCCTGTGTACCCAAGGCACCTTGTCTGCATAACATTCCCTATGAGATATTGATGGGTGGTCTGTTCTCTATCCCTCTGCCTTTGAGCTTTGACCTCAAATTCTGCCGTTTCTTCCTTGTAATTCCAGGAGGAAGATATCATCCAAGAAAGTCGTTTCTATTTCCGTGGCTATGGCTTGGGCCACTGCCTGCAGGCAAGAGATGGAGGTCCAATGGAAGGTTCTGGCATTTATAGTCCCCAACCTCCAGCCCCTCTTCTAAGGGAAGGAGAAACCACGCGGAAACTCTACGTGGACTGAGCCAAGAGAATTGACACCATCTCCCGGGCTGTCTTCCCTTTCACTTTCCTCATCTTCAATATCTTCTACTGGGTTGTCTATAAAGTGCTATGGTCAGAAGATATCCACCAGGCTCTGTGAATAGGGTGGGAGCTATAGAGTCCTGCTGCTGGCCTCCTGCTTCCTCCTGGGTGGGCTTTCTCCCTCAGTTAGACTCCATTAGGGGTTTGGACAGTTCCTTCCTGATCTCCCACTCAGAACTTCAACTACCAGTCCCAAAGCTATGTGGGCCTATATTGCATGGTGCCAATGGTGGCTGTACTTATAAAGATGGCTTATCTACCCTAGTCCATATTTTCTCCATACTTTCCCATTTCTCATGAGACTAAGGTTTGGCCACATTCCTGGGGCCAGGATGACCTTCTGCCCTTGCTGGAGCCTCCCTGTTTTCCAATACTCCAGTGGAGAGTATTCAGAACACTGCTGCTAGATTCTGGCATTTGTCATCTTAATCTGCACCACTTCTCCCCCTGCCACCTCCCACCCAGAGCCTGGCCATTACTCTGTCCTCTGTCCCTCCTGCTGCAGATTCAAATGGTGAGTTTCTCCTATCCACAAGTGCTGCCCTGTGGGGCCTAGTCAGGTTTCCTTGAAGTGAGAGGAAGGCAAAGCCGCAAGTTCCCCACCTCTCGAGAGGGTTGGAACAGTCATAGGCTGCACTGGGCTAGCGACTATATGGCCCAACAGAGAGGTGTTCAAGTCTCTTGGGAAGCCCCACACTTTGTCTTCATCCCTTTTCCTATTGCGCTTGTCTGCTCTTTCCTGTTCACTGAGATACTCCTCTTGTCTGTCTCTTAGTTTTGAGGAGAGCGTTCTGAGCTGACCAGGGTAGCTGGTTCAGAAATTACTGTCAGAATTGGGGCAGAGACTTTGGGTTCTCAAAAAGACTAACCTTCCAGATCCACCTGAACATTCTGGTCTCAGAAATATTCGTTCCGTTCCCTAATTAACTAGCATGATGGCAGGATCTGTTGGACAGCTGGGGAGTGTAAAAAAAGAAAAATACTTGTTCTTTAAGAAACTTACTTTATGATGCTAGAAAACTTTTGAGAAAAGTGAGATCCAAGGTAGTGGAACCCAGGAGGAGTAGAATAGAGAAACTATTCTCAGAGTGTCTTTTGTTGGCTGGGCTTTCATTTGTTTCTTCTTTCTCACCAAAGTCTATTTTCCAGGGCCCTTCATTTCCAACCTGGTCTTTCACCTCCTTTTGGTGTGCAAATAAAGGTGCCGCTGCAACCTTGTTAAGGATAGAATGGGCTTCAGGTTTGCTGGGGAGGAACTAGGCACGTAGAAGACCCCTATACTAGATCAACATTGATTTGACCAACATCAGGGTAGAAGTTGTAGAAGTTAAAGAGCCATAATTCAGAGTTGTTTCTTCACCCTTCTTGCTCCACAAGGAGAAGCAGTGAGTAGGTGTAGCAGTCAGTTGAAGCTACCAGAAACGTCAGAATAGAGAGAGTTGGTGTGGAAGAGCCCACTTCAGGCCTGACATACCACTGGGACATGGGGAAGCATGTGCCTGGCACACTGAGACCTTTGAAGTGACCAACTGTGAGTAACTGAAACAGGAGAGATTAAAGTGTGGGACTGACACTGGAAGAAAGAAGTGATCAAATGATCTCTTAGACATCTTGTCCTTTTCTCTGGACCTAGAATAATTAAGCACATAAGTCCAGTCTCTCTCTCTGCTTCTCTCTTTCTCTCTCCTTTTCTCTCTCTCTTCCTCCTTCCCTCCCTCCCTCCCTCCATATGGTGATCCAAATTGAAAGTCAATAAATCCAATGGCCAAAGCTAATCCTATAATCAAACCAAGAGCTTGATTTGTCTTTATCCCTTTTCCTATTGCACTTGTCTGCTCTTTCCTGTTCACTGAGATACTCCTCTTGTCTGTCTCTTAGTTTTGAGGAGAGCATTCTGAGCTGACCAGGGTAGCTGGTCTAGAAATTATTTTTATTGGCAATATTATAACTCTGGTGCCAAGCAGATTTAAAACAAAATAACTGGCATAAGGGAGCAGATTGAATTGAGAAGGGCAGAAAACCCCTGTTTTCCTATTTCTGCCCAGGTAGTGCCAATCAATGAGAGGCCACAAGCAATACTCCTTTGAAAGGAGCAGAGAGCATCTCTTTGATACTCTCCATGGAGGGGCTGGGGTGTCAGGCTGCTGCAGCCCGAAGGCGGGGGTAGCGGGGAGGGTGGACTATGGAGATGAGCTTATTGCACAGAGCTCTACTTGTTATAGATCTTGTCCAGATGGGCCAACTGCACAAATCTGCCCTGTTGGAAGTCTCAAGAACAATGCCCTGGAGACAGCTACAGCACTGAGCAATAGAGCCTGCCCAACTGGGACTCAGATCAGGGCATCAGCTGGTGCTGGGAGCCAAAGAAGCCAAAGTACCAACCAACATAATAGCCCACAGGAGCACACAAAGCCACTCAGAGGCAATGCCAGGTGGAAGGTGCTATTCCTCCCCATTGGAGCCCCCAAGCAGGGAAGGGAGATGCATGGTGTCAGAATCAGGTGCAGATGACTTTCATTTTCCTCACCCTTCCCACATATGTACAGGGGCTGGGAAATACTGGGTCTCACTGGGAGCATCTGTCACCTAGCAATCTCTCAATCATACAATAAAAATTGAACCCTTCTTACCACAGTGAATTGGCAGGAGGTCACAGGAGGCTCACTTGGAGGTTGCTTCCATTTATCATCATTCTTATAGTACTTACCCCTCCAGAGACCACACTACCTTCTGCCTAGATCACATCTGAAGTGATGTTGAGATTTAGAACAGCATTTTTTAAAGAGGAAAAACTTCCTACATAAATAAAGTGTTTTGGGTGTTTTCATTAATTCATTTTTAATATTTAATGCCAGCTAAATATTTTATACATATATTTTTCCAGGGAAAGCGCTTTATTTATTCAGTTGTTGTTAAGGCTATCAGTCCCTCCATCTTCCCTTTGGTTTGCTCTGCTCTCTGGAAAACCACTGGTCTGTCATCTTTTATTGCCTCATTCTACAAGCACAGCCTCTTGTTCTCCCAGAATTCACAGGCAAAGCAAAAAGAGCTTTCTACATGGAAGAAAGGTAGTGAAGAAAATTTATTCCTTTAGCTTTCTCCCATAAGCATTTTTCCCTACCTGTCACCAAAGAATGGGCATGCTTCTAGTTGAAAGGTTATTTGACTCTTGAAGTTATTTTCTCTTTTCACTGGGCCATGCAACTATCTCAACTTTGTCCAGAACATATCACCTCTTGGGAATCTTCCTGTGTGTTCCCACTTGCCTCTCTGCACTCTCAATGGAATATTATTATCTTATCATTTCTTGCTATCAAAATCTTAAATTTGATTTCACTATGTTAGGATTAATGGTCTTCCTAGGCTGTGCTGCTAATGAAAGACAAAATCAACCAAGCATGGGAACCACTAGGGAATTAGGAAGCCAGGTAGCATTATCATCTGCTCAGTGGAGGAAATGTAGAATAAGCTCTTTGACGGCAAGGACTGTGTCTTATACACCTTTTTTTTTTTTGTAGAGACAGGGTCTCACTCTGTTGCCCAGGCCGGTCTTGAACTCCTGAGCTCAAGGGATCCTTCCCCCTTGGCCTTCCAAAGTGCTGGGATTACATGGGTGAGCCACCATGCCTGACAATCATACAACTTTTTAGCTCACATAGCTCCTGGTACCTAGCAACACTCAGTAGGTACATGTAGAATGATAGTGTGACTTCCCATTCGGTTTACTGTATACTACATTCATTCTCTTTCTGTGAACTTATTGGTCACAGAAAAAATAGACCAAAAAGAGATTTTATAAAACCAGATAGAGTTCACACACACACACATGCATGCATACATACCACACACACAAACTGCTCTTTGGGTGTAACAGAACCAAAGCTAAGAAGACAGCAGAACCTTGTAAATTGTATCCCTGAATTAAGAATGACAATGTTCTCAAGCGTACAACTTCCTAAACACACTGCACATGCTCACTTCCCGAGGGTAAGGAGGGCACTGTGCATGCAGGCAGCCCACCCTAAGGGAAGAATCATGGGAAAGGGGCGCAAGACACCGGAGGTGGGCCAGCCTATAAAGTCCTAGGATCATGGTTAAACGGGGCACTTGTTCTTCAAGTCGCCCACTTGGATCTCTTCAAAGTGCACTTTATTTCCTGCTTTAAAGCTTTTTAATAAACTTCCACTCCTGCTCTGAAAAAAAATGATAATGTTCTGATTAAACATTAGTAATATTCCAAATCTGAAGACTAGTATCAAGCTATATTTCAAAAACCAATCACCCGATAAAAGCCCTGGCAGTGACTAGTGAGTACAGTAGCAGGGATTTTGGCCTCTGCATGCTCCACACATTGTTCTCACTGGAAAGCCAGTCATCTCTGAGGGGATAGCAATTAAGCTGGTCTTCTCAGCTCACACTCTTCGCTACATGATGAGACTTCACAACTAGGATAATGCGTACAGTCTATGAACTTGGGCTGGTGGTATCAGAACAGCTTGTTAGGAAATCCTAGAAGGGCATCTGAGCCAGGGGCTTTCTCCCTCACAAAGCATTCTCTTCATGGAAGGATGATGAAGTAAATCTTATGTCAGGGAGCCACCTGAAGAAGTCACATGAGAACTCAGCTATTGTCACTCTGCCTGTGTAGCTCTGTTTTTCTCAGTCTCTGCTTTCACCATGAGGCTTTCTACAAATATCCTGGTTGCACTATACCGTATGGGGCATTACCAAGGAAGTACATGCTCTCACTATCAATTTTATGGAATAGGGAAAATTCTTACCATCATCTAAATTCAAGGAACATTTAGCCTTACAGAGCTGGATCGAGAAAAATGCACACATATTCTTTATTTTAATAGCTTCTATTCATGACAGTGTAGTGATTACTGGTGGCTTTGGTACCAGACAGAGCCTGGGTTTGAATTACAATTCCAGCACTTACTAGATATGGGTTCTTGGACAAATGACTTCACCTCCCTCAGTCTCAGTTTCCTCCTCTAAAGGGACATTTGAAGGCTCTGAAATATCCAGCATGCAGTAACTATGTGGCCTTGAGTAAATCATCAAATTTTTCTGTGCTTCAGCTTTTGCATCTGTTAAATGAAAGCAATAACAATACCTACCTCATAGGGTTGTTGTGGGAATTAAATGAGATAATGCAGTCTGGGCACAGTGGCTCACGCCTGTAATCCCAGCACTTTGAGAGACTGATGCAGGAGAATTGCTTGAGGCTAGGAGTTCAATACCAGCCTGGGGAACATAGAGAGATCCTGTCTCTACAAAAAAAATGTAAAAATTAGCTGGGCATGGTGGTGCACATCTGTAGTCCTAGCTACTTGGGAGGCTGAGGTGGGAGGATTGCTTGAGCCCAGGAGTTTGAGGTTACAGTGAGCTGTGATTGCACCACTGTACTCTAGCCTGAGTGACAGAGCAAGACCCTGACTCAAAAAAAAAAAAAAAAAAAAAAAAAGAGAGAAAGCAAGAGATAATGCAGGTAAAGTGCTTTTTTGTTTGTTTGTTTTGTTTTGTTTTGTTTTTTTGAGAAGGAGTCTCGCTCTGTCGCCCAGGCTGGAGTGCAGTGGCGCGATCTCGGCTCACTACAAGCTCCGCCTCCAGGGTTCGCGCCATTCTCCTGCCTCAGCCTCCTGAGTAGCTGGGACTACAGGCACCTGCCACCACGCCCAGCTATTTTTTTTGTATTTTTAGTAAAGACGGGCTTTCACCGTGTTAGCCAGGATGGTCTCGATCTCCTGACCTCGTGATCCACCTCCTCGGCCTCCCAAAGTGCTGGGATTACAGGCGTGAGCCACCGCGCCCGGCTGGTAAAGTGCTTAAGTCAGTGCTTGGCAAATAGTAAGTGCTCAATTAAAGTTAGCTTTTACATGACCAGACTACATCATCATAATCTCTCTTCAAATTCCATGCTGTGAGTCTCACTTGCTAAGCCCACGCTCACAAAAAGGGTCAAGCTAAAATCACTTCTCTTTATATTTTGTTTCTCAACTGACACTAGGTTCTTCCTGCTGGCATAAAACGTGTTTAAAAACTATACAACCATGGAAAATGGCTTAATCTCTCTTAGCCTCAGCTTTTTCAGGTGCGGGGAAGAAAAGGAAGAAGGAAAAGGAGGAGGGAGAGGGGGAGGAGAAAAAGAAAAAGAGGAAGAAGTGAGTCTTCCATCTAAAAGAAAAAATAAGGAGACAAACTACTCTCCATTGGACCTTGAATTTCTCTCCATTGACCTAATTGACCTATTGCCCTCTTTTTATTCACCACCAAGTTTCTTTTTTCTTTGTTGTTGGTTTTTTTTTTTTTTTTTTTTTTTGAGATGGAGTCTCTCTGTTGCCCAGGCTGGAATGCAGTGGCGTGATCTCAGCTCACTGCAGCCTGTGCCTCCCAGGTTCAAGAGATTCTCCTGCCTCAGCCTCCCAAGTAGCTGGGACTACAGGTGTGTGCCACCATGCCCGGCTAATTTTTGTATTTTTAGTAGAAATGGGGTTTTGCCATGTTGATCAGGCTGGTCTTGAACTCCTGACCTCAAGTGATCTACCTGCCTCTGCCTCCCAAAGTGCTGGGATTACAAGTGTGAGCCACCACACCCGGCCCAAGTTTCTTAAAAGAAATGTCCTTACTAGCCATTTCCACATTGTCACTTCTACCATTTACTTCTTAACACACTGTAATCTATCTTCCGCCTTCTTCCCCCTACCCACCCCTCAAATGCTTTTCCCATATTCCTCATACTACCTTCTTTTTTTTTTTTTTTGAGACGGAGTCTTGCTCTGTTGCCCAGGCTGGAGTGCAGTGGCACGGTCTCGGCTCACTGCAAGCTCCACCTCCTGGGTTCACGCCATTCTCCTGCCTCAGCCTCCTGAGTAGCTGGGACTACAGGCGCCCACCACCACACCTGGCTAATGTTTTGTATTTTTTAGTAGAGACGGGGTTTTTTAGTAGAGACGGGTTTCACCGTATTAGCCTGGATGGTCTCGATCTCCTGACCTTGTGATCCATCCGCCTTGGCCTCCCAAAGTACTGGGATTACAAGCGTGAGCCACCGTGCCCGGCCTCCTCATACTACCTTCTTAATCGCCATGTCAAGTCAACACTTTTCTGCCCTAACCTTCCATGATTTCTCTGTAACATTTGTCAGAGTTGTCACACCTTCTTTGAGATTCTCTTCTCTCATGGACTTCATTCTCTAATTTCTTCTCTTGACCCTCTGCCATACCTTCTTATGTGTTCTTATTCTCCAGGATTTAATCTCCTGATTTCACTTCTCCTCACCACACGCCTACTGCTTGGCTGTTCTTGACTGTTTCCATGGTTGTGATAACCTATGTGCTGATGATTCTTACATTTCTGACTTCATCCCATGGGTACCTCAAGAGCCAAAAAATGGCCGGGCGTGGTGGCTCACGCCTGTAATCCCAGCACTTTGGGAGGCCGAGGTAGGCGGATCACCTGAGGTCAGGAGTTCTAGACCAGCCCGGCCAACATGGTAAAACCCCGTCTCTACTTAAAATACAAAAATTAGCCAGGCGTGGTGGCAGGCGCCTGTAACAGCTACTCAGGGGGCTGAGGCAGGAGAATCACTTGAACCCGGGAGGCGGAGGTTGCAGTGAGCGGAGATCGCTCCATCATACTCCAGCCTGGGGAACAAGATCGCAACTTCGTCTCAAAAAAAAAAAAAAAAAAAAAAGCCAAAAAACTCACAACCTCCTTCAAACTTTCTCTGCCACTCTGTCCTTCAACTTTCCTAATCTTGATGAATCATCTAAGCCAGAAACTTGGGAGTCGTCCTTGAAAACTAGTTCTTCCACAGCCCTCAGATAAAATCAATTACCAAGTCCTGCTGTGTTTACCGTTCAAATATTTCTGAAACTCCTGCCTCCTTCTCTATACTCCCTGACTTCATCTTGGTTCAATCTTTGACTCCAGTGTGGTTTCCTATCCTCCACACTATTGCCAATTTGGCCTTTCTAAAACTGTCTATTTATGACACTTCCTTGCTTTGAATCCTTCAACGGCTCCCTATTGCCTCAGGAAAAAGCCCAAGTGGCTTAAGTTGGCCTACCAGAAATTTTCTTCTCTGGCTCCTGCCAGTGACTCCAGCCTCTTCTCTCATCACTCCCCTCACTCCACTAAATGCATCCTTAATTTGGCCTTGCTGATCCACCCACAGATCCCTGAACCCAGCAAGCCGGATCCTGTCTAATGCTCTGTGCCTTTGCACATGCTGTTCCTTAGCCTTTCAACGCCTTCCCTTGACCACCTGAGGTATTCTATTCATCTGTCAAGGCTCTCGCCAGATATCATGTTTTCTGTGAGGCATTCTCAAACTGCTATGACCCTAACATCCAGATAGATTTAGGTTATCTGATAATGCCCTGTACATAGCTCTATATTTGTACTTGTAAGATTAGATACTGTTCTTTTGTCTATTTCCCTCACAGATAAATGAGTTTGAGGTCAGGGATTATAAGGTATTTATCTTTGTATTCCTCATACCAAGCTCATAGCAAGAAATGAATTAGTGTTTACTATATAAGTTTTTAAAAGTCATGAGTACTGTAGTTCAAAAAAATTTTTAACCACCCAATTGCTGTGCTAGTTCTCACTAACTATACTTTCTTTGCAAGGGTCGTGTCATGAAGTACTACACTATCAAGGTAACAAGTATCTTTGTGGTTTTTTTTTCCCCCCTTTTCAAAGCTCTTAAGTGCCATGTCATCCTCAAAGCAAACTTGAGGTAAGATAACCAGGTATCCATGTAACAGGTGAGGAAATGAGGCTGAGAGACCTTAAGGGACTTACCCAAAGTTACCTATTTCTCAGTACAGTACAATAATTTATCTATTTGGCAAAGGATTTTCAAAGTCATTTTCAAGGAGTCCTAGGGTTTCATGGGAAGGGAAGGAAGGACAGGCAGCCATACCCATCCCCCACACATATATACAGACGTTTCAATCTGCATAACTCCACTCTCAGTTTATATACTTGCTTTACCATAATATTTTCTTTGGAGTGAGGAGAGAGGATGAGAAGAGTTTACTGCTTCTTTAAAAAATTTGAAAATCAAAACTGCATCATCTATAACTTTCAATTTAAGCCATTTAACAGGTCAAGGGATGTTTCAGCTGTATTATTTGGCAATATTATAGAAAGATCATTTTTTGAGAATAGGCTAAAGTCAAGGGCTATGATGACAAAGGAATCTAACAATTGGGCATCTTTCTGACTCTAAGCCCCTCTTCAAGTTATCAACCTACAGAAGTCCTGAATACTTGTCACCCTACCTCCCCTTTTACTTACTAACAATGCCTGGCTAATGACCTCAGTCTTATCAGTCCTCAGTTTAATGCTAATCCTTAACTACTTCAGACAATGAGAATCATTGTTACAAAGACAGCCCTGACCATCAGAAGGGCAAGAATGCTTAAGACAATTGGCCACAGCAACACATTTGCTATCCTGACTGCATTTAACTCTCACCAATATGCCCATGCAGAGAAATAAACAGTTGGCTCTTTTAGAAAACAAATGTCTCATGGGATTTCCCATAAGACAACTGGCTCAACAGATAACAATGTCTTAGAATTTTAGAAACTGGCGGCTGAGCACAGTGGCTCACGCCTGTAATCCCAGCACTTTGGAAGGCCGAGGCAGGTGGATCACGAGGTCAGGAGATCGAGACCATCCTGGCTAACACGGTGAAACCCCTTCTCCACTAAAAATACAAAAAATTAGCTGGGCGTGGTGGCGGGCGCCTGTAGTCCCAGGTACTTGGGAGGCTGAGGCAGGAGAATGACATGAACCTGGGAGGCGGAGCTTGCAGTGAGCCAAGATCACGCCACTGCACTCCAGCCTGGGTGACAGAGCGAGACTCCGTCTCAAAAAAAAAAAAAAAAAAAAAAGAATTTTAGAACCTGGCACAGCAGAGCTAGAAGGGCCTTCCCAGATCATTTAGTCTAGTCTGCTCATCAGACAACATGGGGATACTGAGGGCTTGATTGGGCAAAGCTCAGGCCCTCAGTGTAGTCCCCCTTTTTTCTCAACTTAGTTGAAGCTGTGAAAGGAAAGAATAGAACAGGAAGGGAAAGACTAGAGTGTGTCATCATTTATTAGCTCCAGAGGCTCACTTCTGGGATGGCTCTGACTTGTAGACAGCAACAGATTCAAGGCCAAAGGTAATCTGCAAGGGAAAAAACTGTTTCTGTGATGAACATTCAGTTCCCAACCTCTGCCCTGTTCATCTGTTGACGACACTCATATTAGATATTCACAGTCCCCACAGAAACGGGATATAGCAAAAATCTTGGCAACAGTTACAATGATATTACAGGTGTGCAATGGTCATGCCAAGCTCCAAATAGCAGAAATTCAGGATTTCTTTCACCAGGGTTTCTTTGTGAATTTGTTAATCCCTTAGACTTACACTTCTTTTAGTCTTTGCGTAGCAGAAACACAACCTGTTATCATCATTTGATTGGCCTAAGCTTCAGGTTGGTCTATTAAGGAAGGAGACAATATGGTTTCTCGTGAATGTGTTGTTATTCTCCTATGAAATATACTTCACTGATTTTGGAGTTAACCCTTCCTGTCCCATCTCATTAGGATGTCAAATTCCAGGTGTATGAACTGTCTTCACCCAAGGCTACCTAACAGGCAAAAGTAATGAATCATGGAAGTTAATCTCATTTGTCTCCATCTGCTACATATAGTCTCTCTCCCTAACATCCTGGTGGTGGATTCATGTTTAGGGTAAAGGATTCAAGGGGGAAAGAGAGGGTCAAAACTAATGACTATATCTTTAAAGTGTCACTGATACCATGTATGATGTTATTCTTCAGCCAAGAGATATCCAGTTAGGACTTCAGCTACAAAATAGTATCTATTTCTTTCCTTCACCCTTCTTTGGGGGTGGGGGGTGTGAAGGGGTGAACGTGCACTGGCTCTCTGATGTCTTAATTTGCTACCCCCTAATTAGCTGGGAACTGAATCTGAGATGAAAAAACCATACCCTGGCATTAAGGGCTACCTCAGGGTGAGTGGGTGTCCTCTGATTATCTTTGGAAGGTTTCTTGGAGTTGCATTCTTATTTCAGCCCCCCTCAAAGTGCAAGGCAGTGCCTCTATTTTTAATGAGAAATCCAATTCTTTCTCCTGTCATTCCTTGAGTTTTTCCATGCTGCTTCACTCAAGAGGTGCACCTTGGTGGCCTGTTTGCCTTAGTAAGCCCAACCTAATAAGGTTAAGAAATGGCTGATGCCTAACCACCCTTCCGGATATTCACCACCCTGCCATTTAGCCTCCTCACAGAAAGGTAACAGTCTAGTGTAAACGGATATACTTATCCATCCTCTGAGTCTCACTGAGTCCCCAGTTTTACAGATGGTCCTGAAATTGAGGTCTTTTGCAGGCTCCAGTACCCTGAAAAGTCTCCATCACTGAGCCCAGGTAAAGCAAAGCCCTTCACTAGAAATTTGAAGTCACGAAGTGAGTGGTAAGTGTAAGGGGTTCACTCAGTTGTGAGCACCATCGAGGTAAGAAAAAAGTCTCCATCTGTAGCTATGAGCACAGCACTTGGAACAATGGAGGTGGGCAATAAATGCTAGCCCAACGAACAACTACAAATGTGGAAGTAAGTGTATTTGGCCATACTGCCAAATTTCTCTGGTTGGAAGGATCAATGAGTAAGTTTTCTTGTGTTTTTGGAGGAGGCAGTGGTGGGGGAAACAGAAAGGAAGAGAACATGAGTCTACAAGATCATTGGGAGGCCGGGTTTAGGGTAAGCTGAGGTTGGAGTTCTCTGGGTTTTGTTTGATCATTTTTTGCTTTGTTCTGTTTGTTTTGTCAGAAGGCAGGGTTCTCTCATGATTTTTTTTATACCCCTATTTAAAAACTTTTAAAGATTTCCCTTTGCACAGAAGTGTAAGATTAATCCTTCAGTTGGCTACTAATATTGCCTTATCTCCCTTGGATTTATTCACAAATTTTTGTGGAGTGCCTAACACAATATGCCAGGCACTGTGCTAAATACACAGATACATGGTGAGGAAGAAACATAACTCCTGCCCTCAGAGGGCTGACATTCTGGCAGGGGAGACAAACTTAGATAGAGACATTTAAGAAGTGACCAGAAGGAAAAGTAAGATGGAAAGAGGCAAGAAGGACCAGGAAGGCAAAGGAGAAGGAAGATGTTAGAGGTAGGAGAGTTTCCAAGAGGGAAGTGATGTAACAGATTTGCATTTGCAAAAAAACTCCGGCTGCAGAGTGGAGAACAAATTGTAGGGAGACATGAGTAGGTCATCAGGTGAAAATAGTGGTGTCTTAGAAAGGGGAAAGTAATGGGTGCTATGGGAACATAAAGCAAGAGTACTTAATCTGGCCCTGGAGATCAGGGAAGGCCTCCCTGAGGAAGTGACATTTAAGTGAGTTTTGAAGACTGGGTTAGCTGTGGTGAGGAACATGACGGGGTGAAGACTGAAGAGAGTCTGTGTCATACTAACTTTCTGCCTTCGCGAAGGCAGGCCTCATTGTTACTAACAATTTGGTCCTAGCCTGGAATGCCTGGTATCTTTTTTCCCTTGGCCAAATTGTGTCTATCTTTCTATAGCCCTCTCAAACTCCATTTTCTCTGATGATGACCAGATATGACTACTCTCGTTTCTAAACTCTTATTCTATGTCTGTCACTTAGGATTTAAAGTCTTACTATTGGTATTGTGACTTAAGGTTACACGTTTACAAACTTCTTGTAAGTTCCTTGAATTTACGAGCTGTCTTGTATTACTTTGGCATCACCCAGAGTATCTAGCCCAGTGACAGGCACATGAGGTATTCACTGAAAGAATGAATGAATGAATGAGGCACTAGAGTCCCTGCAAGCCTCCTTTGGTAGTTCACTATTATCTGTGAAGCTGACAAGGAAAGGGGTCTGCTTTCCCTATAAGATTTGTACTAAGTACTTGGATGCACAAACCTAAGATCTGAAATTGACAGCTCCTTCCCTCTGGTCACTGATTCTCACCCCCTTGCAATCCTGCCCACCCCTACCCACCACCTTCTATTGTTTCTTCTGTCTTCTGGTTCTCAGCCAGGATGAGAAAATGGTCTAGCTGTCCTCAGAGACTTACGCCAGCCTGGACTGCTCTGCAGTGCCATGAAGGGCCAGGACTTTTGTTTACAGCTGGGAGCATGGTGAGGTGGTGAGCACAGCTGACAGCCCCACTCTGGAGCAAACATCAATCTTCCTCTGTCCTCTCGGCCAAGTTTCACAGACCAGCTCTATTGAAAGCTGGCTGTACCGGCCTGGGTCTCATTGACGTCCTACCCAGAACTCTGGCCTGGAAGCAGCGGGGTGAATCTCGGCTTTGTACCTTTTAGGAACTGCCCTTGCTCCCTTCTCTGTCCCCAGTTTCAAACCATTTTATCTCAACCTCAGGACCTTGAGAGAACATGTGCTCTGATTTCCCCATGCCCTAAACAGTGCCCCACCTCTCCAACCATATCTGCTCACTCCCAGCAGTGTACAAACCCCGTCATTTGCTTAGTTACACAGTGAAAACACAACAAAGAACGAACAAAACCACATAGTTTTCAATGGGTACTCTATGGAACCCGCCTTTCCAAGCAGGTTCAGGTTGGACCTGGAACAGTCAGGTTCCAAGTCCTTGAAAGAGTGTGTGTGTGTGTGTGTGTGTGTGTGTGTGTGTGTGTGTGTGTGTGATCTTTGCCTTCAGGCAGCTTTCCCATTGTTTTATTGTTGTTGTTGTTGATTTTTGTGTATGGTGAGAGACAGGGATCCACCCCACTGTTTTAAAAACTGCAGGTCAGCTGGGCATGATAGCTCACGCCTGTAATCCCAGCACTTTGAGAGGCCAAGGCGGGCAGATCACCTAAGTCAGGAGTTCAAGACCAGCCTGCCCAACATGGCGAAACCCCGTCTCTACTAAAAATACAAAAAGTTAGCTGGGCGTGGTGGCCGGCGCCTGTAATCCCAGCTACTTGGGAGGCTGAGGAAGGAGAATCGCTTGAACCCAGGAGGTGGAGGTTGCAGTGAGCTGAGATCCGCCACTGCACTCTAGCCTGGGCGATAAGAGTGAAACTCTGTCTCAAAAACGAAAAACAAAGAAACAAAACAAAAACCTGCAAGTCAGATGGGGCCCAGAGCCTTCCAAGAATACCCTGAGGTCCTCAGTAAGGACCTCTTTGCCACATATTCTGCTCCCTGGTGTCCTCTGTCATTAGCAGCTTTGTCCTCTCCAGCACTCACCTGGGGTGAGAATGAAGCCCCATTACACTCCAAGTTCCATCTCCTGCCCCAATACTCCCTTTGCCTGTGCTTCTCTTCCTGCTGGCTAACAGTTTTTGCCAATTAGCTGAGGTCTGTTTCCATGGTTTTCAAGCTCCCTCCACTCTCAATCGCCCAAGGGATATGATATACTTCTTTCACCAATAGTGGTTCATTACAGCAAGACTTACTTGTGGGGTTTGGTGGAGGGGGATTGCAGGCAGAAGGATATTTCCCTTCTAGAAGACCTAACCAGAATTTTTGGCAAAGAGGCTTTTTCAATCTAAAACGCCCCCCTCCCCAGATTTTTACAGGGTATGTCTCTACTAAAGGGTGTACATTCTACCTAACCCCTTGGTTAATAAGTACTCTTCTAAAGAGAAACCCATGTGCGTTCTCTTCCTCAGGACTGATGAAGCACTTTAAAACATTTTTTGTCTTTTTAAATGTTTTATTATGGAAAACTTCAAAAATACACAAAAGTAGGAAAAACAGTCTAATGAACTCCCACGTAACAAGCTTCAACAATTTAGATGCAGCACTTTAACTACTACTGGTTTGTCATCTTTAATAACATGACAGCTTATATTTTCAAAAGGCATAGTTTTTATCATTCCCAGTGTAACGGGGACTGTAGGTGGAGGTTAGAAGCATAAGCAAATTTAACTCTGGAAAAATGACTCAAGGCATCCTCTTGAAGCAGTGCTCAGATTGTAGGACTCAGCATACACTGGAGGAAAGCGGTCCTCATTTCTGTGGGTTGGTATGTAGCATGGATGACTTTATATGATCATTCCAAGTGAAGTCTGTGGCTCAGGAAACTACAAATTTTGGTAAATTGTATGCTAAACTATTAACTCAGGAAGGGGACAACAAGGAATTATGTGTGAATCTGGCATCCCAAGGTCATCCAAGGACATTATTGATTAGGTTCAGGATCTCAGTGTTTTGGGTCATTTGAAGAAGTAATCTCATTCTGTCAAATGGGTAGGTCAGTCTCGGGGTGGGGATTTGTCAAAGGAGGAGAGAGGAACTAGAAGAAGACAGATACCCCTAAAAGGATAAAACTTTCCCATGACTATTTTCATCTTTGCCCTGGTCTCACAGGCTAGCAAACTAGATTGATTCAGACTACATTCCTGGACTGGCTTTATAAAATTCCTATGGAATGAGGCAGGTATAAATAGATAGAAATACGTCCTTATTAAAGAAATACCATTTGCTTAGCTGAAATATTAGGTTTTATTTTTAACCTTTACATTAATCAAACATTATTCAAAAAAATCCAATAAGCTAGTCAGAATCAAAATTTTAAAATATCAAATTAACCTTAGAATAGACCAATTTTATCTACTACCCAGAAACCATGGGAAAACACTGGTGTCTCTCTCCACCCTCCAGAACAGACTGACTGCTACCTTCCAGACCTAGGAAGGCTCTCTTAGTCATGAGGTAAGACAGGGCCAGCAGAAAATGTTGGGCAGGTTGCACCCTCCCCAAGGGTGCCCAACTAATAAGGTAGAGTCCAGGCTGAAATTCATTCTTCAGCTGTTCTGGTGAGGTTGCAACAGCCTACAGAAAGAAAAGTTATTTTTCTCATTGTTCCACTGGAATGGGCCCTTCTCTACAATTTCTCTGCCCCCCAGGTGACATGCTTTTCTAATTAGCACAAAAGCAAGGTATGAGCTAATGGTGGCCTTGAAAATTAACACAGGGTTCTCAGAGCATTGCCTGTCCTTTGAAGGCTGGGACCATAAATATTCTCTGTCTGGCCTTGGAGCCAAACAAACATTGACCTAAGCTATTTTTCCATTCCAGTTGAAACAGACTGTGAAGACAGCGGTTCAGCTATACATTCAAAAGAGGAGTAATTCCCATTTTCTGAGGACCCACTAGTAAGTGGAGGTGGCAGGGGAGTATTCACATTTGAGGGAGTAGCATGACATAATGGGAAAAAGCCTGGGCTTGGTCTGCCATTTACTTGCTGAGCAACTTGGGGTATTTATTCTCTGGGCTTCACTGAGGATTTGCTAAGATACCAGATGTAAAAAGCTGGGCACAGTGCTATGTGGCACACAGGAGACATTCAGTTCCTATGCCTTTTTCTGCTACCACCCTGATTCCAAAGTTAATTCACACTGTTCACATGCTTGGCCTTGAAACCTCACTCAGTAGAGTAAAGCATAATGATGGGTATACTAGACAGAATGTTAGAGCAAGAGTTAGGAGATGTGGGTCCCGGTGCCAGATATATCCCCTATCACACTACCTTGGGTAAGTTACTTCCCTCTCCCAACTCCATCAATAAAACAGGAGAACACCCCTAGCTCTGATGCTGAAAGAAAAAAGCAGACGAGATCACTTTTCTCGGGCATCTGCCATGAGATATGCACCGTGTTAGGCCCTTTTATATACCTTATATCCTCTAAATCAGCACTGTCCAGTAGAACTTTCTGTGGTGGTGGAAATGTTCTGTATCTGCACTGTCTAATATGGTAGCCACTAACTGTAAGTAGCTATCGAGCTCCTGGAATGAGACTAGTGCAACTGAGGATCTAAATTTTTAAATTTTACTGCATTTAAATTTAAATAGTCACATATGACTAATGGCTACAGTATTGGATAGTGTGGCTCTAAGATTATGAAATAGAAATATTTGTTCCCATTTAATATGTGACACTGAGGCTTAGAAAAGTTAAATAACTTAAAGTCACTTAACAAGTAAATAACTAAACCAGCTTCAAAGCCAAAAAGTAGAAAGCTTAGTAAAATAATATGGGCAGATATGCCAGGAATTATCCAGGTTCCACTATTTACAAGTTATATGACCAAAGATAAGTAATTACACACTGCAGAATTCACTTTCATTATCTATAAAATAATGATGATATCACCCAATTTGCAGGCCTATTGTTGAGATTAATGGGTGTATAGAGTGTGTGGCCCATAACAGGTTTTCAATAACTGTTTCCTCACCACCCTGATAACTTCAACACACATAGAAGAGATTTAGACATATGGCTGGGTGCAGTGGCTCACACCTGTAATCCCAGCACTTTGGGAGGCGAGGCGGGTGGATCACCTGAGGTCAGGAGTTTGAGACCAGCCTGGCCAACATGGTGAAACCCCATCTCTACTAAAAATAGAAAAATTAGCCGGGCGTGGTGGCACATGCCTGTAATCCCAGCTACTCGGGAGGCTGAGGCGGGAGAATTGCTTGAACCAGGGTTGGGGTTGGGTGGAGGGGAGGGCGGAGATTGCAGTGAGCTGAGATTGCAGTGAGCTGAGATCGCGCCACTTCACTCCAGCCTGGGCGACAGAGAGAAATTCCGTTAAAAAAAAAAAGAGATTTAGACATAAATAAAAAAGGCAACTGCAGAGTAAAGAGAACATTATTTGGGGAATTAAAAAACAAGAAAGAAAACATTTAGAAGCCTTGATGTGATATGCTATTATAGAATGGAGATGAGGAAGGGTATGAGAATGAAACATCGAAATATTTCCACTTACTTGGTTTGCTTTCCTGCACTCTTCTTGACACTCCAGTCAACATTAGCCAAAGCAGGGAACAAGATATTTCTAATGTATTTTGAGGCTTGGAAAGACAAGTCATCATGGTTAAACAACAGAGTACTATTAGGGGCTTGGGCTAGAGGCAGGTGAAGTTCAAATCCTGGTTCCCATACTTGTTGCGTACACTAAGAAAATAATTTGACATATCTACACATTAGTTTTTAATCTGTAAAATAGGACTGATAATATAGAGGGTGTCTGAAAACATATACTGTGCATCATTTATTATTTTGCTTTACATTCTGTAGCACCCTCTAGTGGTGTGTACAAAAATATGCATTGCATTTCTACTCTCCAAAGCAGTGGCTCTCAAACTTCAGTGTGTGCTGGAATCACTGGGATAGTTTGTAATAACACAGATTACTAAACCCCACCCTGCGAACTTCTGATTCATTAAGTTTGAGGTGGGACCTGAGAATCCGAATTTCTGACAACTTTTCAGGTGACGCTGATGTTTCTGGTACATCCAGGAAACACACCTTGGGAACCACTGCTCTAAAAAAATCCCTCCTGTGTGGTGTACAAGTATATAAGATAGATAATTGAAAGGGGTATGATTTTTGTTGTTTGACTTTGATCCAGTAGTGCTCATCTAATAAGGACTTGGTGATGAATAAAAAAATCAACGTGAACGATATAACACAGCATCTAAAATATAGAAAGCATACAAAAAAACTGAGGATCACAAAACATAAATCATTTGCCCAGGGTACTGAGACTAGTAAGTGGTGGAATGAGGTTTACAATTAGGTCTCTTTCTCTTACTCCAAAGACACAATAAAGTTTACCAATACCACTACAGAAAATAGGGTGCAAAAACACATATCTGATACAAATTTCAAGAGAAAAGGAAAATCAGTTTTCAATACCAGGGTCCAGGTTTTACTGATGAGTTCTTATCTATCTTTACTGACGGAACAGCTATCTGTATTTTCAGTTTGGGTGAGTTGCGAGCATTTGAAAAGGTGAGGAAAAAGGGTTAGGATCTTCAGCATCAGTGCTTGCGTCATTCATTAACTCTTTGATTAAACAAGGCAAGGACAAAAGAAAAGAGGGATGGAGAGGGGCCTTTTTTTTTTTTTAACCCAAGGAGAAAAGGAAAGAAATGAGCAAAATTATTTGGATCTTGGGTCACAGTCCCCTGCCTACTAGTGCTATTTACAGAAGTTGATTTTATTTTTTCCTAGGAATGAACGATATCCATGATGCCTATAGATATTACCGTTCAGCAAATCAGAAAGGGGAGGGGGGAGGGAAACAAAATCCCAGAATCCCAGGGACCAAACAGCCAATCCTTTGCTGGGATTTGGCGGCATCTAGTGGCAGACTCGAGAGGTATAAACCTTACTCACAGAACTTTCTGGAAAATTAACAGTGCGTATTTGCCTGAAGAAGGTCAGTGTGCTTGCTTGGAGATCAGGACGCAAAGGTAAGAGCGCCTCAGTCGCCACAGAAATCCGGAGTCCCTAACGGAGGGGAAGGCTGTCGTAGATAGATATTCTCACAGGAAAATTGTATTTGTGCCAAGAGAACTGCACGCAACCTTGAAGGGAGGGGGTAGGTGTGGAGGAGGGGAGGGAGGACGATACTAGAGAACTTGAAAGAAGCCTCCCTTTGGAGTTGCTAATGCGGCGATGGAAGGGTTTGGCTCTGAATCATTGGAGGGCTGTGGTTTACGATAGGATTTTGGCACGGAGGAAAACGTAGGAAGTGTATTTTTAAAGTAATTAAATCAGTACGGAAAGCCAAAATATTTCTGACAGTGCCCCTTTATCTGTTATTGTCGCCTTTCCTTAATTATTTATTTTCCTTTTCATTAGAACATTTTCAAATATAACACAGAAATAGATAACAACCTGCGCGCAGTAGCAAACCCCTCCCTGCACCGCCCCCACCATCACGCACGCGCGCGCGCCCGCCGTGGCTCTCACCAGTCCCGACGCCAGGGGCGCACGCCTGCGCAAACACAGCACCTCCCGAGCCACGAGGGCCGCTCACACAGCAACCCCAGCACCACGCGAGCCTGCCCGCGCACTAACACACTGGCCTTAATGCCTTGCGCCCGTTGCACTCACGACCCTCACTTGCAAACACAGCAGAACCCCCACTGCGCCTTTTTTTTCCGTGTTCGGGGAGTTGCGCCACAGGACTGGGGGCGTGGCCCCAGATTTGACCTCGCGCTTCCCCACTCGCGGGAACCTTAGCTCATTTCCGCCTATCCTATTTCCGCAGGCCACGTAGACACTTCCTCTCCCAGTGGGGGGGGAAAAAAACCACAAACCCATAATGCCTCCCTGCAGGAAAAAAAAAAAAAAGGAAAAGGAAAAAAAAAAACCCTCTGGTCAGAGGAACTCTGGGTCGTGAAATAGGCCACGTGAACATTCTGCCCTGTAGACTTATGACCCAACGGCTGTCACGCTTTTGGAGGGCGGGCTAAAAAAAAAAACCTAAGAGGGCGAACGTCATTGGCCGGAACTCGTACTAACGGAGGAAGAGGATTGGTTTGCTGTAGACCTTAACAGTGAAGAAGCAGGTTGCTAGCACCCGCCTTTACTGCGGCGAAGTGTCATTGCTGACGTGGGGGTGGTTGTCCAATCATTTGATTATGGAACATTCTAAAACTTAGACAAGACGATTGTGATTGGCTGAAGGGCATACGCCCTCCTCCAGGGTGACGTGTCTGCCTATGGATATCAGTTGCCAGAGAAACCTGGCTTTACTATGGCGGTTGGAGGAACGGCAGTGATCACACGTCGGCTGCTGGGAAGATCTGGATTCTCGTTTCAGGTTTCGGGGTGGGGGTGGGGAGAAAGGGTCGATGATTTCCTTTTTTCGTCGGGTATAGACGGGATTACCTAGTGCCTTCACAATCGGTCAGAGCTGGATTCAGATTCCTGCTCGCCAACGCCCAGCTTGGGCAAGGCTCCTGTTCTTTCTGTGTCTCGGTTTCCATGTTTGTAAAATGGTGATAATAATAGTATCTACCTCAGAGACGTGTACTGTATAATAGTGCGTATAAGGCACGTAATGTGAAGCCTGGCCCCTGAAGATATTAGCTATTGTTATGGAGATAAATAATACGCGTAATAGAATGAGAAAAATTATAAATTATATAAATTCGCTAATTGTAGTGCCCTTTCTGCCATCAACTTCTTTCCTAGAATAAATTAAAGATAAAATAGATATACCAATTTTTACCAATGAAATAATTTGTTATTTGGGAATTGCCTCAAAATAGCAGAGATTGTAATTTTCCTATATTGAAAAGTTAAATAAAAGGTGGGGGGGGGGGGAGTGCAAGAAAGAAAGAGATGGAGAACGAGAGCGAGCTGGAGATGAACCACATGCGATGAGTAGGCCTTGTTTGGATCCTGAATCGAACACACCAACTGTAAAAATATGTTTAAGACGCATCGGGAAAATTGGGACACGGATTCGATATTTGATGTTTTTTAGGGAATTGATGTCAGTTTTTTTAGGCGTCACAGTAGTATTGTGATTATGTTTTCAAATTGTCCTTTTTTGTAGAGACATACGAAAATATTTACGGATTAAATAATGTCTGGGATTGGCTTCTAAATACATTAATGACTAGGATTTGCTTCAAAATAATCTCAGCGGTAGGGGGAAATGGGGAGGGGTATAGATGAAACAAAATTGGCCCTAAATTAATAATATTTTTTTGCTGAGTGATAGGCAGTGGGTTGCGTATATTAATCTGCTTTCCTTGGTATACGTTTAAATTTTTCTATAATAAAATACAGAAGTCAGATATTCCGGTGAGCTTGAAAAAGTCGGGGGTGGGGGGGAGCAGTGGGTGGGGTTATAGATGAAACAAGATGGCCTTCAGTTGGTAATTGTTGAAAGCTGGATGATGGATTCGTGTAGGTTTATAATACTATTTCTTTTTTATTTCATCCATTTGAAATTATATTTAAGGAAAGTTAAAAAACAAATTTGTCAGAAATTATACAAATGTACAATAAATTAAATTTGAAAATGTGGCCACAAGAAAGGAAAAAGAAACACTTGTACATTATTTATCAGCTTTGGTGTCCTTTGTGTGTGATGAAATTGCATTGGCTGATGTAGAAGAAAGCCATATCTCATATCTTTTTATTTTATGTTCTTTCTTGTCCTTTTGTTTGACCTTCTAGGTCACCATCAGAAAAGCTAAGTTTGCTGTATAGTGAGGATCAGGAGATCTGATCCTGATTGCAGAACCTTCCCTGATTACAGAATCTTGGGTAAGTGCCTCCCTTCTGTCCTCAGTTCTCAAACAGGATAATACCACATAACCTTCCTAACTGTCCAGGAATATTTTGAAAATTAATAAGCTCCTATCTGGGAAAGTAGTCTAAATTCTGAGAAGGGAAGGGTGGAGCTAAGTCCATTGATAGTTCCAGTATAGAAAGTGCATAAGCAACAGAGGGCTTTGTAATCTTACATCCCTTGATAAAAGATACTACAGTCAATCTCCTGTAGTAGTTCCACAGTTCCATAGATTACATTTTTCCTTGGAGCATCCTATATGCAGCATAGTTTAGTGGTTAAGAGCAAATACTTCCTGAATTTAAATCCTGGCTCTGCCACTTAACTATGTGATCTTGGGCAAGATATTTACTCACTTTATACCTAAGTTCCTCGTATATGAAACAGAGGTGATAATAATAGTTCCTACTTCATAGGATTGTTGAGAGGATTACATGTAAAGTACCAGGACAGTGCATGGCACATGTAAGTATTTGCTTTAATAATAATTATGGTTCTGTTAGTCCTGATAATCTCATGTTTTATCTACACATTTACACCTACTTCTAAAAGCAGTGGATATATTTCTTTTTGGAATTGTGTAAAAAAAAAATAATAATTAATACCGTTGGTTTCTCTCCTCATTTTCCAGAAGCAGCAGTTACCACTAGAACTGAATTCCGAAATTATGACTTCTGGCTTGTCTTAACAATCTAGAAAGGTTTCAAATATATTGATCATATTTATTTATGAGGGAATTTCCAGGAGCTATAATTTTAGCTAGCAGTTCAAACCAAATTTATAAATAAGCAAATCTTTTCACTGAATATTCAGTCTGCTAACAGCTTTTGTATCATTCCTCCTTTGTCTCAGACTTAAAAAAAAAAAATCTATTACATGTAATGGAAATGTTTCAAGATCCAGAAGAGAAAATTGATATGAATGTAACTGATATGGTATATGTGCATTTAAAGGTTTATTCCAACAAAATGTTACTCACACTCTTTTCTGACACATGCATACACAAAAGATGTTAGCATTTGCAGTCTGATTCCCAAATGGCCCATTGCTTGTGTGGAGAGATGAAGTAGGATTTGAAGGTTTTTCAGCCTTTTGACAGCTACATATGGAGTCACTGTAATTTCCTTTTTTTTCTCTCTTCTGAAAAGTAGGTTTCGGAGGAGGGCACTGCCCTCCTGGAAGAGATGCATTAGATCGGTAGGCACAGAATACCTTTACATGAGACCATTTAGAGAATGATTAGGGGCCAAAGGTAAGGGGTGGACTGTTAAGCCAACAGGGACTCAGAGAAAGCAAGGGTCAGGGTGACCAGAAATAGAGAAAAAAAAGCCTCACAGAGGAAGAGGACCTGGACCTGAGCCACAGAGGATGGGTAGAACTTAGAAGGAGGGAATGAGCCCAGTCTGAATGATATGTCTACAAAGTATACAATATGCAATGATGATTAACTGAAAAATTGGGCTGGCCATTTGTGAGATCCATGAATAAAAGTAGATCAGAAAGTCAGTGTGAGTTTTAAATATATATATTTTATTATAAAACGTTAATCACATAATATGTGAAATCACTATTGATAACCTTTTCTATTGGTCCTAGTGTTTTGCTATTTAAGATAATACTGCATCAAATATTCTTAGTGTAGCCATCCATTTACAAGTGTTATTTTCAAGAGCAAAATTTATGCCTTTAAACTGTGATAATTAAATTAATACTGGTGAGAACTATCAGATATACCACTGTGACAGAACAGATGGCCTAGAGACAGTGATACCTTTAAAAGTTAAATAATTGCTGAGCGCGGTGGCTTACGCCTGTAATCCCAGCACTTTGGGAGGCCGCGGTGTGTGGATCACGGGGTCAGGAGTTCAAGACCAGCCTGGCCAAGATGGTGAAACCCCATCTCTACTAAAAATACAGGTGGGCGCCTATAATCCCAGCTACTCAGGAGGCTGAGGCAGAGAATTGCTTGAACCCAGGAGGCGGAGGTTGCAGTGAGCCAAGATCGCGCCACTGCACTCCAGCCTAGGTGACAGCGAGACTCCGTCTCAAAAAAAGAAAAAAAAAAAAAGTTAAATAATCAAAAATCATTCAGAAGAGAGTACCTTAAAAGACCCATATACCTCTGAGAATTTAGAATGTTACAAAACCGTATTTCATACCAATGGGGAAAGGATAAACTCTTCAGTGACGAATATTAGAAAAAGTTAGTTATACATTTGAGGAAAACTATAAAAGTACCAATAATGAGTAGGAAATCACTTCTGCAGTATTTTTGGAGCATTTTCCTTAAGCATGACATAAAAGCCAAAGGTCACAAGGGAAAAAACTGATAGATTTGTCTGTGATATTGAGAGATGTATGCACATATACATACAACAGTCATAGTAAGACACCGTTAGACAAAAGAAAGTGATGGTTTGGAAAAAAATTTCCAACATAAAATAAAACTAATATTTAATTATTAGAAAATAATAGCAAACAACCTGGTAGAAGAGAGAACAAAAATATTCATATACGATAACGTGACCATTGAATGTGTGAAGGATGATATCACACAAATTCAAATGAAATTATCTTACTACATGTTAGATTGGCCCAAGAAAAGTCGCTCTCCTTTTTTTTTCAAAAAGATGTTTTTCCAGTGTTCTTGAAGTCATGAAAAAATGAACTTTTATATTTTTGTTAGGAGTACAAATTAAAACAGTTCTTTGTGAGGTGAATTTGGCTCTATCTCATCAAAGTTATAAATAAGCAAATCCTTTCGCTAAATAGTTCCTCTTGGAATATATCCTTCAGAGGTACTTAACTAATGCTCTAATATTTGTATACACTGATGTGCATTGCAGTATTTTTGTAATAATGAAATATTGGGAACAACCTAAATGTTCAGAGACTGGTTATAGTACATAACATTATAGAATGTGTTATGAATATTAAAAAGAAGAGGTAGGTATGTACTGACATGGAAAGATGCCTATGAGAAGTGAGCAAAGCAAGGTGCAGAGCAGTATGGATCTCACCTTTGTCAAAACAAATTAAATAAATGCATGCTATATATTCACATACCTATGTGTATAATATACACATTGAGTCTTTAAAGTTACATTTTATGTGAATGTACATGAAAAGATTTGAAGGCATACATGCTCACTCAGGATACTCCTAGGATTGGGGTGGGAGAGGGGGAGGTGATAAGGGAAGAATGTTCACATCTTTATATAATTTGTTATCTATAGTTATAAAAAGGAAATATAAATGGTACCACAAGATCTAATTACTTGAGGTGAACGAAGATTGTCAGTTCATGACTTGCAAACTACTAGATGGATTAAGGAGTTATAAAAGAAATCTATCAAAGTATTTGTTCTTAATTTTTAAACTTAAAAATGAAAGGAAAAAAAATTTTTTAAATGATCCCCAGTACTGGTCAGAGCATGAGGCATAGTAAATATTTTTACACACTGCTTGTGGGATTAGAAATTGGCACAACTTGTGCAGAGGGAGTAATTTGGCAGTGTATTGAGAGTGTTCTATCTCTTGACTCACTAAGCCCGCTTCTGAGAGTCTTAAAGGAACAAAAGGAAGCGAGAGCAAAAAAATGTTTACACAAAATGTTTTCATTGATTATTAAAGAATATATTGGTGGGAGGTGTGCACTGGATATTTCCAGGGAAGGAGTGGCTAAGTAAATTAAGGTATGCTCATTTGACAGAATATCTATTATATGACTCAAAATGGATGCATATAATAACCTTAACATGGGAAGATTATTGGTTATCATAGTAAATTTTTTAAAAGGAAAAATCTAAGATTTGATAGCCCTTATGAGCTCACCTCTGTTTAAATGTATTATTTATACAGAGATTAAACTGGTGTAAAATTAAAGATAGAAAACTAAGACAAACATAAGTACAAATGTGTTTTCTGAATTTCTGGCTTACCCTAGAGCTGACCTGTAGGGAACAGGTGGCAAAATAGTTGGTGACTGTTGTCCCTAATTTGTGCCCTCATTTTCTCCATGTGTTGAGTCACAGCCCCCTCCACCCCAATTCACAATTATATACCCACCAGGGACCAATGTGACTTCCAGAATGGTTTTTGTCCAGCTTGGCTCTACTTAATGTGTTTTACACAGTCTGGTTGGCACTAGGTCATGTTGCTTTCTTTAGGTGGTATTTTCACTATCATCCCTTTGTTTTATGGAACCTCTGCACTATGAGCCCCAAGATGGGCTTTCTGGATTTACTCATGCAGGTTCAGTAACCCTAATCTGAAATGCTCCAAAATCTGAAACTTTCTGAGTGCCAACATGCCACTAGTAGATGATTCCACATCTGACCTCATGTGACAGGTGCAAAGAAATGTTTAAAATACTGTATAAAATTACCTTCAAGACCATGTGTATAAGGTGTATATGAAACATAAATGAATTTCCTGTTTAGACTGGGGTCCCATCCCCAAGATATTCTCACACATATGCAAATATTCCAATATCTGAAACACTTCTCATCCCAAGCATTTTGGATAAGGAATACTCAACCTGTATTAACAATTCTCTGAAGTCTTCAGATACTGTATCTGGTCTGTCCTGGTCACAAAGCAATTCTTTTAGAAACATTATTCTGGAAGCATGATAGCTTACAATTTAATGCCATGATACAGTGGCCACTATCACCACTGTCTGATCCTTCACAGGATGTGTCTCCGTGTCCCTCTCAGCCAGAAGGTTTCTGATTCCCACAGGGATCAGTCTCCATATTTACAAATTTTGATGCTTTCTGAAGACTGACTTTACCCTTGAATTTCTGCTCAAAGCTTTGTGCTTTTTCAGTTAGAGGATATTGTTTGCTTAGTGAAAGTACTAGCATCCAGGCCTTTCTTCCCAATAACTGGCTTTCCTGGTTCAGGGATCTAGTCTTCAAGCATGCATGCATGCATATTTATTTATTTGTTTGTTTGTTTGACAGAGTCTCACTGTCACCCAGGCTGGAGTGCAGTGGCACGATCTCCTGGCTCACTGCAACCTCCATCTCCCAGGTTCAAGTGATTCTCCTGCCTCAGCCTCCCAAGTAGCTGGGATTATAGGTGTGCACCACTAAGCCTGGCTAATTTTTGTGTTTTTAGTAGGGACAGGGTTTCACCATGTTGGCCAGGCTGGTCTTGAACTCCTGACCTCAAGAGATTTGGCCACCTCGGCCACCCAAAATGCTGGGATTACAGGCGTGAGCCACCGTGCCCGGCCTTGTTTTCTTTTCTTTTCTTTTTTTTTTTTTTTTTTTTTTTTTGCCCACAGGTGCTACTAACAAACATTTCTTATCTCTGATTTTCTTCTCAGAGCCTCCCTGACACCTGCCTACAGTGTTAATGGCTACAGAATGGCTGCTGGGCTTTTTCTGTGGGTGAAAGTTGTAGTTACTAGAGAAACCTGGTTTAAGGCTAGTCTACAATCATCCCTTTCTCAGAGGTTACCCTGATTTTAACAGGCTGATATTTATCTGTCTAGATATTTCCATGCATATTTATAGACATCTGTTTAAAACACACACACAAATGACAGCACACTCTTCCTAAAAACTATTTCACACTAATGCTTATTTCTCTACCTGTACTATCTTTTTTTTTTTGGAGATGGAGTCTCTGTCGCCCAGGCTAGAGTGCAGTGGTACGATCTCAATCTCAGCTCACTGCAACCTCTGCCTCTCGGGTTCAAGCGATTCTCCTGCCTCAGTCTCCTGAGTAGCTGAGACTACAGGCGTGCACCACCATGCCCTGCTACTTTTTTTTTTTTTTTTTTTTGTATTTTTAGTAGAGACAGGGTTTCACTACGTTGGCCAGGCTGGTCTCAAACTCCTGATCTCGTGATCTGCCTGCCTTGGCCTCCCGAAGTGCTGGGATCACAGGTGTGACCCACTGCGCCCGGCCTTATCTGTCTCTTTAAGATCCTATTGCATTTGGGATCCTGTAGTATTATGCCACTGCCTATTTACCTAATAATATATATTGAACATCTTTCCATGTCAGTACACAGATCTCTGCTTAATTCATTTGAATGTTCTTCTGTAGTATTCATACATAATTTATGTTATCATTTTCCTGTTGAAGAATAGGTAGGTGTTTTCCAGTTCTTCAGTATTGCAAACACCACTACATTGAACATCTTTGTATCCATGTGCAAATATTCCCGCAACATACTGTGCTAGCTGTTCAGCCACATCACCTTTATGAAATTCTCACAGGAACCTGTGAAGGCTATAGGTAATTTGCCACATTCCACAGATGAGAAAAAGGCTAAGAGAGCTTACATGTCTTGCCTGAGGTCTCACAACTCATAAATGACGGAGCCTAATTGAAGTAAAGATCTGTCTGACAGCAGAACTCAAGTATTTTCTCTGATACCACGATTTACAATTGTGGTATATGATTCATATATGTGTTTAAATGTAAACATATAAACCACATGTTTATAAATTACTCATTTTTTTTCTTTTTCTTAGATGATTTCACAAAAGTTCATCTTCATTGCAGATACCTGCCTTTCTTTCTAGGTTGTATCTCCCACTTCACCCTTCTAGACCATCCCAGAAGATCTATAAGATTTCATCTGGGAAATCACTAGGAGTTCTTGGAAGGGAAAGAAGGAAGATTGTGTAAGTCAAAGGAATTGTTTCCTCTGTCACACCATAAGAATAATGGAAGACTATTTTTTGCATCCTTATCTTACTAGCACTCCCTGCTGCACTTTACACTGTAGATTATACCTTTTTCTTCTTGGAACGCTCATCATCTTTGGCATCCAAAATAACATTCTTCTAATTCTGTTATGGCTACTCTTAACATTTTTGTTTCATTTGTGGTCTCTGTGCATCCCTTAAATGCCTTTCGTCCTTAGGTTTTCCAGAATTCCATACTTGAAGTTCTTCCTCTCTTCTCCCTGATTTCATTGGCCCTCGTAGTGTCCACTACCAGCTATGTGATGTTACTCTCAGATCTCCATTTCTGGCTTTTACTTCTCACCCGAGCTTTATTTTTTTTTTTTTGTTTTGGGTTGTGGGGTGGGTACCCAGTTAGCTGGACAAAACTGAGCTTTACAATTTTATGTTTAACTGTACATCTCACACACAATAGGCCCAACACAACTTTTCCTCCAATCCATTTTCTCCACCTGTAAATGGAGGAGTATTATCATTTGGTGATAATACTAATAACCTAATCACCCATACCTGGGAGTCATCACTGACTCCTCCCTCACCAATCTTTTTTTTACCTTCTTAAACAATCACTGACAGTGGTGTCATGTACCATTTCTTGTGTCTGCTCCCAAACTATTTTGTGCCTATAACTGTCATTATACTAACCTTATCGTTTTATAATTGTCACTTTAGATATTTGGATCTCTAGCAACTACCATAGTACTTGTCCCAAAGCAGATATGCAGTAATGTATAATGACAAACTGAATAGATTAATGAATGGATGAATTACCTATGTTCTGTCATTTTATTTCTGATTCCAAACTAAACCCTAAATTCAGTGCTTTCATTAAGTTCATTAATTACCCAGGCTTGAAATTGCAGATTCCTCCCTCCTTTGGTTACTATATTCTTCATGATTTCTGTATTCTTCAGTTTCTCTTGACTCTGTCATCATCCTAATTCAGGCCTTTCTGGACTAATACAAGAACCTTTACTGTTACTCATTTTGCCCTTAGTCAATTAAATATAACCTTCCCTATTCCATATTGTCATTTCTCCTGTTCAAAAGTCTTAAATTTCAACTCCACTGTCTTTTATAGTTTTTCATTTAATTCCTTCTTTCTTGAAAATTGCTTTCCTATCTTGTGAGTGGCATCAACAGAGTAATTTATGGGTAGTTGTGATGAGTATTTGGGTGAGATGAGAGTAGTGGCTGGTAGTGAGGATCAGAGAGAGGGAAAGGAGGTAAAAAAATAAAAAATCACTTATAAAGGGTCCTGAAATAGGATTTGAAATCCAGATTTTAAGGGAGTTAGAATGTGTTATTCTCTGATGGGCCTTTATGAAACATAGTTAAAGGTTGCCATAGAAAACAACCAAGTAAAATATTTTATATATTACAGTGGTTGGAATAAAAACAGGGTTGAATGAGTTCCAGAAAGCAGGGTTCTCAACCTCGTGGACAGCAATCTGCAGAAGAAGAGAACTTCAAAAAACCAACTAGAAGCAACATGCAGAGAAGTAAAATGAGAGGGGCCTCCTCAGGAAAGAAGACAGCTGGTCCACAGCAGAAAAATCTTGAACCAGCTCTCCCAGGAAGATGGGGTGGTCGCTCTGCAGAGAACCCCCCTTCAGGATCCGTGAGGAAGACCAGAAAGAACAAGCAGAAGACTCCTGGAAACGGAGATGGTGGCAGTACCAGCGAAGCACCTCAGCCCCCTCGGAAGAAAAGGGCCCGGGCAGACCCCACTGTTGAAAGTGAGGAGGCGTTTAAGAATAGAATGGAGGTTAAAGTGAAGATTCCTGAAGAATTAAAACCATGGCTTGTTGAGGACTGGGACTTAGTTACCAGGCAGAAGCAGCTGTTTCAACTCCCTGCCAAGAAAAATGTAGATGCAATTCTGGAGGAGTATGCAAATTGCAAGAAATCGCAGGGAAATGTTGATAATAAGGAATATGCGGTTAATGAAGTTGTGGCAGGAATAAAAGAATATTTCAATGTGATGTTGGGCACTCAGCTGCTCTACAAATTTGAGAGGCCCCAGTATGCTGAAATCCTCTTGGCTCACCCTGATGCTCCAATGTCCCAGGTTTATGGAGCACCACACCTACTGAGATTATTTGTAAGAATTGGAGCAATGTTGGCCTATACGCCCCTTGATGAGAAAAGCCTTGCATTATTGTTGGGCTATTTGCATGATTTCCTAAAATATCTGGCAAAGAATTCTGCATCTCTCTTTACTGCCAGTGATTACAAAGTGGCTTCTGCTGAGTACCACCGCAAAGCCCTGTGAGCGTCTACAGACAGCTCACCATTTTTGTCCTGTATCTGTAAACACTTTTTGTTCTTAGTCTTTTTCTTGTAAAATTGATGTTCTTTAAAATCGTTAATGTATAACAGGGCTTATGTTTCAGTTTGTTTTCCGTTCTGTTTTAAACAGAAAATAAAAGGAGTGTAAGCTCCTTTTCTCATTTCAAAGTTGCTACCAGTGTATGCAGTAATTAGAACAAAGAAGAAACATTCAGTAGAACATTTTATTGCCTAGTTGACAACATTGCTTGAATGCTGGTGGTTCCTATCCCTTTGACACTACACAATTTTCTAATATGTGTTAATGCTATGTGACAAAACGCCCTGATTCCTAGTGCCAAAGGTTCAACTTAATGTATATACCTGAAAACCCATGCATTTGTGCTCTTTTTTTTTTTTTATGGTGCTTGAAGTAAAACAGCCCATCCTCTGCAAGTCCATCTATGTTGTTCTTAGGCATTCTATCTTTGCTCAAATTGTTGAAGGATGGTGATTTGTTTCATGGTTTTTGTATTTGAGTCTAATGCACGTTCTAACATGATAGAGGCAATGCATTATTGTGTAGCCACGGTTTTCTGGAAAAGTTGATATTTTAGGAATTGTATTTCAGATCTTAAATAAAATTTGTTTCTAAATTTCAAAGCAAGTAATTTGTAGTGTGCCTTTCATGTTACTGGTTGGTATTCTGGTTATTGTAGAAATAAGGTTGGTATTCTGTGGTTATTGTAGAAATTTTAGAAAACATAGTAAGAACAAATGCAAATAAGAATCATGTAATTCTACTGGATCCTTCAAGGTCCCAGCAAATAAATGGGACTCAAAAATGGGTGATTTGAGGAGAGTTAAAGAATTTTTTCCCTGAGTTGCCACCAGAGGGGTAGGGTTGTAGTGTATATTAGCTGGCTCAGGCTGCCGTAAGTACCTCAGACTGAGTGGCTTAAACAATAAGTTTATTTTCTCACAGTTCTGGATGTTAGAAGTCAGATCAAGGTGTTGCCAGAGGATTTTTTTGAGGCCTCCTTGGCTTCTACATGGCCGTCCTCCTTGTCATCACATGGCCTTTTTCTGTGTATCTGTATCCTAATCTCTTGTAAGGACACTATTCATTGGATTAGGACACACCCCAGTGACCTCATTTAGTTATCTCTGTAAAGACCCTATTTCCAACTACAGTCACAATCTGAGGTATTGGGGATTAGGACTTCAACATGAATTTGGCGGGTGTGGGGAGGGGTGGGTGCACAATTCAGGGCATAACAGTGTTACTACCCCTCTGCAAAGGAGACGAAGAGGGGAAGGGACGGGAGGAGCAGAGGGAAGGAAGGGAGGGGTTACTGGAATGGTATACAGCTGTGTGGAAAGGTCCACCTGACAGTAGCTGTAATCTTCAGGATGCAGTCAGCTCACAGCGACCCTGAGAAGAGAAAATGCAATGAGAGGGCATAAATGCTTGACTTTGCTCTCTTCCGAACATCGCCTGCTGGGTATTTCCCTTTGTCCAAACTGGAAGCCAGAGGGCAAGGAAGACCTTTTGTATAGTCTGTGTTGGTAAGTGTGGGGGACACAGAGCAGGAAGGAAAGTAGATGGTGGGGAGGGGGGTGGAGGAGGGTAGTTGCGGGTGGTAAGTGGGAGGAGGACAAATGGGAGATACCTAGCACACACCTGAAATAGTTAATACTTTACCAGATATTCTTGGAATTATGTGTATACGTAAATATTTGTAATAAAGATCATACAACATTTTTAAAACAAATTGGGATCAGATCATATGTATGGTTTTCTTTTTCTCCCCAAATTGATATACAAAGGAAGTTCAAGGCTAATAAAACTAGTTTATTTTTAAATGACTTAATGAAAATAAAACATGAAAATGGAAAAATTCTGAGAAAACTAAAGAGAAGTTGCCACATAGAAAAATTTGTTATAAAATGGTACTCTAAAAGTGTATTTTGGGCACCAAAACAGATCAGGGTAACAGAATGGAAATATCTGTGTCTGTGTATGTGTGTTTAACTTATTAGTTATGTTAGAGGTAATATTTGAATTAGTAGTGAAAGAATGGGATAGTCAAAATATTGGAGGGGAATGTTAGATCTTTTGCATTACATTTTATTCCAAAGTACATTCCAAACGAATTAAAGATTTACATTTGATAAGTGAAACCATAGATTGTTTGCTTAAAATGAAGGATATTTTATCATCTTGGCTCAGATGACCTTTCTAAATATTAGATTATTGACAGGATGCCTACAGGAAAAGGTGGATAGATTTTAATACATAAATACTTTAAATAACTTTATTATAAAACAACATGAAGGGAATTATTAGGTATGCAACACAGTAGAATAGTCAAACACATAAATACAAATTGTTAATATCTTTAAAATTTAAAAAGAGACAAGGGAGATAGGCCATAGATGCACATAGGCTAGTTTTGAAAAGAACTGCAAATTGCAAGTAAACAGGTTCATTTTCCTTAGACATAAATACTTAAAATAATGAAGTATTTTCTATCACTGTTGTCATCCTCCTTGCAATAGGTGCTAGTAAGTTATTGAACATGCTTTTAGGTGTCAATATATTGTCAAGAGTAGCAGAAACCAGGCTACGTTGTAGGCTGGCTGCATTGTGACCATCACACCATCATGTGATGACTAGACCCATCAGGTGTCAATTATTCTTCCCCAAATTCTGTAGTGGGAGAGTGGCAGGAGAAAGGATCAATGTAAAGAAGAAAGGAGGTTTTATAATTATATGCAGCCCATTGATTACTGAACCTAATTATCAGATCTCTCTAACACTGGTACTTAGCATGTAGAAGTTGCTCATTAAATGTGTATTCAATGAAGACTACTTAGACTTTGCGTCTTAGTGAATACTTCATTTAAGTAGGCAAATCCCTGGTGTCAGATGGCTGAAATGATTCAAATTTTGCATTAGTGAATGATGGGTGACCAGATGGGCAGGCTTGGGGCCTCTCATCCTCATACTCTGTGGAATCTAGGGCCTAGCCAACTAATTGAATTCTTGACTCCTATCCCATTAAGAAGACAGTTGTAAAATAGCCCACGATACTCATGAAAACATTCCAAAAGAAAATAAGGATTTGTTAATGAAATTTTGAATAGGAGGCCTACCAAACAGATATGGATCTTAGTTCACACCCTTGAGCATATAAGAAATGTCACATTTTCAAAGCGCCTTTAAATGAACATAAATATGACTCTGATATCCAAACCCTAGCATGCTAGTGGGAAATCCACATCACTTATTACTGGGGATTCCTCATCTCCATTAGTTGTACAGGCATTCTATGGTCTTATCTAGCACCAAAGCCTGAGGAGATCCCTGCTGTCTTCAGCTGTCTGTCCACACTGGTTAGGGATGAGGTGCTCATTTACTGAACTGGCATGGTATCTTCAGTTCCTTTGTCCCTGCTGCTTCTATCCAACCCTCTGGGTAGTGGAATGTTTGCCAAGACTAGGCAACCAGCTTCCCCCGGCCCATCACAGAGTCTTCTTTGGGTCCTGATATGAAGAAATGCTCATGTCTCTGCCACTGAAAGGAAGTATAGACCCTGACCTCTATTCTCTTGCTGCCCTAAAATGCCCTCCATTCCCATCCAGGGACATCTGGCTTGATTTCATCAATGAATATAATCCTTTTCAGAATATATGGGCTGGGCACAGTAGCTCGTGCCTGTAATCCCAGCACTTTGGGAAGTCGCAGGAGGATTGCTTGAGGCTAGGAGTTCAAGACAAGCCTGAGCAACATAGCAAGACCCAATTTCTACAAAAAAAAAAAAAAAATTAGCTAATGTGTGCCTGTAGTCCCAGCTACTTGGGAGGCTGAGGTGGGAGGATCCCTTGACCCCAGGAGTTTGAGTCTGCAGTGAGCCATGATTGTACCACTGTAGTCCAACCTGAGTGACAGGGCAAGACCCTGTCTAAAGAAAAAAAAAAAAATCACCGGCTTCAAGCAGCTTCTACTTCCAGATCTGCCACAAATCTCCCTCTCTTGGATCTCTGCTGGAAATGAGAGGAGAGAAAAATATAAGAACACAATATACATGTTAATATATATTTCTCTTTCTTTTTTTAGAGATGGTGGGGTCTCACTCTGTCACCCAGGCTAGAGTGCAGTGGTGCCACTATAGCTCGCTGCAACTTCGAACTCCTGGGATCAAGGGATCCTCCTGCCTCAGCCTCTCAAGTAGCTGGAGCTAAAGATGTATGCCACCAAGGCTGGCTAATTTTTTTGTTGCTGTTGTTTTGTAGATGGGGGTCTTACTATGTTGCCCAGGCTGATCTCAAACTCCTGGCCTCAAGCGATCCACCTCAGCCTCCTACGTAGCTGGTAACATTTCAAAAACTGATAATTTAATATGTCCCAGTTAAACATATAGGTAGTTTCTTTTATTTTGGATGATTTCTTCTTGTTAATTGTTTCATTAAAAAAAATCTTAGGAATATTCAGGAAAGTCATAAAGTACTTTATTAGATCCAAAACTGGGCCATCCTATTGATTTAAAAAAGGGGGCAGTTATCATAAGTGGACACATGGACACAAATTCACACATGGACTCTGTTGATTTTGCAAGTTTCTCTATTTTAACACTATAGAGATGATGTCGCTTTATCTATCCAGACATCTAGATGGCTTCCCTTCTAAAACTGAAGGGCAGTTTAAAGAGTATATTTACCCCCATGACATTCAGTGCCTAGCTAACAAGGTGGGTCCATAACAAATAGCTATTATAACTGTTATTTATTATTGTTATCAATGTCTTCATCATCAACATAAATAAGCCTGTTTTCATTCAGGAGAATGTATGTGGATTGGTACGGAAGCATGTTGTGAAATAAATTGCATGACACTCATGAAACACCTGAAAAGGAAAGTAGTTAGTAAATGTAAGGTTTGTCTTGCTTACAGCAAGTTTTTGACACAGAATAAATGTTCAAAAATTACAATTCTCTTTCCTTCCTCCCTTTCCAAAAGGAAAGGGTAAAGAATATATTCCCAAGATCTGTAGTTCTCAGCCTGAGGTCCCCAGAAGATACCATTAAGAATTGAGGAGCTCTCTTCTCTTTCCATCTTGTCTCTTCTTTCTTTCTTCCTTTTTTTCTTCCTAATTCATTATGGAGGTAATACTTAGCTGAACTTTTTCTAGAATCAAATGAGATAATATATTTAAAAGTGTATTATTAACTATGAATTGTAATAATAATGATTAATAGTTAGCTTGCTTATACAAATGCCAATAATCAGAAGTTGTATATATATATGTATTTAAGTTGTATATATATTTTTGTATATATATTTGTATATAAGTTGTGTGTGTGTGTGTGTGTGTATATATATATATATATCTCCAAAATGTAAAAAATATGTATAAGGAACAGGATAGAAGTTGGAGATACTCTAAATTTTGTTTAAAAAATATAAAGTTAGATAAATAATTTAGAAAAATCTGCCAGATGTGGTGGTGTGCACCTGTGATCCCAGCTGCTTGGGAGGCTGAGGCAGGAGGCTCTCTTGAGCCCACCAGTTTGAGTACAGCCTTGGCAACATAGCAAAACCACAACTTAAAAAAAAGAAAAAAAAAAGAGGCCAGGCGCGATGGCTCACGCCTGTAACCCCAGCACTTTGGGAGGCCAAGGAGGGTGGATCACCTGAGGTCAGGAATTCGAGACCAGCCTGGCCAATATGGCAAAACCCTATCTCTACTAAAAATACAAAAACTAGCCCGGTATGGTGGCATGTGCTTGTAATTCCAGCTACTAGGGAGGCTGAGGCAGGAGAATTGCTGGAACCCAGGAGGTGGAGGTTGCAGTGAGCTGAGATCACACCACTGCACTCCAGCCTGGGCAACACAGCAAGACTCCATCAAAAAAAAAAACAGAAAACAATCTTAGGATAAGCACTACAAGATTAAAAATGGAACATGTGTCTTAAGCCATTTTGTGCTACTATAACAGAATACCACAGACGACTGGATAATTCATAAATAGAGATGTATTTCTTATGTTTCTGGAGGCTGGGAGGTCCAATATCAAGGTGCTATCATCTGGTGAGGGCCTTCATCCCATGGTGGAAGCAGAAGGTCAAAAGAGCAGGGGGTGGGGAAGAAGGCAGCAGAACTCATCCTTTTATCAGGAACCCACTCTTGAGATAACAAACCTACTCCCACAGTAACAGTGTGAATCCATTCATGAGGGAAGAGCCCCATGACCTAATCACCTCTTAAAGGTCCCACCTCTCAACATTCTTGCATTGGAGATTAAGTTTCCAACACATGAGCTTTGGGGGACACATTAAAGCCATGACAATGTGTAAATTCCAAAACTCCAAAGAAAACTCCATTGGTCTAACGAGGCAGGAAAGGAGGGGAGGGAAACATGCAAATAAAAATACATGGTAAATAGAAAACACAAAGTAAAAAGGTAGAAATATATCTATAATAGATCAGTAATAATAAATATATGTGGATTAAACTCACATATTAAAAGAAAACCTCAGATTGTTTTTTTTTTATAAGACACAGAATCTAGTTTCATGCCTTTTCTCAGAGGCACACTTAGAATTATCCAGAAAAGTTCAAAATAAAAGGATGGAAAAAATATACCAGGCAAATACTAAGCAAAAGAAAGCTGGTGTAGCAAAATTAATGCAAAAACAGTAGTAGTATTCATCCACAGGAGTTTGGCACATCACAAACAACGCACCAAGCAAATGTAGTCAGTATATTGAACAAGAACTACTGGTGAAATACAATCAAAATGCAACTTTACTTTTGTCTCTAATATTGTACTTTTAAAATTACATTTCTCTCAGGCCCCATGGCTTTCCTGCCACCTTACAGTCACTTTAAATCACAAATTGAGCCTGAATTCAGTGATTAGAACACGAAGTTCCAAATAATAAAGGGCCACTGAACTTGATTTAGAGTTAGACCTTCTCTGCTCGCCTAGCACCAACTTCAGGTGACCTCCCATATTTGAGCAAAGGGATGCACTGAGTTTCTTCTCTTTGCCCATCTTCCTTCCCCAGCTTGCTAATTTTGACTTCAGGCCTGTCCGCGGTTAGAGTGAAGGGAAAGAGTAAGGGGGAAAGGAACAGAAAATTATTGTCTGGTTATATAGTAAGTTGGCTTTACTCTCTACGGATCTAGCTGTTTAAAGGGGACTCTCATCAGAGGCTCCCTTACTGCTACCTCTGTATCAAAAATGAAACATGCAGCCGGGCGCGGTGGCTCATGCCTGTATCCCAGCACTTTGGGAGGCTGAGGTAGGCGGATCACAAGGTCAGGAAATTGAGACCATCGTGGCTAACACGGTGAAACCCCGTCTCTACTAAAAATACAAAAAAAAAAAAAATTAACCGGGCGTGGTGGCGAGCACCTGTAGTCCCAGCTACTCGGGAGGCTGAGGCAGGAGAATGGCGTGAACCTGGGAGGTGGAGGTTGCCAAGATCGCGCCACTGCACTCCAGCCTGGGTGAGAGTGTGAGACTCAGTCTCAAAAAAAAAAAAAAAAAAAAAAAAAGAAACATGCTATTGCTGTTTCTCCTTCAGCTCTGAGTTTTTCAGCTGTCCATTCCATAGGGTTTTTTCAGCTGGAATCTGTAGCACCCCCAAACAGCTCTCTTTGAGAGCAGCTTGCTCTCCTTCGTGGCCCACTTCTTGTACATGGGAAACACCTATCTGTCTTTTGCCCCCAACAAACTGGAAATGCGGACAGATCACAATACAGTTACCACTCCCACCATCACCACAGCCACATTCTCTAGCCAGGAAGATTTTTCAGTCTGGAGGTAGATCACATTCCACTGTGCCTTCCAACTCCAGGAGACACATATCAAGCTTTAGGGGGTCCAGTTGAATCCATGGAGTGAAAAGGAAAGCACCTCAACTCTTCCAACTTGGAAGCTCATCCCAAAGAAATCTTCCTCGCAAAACTTCCTTTTTCATATCTCCTCTCTTGACCCTTTTAATCCTCCTTGTGGGTTTTAGAGCCGCTTGGTTATTTCCTTTGGAAACCTGGCTTTGATTTCATATCTGTTATATGTTAATGCCTAAGAGGAAACTTTTAATTTAACATTCTGTCATGGAAATTTAAACCAACTAGTCCCTGAGTCCTGGAAGATCACAGTATAACATTAGAATTTTTTTTTAAGGTAGAGTGGGGGAGAGTGTGGGTTTTGGAGTGTGACAGACCTGGGTTTGAATCCAAGCTCTCAAACTTACTAGATTTAGGGCCTTGGAATATATACTCAACCTCTGAGTTCCATTTACTTCTTTGTTTAGGGAAGATACGGCTGCCTACCTTGGTAGAAAACAATTCTGCCTGCCTACAGAATTATGAGAATTAAAGAGAGAACCAACTTAAAACATGAAACACTTCATCTGGCCCATAGTGGACACTCAAACAAATATTAGTTCCCTTCCTATTCTGCTTCCTCCCTTCCTTGAAAGTTATGCCTTTGACATTCTTTACTTTATAAAGAACATTTGCAAAGGTAATAACAAGAAGGGGAAAACGCAGGTATGATCTTCAGTGCCATTTCTGTATTCCAGAATGAGCTGTCTGATGGATCCTACAGGAAAAGGAACAATATCATCATACCATTTTCATTTTGGGAGTTACACATCCAGTGAAGTTGAAAGTAGGGGGCAACAATAATCAAGCTATTTAACTGTTTCATGTGTTTTCCTGAAACTTAATTTTAGCTTATAGGTTAAAAATCAATAAAGCATATGTACTTAGAGCTCCAGAACTTTAGAATGAGAGTTCCAGTGCCAAACCCTTTAATAGCTACTGGGCCTGGTGAGATCTTTCCCCCTTCTCTGACTTCACCTATCAGAGATGGAAAAAAAACCCACAACAACAACAACAACAACAACAACAAAAAACAGCTGATATTTATTACTTACTATGTGTTGACATTAAATGGACTATGTAATAATTTATGTAAACCTCACAACAACCCTAAGAGGAAGTAATGGAATTATCCCCATTTTACAAGAGGCACAGAGGCCAAGGACACACAGCTAAGAGTGGCAGATCTGGGATTTGAACCCAGTTAGTGACTACTCTTGACAGCTGTTAGCTACTGTACTATCCTGGCTCTCTGAAAAGGAGCAGGTTTTGAGAAATGTGAAACATGAGATCTCATTTGTGAAAGCACCATGATTGTATAACAGGCCTACCTAAAAGCTGATGTCAAAACAAGATTAGACATAAATAGATTTACTGGGGAAACACAATAGATAAAGGGAGAAAGAGCAAGAGAAGATGGGGAGAGCCTTTAGACTGTGATCCACATGTCACATCTGTGAAAGCAGAGGGAAGGAAGAAGAATTAGGTAGAAAGAGTCCCAGACTTCAGTTCATTTGAGAAGCTATGGACCAGGCCAATGGGGAGTACAAGCAAAGATTAAAAGTCTCCCATTGAGCAGAAATGGCATGGCTCTAGTGGCTCAGCTGTGCTAAGTCATGGTGTGGGAGCAGTCTGGGAAAAGTGTGTCCTTAGCACGAATCATGAATGTAAGGGTAGACTGACTCAGTGACTGCTTCCTTGCTGTCCACTTACCTTCTGCTGACTCAACCCTGAAAATTTTGCAAAGACCCTGAGCCTGATCCCTTCTATGCTGCCCCACCAGAGGGGCTCACACTCTTTTGCACTGTCTCCTAAGAGCAGGGGGATCCTGGTTAGCACAGAGCTCTCTCTCCAAGGTTCTGGCTGTTCCGTGCTTTCTGCTCTGGAATTGGCCAGATAAGTCACTGCTTGGATATGCGATTGACATACCAGCCTTCTGTGTGGGTAGGCAGGTGGTGAGGGGCCCACAGAAGCAGGCTCTGGATGCTGCTGACCCTCCACCACCAATGCCTTAAAAAGCATCTTCATACCAATTCACAGCTTGACTGTCCTGGCTCCCAAGTCATGAGCTGGGCCTGCAGTGCATGGGGATTTTCAGATAGAAAGTGACACCCCCTTTCTCCTGAGTTGTAGGACCACATGTCTTTGCAAGTTCCCTTTATCTGGGGTCTTCTGTATTTCTGGGTTTGGGATGACTGAGGCATCAGATGCACTGCACCAGGCAGACACAGAGCTAAAGTCCTTGCAGAACCAACCAAACAGGCCAGGGCACATCAAAGCCCTTCTGGGAGTCTGAGCAAGGTGGGTGGGAGACGGATGGGTGAGGTTTTGTGTGCCCCAGTCTTCTTGGGGGCTAACTGGACTCTGAGAGAAGGGTCAGCCCCTTCTGCTTCAACCTCAAGTTACCTGGTCAGATCTGTTCAGACATCTGCTTGCTCAAAGACTATCCCAATGAATGTTTCCTGCCAGGACACTTTGGGGCTTTATCTCCTCCCCTACAAAATGTTCCCCAAAAGAGAGAGGGGAAAGGAGGGAAAGGCAAAGTGTTCTGACCTGCAATAGGGCAGTCGGTTCTCCTCCTCCAGGTGTGTCTGTGCAGGGCAGCTTGGCCATTAGCCTAAAAGGGCCCTGTGCCTGCTGCAGGCAGAGAAACAAAAGTCAGACCCACCCCAGAGGGGAATGTGGCCTGAGTGAGCCCTTCCACCTCCTGCCTAAGCACCACCACTCTTAGCGTTAGGGGGATGGATTTATCCTCTCTTATAAAACTAATTCCAGTGAGCCTGGAACCTGATCTCACTCCAGACAGAATTCCAGTTTGACTAACACCCATCACACTGCCACTGGCCTTGAAGAATGGTCTGGAGACATGAAGAGCTCCCAAAATGGCATCACAGAGAAAACCAAAAGCAAGGTCACATTCGTTCTTGCTTTGCTCCATAGAAGCTTAATTTTCTTATATTACATTTACTACTTTTTCTTCAGAACTTTTAATTTTTTGTTTCGCTTTAGTACTTTAGAAAGGCATTCTCCCCTTGAATTCTTATGAATATTTTATTATAGTTTCTTTTTCTCACTTTACACCCACCCTACACAGAAAACTATACTTTCTAATCCCCTGTCCCCTCTATCCCCTTGCTATGAGGTGAGACCATATGATAGTTTTAGCTAATCAGCTGTGAACCGCAGTAACATGTTAGTTCTAGACTAACCTATAGTGGGATGAGAGATTCCCATTACTCTCTCCCCCTGCCATAGTGATCAGTGATGTTCCAGGCTGTAGAGCTTCTGTCAGCCTGAGGTCCTGAGAGACTGGGGACCAGGGCCCTTTCACCCCACACCTTCACCAACACATGTTCGGCATTTATTGTGAGCTAGAAATAAACGTTTGCTGTGTTAAGCTGCTGAGATATTTTTTTCCCCAAAAGGGAATGAGGAGGCAGGGCAGGAGTGTAGAGAATGCAGTTTCAGAAGGGCACCCGCCCCCACCCACCACTCTCATGCCCACCTTCAGGCATCCGGGGTGCATACCTCTTTTTCTATGTTTCGCTCAAAACTCCCACATCCTCTGCAATAGGAAGCTAATACCCATGCAGGGTTTCTGCTCATCTCCCCAGCATTCCCCACTGCCCACCATTTTCTGAATCAAAATGGGCAGGGGGCGTGGCTGTGGGAACTGCAGTACAAGACCCGCTGCGGTGTCCGTTTTCCATTCCAGAGGTTTGCAGGTGATTCCTACCCTCACACCGACTTGGCGGGGGGCCAGGACATTTTTCTCCTCTCCTTTCCCTAAGCGAGAAGCCAGCTTGCTTTCAATACAATAGGGGCACGGTACCCAAACCTGACCGCCATCCCCATCCCAGATCCCTCCCCCAAGCCCACCATTTTTTTTCCCCTAAAATAAATCGGAGTAGGGGCCGGAAAGGGGTATAGGCAATGTAGTCTTGCATGCGCTATGATCTTCTCCTTCGCCTTCAGATAGCCTTTAATCATTCGAACCTTTTCAGATCCGCAGCCAACAGTAGTCTTCTCCTTTTCTGTTTAGCAGCAAGAAGCGCTCCCGCCTGCCTCTAAGGCAATAGGGAGATGGTGCTCAGGATGGAAAGAGAACTCAGACTACATACTGACTTCAATTCACTTCAGCCCTTTGTCCAGTGAGGCCCGTGTGTTAACAGTGAGCTCGGATCCCTAATTAATCCTCCCAACAGCACTTCAGCAGAAGCCGGGTTGCCCATCCCCAGCCCAACCTAACAATCCGAAAGGGTATCATCTTCCTGGAGTATTTATTCGCCTTTCTCAGATTATCAGGGAGGATCAGCCTTTTAGAGTTAATCGATCCTGTCTTCTTTTTTCCTCTCCTGTCTCTAAATTCTCCAACTCCCGTCCGCCAAGACCCTAAAGTCTAGCAGTTCCCTGGCAGTTCTGTCCAGACGCTGAAATGGGGCTCAGGAAACAAGACTGGGAGTGAGAGTGAGAGAGGTTTTCACCAATTCTTTTCAATATTTATTTGTATGTTCTGTTCCTTATAGTTATTATCTTTACTATTATTACTAACAGCCTACATCCTGTTTGTCACTAGAAAATAGAAAAGAGCTATTTATTTTCAGATGGGAAGCAGGAGGTAGATTCAAGTATGCATGTGGGTAAATAACCCAGCCAACTGTTTTTGCTGCTCAATGGTAATACAAATATAGATACTCTAGGCGCCACTATTTTGGATGTTTGAAATGTACAGAGCAGCTGGAGGCTCCCCTTATGAGGGGCCACTATGTTGTGTGAGGCTTTTCCATGAAGTCAGACACCGAGGTCCCATAATCCCGTAGTACTGAGGACACCTTGGATTTTCAGATTTCAGTAGCTGGTCATAATGTTGTGGTCTTTACAAATGATATTAATTCAACTTCCACAATTGCTATATTTCCCAGTTCTCAACCACATCCACATCCCTATTAACCCTTTGCAATTCCAACTCAGAAGCTCCTACTTTTTATGACCTCAGGGACAGATTCGGGTTGTGGGTAATGAAATTTATAATTCGGAGGACTCTAAGAAAAAGAATATTAAAAAGTATGAGCATTTCAAGCAACTATGTACAAAAGTCAACATTTACTTATTATGAGAAATCACAACAAATTACAAAATTGAACAGCTGACATATTTTTTAAAAATTTCCAGAAAAATAACATTGTCTTAATTAACTGCCTGGCATACCTCTACAGTGATTTTTTTTTTCCCTACAATTTTTGGCTACGAATTCTTTGATCTTTTCTTCTTATGACATTTTTGTAATAACATATTTTCTTTTTTTTTGTAATAACATATTTTCTAGAAAAAAAAGATACTCCAATCTTTCCTTTGGCATAGTCAATTTTAAAATTATTATTGATAAAAGTTTCAGCTTTACAACTTATCATTGGCGATGGATGAATTTTTAGTTTTGTCAAATTTGTGGAAACTGCTGTCAACCTCTGTCAAGTTTAAGAATTCAGAACACTTCAAGTTTTCTTGTGCAGATACTAATCTTTATACTCAATAGCATACACAAATCAGTGTAATGTTAATGTCCTCATTGTAGTGGTATATTTTGTGTTTTATGGTATTTTAGTCAGTGTCAGTATTTCATGCCAATTCATTCACGAAATTAATATGAACTAATGTAGATGTGATTGGACAAAGCCACAGGCATGGTTAGTGTAAAAAAAAAAGGCCAATAGTCAATTTTTGATTAATCATATGATACTTACTTATTGGGCAGCAGTGGGAACTAAGACTAAAAAAATCAGGTAGGAAATAGGAAATAGTATCAAATGCTGCCAGGAGGCCGATGACAGACCACTATGCTTTTAAAGTGAGGTCTAAGATTTTTCAATGGTTTACTAAGCATATGAAAGACAATAGAGTATAGTGTTAGGCTCATTATCATTAGAGTCTGACAACCCTCGTTTGACTCTTAGAGCTTCCACCTGCTACCTTGAGAAATCTCACTGGTAATTGCTTAATTATACATGAGATTAAGAAACAAATGAGTAAATTATCCAACTAAAATCAAACTAAATGTAATTCCAATCAACTTTCCTCTTAGCTTGCTCTCTAACATGCTGGCATCCATCTCATCACCAAGAAGAGGAGGGGTAATTGGAGTAGAAAGAAACAGTAGTCTTTTTTCTTTTTTATTTCACTCAGATTAGTAAAACCTTCTTGTAGGAGCTCCAAGAATTTTATTTACTTTGAGCGTCTTGCCTTAGACGGTTTTTAAAACACAAATGTCATCCTAGACCTGTCATGCCCACCAATGTGCCAGGTCAGTTTACCATTGCCATGGCAACACCTGGAAGTTACCACCCTTTTTCTAGAAATATCTGCATAATCTGCCCATTAATTTTCATATAATTAAAAGTGAGTATAAACATTACTGTAAAAATTACTGAGCTGCTACTGTGGGCACACTGCCTATGGAGTATTCCTGCTCTGCAAGGAGTAGTACCTATGCTGTACTATGTCAGAATCTTTGTTGCTAGGGACTCAAGTACTATATTTTCAAAAACATGCACAGATGATTCTGCTAAGCATACCTTGTAATGAACTGTATAACAGACTTTATAAATTCTATTCTTGCCATCCTCTGAGGAGTAATTATTTTTCTTTCCAACTTTTATTTTAGGTTCAAGGGGTACATGTACACATTTGTTATATGGGTAAATTCCATGTCATGAGGGTTTGGTGTACAGATTATATCATCACTCAGGTAATGAGTTTAGTACCTGATAGGTAGTTTTTAAATCCTCTCCCTCCTTCCACACCCCACCCTCAGGTAGGCCCTGGTGTCTATTGTTTCTTTCTTTGCGTCCATGTATACTCATTGTTTAGCTCCCACTTATAAGTGAGAACATGCATTATCTGGTTTTCTAATTTGCTTAGGATAATGGCCTCTAGCTCTATCCATGTTGCTGCAAAGGACATGAACTTCTTTTTTATGACTGCATAGTATTCCGTAGTGTATATGTCTCACATTTTTTTTTATTCAGTCACCTCTAATGAGCACCTAGGTTGATTCCATATCTTTGCTATTGTGAACAGTGCTATGATAAACATATGCATACATGTGTCTTTATGGTAGAATGATTTATATTCCTTTGGGTATATACCCAGTAATGGGATTGCTGGGTCGAATGGTAGTGTTGTTTAAGTTCTTTGAGAAGTCTCCAAACTGCTTTCCACAATGGCTGAACTAATTTACATTCCCACCAGCAGTGTATGAGTGTTCCCTTTTCTCAGCAACCTTGCCAGCATGTTATTTTTTGATTTTTTAATTATAACTATTCTGACTGGTATAAGATGGTATCTCGTTGTCTTTTTCATTTGCATTTCCCTCATGATTAGTGATGTTGAGAAGCTCATGTCCTTTGCAGCAACATGGATAGACCTAGAGGCCATTATCCTAAGCATCCTGAACTAGGAGGTAGGACTTGACTCTGGAGGTGGGGCTCAGACACTGGACCAAATTGAGGACTAGCTAAAACAGGGACAGGGTGGAAGTAGCTTTCCATAAGAGATGCCCACCAATGTGCCATGTCAGTTTACCAATGCCATGGGAACACCTGGAGGTTACCACCCTTTTTCTGGAAATATCTGCATAATCTGCCCCTCAATTTGCATATAATTAAAAGTGAGTATAAACATTACTGTAAAAATTACTGAGCTGCTACTGTGGGCACACTGCCTATGGAGTATTCCTGCTCTACAAGGAGTAGTACCTATGCTGCTCCTGTATGCTGCCACTTCAATGAAAGTTGCTGTCTAACACCACTGGCTTACCAAGAACTTTCCCTGGCTAAGCCCCAGTTTTGGGGCTCAACTGCCCTGCATCATTTGGCAACCAATGAAGGGATAAAGGCAGTGAAAATGGCAGCAATGGATGGAGAGGTGAGATGGCAAGACAACAGAGTTGGTGGCAATCAGTAATCAGCTGAGAGGTGGTAATTGGTGAGAGACAATGACAAGAGATGGCAGTCAGTGAGACAAGTGGAGAAATGGCGAGAGATGGAGAAGCTGCAAGAGCTATAACACTAAAGCTGTAACAATAAAGAGCTGCTAACACTACAGAGCTATAACACTAACCAAAGGCTCTTTTCAGAGATATCATTTTCCCTGGCAGATGGTGGACCTGAGCAGATGAGCCAGTGGTCATAGTGCTGCTGTCTCATGTGAGACCCACCATTCTGACCAGCAGGCTGGTGGGTTACTGGTCCATTCCAGCCCCCATGTGGCAGCCAAGCCCACCTGTATTAGTCTGTTCTCACATTGCTATAAAGAACTACCTGAGACTCAGTAATTTATAAAGAAAAGAGGATTAATTGACTCACAGTTCCACAGGTTGTACAGGAACCATGGCTGGGGAGGCCTCCGGAAACTTACAATCATGGCAGAAGGCAAAGGGGAAAAAAAGCACATCTTCACATGGCCAGGAGGAGAGAGAGAGAGAGAGAGAAAGAGAGAGAAAGAGAGAGAGAAAGAAAGAAGGAAAGAAAGAAAGAAAGAAAGAAAGAAAGAAGGAAAGAAAGAAAGAAAGAAAGAGAAAGAAAGAAAGGAAGAAAGAAAGAGCGAGGTACACACTTTCAAACAACCAGATCTCATGAGAACTCACTCACTATCATGACATCATCCAATCACCTCCCACCAGGACCCTCCCCCAACATTGAGGATTATAATTCAGCATGAGATTTGGGTGGTGACACAGAGCCAAATCATATCACCATCCAAGCTGAGGAAACCTGGAGAGACCTTCACCCGGGTCCCACATAGAACATTGGTCATCATGATTTTGGCTACTGTGCATGAATGAGTGTTCCCTCCACCCTCTCCCACAATATTAGGTAAGCTGGGGAATAAAAGCCTTTGGCTATGTGTTCAGTTAAAAGTCGCCCATTGTTTGATTGCCCTGAAACACGTCCTTGTCACCCCTTCCCCTAGTCTTTTCTCTTATGACTTCATTTTGTTGCTCCACCAGTTGTTTTATTTTCATTTCTGCAATGTGTGTTTTGTTTGCACTCTTATGTTTGCTTTGATTTTCTGATAACTGTATATGGGCATTTGTTTAAGGCAGGACACTTGGTTGTGAGAGGCTCCCTATTGTGTTGACTCTGGGAAACCAGAGTCACATTGTTCTGTGACCCCAACTTGGGTTTGGGTTCACTGTTGGCCACCCCCTGGATGGATGCCCCTGGCATTTGGTGATGGGACCCTCACTGGCTGAAACTCTGGTACTCTGGGTTTTCAGCATTTGCATTTTCAGCTGCCTTCCAGATGCTCTGGGGTTTTCAGCATTGACATTCCCTCTAGGATTGTGGGTTATAATCCCTCGCCCTAGGGGAATAGTGATCTTGCCTTTTTCTGCCCTGAAGTTAGAAGTTATTATTTCCCTAATAGGCAGTCACAGACTCCTTCTTGTGTGCTGACTTGAGCAACTGTCTTGCTCAAACCTCTCTAAGCTGAAGGAACAGGGAGTTCCTAGGCTCCTGGCCTGACAGACAACCACCTACAACGGTAGAAAAGTGGTTGCCTGAACATTTATTTTGGTGTCTCCGCTGCTGGATAGGTTCTCCAGCAAGTCAATACCTCTGAGGTGTCCCCTTGGGTAATACTGTTTCCCTCTTCCCCTCCTCCCTTCCCATTCACCATTTGTTTAGCCCTCCTCTCTGCTTAACCCTCACTGTGGATTTTAGGCTCAACATTCTACTGTCCATTTGTAGCTTGTAATCCACTTTTGTAATGCCTTGCTATGTATACTTACACCTTCTCTGCAGGAAGTGAGAGAATCTAAAAGTGAAAAATAATGACTCAGTTGCTTTCCCTTTTGCTAGACTTAGGAAGACTTCTGCGTCCTCTAAAACTTCTGTATCCATGGGGACAATGACGAGCGTCTCAGAGGACTCACGACTAGGATGTCTTTTAGGCTATTGGAGCAAATTCAAATTTGGTTTAATGAAAAAGAAACTCATTTTCTATTGCAACATGGTTTGGGTTCCGTACAAATTAGAAAACCAAATTTGGCGTAAACATGGTTCTATATATTGTAATGATAATTTACAACTGGACTTATTCTGTAAAAAAGAAGGAAAATGGGAAGAGGTCCCTTATGTACAGGCTTTTATGACCCTTTACTGGCTCATGTTACTTCCAGGCACCAGACAGCTCCATCTGAGGATCCCCTCCTTGCTGGTTCTCCTAGAAGGCCTATGCCTTTCCCAGAGTCTCCCCAGTCCCCCAATTCTGAGGGGGGTCCTGCCAGTGCTCTAACAAAGGATTCTAGCTCAAGGTCATCAGACACTCCTCCCCCTCATCCAACTAGCCCCAGCTTATACCCCCATTTCCCCCAAAATAAGCCCAATCAATACTACCAGGAGTGGAGCCTCATATTAGCCCCTAAAGTAAAATCTGTGTCCATTGCAGGAGGTAGCTAATGGAAATGGGGTTACATGTGCCATTTTCTATATCTAATTTGGATTTATATGAGGAAAAATTTGGCCAGTTTTCAGAAAATCCAGAAAAGTTTATACAGGCATGTGTTATGTTGACCATGTTCTTTGATTTAACTTGTCATGACTTAGAAATATTGTTATCTGTTCGCTGTGCTGTGGGAAAAAAGTGGAGGGAAGTATCTGTGGTTAAGCCAGTCAATTATGACAGAGCTAGAAATATAACTCAGGTAAAAGACGAAAATCCTGTTCTGTTTCTGGGTCGTTTGATAGAGGGACTCAGGAAATATACCAGTGCAGACCCAGACCCCCCAGAAGGGCAAGCTTTCCTGGGTGTACATTTTATTACTCATCCTGCACCTGACATTAGGAGGAAGATACAAAAAGCAGCAATGAGACCTCAAATCCCAATGAGCTAACTCTCTTTATTTATTTATTTTTTTGAGACAGAATCTTGCTCTGTTGTCCTGGCTGGAGTGCAGTGATGCCATCTTGACTCACTGCAATCTCCGCCTCCTGGGTTCAAGCTACTCTCATGCCTCAGCCTCCTGAATAGCTGGGATTACAGGCACCCGCCACCATGCCTGGCTAAGTTTTGCATTTTTAGTGGAGACAGGGTTTCAGCATGTTGACCAGGCTAGTCTCAAATTCCTGGCCTCAAGTGATCCACCCACCTCAGCCTCCCAAAATGCTGGGATTATAGGCATGAGCTACTGCACCCAGCCCCTAAGACCCAGATCTTAGATGAGGACTTTAAAGTTTACAACAATAGGGACAGGGCAAAATAGGTGAGAAAACAAAAACAAAAACAAAAAATAGCCAAAAAGTGCAATCATTAACAGTTGCTTTAAGTCCCCTGCCACGTCAGAATTACCCATCCCAAGAAAGCATCACGAGATTGGCATCTGATATGCCCAGATAAGAGCCCTGACTCACTGGCCCACTGATTCACTAGGCCAGAATCAGCGTGCCCAGTATAAACAAAAGGGTCATTGGCATGAGAATGTGCTAACTGCCCCTGGTGACACATAAAAAAGCTCCCCATCACTATTAGAGCTAACCTTCTTTTACTAGCCCCAGTGAGCTGCCTCCTCAAGTAAGTTTATTGGGAATGTTGGACCCTTGGCCCAATGGACAGCTTCCCACAATGGCAGTTTTTTGACTCTAAGTCTCTTGGCCAAAGGAAATTCCAAAGAAGTCTAAAACAAACAAACAAAGAATTCAGGCCATGATGGGAAACAGGAGGTTGGACACACCTCCCTATGCCCTCTTTGAAATTTAGGCTTTGTTCACAAGGCCCTTCAAGAATATAGAAATAAAGTATCACCTCTAACCAGGAGACTTAGTCTTACTAAAAAGAAGGATCCCCTGAAGATCAATTACAACCCAAATGAAAAGGTCCTATATCAGGCTGTTCTCACGTAGCTATAGAGAAATACCTGAGACTGGGTAATTTATAAAGAAAGGAGGTTTAATTGGCTTATGGTTCTGTGGGCTACACAGGAAGCGATGCTGGCATCTGTTTGGCTTCCGGGGAGGCCTCAGGAAATTTACAATCATGGTGGAAGGCAAAGGGAGAGAGCAGGCACTTCACATAGCCAGAGCAGGAGCAAGATACAGAGGTTCCACACACTTTTTCTTTTTTTTGAGTTGGAATCTCACTCTGTCACCAGGCTGGGGTGCAATGGCAAGATCTTGGCTCACTGCAACCTCTGCCTCCCAGGTTCAAGCGATTCTCCTGCCTCAGCCTCCTGAGTAGCTGGGATTACAAGTGCGTGCCGCCACGCCTGGCTAATTTTTGTATTTTTAGTAGAGACAGGGTTTCACCATGTTGGTCAGGCTGGTCTCGAACTCCTGACCTCGTGATCCGCCCATCTCAGCCTCCCAAAGTGTTGGGATTACAGGCATGAGCCACTGCGCCTGGCCAGTTCCACACACTTTTAAATGACCAGCTGTCATGAGAGCTCACTCACTGTTATGAGTACAATACCAAGGGGATGATACAAAACCATTCACAAGAAATATGACCCCATGCTCCAATCATCTCCCACAAGGCCCCACCTCCAACACTGGGGATTACAATTCAACATGAAATTTGGATGGGGGCACAGATCCAAACCATATGAGGCCCCTATCAGATATTGTTAAATACCCTCACCACCATTAAACTTCAGGGAATAACTACTTGGATACACCTATTTGGGATTAAATATGTTCCTTATGAGTCACAGGCACAAAGGGAGGACAGCACAACCTACATGATATGGTTTGGCTGTGTCTCCTCCCAAATCTTATCTTGAATTGTAGCTCCCGTAATTCCCACATGTTGTGGGAGGAACCCGGTGGGAGATAATTGAATCATGGGGGTGGTTCCCCCATACTGTTCTCATGGTAGTGAGTAATTCTCATGGTATCTGATGGTTTTATAAGGGGAAACCCCTTTCAATTGGTTCTCATTCTGTCTTGCTTGCCGCCATGTAATACATGCCTTTCACCTTCTGCCATGATTGTGAGGCCTCCCCAGCCACATAGAACTGTGAGTCCATTAAACCTCTTTTTCTTTATAAATTATCCAGTCTCAGGTATGTCTTTATCAGCAGCATGAAAATGGACTAATGCACTACATCTATAAACCTCTCCTACCCATTTAAAAGAATCAACACTCAGCCAGAAGTGATAACTTAATGCTGTGGGTGGGAATAGGAGCATTAATTTTTACCTCTTTTTTTTTTTTTTTTTTTTACTGTAATACTTCTTTTCTATCACTTTAGCCAGCTGCCTCCTCCTGGGAAATATCTCTTTTGTCCTTGTTGGGTGTTCAGCCAATCTAAGGCCCAACTGTACACTATGCTGCCACTGTTAATCCTCTTTTCTCTCCCAATTACCCTGATCCAGTATGGATGGGAACAAAACTATATAGTAAATATTTCAAAATTATAGCATCAGGGAATCATCTTTATGGTTGCTGGATTTGTCATTAACATCTCCAGGGTAGACAGTTCTGTTTTCTGGCCTATCCAGAAAATCTCATGGCCATCTCTCCAGACCTTCTGACTAATCATGGTGATCCCAAAGTACCCAAACCCCTATTTGTTAACTGGAACTCTCCCCCAGTTAATAGATTCCACCTGAACTCCCCACCACCACTATTATGTAGACCTGGGAAGTTGGGTATTTTTATCTCCAGTGCACTAATGTTTCTACCGTTTGCACTCACTGTTGTGTTAATGACACAAAAGTAGAAGTTTCCCTGCAATGCTCTGATGCAACTTTAGTTGTCAAATTCTCGAGGCTGCAGTGAGGTAAATGGGATTCCATTTGTAAGTGAGGAGAGCAAATATGATGCCTTTTCCTAGATCAGAACATACAGGGGAAAACAGTTATCTAATCTTGGGAGCGGAGAGTACCATTCCCTTCTGGAAAAGAAGATTGTTTGGCCACCCCCATTGCAACAGGGAAAGAACATCTCTATAGGCCCAATTTGGCAGCAATGGATACACATCACACCCCATAGTGTCTCTATTTGTGCCCCAACTTGGCTCATTTTTTTGTGGCCACAAATGGAGAAAAGGTACGTCCCATAACCATTCCTGACTCCCCAGGCAGCCATCTGTCCTTTTAGAAGTAGCTTTCCCTTGTATAGCAATAACTTGGGACAGAGGTGAAAGTATGTTGGCCACCCTTGCCCCTCCAGGGGTCACAGTCTATAACTGCATAGGACCCCCAAACACTAGAAATAAGTGAGCAATAGGATTAATTCTGGTGGAAATCGAGGCAGCAATAGGACTAGCGTCACCCTGCGGCAGCTTTGCTTACCATAAGTCAACCCTAAAGAACTCGAATTCTTAGTTGCCAACACAGGTCAGTCATTAAAGATAATTCAAGAGTCTCTGGACTCTTTTGCAAATGTAGCTGTTGATAATAGACTAGCATTGAATTATTTACTATCTGAACAAGGTGGAATATGTGCAGTTATTAATAAAACCTGCTGTACATATATTAACAACTCTGGACAAGTTGAGGTTACATTCAAAAAAATCTATGAACAAGCTACCTGGTTACATAGATATAACCAGGGCACTGACTCCACTATATCAGGTAGACTATCAAAAGTGCCTTCCCAAGTTTCACCTGGTTTTTACCTCTCCTAGGACCTTGGATAGATGTCCTGTTGTTACTATATTTTTTTGGCCCTTGCTTGTTTAACCTCTTAGTAAAGTTTGTGTCTTCTAGGTTAAAACAGTTCTAAGTGAAGACAATGCTGGCACAAGGCTTCCAACCCATCCCTCTGATATAAGGGGCCTAGAGGCAGGATGCTTTCATTCTCCAAGTCATACTGACTTGGGCCACTTAGATCAGGTGTCCAGAGATTTTTTAGTCATCTGGTGCTAGGCACTGCCTACTCCCATAAACTCAGCAGGAAGCAGTTACAGAAGATGGACTTCTGCCCTTCTGCAGCCCCATTAAGATTAAGGATGAATATCTACTGTTTGAGGGGGGAATGAAGTAGTAGGCAGGACTTGACTCCAGAGGTGGGGCTCAGACACCCGACCAAATTGAGGATTGGCTAAAACAGGGATGGGGCAGAAGTAGCTTTCCATAAGACATGCCCACCAGTCTGCCATGTCAGTTTATCATTGCCATGGCAACACCTGAAAGTTACCGCCCCTTTCCATGGCAATGACCCAGTGACCCAGAAGTTACTACGGTCTTTCTAGAAATTTCTGCATAATCCACCACTTAATTTGCATATAAGTAAAAGTCAATATAAATATGACCACAGAGTTGCCTCTGAGCTGCTACTCTGGGTACATTGCTTATGGGGTAGCCCTGCTCCACAAGGAGCAGTACCTCTGCTGCTGGTGTACACTGCTGCTTCAATAAAAGTTGCTGTCTACTTTTACTTTTACCACTGGCTTACCCTTTAATTATTTCCTGGGCTAAGCCAAAAGCCCTCCCAGGCTAAGCCCCAATTTTGGGTCTTGCCTGCCCTGCATCACTTGTTGGCTATGTGTATGCCTTTTTTTCAGAAGTATCTGTTTATGTCTTTTGTCCACTTAAAAGATGTTTGGGGCCAGGCACAGTAGCTCACGCCTGTAATCCCAGGACTTTGAGAGGCTGAGGAGGGCAGATCACAAGGTCAGGGGATCGAGACCATCCTGGCTAAGGTGAAACCCCGTCTCTACTAAAAATACAAAAAATTAGCCAGGCGTGGTGGCGAGCACCTGTAGTCCCAGCTACTTGGGAGGCTGAGGCAGGAGAATGGCGTGAACTGGGGAGGTGGATCTTGCAGTGAGCTGAGATCATGCCACTGCACTCCAGCCTGGGCAACAGAGCAAGACTCCATCTCAAAAAAAAAATATTTGGGTACATAGTAGGTATGTATATATATATATATATATATATATATATATATATATATATATATATATATATATGGAGTGTATAGATACTTCGATACAGTCACACAATACATAATAATCACATCACGGCAAATGCAGTATGCATGCCTTAAATCTGTTGTGTTAGAAACTATCCAATTATACTCTTTTAGTTATTTTAAAATGTATAATCAAATTATTATTGACTAGAGTCATGCTATTGTGCTACCAAATACTAGGTCAATAAGAATAACATTCTTTCTGGTGGACAGGGCCATGGCGGTGACCTGAGCTGCCACCTGACATGAATTTGCTGGAGCAGGCAGAAGAGCTCAAGGCTTTTGAGAGGAGACTTACTGAATATATTCATTGTTTGCAACCTGCTACTGGATGTTGGAGAATGCTTCTTCTAGTGGTATCTGTCTGTACGCTACTGGTGCCTGGAACTGGTTGATAGATCCAGAGACACAAAAGGTGTCCTTCTTCACATCATTATGGAATCATCCATTTTTTACCATTAGCTATATCACTCTAATAGGCTTGTTCTTTGCTGGAATACACAAGAGAGTAGTTGCACCATCAATTATAGCTGCTCAACGTCAAACGATATTAGCAGAATACAATATGTCTTGTGATGATACAGGAAAACTAATTTTGAAACCTAGGCCTCATGTTCAATGCCAATCTTCACTAATTGCTATTGGACGTAAAACAGCCCTTCTTCGAATAAGTGATACAGCAAAAAGCCATAAAGGATTCCTTTTGCAGTTGGATATGTAAAGGTCATAGCAACAACTGACAAGATGTGTGCAATATTTACCCAGATTATCTTGGTGATGATGATTCACATTATCAGTGCTTTGGTACTTTTTATTACCTGTGTTTCAGTATTAGTGTCACTTTATTACTTCAGATCCTTCAAAGATTTTTGCAGATAAAGTGTGTATATATGTTATGAAGCTCAACTTAAAAATAGAACCTCATTCAGTTTTTATAATGTACTTTTGCAAACTACTGTAAATAGCAAATCAATGCCAATGGTAAACAAAGAGGAAAATGTTGTGTGGTCTTTGTTCTCCTGCACCAGTACTTCAGGAACATCTGCTTGCCATCCCCACAGCTCTTTAAAACTGGCTATTATGTGTGCCTTTCATTCTTACACTTTTAATCATACTGTAGGAAAAACATTGGATTCAGCTTAGACTGAGGAAAACTCCTCTCCATAATGTTGTAAGAAATTATAGGTGTTTTGATAAACACTTTTTGTTAAACCAGATATTGAACTCCAGCAACTATTGTGGTTATATTTTTCAGTTCATTGTTTTCATTGAGTGCTAAATATCCTTAATATTTTAAAATAATTTTTTAAATACCCCAAAGGCTTGTGAATATACAAGTCTACTTATAAATTATGTATTGTCTGGGACTTTGATAGACATTGTTTTAGATAACTGGATTTTACGCTGTGGTAGACAGACTGTGACGTTAGTGTTGCACAGGTGTAATTGATCATCCTACGCCATCACCAGAATAACATGGGAGTGGTGCCACAAACTAGAGTCTACAATTCTCACTGTTTAGAGAGTGTTAATGACATGCCATGTATGCATAATAACTACATGTACTATATTAACCCTTAAAATTAAGCTATTGGGATGGCTATAAATACTTTAAAGTACTGGAAGTGCTTTTACCTGTTTATTAGAAGGTTTTGAAAAGGTTTAAATTATTTCATGAGCAATCTTTTAAATTTCATTTAACGTAAAACTGAAAATTCAATAACAGGATAAAAAACTTTGTAACAAGGCTTAAGGCTTTCACGTAAATGTGTTGATCTTAGCTTTCACATGGATAAAATTTAATTCTTTGAACTGTAGCAATAAAACAAATAAGTGATACAGCTTTGCTGTAAGAAGTCTGAAGAGGGTATTCTATATATTCTGCTTTGTTTTATTTTTTGTAAATTTTGTAGGTAAATATGTGCATAAAAATAAATACTTTATATACAAAAGAATAACATTCTTTCTAACTACTTTTTTTACTCTTTAACCATCCCCACTCCCCACCTCCCCTACTACCATCCACAGCCTGTAGTAAGCATCCTTCTACTCTCTATTTCCTTCTACTCTCTATTTCCATGAATTCAATTGTTTTGATTTTTATATCCCACAAATAAGTGAGAACATGTGAAGATTGTCTTTCTGTGCTTGGCTAATTTCACTTAACAAAATGACATCCAGTGTCATCCATGTTGTAGCAAATGACAGGATCTCATTCTGTTTTGTGGCTGAATAGTACTCCATTGTGTATATGCACTACATTTTCTTTATCCATTCATCTATTGATGGACACTTAAGTTGCTTTCAAATCTTGGCTATTGTGAACAATGCCATAACAAACATGGGAGTGCAGATATCTCTTTGATACATGGATTTCCTTTCTTTTGGGTATATACCCAACAGTGGGATTGCTAGATTGTATGGTAGCTCAATTTTTAGTTTTTTGAGGAAACTCCGAACTGTTCCTCATAGTGGTTGTATTAATTTACATTCCCACCAATGGTGTATGAGTGTGCCCTTTTCTCCACATCCTCGTCAACATTTGTTATTGCGTATATTTTGAATAGAAGCCATTTTAACCGGGATGAGATGATAATGTAGTTTTAATTTACATTTCTCTGATGTTCACTGATGTTTAGCACCTTTTCATATGCCTGTTTGCCATTTCTATGTCTTTTTTTGAGAAATGTCTATTAATAGCTTTTGCTTATTTTTAATCAGATTATTCGATTTTTTCCTATAGAGTTGTTTGAGCTCCTTATATATTCTGGTTATTGATTCCTTATCAGATGGGTAGTTTGCAAAATATTTTCTCCTATTCTGTGGGTTGTCTCTTCACTGTCTTCATTTTTAGTAGAAACCCCGTCTGTCCTGTTGTTATCATATTTTTTTGGCCCTTGCTTTTTTAACCTCTTAGTAAAGTTTGTGTCTTCTAGGTTAAAACAGTTCTAAGTAAAGACAATGCTGGCACAAGGCTTCCAACCCATCCCTCTGATATAAGGGGCCTAGAGGCAGGATGCTTTCATTCTCCAAGTCATACTGACTTGGGCCACTTAGATCAGGTGTCCAGAGATTTTTTAGTCATCTGGTGCTAGGCACTGCCTACTCCCATAAACTCAGCAGGAAGCAGTTACAGAAGATGGACTTCTGCCCTTCTGCAGCCCCATTAAGATTAAGGATGAATATCTACTGTCTGAGGGGGGAATGAAGTAGTAGTTGATTGTTTCCTTTGCTGTGCAGAAGATTTTTCATCTTGATGTGATCCCATTTGTCCATTTTTGCTTTGGTTGCTTGTGATTATGGGGTATTATTCAGGAAATTTTTGCCCAGGCCAATGTCCTGGAGAATTTTCCCAATGTGTTCTTGTAGTAGTTTCATAGCTTGAGGTCTTAGAATTAAGTCTTTAATTCATTTTGATTTGATTTTTATATATGGCAAGAGATAGGGGTCTAGTTTTATTCTTCTACATATGGATATCCGATTTTCCCAGCACCATTTATTGAAGAGACTGTTTTTTTCACAATGTATATTCTCTTCACCTTTGTCAAAAATGAGTTCACTATAGATGTATGTATTTGTTTCTGGGATCTCTATTCTGTTCCATTGGTCTATGTGTTTGCTTTTATGCCAGTACCATGCTGTTTTGGTTACTATAGCTCTGTAGTATAATTTGAAGTCAGGTAATGTGATTCCTCCAATTTTATTTATTTATTTATTTTTGTTTAGGATAGCTTTGACTATTCCAGGTCTTTTGTGGTTCCATCTAAATTTTAGGATTGTTCTTTCCATTTCTGTGAAGAATGTCATTGGTATTTTGATAGGGGTTGCATGGAATCTGTATGTGGATTTGAGTGGTGTAGACATGATTCTTCCAATCCATGTACATGGAATGTCTGTCCATTTTTTGGTGTCCTCTTTAATGTCTTTCACCAGTGTTTTATAGTTTTCATTTTAGAGATCTTTCATTTCTTTGGTTAAGTTTATTCCTATGTATTTAATTTTATTTGTGGGTACTGTAAACAGGATTACTCTTTTATTTCTTTTTCAGATTGTTCACTGTTGGCATACAGAAATGCTTCTGATTTTTGTGTGTTTATTTTATATCCTACAAGTTTATTTAATTTATCAGTTTTTATAGTTTTTTGGTTGTGTCTTTAGGTTTTTCCAAATATAAGATCATATCTACAAACAAGGATAATTTGACTTTTTCCTTCCCAATTTGGATGCCGCTAATTTCTTTATCTTTTCTGATTGCTCTAGCTCAAACTTACAGTACTATGCTGAATAACAATGGTGAAAGTGGGCATCCTTTTCTTGTTCCAGATCTTAGAGGGAAGGCTTTCCAGTTTTTCCCATTCAGTATGATACTAGCTGTGGGTCTGTCACATATGGCTTTAATTGTATCGAGGTATGTTTCTTCTATACTCAGTTTTTTGAAGGTTTTTATCATGAAGAGATGTTGATTATATCAAATGCTTTTTCAGCACCAACTGAAATGATCATATGGTTTTTATCCTTCATCCTGTTGATATGATGCATCACATTGATTAATTCACATATGTTGAACCATGCTTGCATCTGTGAGATAAATCTCACTTGGTCATGATTAATCATTTTTTAATCTGTTGTTGAATTCATTTTACTGGTGTTTTGTTGAGGATCTTTGCATCAATATTCATCACAGATATTGGCCTCTAGCTTTTTTATTTTTATTTTTATTTTTGGATCTATGTTTGTCTGGTTTTGGTATCAGGGTAATGCTGGCCTTGTGAAATGAATTTGTGAGTACTGCCCCCTCCTCTGTTTTTTGAAATAGTTTAAGTAGAATTGATGTTAGTTCTTCTTTAAATGTTTGGTAGGAATTCAGCAGTGAAGCTACGAGGTCCTGGGCTTTTGTTTACTGGGAAAATTTTTATTATGGCTTCAATCTCATTGTTTGTTATTGGTCTGTTCAGGTTTTGGATTCCTTCCTTGTACATTCTTGGTAAGTTTTATGTTCCTAGGAATTTATCCATTTCCTCTGGATTTTCCAATTTATTGTCATATAAGTGCTCATAGTAGCCACTAATGATCCCTTGAATTTCTGTGGTATCAGTTATAATGTTTCCTTTTTCATCTCTGATTTTATTCATTTGGATCTCTTTCTTTTTTTCTTGGTTGGGCTAAAGGTATGTCAATTTTATTTATCTTTTCAAAAAACATAACTTTTTTATTGATCTTTTGTAGATTCTTCATTTCAATTTCATTTATTTCTGCTCTGATGTTTATTATTTCTTATACTAATTTTGGGTTTGGTTTGCTCTTGCTTTTCTAATTCTTTAAGATGCATCATTAGGTTGTTTATTTGAAGTTTTTCTTCTTTTTTGATGTAGGCACTTAGAGATATAAATTTCCTTCTTAGTACTGCTTTTACTGTATCCCATAGGTTATGGTATGTTGTGTTTCCAGAATCATTTATTTAAAGACATTTTTCAATTTCCTTATTAATTTCTTCTGGTCATCAGGAGCCTATTGTTTAATTTCCATGTTTGCATTGTTTCTAAAATTCCTATTGTTATTTATTTCTAGTTTTATTCTATTTTGTTCAGAGAAGATGCTTGATGTTATTTGAATTTTTTTGAATATTTTATGGCTTATTTTGTGACCTAACATATGGCCTATCCTGGAGAATGATCTATGCACTGAGAAAAAGAAAGTGTAGTCTACAGTTGTTGCATGAAATTTTCTGTAAATATCTATTAGTTTCATTTGTTCTATACTGCAGATTAAGTCCAATGTTTCTTTGTTGGTTTTCTGTCTGGATGATCTGTCCAATGCTGAAAGTGGAGTTTGTAGTCTCCAACTATTATTGTATTGAGGTCTATATCTGTCTTTAGTTCTAATAATATTTGCTTTATATATCTGGGTATTCCTGTGTTGGGTGCATATATATTTATACTTGTTATATCCTTTTGCTGAATCGACTCCTTTATCATTATAGGGGGCCTTTGGGAGTTTGATTTATCATTATATAATGGCATTCTTTGTCTCTTATTGTTTTTGTCTTATTCTATTTTGTCTGATATAACTACTCCTCCTCTTTATTGGTTTCCATTGGCATGAAATATCTTTTTATGTCTCTTTATTTTCAGTCTATGTGTATCTTTATAGGTGAAGTGTGTTTCTTCTAGGCAACAGGTCATTGGGTCTTGATTTTTAATTCATTCAGCCATTTACATTCAATGCTATTATTGATAAGTAAGGACTTACTCCTGCCATTTTGTTATTTGTTTTCTTCTTGTTTTGTCATCTTCTATTCCTTGTTTCCTTCCTTCCTGTCTTTGTTTTAATGAAGGTAATTTTCTCTGGTGGTATGGTTTAATTTCTTGCTTTTTATTTTTTGTGTATCCATTTTTGACTTGAGGTTACCATGAAACTTGCCAATACTATCTTATAACCCATTATTTTAAACTGATGACAACTTAACACCAATTGCATAAACAAAGAAACAAACAAAGAAAAAAAGGAAAATAATAAAAACTCTACACTTTAACTTCCTTCATTTCCCTTCTTTTTATCTTTTAATTATTTATCTTTATGTCTTATTGTACTGTCTATGCCTTTTAAAGTTGTTTTAATTATTATTTTTGACTGGTTCATCATTTAGTCTTTGTATTTAAGAGAAGAGTAGGTTATACATCACAATTACAGTGTTATAATATTCCGTGTTTTTCTATGTGCTTGCTATTACCAGTGAGTTTTGTACCTTCAGATTATTGATTTTCTTTTCCTTTGTTATGTTTTTTCAAGACAAGGTCTTGCTCTGTCGCCCAGGCTGGAGTGTGGTTTGATCATGGCTCACTGCAGCCATGCCCTCCTGGGCTCAAGTGATCCTCCTGCTTCAGCCTCCCAACTAACTAAAACTATAGGCATGTGCCAATACACCTGCTTAATTTTTAAATTTTTCGTAGAGATGGGGTCTTGCTATGTTGCACAAGCTTGCCTCAAGTTCCTGGGCTCAAACAATTCTCCTGCCTTGGCCTTCCAAAGTGCTGGGATTACAGGTGTGAGCCAATGCACCCAACCCAGATTATTTCTTATTGCTTGTTAACATCCCTTTCTTTCGGATTGAAGAACTCCCTTTAGCATTTCTTGTAGAACAGGTCTGGTGTTTGTGACATCCCTCAGCTTTGGATTGTCTGGGAAAGTCTTTGTTTCTCCTTCATACTTGAAGGATATTTTTGCTGAATATACTATTCTAGAGTAAAAAGGTTTTTCCTTCAGCACTTTAAGTATGTTATGCATCTCTCCTGGCCTGTAAGGTTTCCACTGAAAAGTCTGGTGCCAGATGTATAGAAGCTCCATTGGATGTTATTTGTTTCTTTTCTCTTGCTACTTTTAAAATCCTTTCTTTATCCTTGACCTATGGGAGTTTGATTATCAAATGCCTTGAAGTAGTCATCTTTAGGTTAAATCTGATTGGTGTTCTACAGCCTTCTTGTACTTGAATGTTAATATCTTTCTCTAGGTTTGGGATTTTCTCTGTTATTATCCCTTTGAATAAGCTTTCTACCCCTATCTCTTTCTCTACCTCCTCTTTAAGGCCACTAACTCTTAGATTTGCCATTTTGAGGGCAAATTTCTATTTTTTAGATCTTGAAGGCATTCTTCATTCTTTTTTTATTCTTTTTTCTTTTGTCTCCTCTGTGTATTTTCAAATAGCCTGTACTGAAGCTCACTAATTCTTCTGCTTGATCAATTCTGCTATTAAAATACTCTGATGCGTTCTTCAATATGTCAATTGCATTTTTCAACTCTAGAATGTCTGCTTTATTCTTTTAAATTATTTTACTGTCTTTGTTAAATGTATGTGATAGAATTCTGAATTCCTTCTCTGTGCTATCTTGAATTTTTTTGAGTTTCCTGAATACAGCTATTTTGAATTCTCTTTCTGAGAGGTCACATATCTCTGTTTCTCCAGTATAGGTCCTTGGTGCCGTATTTAGTTGAGTGAGGTCATGTTTTCCTGGATGATCTTGGTGCTTGTGGTTGTTTGGTGATGTCTGGGAATCATAGAGATAGGTTTTTGTTGTAGTCTTCACAGTCTGGGTTTGTTTGCACCTGTCTTTCTTGGGAAGGCTTTCCAGGTATTTGAAGGGACTTAGGCCCTGAGCCCAATAATGCTGTGGTTTTTGCAGACTTTTACAGATACTACCTTGGTGATCTTGGATAAGATCTGGAAGAATTCTCTGGATTACCATGCTGAGGATCTTGTTCTTTTCCCTTACTTTGTCCCAAACAAACAGTCTTTCTCTTTGTGCTAATCCACCTAGAGCTGGGGGTGGGATGATACATGCTCCCCTGTAGCCACCACCACTGGGACTGTACTGGGTCAGACCTGAAGCACTGGGTCTCACTGAAGGCCCATTGTGATCACTACCTGACTAGTGCCTATGTTTACTCAAGGCCTTAGGGATCTACAATCAGCAGGTGGAGAATCCAGCCAAGTTTGTGTCCTTCCCTTCAGGGTGATGAGTTCCCTCCAGGCCCCAGGCAGGTCCAGAGATGATGTCTGGGAGCCAGGGATTGGAATAAAAAACCTTAGAGATTTACCTGGTGCTCTACTGTACTGTGGGTAAGCCTGCCTTCAAACCACAAGACAAAGTCCATACCACTTTTCTCTCCCCTTTCTGCAGCTAAAGGACCCTCTCCCAGTGGCCACCAGCACCACCAGCCCCTGGGGAATTCTGCTAGACCACCACCAATGTTCACTTAAAGTTCAAGGGCTCTTCATTTAGCTTCTGGTGAATGCTGCCAGGTCTGTGACTCACCCTTTAGGACAGTGTGCTCCACTCTGGCCCAGGGCAGGTCCATAAATGCTGTCCCAGGAGCCTAGGTCTGGACTTGGGGACCCCAAAAGTCTGCTTTGTGCTCTATCCCACTGTGGCCGAGCTTGTATGTAAGGTGCAAAGCAAAGTCCTGTTTACATTTCCGTCGGCTTTTCTGAAGCAGAAGGAGTCTTTCATGGTAGTCACCACAGCATGGAATGTGCTGAATTTAATTTGAGGCCAGCACATCTCAGAGTCTCACCCAAGACCCACAGCATACAACCTGAGTATCACTGTTGGCTATTAAGGGCCCAAGGGCTCTTTAGTCAGCAGGTGATGGATTCTGCCAGGATTGGGCCCTTCCCTTCAAGGGAGCAGGTTCTTTTATGGCCAAGGATACGTCTAGAAATGTCATTTTGGAGCTAGGGCATGGAATAGGTGCCTCATGACTCTGTCCAGTGCCCTGTCCTATTGTGACTGAGCTGGTATCCAATACAGAAGACAAAGTCTTCTTTACTTTTCACTCTCTTTTATTCAAACAGAAAAGAAGGAGTCACTTTCGTTGCTGCAAGCTGAGCTACCTGAGGTAGGGGAGGGGTGGTGCAAACACTCCCCTAGCTGCTCTGGCTGTTGTCTCCTTAGGGCTTATGTTGCCCTGGTCCACTGGCTCTAAGCCCAGCACAGCACTAGGACTTGTCTAGAAATTGTAATCCTTGTGTCCTAGACTGCCTTTCAAATTTACCTAGGACCCTAGAGCACTTTAGCCCAAGGTGGTGAGGCTTGCCAAAACTTCAGTTCTGACTGCTGGGATAGGTGATTCCCCTCTGGCTAGCACTGGTTCAAATGCTACCTCTGCGTGCAGATGCCAGCTGAGCCCTGTACTGCTTTGCTCTCTGCAAACTGCCTCTTCTTTTTTCCTTAAAAATCTTCTTGTCATTCCTGTTAATTGAAGTGTATATTCAGGACACCTTAAATCTATGCTCCAACGTGGCCATCCTAAAGCTTTGGGCTCAAATAAACTCTATACTTAATCATATTTTACAAACCTCATTATTTGAGGTTGACAAATTTTGATCAATATTCTTGCTGTTACTAACCTAATAAAAATATGAGACATATATCTTCTACATTAGTTTTCTATTTCCATGTAACAAAATACCACAAACTCAGTGGCTTAAAATAACCCACTCACAGATTTTGGCTCACAGATGGGTAAGTTAGAAGTCCAGGCATGGTGTGACTGGGTTCTCTGCTGAGGGTCTTGTAAGGCTAAAATTGAAAAGGTGTCAATCAGGCTGCAGTCTTATCTGGAGCTTGGGGTCCTTTTCCAAGCTTACATGGTTGTGGCAGAATTTAGGGTTTTTTTTTTTTTTTTTGGAGTTGTAGAACTGAGTTCCTACGTTCCTCCTGGCTATCTGCCAGGTGCCACTCTCATTCCCCAGATATCACTCACATTCCTTGACACATGGCCTCTTTATCTTTATCTTCAAAGCCAGAATGGAAAATCTCCCTCACAATGAAAATCTTTTATGCTTCAAATCTCTCTGACTTAAGGAAAAACTAATCAATTTAAGGACTAACATGATCAGAGCAGACCCATCTAGTAATTGCCCTTTAGATTAACTCAATGATTTGAGACTTCGATTGCATCTGCAAAATCCCTTTTGCCAAAAAATGTAATATAATCATAGGAGTGACATCTCATCATACTCATAGGTTTCATCTTTAAACAAGAAGAGGTAATTATACAACTGTGAAGATCACAGGGGATCATCTTAAAATTTTGACTACCACAATCTTCCTTAGAGGCCTTAGATGACGCCCATATAAATCAAGGGGACTTGAAACTTAAGTGTCATTAGCTTCAAGGTGAATTCGCCTCTGTATTGCCTCCACCCATTCACTTTTTCACTTCTCTCATGCAAACGTATTCTGCTAATGAGCTCCTAACCTCACTCATATATAATCATGGATTAGTTACTGCTTACAATTCTAACAGAAGTTACATGATTAATTTCCTGACATTATTTTTGCTACTAAGATTTTTAGCATTTACCTAAATTGGAGATGATAGATATTCACATCTTGGGCCCTCGATAAAAGGCAATCATAATGATTTCTCATATATCTACTGAAGTATGGCAGGTTAGGAGAGACACATAGGCCAACCGCAAGGTAAGAGTACTTGTTCTCTAGAAACCTCTGGGAATCTCACCATTACTGAGTATCTGCCATGTGCCGCACATGGGGACAGCCGCTTTATGTGGGCTGACTGGCTAACCCTTATGTCCCCTCACCAGTGTGTGAGGTAGGGATTGTTACCAGGTAAATAGTAATTTGGAGAAGATAATGTCTAGTGTGGACTGGAGTTATTAGAGAAAAATTCAAAGAACAGACTGGGTGTGGTGGCTCACGTCTGTAGTCTGTAATCCCAGCACTTTGGGAAGCCAAGGCCAGCAGATCATTTGAGTCCAGGAATTTGAGACCAGCCTGGGCTACATGGCGAAATTCCATCTCTACAAAAAATACAAAAATTAGCTGGGCATGGAAGCATGTGCTTGTAGTCCCAGCTACTCAAGAGGATGATTGAGCCTGGGAGGTCGAGGCTGCAGTGAACCATGATCATACCACTGCACTCCAGTCTGGGTGACAGAATAACACCCTGTCTCAACAACAACAAAAAAATCAAAGAACAAGTAAATGACCAAATTAGTCTGCTTTATTTCCTGATTTTGCCTTGTCATTCTCCTGTTCTCAAAGGCCCTGGCATTTAGGGCTCTTCAGAATCCAGCCTGAATCACAGATTCTAAGCTTTGTCATTCATTTTTCCTCTGCTCCAGCTAAAAGAGACCCCCACCATCAGTGTGACTCAAACATACTTTACACTTCCTTCTGTGCCCTTGCTGTGCCATTCTCCTAGAATGAGTAATTCTGCTAGGCCTGGTAGTATAAAGGTCTATATCACATAAAGGCTTTGCTCCTTGGGATATTTCAGGAGCATGAAAATAGACCACAGGTTCTGAGAACCGTTAGTAGCCAGCCCTATGACAGCACAGGCTTTACATCATCATGTTTCTGGAGAAAACCAGCTAGTATAGCTCAGGCTAGTGAAAAAGGGATGCTTGCAGAACATGACACACCCATTTGTTTGTAGTTTGTGTCTGGTTTCATCACTTGATATAGTACATACAGATCTCCTTCACTTTGAATATCTTTGACCTCTTCTCCTATCCTTTCTTACACGTCCTCTTATGCTATAAGTTCCTCGATTTCTTTTCATTTGTTCTTTGGATAAATACACAAGGACTTTTCTTCTGCCAAACTGAACATAGGTAGAAAAATTCCCTTCCTACCGAAGAAGATTATAGCCAGCCTTGTCCACAAAAGTCTCCTAAGCTGACATGCATTAAAAAATGTCTCCCCTGTAGAATAAACACAGAGCAGAGACATTCCCAGTGCTGTCACAGAAAGAATGTTAAGACCATAATGACATACAAGATACACAATGAATTGCTGCATTCAATCACTTGCACTGTCATCTCTTATATATTCTTTGCATTGCATATTTGCCACTTTTTTATTTTTATTTTTTTTGAGACAAGGTCTGTCTCTACTGTCCAGGGTGGAGTGCAGTGGTGTGATTTTGACTCATTGCAACCTCTGCCTCCCGTGCTCAAGCCATCCTCCCACCTCAGCCTCCTGAGTAGCTGGGACTACAGGCACACACTACCACGCAAGGCTAATTTTTGTATTTTTAGTAGCAATAGGGTTTCACCATGTTGCCCAGGCTGGTCTCAAATTCATGAGCTCAAGCGATCCACCTGCCTCGGCCTCCCAAAGTGCTGGGATTACAGGCGTGAGCCACCACACCCAGCCACATATATGCCACCTTAGTAATAACCAACCTAACACCAGTTTGAATGAAGTCAATTGTCATTTTTGCACATCCCTGAATTCAGAATAGATTTTGAAAATTTACAAATATATACATAAGTGCTATAAGGATACAATTCTATAAATCTACTGTTGAACTCATTTACAGATGAGAAAACAGAAACAAAAAGAGATGAAATAAACTGCTAAATTCATCTAGCAGGAAAAAGGTTGGCCTTGGAACCCACATCTATGGATTCCCAGCTGTTCTTATTTTACTCCATAATGAGCCTGTATAATTCAGGAGGGCCTTGCTCTCAATGTTGCACCTTCTAAAGTTATTCAGAATGTGTTTCAAGGTTCGGCCCCTGTTGAAAGCTGCTCCCAGGAAAGTGGGCTCCAGCCACGTTTGCATACTGCCAGGGTGGGCAGCACAGATCTTTTCAGGAAGCAGGAGCTGAAAGTATCAGAACGCAGGCAGGACAGCCATGCAGGAAAGGGAGAAGGGAGTTAGCACTGGGCAGCTGCTGCCATGACAACAGTATCCAGGGGGTGTGGCCTTTCTCTGGGGGATCTGAGAAAGCCCAGGGTGGGTTTCTTCTCCAGGGATTCCTGTTGCTGGGGAGGCTGCACTTCTGTGGCAGGAACAGAACCCTCCTTCTTTGCGAGTCCCCTTGGTTTCACTTTGCAGGCCCTGTCTGCCTGGACTTGAGGAGTTCTGCCCTCTCCAGCCCAGACGTTCCCTCTGTGGCTGCTGCCTCTGCATTCTTTCCTAATGGCACTAATGGCAGTACCTGCTCTCAGACCTGGACCTGTTGACTGCAGCAGGCCCTGTCCAGCCTGTGACTCTCATGGGCTCCTCCCCTACCCCTGCCCCAGGGGAAATTCCCAAGTAGGAAAAGCAATGACAGGAGCCTCCTCTTTTCTGTTTCTGCCTGTGGCCTCATCCTAACTGGGGCCCAAACACACACACACACACACACACACACACACACTGTATATGCTCAGAGTAACAAGGAAGGGGCTCTGAGGAAAGGCCAGGTAGCAACTCAAGCTGTTGGAAACGTACAAGGACAGGGAAGGTGGGTCCAGACCTGGGCTGAAGGGAGACAGTACCAGGCTTGGGTCTGGGCAAGACTTATGCTGTCATTCACTCCCTGGAGGCTCTGGAGGTGTGGCAGCCTCCTACCCCTCTCCTTGCCTCTATTTGCATCATTTTTCTCCCTAAATGGTGGGGGCGAGGGCTGTGGTAGAACCATGAATGAGGTCCCTTCTAGCTCTAGGAAGCTATGATTCCATCGTGCCCACCATGCTGAGGAGGGATGAACACCATTTGGCCTGAATGGGGACCACCTGCAGACTGTGGCTGCTGCTGCATTTCCCAGAATCCAGACAAGCTCAGAGCACATAACTCATTCTATTTTGGCCTTCCCTGCTGTGCTCCAACACAGTCACAGCTTAGTCTTCACTTCAGGTACTCTTTAAAGGGCCAATAACAACCTCAGTCTGAGGTATGGGTGACAGAGGTTGGAACAGAGGAGATGAGTCAGTCCTTGATATTTGGTTCAACAAACATATATTGAATGAGTGTTCTGTCCTTTGTCCTGTATATGCTGATGAATAAGCCACAAATGTCTTTGAGCAGTTCATTAACTTATAAAGGATATACATGCTTAAACATAGTTTTAGTACATGATAATGAAGTCTAAGTCACCGGATACTTCAGGAGAACCAGGAAAGAACACTTAACTCATCTGAGAGTAAGTGGTACTTTAGTTGAGTTTTAATGATTTAATAGAATTTTGCTGAGCAGAGAAGGGAAGGGCAGTCTAGACAGAAGTAGCAGCATCAGCAAAGGCATGCAGGCTTAGCCTCAAAGGCTTGACTAGACCAGACCAGTCAAAGTCTCACAAGAATTCAGATGACAAATGTCCATTAGAGAAGCCAGTTTGGCAGTGCCCCTAAATGCACCTCATGACCCAACAATTCCACTTCTAGTCACCAATCCTAAGAAATACACAGATATACAAGGAGGCATGAACAAGAAAGGCCATTTCAGCGTGTTTATAACAGTAAAGCACTGGAAACCTAAATCTCTATAATTAGGGAATACATTGCAGTATGTTCAGAGTCTGCAATAGGTGCAGCAGCTACATATGAACTAGATCTATAGGTAATAATATGGATAGATTTCCAGGACATACTATTGAATGAAAAAAAGAACATTTTGCTGAATGAAACATAGGATAGGATGCCATTTACGTAATGTCATTTAGAGCCTATGACTATATATGTATTTATATTTATGTATGTGTAAGTATATTATATATGTATACATGGCATCTATTAATATGTTTTTATTATAACATATAGTATATAAGTATATATGTACATATATACATATATACACATATATGTGTGTATATATACATATATACATATATATACACATATATATGTGTGTATATATATGTATGTATATAGTTTCTTATGTGAGTTACTGCTCCATGTACTTTGCCCATTTTCTATTGGGTGAGCAGAGTTTTTTACTTTTAAAAGATATTATGTCTAAATCTATAATATATGTTTAAATATTTCATTACAGTTTCTCATGTGCCATTTAATATTCTTTGAGATACATTTTTTACTTTAAATATTTTGAAAGATAATTCTTTATTAATTTTTCTGATTGCAGAAGCATGCTTGTAGCATAAAAATTCAAACCCTATAACAGTGGGGCATGAGAATAGCAGAGTGTTCACAAATTTTCTGACATCTAAAAGATGAATGCCACTAGATTTGGCAATGAGAGAGAAAGTGTGAAATTTTAGGAGCAAGCAAAGCATAATGGTTAAAAGGTCAGACTTAAGAGTCAGACAAATTTGAGTTCAAATAAAGTTCCTCCATTGACTGGCTGTGTGACCCTGTGTAAGCCACCTAAACTTTTCGGGGCTTCAGTTTTCTCATCTATAATAAGCAATACCTTCCTAAAAGTGTTAAAAGGATTAAAGGAAACTCCAAGTATGAAGTATCTGTCCCAAAGCAGGTGCTTGACCATTTTAAATTTCTTTCCTCAACTCCAAACAAAGCCAGTGATCTTTCCCTTGCCTTATGCTTTTTGGGGAGCCCATCCATACATGTGGCCCTCAGACATAGGTCCCTGAGACCAAAGAGCACAATTTTATTTTCATCATTGACATCACCATCAAGAAGTGTGGTTGATGGAATACTCATACAGATGAATGTCATGGCACATATGTAAATAAAAGTAAGAGAATAAAGAAAATAGGCTGGGCGCAGTGGCTCACGCCTGTAATCCCAACACTTTGGGAGGCCAAGGTGGGTGGAAAACGAGGTCAGGAGATCAAGACCATCCTGGCTAACACAGTGAAACCCCATCTCTACTAAAAATACAAAAGAAAAAGAAAATTAGCCAGGCATGGTGGCATGCCTCTGTAGTCCCAGCTACTTGGGAGGCTGAGGCAGGAGAATCGCTTGCACCCAGGAGGTGGAGGTCGCAGTGAGCCGAGATCGTGCCACTGTACTCCAGCCTGGGTGACAGAGCAAAAAAAAAAAAAAAAAAAAAAAAAAGAAAAGAAAACATATGCTCTGTAAGATATAATTACATATATAAAAATGAATACATAAAGGCATTTAAATGTATTATATATGTAATATAATATATATGTTTACTTTATAACAAAGTAAATGGATAGAATACATAAAAGGAGATATACACACACAATGTAAGTACATGCTCCTCAATATTGGGAACTGTAGGCATCTTCTTCTTACACTTTTCTGCATTTCCATATATTTTCTAGTAGAAATATATAACTTCTACAATCAGAGAAAAAGTGAAAATAGTATAAGACAATTCAGCTTAAACACACATACATATGCACACATAGATGCACACGCTTATCTTGACTTGAGACAAGGAAAAACCACCTAACTATATGTTGCTTCTTGGGCCACCTCAATCCCCAAGAAGAGCCTGATACTTGTGTGGTTCCAGTGTGAGTCAGGGTTGAGACATTCCCTTCCCAAATATCAAGCCTCTCCACCAGCTCTCCTCTCATAGTTTCTCTCCTCCCTGCTCTCCTTTGTTAGCCATGTTTGACCCACAATCCTGACTCTGATCACCGGGTGGCACTTACCTCAATATGTAAACATTCTCCTGAAACAGGTATTATCTTGGTAAAAAGAAAGTTTAAAGAAAAAGTTTATTTTTTTTACACACAGGATATGAACCAGTGTGTTCAGTAGAATCCCACTTCTGTTTGAAAAATACATATTCATAGAAAAGGATAGAAGAGTATACAATTGCATTCTTCATTCATTCATTTAATTCAACAAATACTCCTGGGCCACTTGCTATGTTCCTGGTATCATAAGCCAAAATTGATATTTCCATTCTAATCTCTTTTCCAAACTTCAAACACATATCTAACTGCCTACTAGACATTTCTACCTGGATTGAGATAAAAATGAGAAAACTCACTCAAATCCACAAACCAACAAGAATACCATACTCAGCAAGTCTAAATCAATGATGCCCTAAGCCCTGAAAAGCTACTATCTAAATTGGTGGCCGTGTGGTAGAGTGGGAAGAACACAGAATTTGATGCAAACAAATCTGAGTTAGAACACAGGATTTGCCTCCTATTTATCTGCAAAATATTATCCTTCATTTGTAAAAATAATTATTTGTTTAGATTAGTGTTTCGTAATGGGGGAAGGAGTTGTCTCTGGTCCTTTTCTAGGGACCCTGAGCCTGATCCCATCTATGCTGCTTCACCACTCCTGGGAGTTTGCAGTCGTATGCATTGTTTCCTAAGAGCAGGGGGACCCTGGTTAGCAGAGGGCTCTCTCTCCATGGTCCTGGACCCTCAATGCTTTCTGCTCCGGAGTTGGCCAGGCAAGTTGCTGTTTGGACATGTGATAGAGATACCAGCCTTCTGTGTGGACAGGAAGGTGGGGAGAGGCTGTCTTAGTCCATTTTCTGCTGTTATAACAGAATACCTGAGACTGGATAACTTTTTTTTTTTTTTTTTTTTTTTGAGACAGGGTCTCTGTTGCTCAGGCTGGAGTACAGTGGCACCGTCATGGCTCACTGCAGCCTCGACTTCCTGGGCTCAAGCAATCTTCCCACTTCAGCCTCCCAAGTGAGTGGGACTACAGGCACACTCCACCATGCCCAGCTTTTTTTTTTCCTATTTTTTGTAGAGATGGCATCTCACTATGTTGCCTAGGCTGGTATTGAACTCCTGGGCTCAAGCGATCCTTCTGCCTTGGCCTCCTAAAGTGTTGGGATTACAGGCATGAGCCACCGTGCCCAGCTCTAGGATAATTGATAAAGAATAGAAACTTATTATCTTACAGTTTTGGAGGCTGGGAAGTCCAAGATCAAGGCACTGGCATCTGGGATGGGCCTTCCTATTGCATTCTTACACGCAGGAAGGCAGAAGGCAAGAAAGAGGAACTCTGTGTTTTCATGAGGCAGAAGAATGGGAGAGAACCCACTCCTGCAAGCCCTTTTTATGATGGCATTAATCCATTCATGAGAGTACAGCCCTCATGACCTAAAAACCTCCCATTAAGCCCCATATCCCACATCCCCTGTTGCATTGAGGATTAAGTTTCCAGCATATGAATTGTGGGAAACACGTTCAATCATAGCAGAGGCCCAGGGGCTCTGGATGCTGCTGACCCTCCACCACCAATGCCTTAAAAAGCATCTTCACACCAATTCACAGCTTGACTGTCCTGGCTCCCAAGTCGTGAGCTGGGCCTGCAGTGCATGAGGGTTTTCAGATAGGAGGCAACACCACTTTTCTCCTGAGTTGTAGGACCACATGTCTTTGCAAGTTCCCTTTATCTGGGGTCTCCTCTAGTTCAGGGTCTGTGCTGACTCAGACATCAAATATAGTGCACCAGGCAGACACAGAGCTAAAGTCTTTGCAGAACCAACCAAACAGGCCAGGGCACATCAAGGCCCTTCTGGGACTCTGAGCAAGGTGGGTGGGAGAGGGATGGGTGAGGTTTTGTGTGCTGTCTTAATTCTATGTTTGCCCCAGTCTTCTTGGGGGCTACTTCACTGGACTCTGAGAGACGGGTCAGCCCCTTCTGCTTCAACCCCAAGTTACCTGGTCAGATCTGTACAGACATCTGCTTGCTCAAAGACTATCCCAATGAATGTTTCCTGTCAGGACACTTTGGGGCTTTATCTCCTCCCCTACAAAATGTTCCCTAAAAGAGAGAGGGAAAAGGAGGGAAAGGCAAAGTGCTCTGACCTGCAATAGGGCAGTCAGTTCTCCTCCTCCAGGTGTGTCTGTGCAGGGCAGCTTGGCCATTAGCCTAAGAGGGCCCTGTGCCTGCTGTAGGCTGGAGCAGAGAAACAAAAGTCAGACCCACCCCAGAGGGGAATGTGGCCTGAGTGAGCCCTTCCACCTCCTGCCTAAGCACCACCACTCTTAGCGTTAGGGGGATGGATTTATCCTCTCTTATAAAACTAATTCCAGTGAGCCTGGAACCTGATCTCACTCCAGCCAGAATTCCAGTTTTACCAGCACCCATCAGGCTGTCATTGGCCTTGAAGAGTGTTCTGGAGACATGAAGACCTCCTCCAAATGGCATTGTATGGTAAAAATATAAAAACAAAAGAAAGCCAAGGGTACAGGGCTGGCTCAACCGTTTTTTTGAGATCATTACTAAAGGAGAACTTTGAATTTACTTCTGATGCATTTTACTCATATTGAAAGTATGGAATGTAAGGTATTATATAACATCAGTCATGGAAAATACATTTCTATTAAGTTGTCTCTTAGGTTTTAATTTTGTGTAAGGTCTTGCTTTGCTGTAAGAAATCTAAATTTTATGTTATAAAATTTGTATGACTATCTTTAGTTGCTTACTTAAAAATATGCTTGGATGAGGCTTTCACCCTTTTAATTCTGACACAATTATCTGTATTTTCTTCCATTTACATCATAGTTTATTCTCAATAAAATCAGAAGTATACCATATATGCCAGTGGCTGTCCAACTTTTAGTGTGCTAATTTATGAAAAAGCAGATTTACTGGGTCTGGCGTAGAAAACGGGTTTCTGCATTTTTTATAAGGGAAACACTGATATATAAAATATTTAAATAATTTTAATGTTGAATTTCAGTTAACAATCCCTCCTTCACCACGTTCCTTTTGGAATTGCAAATCATAGCTCTAGAGAAGTCAACACAGTAAAGCTTATATAGTCAATCAAAGAGAATCTCAGAATTCATGACTGGGTCATGATTTTTAATCATTATTAACCACTCTGTATCTCTAGCACTAACAGAATCAATAAAACAAAATCTTAGGATTTATAAAGGTAGCTTAGTAGAGAAATCATATCTAATATATATGTTTATGTACATATACATATATAGTACTTTAATGTTGTAGAAAGTAGTTTTGCATGTGTCTTGCTGATATGGAGCAGTGTAGAAGGGGGAATGTCTTAGTTTGAGCCTAAGCATTATCTTCCTCTTTAATTTATACAAGTTGAGCAAGTCAGCTGAATTGGCAAGGCAAGCTTGCCAGAAGCCCCTGAGAGAGAACTCATCTTAAGGCAAGTTAGACAATTAAAATGATAGTTATCCTTGGATATTTGGGAGGGAAGTTCCAATTCTGAGTACACAGCATGGTGTCTGGCTCAATAATTTTGTCTCCTAGCCCAGGACCTAGTGGAATCATGTTTGAGTCAGGTGGAGAAAAGGTGGAATCATGTTTGAGTCCAGTGGAGAAAAGGAAGGTCCTAAATGGAAAAAAAAAAAAAATGGAAGAACTATTTTACTAAGCATTTTTTTTTTTTTTGAGACGGAGTCTTGCTGTCTCCCAGGCTGGAATGCAGTGGCGCGATCTTGGCTCACTGCAAGCTCTGTCCCCCGGGTTCAAGCCATTCTCCTGCCTCAGCCTCCCGAGTGGCTGGGACTACAGGCGCCCGCCACCACACCCGGTTAATTTTTTTTTTGTATTTTTAGTAGGGATGGGGTCTCACCGTGTTCCCCAGGATGGTCTCGATCTCCTGACCTCGTGATCTGCCTGCCTCGGCCTCCCAAAATGCTAGATTACAGGCGTGAGCCACCGCGCCTGGCCTTACTAAGCATTTTTTAAAGACATTGAGGTCTAAGCAGCATTGAGATGGTAGCCTCCTAGCTAAGTGCAATATTAAAGCTGGAAGAAGGGCATTCATATATCTGCAGGAGACACAATTCAGCTTGGGCCCACCAGGGACTCCAGAGCAATCAGTGAGGCTTTGTACCTTAAGCAGTCCAGCACGTCAGCAGGGATGAGAGCCAGTGGAAGGATCAGGACCCAGGAGAAGGAGCAGCTGTGCCTAGCAGATACGGTAGGTATCTGAGAGTACAGCAGGACATGAATAGAATGTGGCACTCACTTGGAATCTCACCGGAATTGTTTGTGAGCACAAGTGAGATCTCCTTTGGGTACCTTCCCTATGTCTGCAGGGAATCTATAGGGGTTGGGGTCCTGCCTGTGCAGGTGGAATAAAGACCCCGAACATAGCTCACACAACCTTTTTCTCATCTGGTCCCACAGTAGCACTGTAAAGCAAGTATTATTCCTATTTAAATGAGAACAAAATGACTATTAAATATAATCCATATCTGGCTAATATTTGTGCCTAAGAGATTCAGAAAAAAACATAGGATTCACTTTTTTTAAAGTTCTGACAAGTATTTATTAAGTGCCACATTGTCGTTATAAGCTGATTGACAGTTTTCTTCAAAATTGTGTGATTTTTTCATTATATATTTTTGCAACACAAGTAAAACGTTTGTCCTGAAAAAATGAGAAATTCAGATAAAACAAAAATTTAAAAAATCACCTATTATCTTACCACACAACCACTGTTATGCCTTTGAAGTCTATACTTTTAGCTTTTTCTTTGCATATTAATATATAAATATACATTTTTTTTACAAAAATGGGATACAATATATACCATTTGAAAATTGCTTTTTTCGTTTCACAATATATAATGTACATCTTTCATGCAAATGTGTAGGGCTCATGACTGAAAGAGGGAAACTTGTAGATTTTAGGGGGAAACCTCAACTTTAAGCGAGTTACATGCTAAACATCTAAAATAAAGCCTCACAAAAAGTTAAAATTCAGAATATGGGAAAAGGCATTAAGAAAATGCAAACAGAAAGTCCAGGTGGCAATGGCAATACTATTAGCAGGCAAAACAGAATTAAAGGCCGAACACATTAAATAGGATAAGGACGGCTCCGTTTTGCCTTCCAGTGCATTATCATCAGTTTGTTTCTTACTCTTTTCATCTCTTCTAGCTCATCTGCTGCCTGTATCATCTCCTCATTGCTTAAATTTCTGCCATGTATGTCCCCTCTAAATTGCGGGCGAGAACGAGCCAACCTTTCTTTAAAGCTTCCTTCTTCAAGCTTATGTTTTCCTACTCCACAAGGAGGCTGCTCCATGGGAGGGCGCCCCTCAAACAGGTCCTTCCTGGAAAGACCCTCCTGCGGAGGGCGCTCCTCCGAGAGGAGCATCTCAGGCAGGAGCTCAGGCAAGAGCTCCTCAGGAAAGAACTCCTCCTCCGAGGACTGCTCCTCCGAAGACTGCTCCTCGGGGGACTGCTTTTCGGGAGAGTGCTCCACCGGAGGCCTCTCCTCATCGGTCTTGGGCGCGCTCTGCGGCTCTTCTTCATTTTCTTTGCGTGGTTTGTCCATGTTGGGAATTTTCTTCTTCAAGCACAGTTATTCTTAGGAGACAAGAAAGGCAGAATAGAGTCAGAATACTAAGCGGCTGGACTAACACCCAGGCCGTGGGTTCCAATACCTGCCTTTTCCTGATTCGGGGGCCAGGTCCTCAACCTTGCGCTTTCCCAGAGGCTCTCCGGCTCTCCCGACTCCGCCGCTTCCCGGTCGCCCCCTCCTTCCCGAAAGCCCACCATTTTCCCAGCAGGCTTTGCTACAGGCCTCGCCCGCAGTGACAGGGGCGGGACAGTGCGGCCTGCAGACTCCATGCCTTTCGGCGTCCACCCTCGCGCCCCAGTCCCGGCCCACTGCGTACCCCTTCCCTGACCTGGACCTTTCCGGGCCGTGTGCTCCTAGTCGTCCTCTCCTCGAGGTGCCCCGCTGTGACCAGCAGACCTGCACACAGACGCAAGACAGGGTAGGGGGCGGGGAGTGGGGAGGAGGGACGGACTGACTGACACCCCCCACCCCCCACTTTCTGGGCACCAGCCACTGCCTGCACGCTCCCCTAGCTCTCGGGTTCTCTTTTCGTCTCAGCCCCTGCGTCAAGCTTCGTCCTCCGTGCTCCCACCTCCCCACCCCGCAAAGCTTGCCATTTCTTTTCAGATGAGAAGTGGAAGCGAAGCATTTTTAGAAACTATTTCCAAATGTCTGTACCCCCCTCCCGGGGGACGGGGGAGGTACTCGCCTCCCCACCCCGCCCCAAAGACCACCATATTTTGCACAGAAATGTGGGCGCGGGGGGCGGGGCTGGAGCTTAGGGAAAGGCCTGGACTCCGCCATCCCGATTCTGTCAACCCCATTCCCCGGGTTACTAGGCAGCGCCGACACTCACACCGATTTAAGAGGGTAGAGGGAACTTACTTCTTCTGCTTTCCCTCTCGACCAAAGGGTAATAGGGAGATGGTGGACAGGCAAAAAAAAGACCGGGACGAGAGGGACTTGGGCACATAGAGGCTCCTGGTCACGTGAGGGACGCGCGTCACTGCCGAACTCAGATCCCCAGTTACCACTTTGATCTGCGGCCCTGCCGCAGCCACCTGCTAGTGCCTGCTAGTGTTCTCTGACCCGAGACACACCAGGCATTGTCACTCACCTCTCTTTGTATTTGCCTTTTCCTGGTTGCCAGAGACGGTCCGCATCTAGTCTCGGGTAGTATTGCCTCTTCCTCTGTGCTACTTCCCCTAGTACCACCTCTTTCTCCCCTCCTCCCTTCCTTAGCCACCAAGGCCCCTTATTTCCCCTGCAGTTCAGATCCTGCACTGACGTTTGACTGTTCACCTTCATAAATCAGTATTATATCCTTATATCCCAACACTCTCAGTTTTAATCCACATCCGTATCTCCATCATGTCCATTTAGGCTCATTCAGCATGTTTCATCTCTTGTCACTTTCATGGGAGACAATCTTTCACTTTTTCTTGACATCACATTTTGTTTTTTTGAGCCCCCAGATCTAAATTGGTAATCATTCAGTTCGAGACCTGTAGAAAGAGTTGAGTTTGTAAAGTTTGTAGATCTAAAAAGAATGAATACTTTGATTTTCATAAATCAAATACGTATTTGTCCATCTAAGTACAAACAGTCCAGAACACTTATTATCTGAAATGGGATAGTCCTTGGTGGAGAGCTTGGCATTATTCTCTCTATGTGTGTATATATATACACACATATATATGCGTGTATATATATACACGCATATATATGCATGTATACACACTGAATAGATTATAAAATATATTTATATACATGTGTACATATATATAAATTATTCAGTAGTTATTCATAATAGAATAAATAGATTTTACTGGGACTCTCAATCCTTAACCAGCCACCTCTTGGTGCTTCTGGTTGAGGAAGTTTATATTAATTCACTAAATCAACAAATATTTGAGTTCTGGGACTGCTGGACCCCAAAAGATAGATGCAGCAGGGAGGGCATTCCATATTAAACTATGCAATAATTCTGTTGACCACATACTGAATAGCAGGACTACAATTATGCTAGCATTTTCAATTGTCATTGCAATATGTATTTTTTTTTATCTAACAGTATTTTATGATCTTTAACCTTATGCCTGCCTCTCATCTACTCACATCAGCCTGGATGCTACTTTCTTATGCAGATGCTCTTTCCCCTACAGAGCATACTACTTCCCTTCCCTCTGTGTTTTACACTTTCAGGGTAGATGACCATCTGATCTGTGAGGATCCTGGGATTTTGTTTTAAAGCCAGGCTGTTTAGTAAGTTTCTGAACAGAAATTCATGTGAAATTTCCCCTTTTAAGAACTGTTTGTTGCTTTTCTCTGATATCTGATTAACTTTGTGTTGAGATAGCATTTAGACAAATATTAGTTTACCTTCATATCTTTTTTATAACTGTTTTACTTTCCAATTTCTCTGTGAGATGTGTCTTTAAAACCAAGTTTCACTATGCCTTCTTATTTTTTCATCAAGGGTTGGTTTCTCATTTGTATAGTTTCTTTCCTAGAGAAGTCCCATTTCATTCATTTCTATCCTTATTCTTCTTAAATCCTGTGATGGAGAACTCACTGCCTTATAAGATATCTCACTGAAATCTCAGAAAGTTCTAATCATTCAGAGTTTTAAAATTAATTAATTAATTGATTTTTGCTTCTGTTGAGTTAAAATCTGCCTCCCAGTAGTTTACACACATTGGTCCTGGCTCTGCCCTGTGGAGTGGTACAGAACAGGTATAAAATAATAAAAGTACCTTTCATCCTTGACAGCTTAAAATTGCCACAGCTTCTATTCTGGTTCTTTCCCCTTCCATTCTGTGAGACACACTAGGCAATCTACTCAATCTTCTGTGACTCAGCTTCCTCATCTACAACATTGGAGACAATAATAGTACCTACCTCATAGAATTGTAAGAGGAATAACTGAGTCAATGAGTCAACCTATGTAAAGGATCTGGAATAGAGCCTAGCACATAGAAAGCACTCTATAAGCATTAACTATAATAATAGTAATAATAATAGTATGACACAGTGCTAACAATACTACTAATTAACATCCTTTTAATATTAAGATTAATTGTGTACTTTATGCCAGGCATTGCACTAAGTATTTTCAATATGCCATCTCACATAATCCTTAAAGAATTATGTTCTCACCAAGACTTTTTTGGGGGGTTTAACCTCCCCAGTTATTTCAGCCATTTCTGATGTGACATATTTTTTCAAAGTCATTCATTATTCTACACATTCCTGAATGTGTAAATGTCTCTGAAAACACTGAATATACTGCCTAGTGCAGAATGGAGTGATCTTACCACCTCCTTCATTTTAGAATAGGTGCTATACATCTATGGATGCATCCTAAAATTATAGTAGATTTTGTGAATGCCATATCACACAATTGAATCCAGTTTAAGTTGCAGTCAACTAGACCCCTCCCTTATTTCATACTTCAAGCTGTTAATCCACTTCTGTAAATCTTTTTAGTTTTAACTCAAGTATAGAAGCTTCTAATTTTTTCTGGGTTAAATTTTGTCTCATTAGATTCACTCCCTCAATCTTTGAATCCAGATTCTATCATTCTGTATATTAGCTGCAAATCATTAATTTAAAGCATGCCACTAGTACTAAATAGGGTGATAAAGTCAGCAAACTCGGGAAAGATCTATAGGTATCTCAGCAGAGAGTTCTGACTCCAAGTGAAAAAAATTTCTTTTCCTTATTGCATGTGAAACCAGGAGTATGCCCTGCCGAGCTAGTTCCCTTCCTCTCATCTCTCATGTGGCTTCTCAGATTGCTTGCTTTCTAGTGCTGCTAATAGAAGACACTATAGTCCCTGAAAGCTCCTGCACCGGTATAAATTAAACTTTGATGAGAACTTAGTAAATATGGAGGGCAGATAAGGAGGTGTGAGGAAATAGAAGCAGGAGAGGAGGAATGAAGACCGAGTCTCCATGTGGGCTCTAAGTCTGCCCAGCAGTAGCTGATCTCGGGTTCCCTTAAGAGAAAGGACTCTCAAGAGGGAATAAGGTAAAGGTGATTCTGCTACCAAATGACAATCATTTGTTACAAAGAAGTGTGATCTGCTACTTGTTTGTGTAGGGTTGGGGTTGGGGTGGGGCTGTCCTTCTGATGGATTTGATTTGATACCCTTGATTTAGGGTCCTATGAGGGTATATTGCTTGGTCCATTATTACTAATGAGTGTTTGTTTTGAAACCCATTTCAAAAGTGTGACAACTGAGCTCTGGGAGGTGACAAATTGTTCCCATGGAAACACAGATGATAGTAAGTAGCTGAGATGGGATTTAAAACCTAAGGCTAGGTGCAGTGGCTCACGCCTGTAATCCCAACACTTTGGGAGGCCATGATGGGAGAATAGCTTGAGCCCAGGAATTCAAGACCAGCCTGGGTAACATAGTGAGATCCTGTCTCTAGAAACGATAAAAATTAGCCAGGCATGGTGGTGCACACCTGCGGTCCCAGGTGGTCCAGTTCCTTGGGAGGCCGAGGTTAGAGGCCTGGGAACTCAAGGCTTCAGTGAGCCGTGATTGTGCCACTGTACTCCAGCCTGGCCAATAAGAGATTCCATCTGAAAACAAAAGAAAACAAAAAAAACAAAACATAGGCAGTGTGGCATGAGAGATTGTACCTTTAACCACTATGTAAAACTGCTCCTGGGCAGTGGGCTCCACCCACATTTACACACAGCACTGGGCAGCTGCTGCCATGACAACAGTCTCCAAGTGGTGTGGCCTTTCTCTGGGGGATCTGAGAAAGCCCAGGGTGGGTTTCTCCTCCAGGGATTCCTGTTGCTGGGGAGGCTGCACTTCTGTGGCAGGAACAGAACCCTCCTTCTTTGCGAGTCCCCTTGGTTTCACTTTGCAGGCTCTGTCTGCCTGGACTTGAGGAGTTCTGCCCTCTCCAGCCCAGACGTTCCCTCTGTGGCTGCTGCCTCTGCATTCTTTCCTAATGGCACTAATGGCAGTACCTGCTCTCAGACCTGGACCTGTTGACTGCAGCAGGCCCTGTCCAGCCTGTGACTCTCATGGGCTCCTCCCCTACCCCTGCCCCAGGGGAAATTCCCAAGTAGGAAAAGCAATGACAGGAGCCTCCTCTTTTCTGTTTCTGCTTGTGGCCTCATCCTAACTGGGGCTCAAACACACACACGCACACACGCACACACACACACACACACACACACACACACACACACCCTGTATATGCTCAGAGAAACAAGGAAGGGGCTCTGAGGAAAGGCTAAGTAGCAACTCAGGCTGTTGGAAATGCACAGGGACAGGGAAGGTGGGTCCAGACCTGGGCTGAAGAGAGACAGTACTAGGCTTGGGTCTGGGCAAGACTTATGCTGTCATTCACTCCCTGGAGGCTCTGGAGGTGTGGCAGCCTCCTACCCCTCTCCTTGCCTCTATTTGTATCATTTTTCTCCCTAAATGGTGGGGGCGAGGGCTGTGGTAGAACCATGAATGAGGTCCCTTCTAGCTCTAGGAAGCAATGATTCCATACTGCCCACCATACTGAGGTGGGAGGGCCTTTGCTTACGAACACGATTTGGCCTGAGTGGGGACCACCTGCGGACTGTGGCTGCTGCTGCATTTCCCAGAATCCAGACAAGCTCAGAGCACATAACTCATTCTATTTTGGCCTTCCCTGCTGGGCTGCAACAGAGCCACAGCTTAGCCTTGGCCTTTCAGGGACTTTTACAAGCACCCAGAACAACCTCAGCCTGAGGCCTGGGAAGGAGGCTGGGACAGAGGCAGGGCTGGCTCCATAATTTGCAGGGCCCAGTGTAAAAGACAATGCAAGGCCTCTATTCAAAAAGCAAGAAAAAAAAGTACCATTTTAGGTAATAAAATATAAAGCGTTTTTTTCTCCTGTTGCCTTTTTTTTAACGTCGTGTTTTTTTATTTTAAAAATATAATTCTTTTTTTTAGAATAGTTTTAGATTTACCAAAAAATCTAGAAAATAATACAGTGTCTATATATCCCAAACCCTGTTTCCTCTATTTTTAACATCTTACATTACTATGGTGCATTTGTTATAATTAACAAACCAATATTGAGACATTGTCTTTAACTAAAGCCCATACTTTATTCCCATTTTCTTCATTTTTACCTGATATCCTTTTTTTCTGTTCCAGGATGCCATCTAGAATACTATATCACTTTTAGTTGGTAAGCTGTCTTAGGCTTTTCTTGGCTGTGATCTTAACTGGAATTACACTGAATAAATGGATCAATCTGAGGAGAATTGCCACTTTCACAATACTGAGTCTTCTGATACGTGAACATGGTATTATACTTCATTTATTTAGGTCTTCCATAATTACTCTCAGTAATGTATTATAATTTTCAATATAAAATCTCCACATATTTAATAAACTTTATTTCTAATTATTTCATGCTTTTTGATGCCTTTGCAAGTGGTACTTTAAATTTTTTGTCTTCTAATTGTTTATTTCTAGTATATAAAATATATACTTGATTTTTGTATATTGACCTTTTATCTTTAGATCATGCTAAATTCACTTAGTAATTCCAATAACTTTTTGTAGATTCTTAAGGCATTCTATGTACATGATCATGATTCTTCTATGAATACATTTTTACTTCTTCCTTTCCTATCTGCATTTCTTTTTTTTTCTTTCTTTTTTTTTTTTTTTTTTTTTGAGATGGAGTTTCGCTCTTGTTGCCCAGGCTGGAGTGCAATGGCACGATCTCAGCTCACTGCAACCTCTGCCTCCCGGGCTCAAGTGATTCTCCTGCCTCAGCCTCCCGAGTAGCTGGGATTACAGGCACGCATGACCACGCACAACTATTTTTTGTATTTTTAGTAGAGATGGGGTTTTACCATGTTGACCAGGCTGGTCTCAAACTCCTGACCTCAGGTGATCCTTCGGCATTGTCCTCCCAAAGTGCTGGTATTACAGGCGTGAGCCACCGTGCCTGGCCTCTACATACCTTTTCTCCTTGCCTTATTGCACTAACTAGGATTTCCAGTACATAGTTGAATAACAGTGGTGAGAACTGACATCCTTGCATGATCCCCTATCATAAGAGGAAATCATTCTTTCACTATTAAGTGTTATGTCAGCTGTGATTTTTTTTTTAATAGATACCCTATTTCAGGTTAAGGAAGTTCCTTTCTAATTGTTTCCTGAGAGATTTTATTGACTTTTATCAAATGCTGTTTCTGTATCTATTGAGGTGGTCATATTTTTCTCCTTATTTTGTTAATATGTTTAATTAAATTGACTTCCAAGTACTTGACCAACTTTGCATTTTTGTGATAAACCTCACTTGGTCATGATAAATATATATATACTTTTTATTTATTGCTGGATTCAAATTCCCAAAATTTTGTTAAGAATTTTTGCATCTATAAACATAATGTCTATAGTTTTCTTGTAATGTTTTTGTATTGGCATCAGGGTAATTCAGGCCTCATTATGTAGAGAGGAGGCCTTTTCCTTTACTTTCTGAGAGTTTGTTTAACATTTGTGTTATTTCAGCTTTAAATGTTTGATAGAATTCACTAGTGAAGACATCTGGGTCTGGAGTTTTCTTGGAAAGTTTTTAATAACAAATTAATTTTATTCTACAGATATAGACAGTGGTAGGGCCGGGCGCCGTGGCTCACGCCTGTAATCCCAGCACTCTGGGAGGCGGAGGCGGGCGGATCACGAGGTCAGGAGATCCAGACCATCCTGCCTAACATGGTGAAACCCCGTCTCTACTAAAAATACAAAAAAATTAGCGGGGCGTGGTGGCGGGCGCCTGTAATCCCAGCTACTCAGGAGGCTGAGGCAGGAGAATGACGTGAACCCGGGGGGCGGAGCTTGCAGTGAGCCGAGATCGTGCCACTGCACTCCAGCCTGGGCGAGAGTGTGAGACTCCGTCTCAAAAAAAAAAAAAAAAAGATATAGACAGTTGTATACTGGAACTGGCCTGTGCCAGCTATTGAGAGCTGATTGTCACTATCTCTTATCAAATCTACATTCAGTGATGATACATTGATTGATTAAAATTGGCCATGGTTTACACTTTAGAAGTCAGATACTCTATGAATCAGGGTTTTTAATTTCTTTCAGAGACCTGGTGGTTAAACACCACTCTTCTGTTCAGGTTTTCTATTTATTTTTTGAGTGAGCTTGGTAATTTGTATCTTTCAAGAAATTTGACCATTTTATCTACATTATTGCATTTATTGGCATAAAGTTATTCATAATACTACCATACTGTCCCTTACGTTCTTAGAGGATCTGTAATAATGACCCCTTTTCATTCTTTTTTTTTTTAAAAAAAACAGTTTTATTAAGTTGTTGTTCACATGACATAGAGTTCACCCATTGAAAGTGTACAGTTCAGTGGCTTTTAGTATATTAAGAGATATGTGTAACCATCACTACAATCAATTTTAGAACATTTTCATCACCTCATAAAGAAAGTTTATACCCTTTGGTTAAGACTCTCTACCCTCCATCCTCCCCAACCCTAGCCAACCATTAATCTACTCCTTGTCTCTATGGAATTGCCTATTCTCTGTATTTCATATAAATGGAATCATGCAATATATGGTCTTTTGTGATTGGCTTCTTTCACTTAGCATAATGTTTTCAAGGCCCATCCATATTGTAGCATGTATCAAAACTTTATTTTTAATGACCAAATAGTTTTCCATCATCTAAATATACCACATTTTGTTTATGCATTCATCAGTTGATAGACATTTAGATTCTTTTCACCTTTTGGCTATTATGAATAATGCTGCTATAAACATTCATGTAAGTTTTTGTGTGGACATGTATTTGTGGGTTTTTTTTCTCTTGGGTATGTAACTAGGTCTGGAATTGCTGGGTCATATGATTACTCCGTGTTTAACATTTTGAGGAACTGTCATTTTACATTTCCACCAGCAGCGTATGAGGGTTTCCATTTCTCCTCATCCTCACCAATACTTGTTATTATTTGGATTGTTTATTTCTGGTAAATTACAAGTCTGATGAAGTGCTCTGTGAGGGTAGAGCATTATAAGGGATTAGTGCTCTTATAAGGAGGCCTGAGGGAACTTATTTGCCCCTTCTACCATGTGAGTACACAGCTAGAAGGTGCTATCTGTGAACCAGAGATTCAGCCCTAATCAGGCACCAAATCTGCTGGCACCATGTTCTTGAACTTCCAGCCTCCAGAGCTGTGAGAAATAAAATTCTGTTGTTTATAAGCTACCCAGTGTATGGTATTTTGTTATAGCAGCCTGAATGGACTAAGACAGAGGTTGTTTTACTTCTTCCTTTCCAATCTGGATGTCTTTTCTTTCTTTTTTTTGGTCTAACCTCCGCGGCTAGAACCTCTAGTGCAAAGTTGAATGGAAGTGGAGAGAACAGACATTCTTGTCTTGTTCCTGATCTTAAGGGGAAAGCATCCAGTCTTTCATCATTAAGTATGTTGTTAACTGTGTCTTTTTCATATATACCCTTTGTCAGGTTAAGGAATTTTGCTTGTATTCCTCATTTGTTGTGTGTTTTTATCATGAAATGATGTTGAATTTTGTTGAACATTTTTTTCTTCATCTTTTGAGATCATCATGTAGTTTTTGTGCTTTATTCTATTCATATGGTGTATTACATTGATCGATTTTTGAATGTTAAATCAACTTTGCATTCCTGGGATAAACCTCACTTGGTCATATTGTATAATTCTTTCTATATGATGCTGGATTTGTTTGAAATATTTTTTGAGGATTTTTGCATCCTCAAAAAAATCTACAGCATAAGAGATATTGCCTTGTAGTTTTCATGTGGTGTCTTTGTATAGTTTTGGTAACAGAGTAACACTGGCCTCATATAATGAGTGGAGAAATGTTCTCTCCTCTTCTTTTTTTGTAAAAGTTTGTGAAAAGCGAATATTAATTTTTATTTACATGTTTGGTAGAATTCACCAATGAAGCCATCTTGGCCTGGATGTTCCTTCATTGGTAGTTCATTCTCTTTATTTGTTATAGGTCTATTCAGATTCTGTATTTATCCAGGAGTCAGTTTTGGTAGTGTCTTTCTAGGAATCCATTTATTTAATCTAAGTTATGTAATTTATTGGCATACAGTTATTCATAGTGTTCCTCCATAATCCTCTTATTTCTGTAAAGTCAATAGTAATGTACCCTCTTTCGTTTTTGACTCTAGTTGTTTGAGTCTTCTCTTTTTTTTTCCAGGCTAATCAATTTAAATGTTTGTTCATTTTGTTGATCCTTACAGAGAACCAGCTTTTGTTTTTATTGACTTTTCCTATTATTTTTCTATTCTTTATTTTATTAATTTCCACTCTAGTTTTTATTATTCCCTTCCTTCTGCTTGCTTTAGGTTTAGTTTGCTCTTCTTTTTCAGTGTCTTAAGGTGGAAGGTTAGGTTATTGATATGAGATCTTTCTTCCTTTTTTTTCTTGAAGATAGAGCCTTGTTACGTTACCCAGGCTGGTCTCAAACTCCTGGGCTCAGGTTATCCTCTCACCTCAGCCTCCCAAGTAGCTGGGACTACTGACACATGTCACTGTGCCCAGCCTTCTTTTTTACTGTAGGCATTTACAGCTATAAATGTCTTTCTAAGCATTGGTTTAGACGCATGCTGTAAGGTTTGGTATTTTGTATCTTCATTTTCATTAGTCTTAACATATTTTCTAATTTTCCTCTTTATTTTATCTTTGATCCGTTAGTGATTTAGGAGTGTGTTGTTTAATTTCCACATATTTGTGAGTTTCCCAAATTTATTTCTGTTATTGTTTTTTACTTTCATTCTATGCTAGGGGAAATACTTAGAATTATCTCTAATCTTTCAAATTTATTGTGGTTTGTTTTATTGCCTAGCATATGGTCTATTCTGGAGTATGTCCCATGTGCATTTGAGAAGAATGTATATTCTTTTGTTGGGTGGAATGTTCCATATATGTCTGTTTGGTCTAGTTGGTTTATAGTGTTGTTCAAGTCTTCTATTTCCTTGTTGATCTTCTGCCTAGTTCTTCTATCCATTATTAAAAGTTGAAAGTCCCCAACTATCCCAACTATTATTGTTGAGTGGTCTATTTATCTCTTCATTTCTGTAAATTGCTTCAGGTATTCTGGTGTGGTTTTTTTCCTTTGTTTTTGTTTTGTTTTGTTTTTTCTTTAGACAGAGTTTTGCTTTTATTGCACAGGCTGGAGTGTAACAGCACAATCTTGGCTCACTGCAACCTCCACCTCCCAGGTTCAAGTGATTCTCCTCCCTCAGCCTCCCAAGTAGCTGGGATTACAGGTGTGTGCCACCACACTCGGCTAATTTTTGTATTTTTAGTAGAGATGGGGTTTCACCATGTTGGTCAGGCTGGTCTCAAACTCCTGACCTCAGGTGATCCACCCACCTCGGCCTCCCAAAGTGCTGGAATTACAGGTGTGAGCCACTGTGCCCAGCCCTCTGGTGCTCTTTTGTTAGGTGCATATATGTTTATAATTGTTATATCTGCCTGATGGATTAACCCTTTTATCATTATACAATGTCCTTCTTTATCTCTACTAACACTTTTTTTTTTCTTAAACTCTGTTTTGTCTAATATTACTGTGGCCACTCCAGAAAGCTGGCTATAGTAAAATCAGACAAAATGATGTATCTTTTTTCATCCTTTTACTTTCAGTCTATTGTATCTTTGAATCTGAAGTTTGTCTGCTATAGACAGCAAATGGTTTGATCTTGGTTTTTTAATTTCCATTTTAACAACTGTCTTTTATTGGATAGTTTAACCCATTCAGACTTAATGTTATTATTGATTTAGTTGGATTTATACCTGCCATTTTACTTTTTGTTTTCTGTAGGTCTCCTGTCTTCCTCGAATCTTCCTTTACCACTTTCTTTTGCATTAACTGAATATTCTCTAATATAGCGTTTTAATTTTTAAAATGATTTTTAAACCATATTTTTTAGTTATTTCCTTAGTGGTTGCTCTAGACTTACCATATACATATTAGCTTATCAGAATCAGCTTCAGATTTATACTAACTTAATTCCAGTGAGATATAGAAATGTTATTTCTATATCATTCTATTTCCTTCTCCATTTTTGTCATATTATTGTTATGTATGTTACAACTATACATCTGACAAACTCAACAATACATTATTATAATTATTGCTTTATATGAACTTATGTATTTTAAAGAAGCTGAGAGAAGAGAGGAGAACGAGTATATGTTAATAGGTTTTGACCTTCTTAGATATCATTTTTAGATCTCTTCAGTTGGTTCCTATGGATTTCTTGTTGGGAGTAATTCCTTTGCTAATGTAATACTTAATGGTGTTCCACATTTCTCTGAGGCACTGTACATTTGTATTTAGTCTTTTCTTCTCTTGGTTATTCAGATTGCATAATTTCTATCAATTTACCTTCAAGTTTACTGATTCTTTTGGCAGTTCAAGTGTAATACTGAATTTTTCATTTTAGTTATTGTACTTTTGAATCCCAGAATTTCAATTTGTTTTAAAAATAATTTCTATGTCTTTGATATTTTATATTTGATGCAACATCATCATATCTTTCTTTACTTCTTTAATCATGGTTTCTTGTAGTTCTGTGAACATATTAATAATAGCTACTTTGAAGTCTTTGTTCAAACTGACATCTGGCCACTCTCACAAGGAGCTCCTAGTGTCTGCCTTTTTCTGGTATATGGGTTATACTTTCCTGTTTCCCTGCAAATCTCATAATTTTTTGTTGAAAACTGAGCATTTTGGATAATATATTGTAGCACCTCTGGGTACTATTTTCCTCTTCCCCATCTGGAGCTTTTTACTGATATTTGCATATTTATTTATTTAGTGATTAGCTAGATTATTTTAGTAAACTCTGTGCTTGCACAATGTGAAGCCTGTTATGTTGCTCACCAGAAGGCTCAGCCTTGGTTGTGCCCACAGTCACCTTTGGCAGGGCTTTCCTTGACTGTTTTTTTCCCTGACCATACCCAGCTGTTTAGCTCCACTAATTACCTGCTGATTGCCCTATTGTTTTCAACAATGCCCTGGGGCATAAATGATTCCACAGACAGATTTGTTCTAATCCCAGTGGGTCTCCTCCCAGCTTTCTCTGTCCCAGGTTGTCTCCAGCAAACTAGTGGGCCTACAGCTTAGTCTGCATCTCCAATGAATCTACCAATGTCCTCTCAATTGCCTTTCACCACGTGTGGTGTTTTCTGGCACTATTTCTGACATCAAATGTGTGGTGTTTTCTAACACCTACCAATTCTCTGATTCTCTGGCACCAACTGGGTGTCCTACAATTCAATTTAATTCTGATATTAATTCCTCAGAGTTAGTGCAGACCCTACAGTTTAAGGGCTTTTAAGTATAAGACTGCCCTCCACTTCAGATGGCAGCTGCAAATGGGGTGCCCAACCTACCCACACTTCAGCCTGGGCTAGTACAAATTTGAGGGTTCTGTAAACCAAAAAGTGACTGAGGCAGATCTCAATTGATTAGAGGTTTATTTTGCCAAGGTTGAGGACACACCTAGGAAAATGAAACACAAGTCACAGTAGGATTGGTGACCTGTGGTTTTCCCACAGAGGGCTTTGGGAACTTCAGTATTTAAAGGAGAAAGAGCAAGCAAGAGGGGAAGAAAAAAAAGGAGGATGGGTAGGCAATGAGGCAAGTGGTTACATTCTTGTGAGGCTCTGATTAGCACTCAGTGAATCTACATTTTACATGTAAAAAGAAAGGAGTAGAGGAAAAGTCAATTATGCATTCATCTCATGCTCAGTACATCTACATTTTACATAAGATAAAGTAAGCATGTGAAATTACAGCTATTTGGGAACAAATGGAAGGCAGTTTTTGGATGACTCAGTTCCCAAGCTTAATTTCCCTTTTGCCATAGTGAGTTTGGGGTCCTGAGAGTCTATTTTTTATTCACAGTTCTCATGACTCCCTTCTTGAGTTCAGTAATTTACTGGAATGACTCACAGAACTTAGAAAAGTGCTTTGCTTACTATTACCAGTTTATTGTAAAGGATACAACTCAGGAAGAGCCTAATGGAAGACATGCATAAGGTAAGATATGGGGTATATTTGGCACAGAGCTTCCATGCCTTTTCTGGGTGCTCCATCTGATCAGTACATCAATGTATTCCCAACCCAGAAGCTCCCGAGCCCCATCATTTAGGGATTTTAATGGAGGTTTTATCGTATAGGAATGATTTATGTAATCATTGGCCACTGGTAATTGAACTCAATTTTTATCCCCTCTCCAATCCCTGGAGGTCAGGAGCAAGGCAGAAAGTTCCCATCCTGTAATCATGTATTTGGTCTTTCTGGTGTCCAGTCCCCATCCTGAAGCTATCTAGGGGTCTTACCCTAAGTCACCTCATTAGCATAAATTCAGGAGTAGTCAAAAGGGGCTCATTATGAATAACAAAAGACACTCCTATCATTCAGAAAATCCCAAAGGTTTTAGGAGCTCTGTGCCAGGAACTGGGGACATTGACCAAATATATACTGTAATATATATTTTAATATATCATGCACCAGAGCCTCCACTGTTTTTGAGAGCTCCCTTGAACTTGGACTTCTCCATATTCTGTTGCAAATGAATTCCTTTCCTTTGGGAAAAAATTTAGAACTCTCCATTTTACATCCTGCTTCCCTCCCTTCCCTCAGGCAAAATCTCTGAGCCATGGCTCTGGTATTTGTAATATGTATCATAGATTATCACAGTCTACCTTCAAATAATATGATAGCTATCTCTCAGTATACTTAGGGGATTGGTTCCAGGACCCACCACTCCCCAGGATATACAAATCTATGTATACCTAGGTGGGTCCTGGAGTTGGCTCTGCAGAACCCATCTTTGTGAAAAGTCAGCCCTCGCTATAGGCAGACTTCACATCCCACAAGTACAGTATTTTCCATCTCAGTTTGGTTGGAAAAATCCACATCAAAAAACACAGGTCAAACCTGTGTTGTTCAAGGGTCAACTGTAAATGATTTCATGGATAATCGAAGAACCCTACAACTGTGCATTCCCCCTCCCATCTTTTTTTCTATTGTTGTACGTATTAGTCAGGGTTCTCTAGAGGGACAGAACTAATAGGATGGATGTATATATAAAGGGGAATTTATTAAGGAGTATTGACTCAGACAGTCACCAGGTGAAGTCCCACAATAGGCCGTCTGCAAGTTGAAGAGCAAGGAAGCCAGTCTGAGTCCCAAAACCTCAAAAGTAGGGAAGCTGACAGTGTAGCCTTTAGTCTGTGATCGAAGGTCCAAGAGTCCAAAAACTGAAGAACTTGGAGTCTGATGTTTGAGGGCAGGAAGCATCCAGCACGGGAGAAAGATGTAGGCCAGAAGACTAAGCCATTCTAGTCTTTCCACGTTCCTCTGCCTACTTTTATCCTAGTCAGGCTAGCAGCTGATTAGATAGTGCCTACCCAGATTGAGGGTGGGTCTTCGTCTCCCAGTTCGGTGACTCAAATGTTAATCTCCTTAGGCAGTACCCTCACAGGCACACCCAGGAACAATATTTTGCATCCTTCAATCCAATCAAGTTGACACTCAGTATTAACCACCACATTGTACATTTTACTTCTACATATGTTACAAGCCATGTAACACATTGTTCTTATTTTTATTGTAGATAATTATTTCTCTTTAACAGCTTTATTGAGATATAATTCATATGCCTTATAATTCACCCATGTAAAGTGCACAATTCAATGGTTTTTAGAATATTTATGGAGGTGGGCAACCATCACCACTATCCAATTTTACATTTTCATCACCCCTAAAGAAAACCTTCCTATTACCATTTTTCATTCCTGCCCTTCTGCAAGCCCCATGCAACCACGAATCTACTTTCTCTATAGATTTGTTGATATGTCCATTTATTATAAATTGGATAATAAACTATGTGGTCTTTTGTGACTGCCTACTTTCACTTAGCATAATGTTTTCAAGGTTCATCCATGCTATGCCATGTATCAGTACTTCTTCCTTTTTATTGCCAAATACATTGTATAATATACCATATTTGTTTATTCACCAGTTCATGGATTTTTTTTCTATATTTTGGCTATTATGAACAATACTGCTATGAACATTTGTGTATACATTTTGCATGACTGTATGTTTTCATTTCTCTTGTGTATATACCTAGGAATGGAATTGCTGGGTCATATGACACATTATGTTTAACATTTTAAAGAATTGCCAATTTGTTATCCCAAGCAAATGCATTCCCATCAGCAATGTATGAGGACTTGTTTCTCCCCATCCTCACCAAAACTTATTTTCTATCTCTTTCGTTTTAGCCATCCTACTGTGTGTGAAGTGGTATCACTTTGTGGTTCTGGTTTACATTCCCTAGTGACTAATACAGTTGAGCTTCTTTTCATATGCCTATTGGACATTTGTATATCTTCTTGGGAGAAATATCTATTCAAATCATTTGCCCATTTTAAAATTGGGTTCTCTTTTTTTTTAATGGTTGAGTTGTAAGAGTTTTTTATATATTCTGGAAATTAGCTCCTTATCAAATGTATTATTTGCAGTTATTTTCTCCCATCTGGTGGATCATCTTTTCATTTTCTCGATGTTATCATTTGAAGCACAAAACGTTTCCATTTTCATGAAGTAGAATGTATCTTTTGTCATATATGATTTTGTTATTGTATCTAAGTAAAATTGCCTAACTCAAGGTCATGAATATTTATGCATATGTTTTCTTCTAAGAGCTGTATAGTTTTAGCTCTTTCATTTATATTTATGATCTGTGTTGAGTTCACTTTGATGTAGGGTGTGACATAATGTTCTAAATTCATTCTTTGGCATGTGGATATCTAATGGTTTCATCACAATTTGTTTAAAAACTATTATCTTCCCTTTGAATTGTCTTGGCAGACTTGTTGAAAATCCATTGAGCATAAAAGTGAGAGTTTACTTCTGGATTCCCAATTCTATTCCATTGATTTATATATCTATCCTTATGGTAGGACCACCCTGTCTTGATTACTATTGCTTTGTGGTAAGTTTTGAAGTTAGAAAGTGTAAGAACTCCATTTGTTATTGTTTTTCAAGATTGTTTTGTCTGTTTTGGGTCATTATAATTTAGGATCACTTTGTTATTATCTGCAAAGAAGCCAGGGGAGATTTTGATAGTGATTGCCTTAAGTCTGTAAATCAATTAGGGAATATTGCCATCTGAACAATGTTAAGTCTTTCAATCAATGAACATTGAATTTATTTCCATTTATTTAGGTTGTCTTTAGTTTCTTTTGACAACATTTTGTACTTTTCCATATACAAGTCTGGCATTTGTTTTGTTAAATTTATTCCCAAGATTGTTTTTCTTTTTGATACCATTGTAAATGGAATCATTTTCTTAAGTTCATTTCAGATTGTTAATTTCTACTATAAAGAAATACAATTGATTTTGTATATTGATATTACATCTTGCTACATTGTACTTGTGTATTATTTCTCATAGTTTAAATAATTATTGTTAATTGACAATTTATAATTGTATATATTTATAGGGCACAAAGTAATGTAATCGACATTCCTTCTGGAAATGATACCATATTAGGGTCTCAGCAATGGCCTCTGCTGTTGGCAGGTTTCATACTCAGCTATGAGAGTAGTCAGATCAGGTTGGTATGGGAAGTCAATATTGTTGAGCTCTCACATAGTTCTATTTCTGTTTCTGTGGCCACTTTGTACAAGGGCCCATTGAGCAAACATTGGGATAGCAGTGGCAGGGGAATGGGGAGGCTGAATGATATCTACAGAGATGGTCATTTTTTCCTCCCAATTATTGATAGTTGCCTCTGCAGTGGATGCCCCCAGTGGGTACACTCACTACCTGAATAAACAGATATGGACTATTTAGAAGGGAATGTGGCCTGGTAGTCTTTAGATTTCAAGACCCTCCCAAAAGGTAAAAACAGGCAGAACCTTGGTTAGGGCATCCACCTTGAGGGAGTCCTGTGCCACTGTTTCTTTGCAGCCATTCTAATCCATGAACAATGTATCTTTCCATTTATTTAAATCTTAATTTCTCTCATCAATGTTTTGTAGTTGTCAATGTACAAATCTAGCACATAGTTTGATTTTTTAAAACATGTTGGTACATATGTGCTTTGTGCCTACTGAATTCAGATAAACATTTCCTTATACTTCCTCCTACTTTTTTATGGTTTATATTTAATGTAATTGAGATCATGCAATGTGTAAAACTTCACTGTACATCAGAATCACCTGGGGAGTTTGTGGAAATTGCAGGTTCTAGAGCCATATTCCTAGAAATTCTGGGTTTGTGCCAGGGACCAGGGAGGTTCCCAGGGAGTCGTTTAACATATTTTGAACGTATTTTGAAAAAAATCATTTTTATACATTGTTAAAATGGTTTATGAGCTGGATTTAGAATTATCACTTCTCCTGTATTATTTATTTTTGAATTTCAAGTTGTATTTTTGACAAGTGAAATTACTTGCCCAAGGATACACTGGGTCAAAAACTCAAGGCTCCTGACTCAGTCATAATCAAGTAATTGTTAAATATATGTGTCAAGTACAGTGCAACGGATATCAGGATGAATTTTTTAAAAGTCTGTTTTGATAAGGGAATATACTGGTGGGCTAAATAAAAATGCCTAAGAGTTTTTAATATTTTTAAGAGCACTGTACCTCTTTCAGTTGCAAGTGGTTTAGAATGGGAAGGGATGTTTCACACAGGGTTATCTCTGTGATTATATATGGATAAGTCCCTTGATTTTGTATAGTAGGCCAGTCAATGAGGCTTTTTAGAGAAAACTCACACTTAGAAAGGTATAAAAATTTAGATAGGGTTCACCTGTGGTACTGGGGTAGGGTGTTTGGTGCAAACACAGTTCATTATCTAGCCAATAGGTTAGACTCAGGACACAGTCCCAAGTAGACCCAAAATGTCTCAAATCCTAAGAAGAGAAATGAAGCTGTAAGCAAATATAAAATGAACTAAAAATGTTAATGGCTACTTTGCTAAGAACTGTGTAATACAGTGGGCTCCAAGAAGCCCTAGAGTAGAACCACCTGCAATTGGGACTGTGGCCCTTTGGGGACTGTAGGGAATCAGAAGGGCTTTGTCACCATGAGTACTCCATTATATCAGTGGCTGTCAGCAGACAGTACATATACAGGGCATAGCAGAACAGAAGTGCCCAGCAGATATGATAGTATCCAGAGAAGGATGGCACCCTCTACTCAGCTGCTTGGAGTTGTTCCTGGGGACAGGTGAAACCTACCTTCAGCTCTTCTTTTAAGTGTCTGACAGGGTGCTGGGTCCTGCTCCTGTAAGGACAGCTCACATGTTCAATACCTCATCTGATCCACTGGGCAGTCCTGTGAGATAAGTATTATCCCCATTTCACAGATGGCAAGACTGACCCTTACAGCAATGGATTTGTTATAACTGCCAGGTTGATACCTCTAGCTGTTAGTCTCAGAGGTAATATGAATTTTACTTATCATTTTATGTTCTGGCAACAGAAATTTTAAGTGTCTTTATTACCCTCATAAGCTCATTGAACAGTTCAATTGTTTATGTATTGTTTTCTCGTTTAGTTTTTAAAATTATTGTTATGACAAAAGGACATATCCTTTAAGAAAAGGTAGAGATGAGTGAGAGCAAAGAAAAGAAAAAGAATCGCATCCTATGGGGGAGCCATAGGATGGTAAAGGACCCAGGAGAAGGGGTAGCAGTGCCCACTCACGTAGTTACACCTAGGGAAGACATGAGGATGGGCACAACAACAGCAGAATGGCATGGAGGTACCTACCCAGCAAGTGATTGAACTCATTTTTGGATACCATTCAGGAATAACCATTGGCTGCTTTTTAGTGTACATGCTTTCAGAGTTTTCTTTGTGCACAAATGCATTATGCAAACATTTACATTTTTATAAAAACGGGCTGATACTGTATATGCGGTTCTGCAAACTTTTTTTAATTTTAATTTTATTTTTTTACAATGTACCATGAACATCTTTTCCATGCACATGGGTGAAAATCCTCTACTAAAATATAGAGCGCCGTAGTTGGGTCAAAAGGCTGCTGGTAACGAGACTGACATCTAAAGCAAAGTATCAGCTTAAGGTTAAAGCATTGGGCCTGGCAAATACCTACCAGGGAAAGCAGGGCCAGCAATATTCTCATCAGAGAAATCAGAATGGAAGGCCAAAGGCATTAAAGGTATGGGATATCGTGTAAGCCCCTCTGGCCCCTACCTCCACCCCTCACTCCCCTGACACCCCGTTGTCCCCTTGGGGCGAATGGATCCTGTACATCTCTTTGCATCCAATGAAAACCACCCATTTTCTGTTTTTTCCTTAGCTCCTCTTGAGCCCTTGACACATCTCCACATTCTCTCATCATCTCCTCACTGCTCAGATGCCTTTCCTGTAAGTCCTCCTGAGAGTCCTTGGGGGAATCGTCCGTCCCCCTGTCCGTTTTTCTTTTTGCTTTCCGGGGCACATAATCTTCAGCCGGGCGCTTTTCGGCGGCCCGCGGCTGGCTCTCTGGCTTTGCCTGGGAGGCTGGCTTGCCCTCGCCTTGTGGCTTGCCCTCACCTTCGGACCTGCCCTGCTTTTCCTGGCTTCCCTCATCTTCCAGTTGTCCCTCATCACCTGGCTCTCCCTCATCCTCTCTCTTTCCCTCGCATTCTGTCTTCCCCTCCACGTCTGGCTTTTCTTCCTCGTCTGACTTTCCTTCATCATCAGGCTCTACTTCATCTTCTGGCTTTCCCTCGTTTTCCAGGTTTCCTTCATTTTTATTGTAGGGTTTTTCCATGTCGAGATTTCCCCTCCTTTTCCTGTCCTGGGGGATGGGAATGGAGGGAAGAGGAGACAAATAAGAGACATGGGAGACTGAGGGCATGGGGTGGAATGCAGGTCTGGATAGTACTTGCATCTCACCCCTGGTGAGGGTTCCCCTAAGCTGGCAGGGCCCCCAAGAGGGCCTTCTGCCCACCACGTAGCCTGCCACTCCTCCCACACACGTGAGCCAGCCATTCCCTGGCAGTCCCTGCCACCTTCTCTGCACTGGTTCAGCCTGGTAAGGTGTGTGTTCATGTGAGTGGGGGATGGGCAGGGGCCCCAGTTCGGCCCTGGCCGGGCCCTCCACACTCTCAACCCTTATAGGGCCCTGTCCATTGAGCTCCCCCACAACCACCTTCACAGACCTGCAGGGATTCTGGACAGGTTGCTCCTCCTTTTTAGGCCTCGCAGAGCGCTGGGAACAGACGCGCAGACCTGCGGACAGACAGGAGACAGGGGTAGGGGCTGCGCAGTCAGCGGTCTCACAGGGACTCGGTTCCCTTTCCTGAGTCCAGGCCCTGCTTACCCAACGTTTTCCTCCCCTACATCCCCCGCACCCCAGCCGCCATTTCTTTCCAGGCCTCGGGCACCAAACCAGGATGCTTTCCAAACTGCGTTTGTCTCTGTGTCCCCTTCCCCTGGAGGCAACCTGTCCCAGCGCCACCCCGTTTTTGCGGAGGTCAGATGTTTCCATGGGAGCAGATTGTGAGAGGCGGTTATTTCCAGAATATGTCTACGTTTCACTGTTGCACTGCGGGGTTGCCCCCCCGTACTCCATTTCCAGTACTAAAATGGATGGACGGCTCAGTGCAGGGGGTCGTCGAGAAGGCGGGCCAGGCTCCCCCGCCCTTGCCTCCGACCGCTCCGCTTCCCCCTCCTCACCAGTCTCCCGGATCCTTTCTCCGCCCCTCCCTACTCCTACTGCCAGCCACCTCCACCCCTTCCGTGGTTCCGCCGGCAGCGCCCACCTTCACACTGACCTGCCGGGACCCGGGACAGGCCTGTGCCTTCTCCGGCTCGCGGAAGCCCGCTCGCTGCTCCCCCGCTGCCCGGGCAGCTCAGACAGCTGGTTCTGCGCGGGCGCCAGGACCGGACCGCAGGGCGGGCGGGCGGGCGCGGGGGCTGGTGCCCACGTAGGCGCCCGGCGGGTCACGTGAGCGCCGCGTCACCCGAGCTCGGCCCCCCTTGCCTGACCCACCTCACCATCCAACCCCGAAGGACCGGGAGGCTGGGGACGGTCGGGGTCGGGGTGTGTTTGTGTAGCAAAGGGGGGTCACGGAGAAGAGGAGGAGGGGGTGGCTTTCTGACCCCAGGTGCTTTACCTGGCGCATCTCACGGCATCCTCGCAGGGTATCTCTCTCTGATGCCATTATCGCCAGGTGTGACAGCTGATCAAAGAGGGTACCCGACTTTGCCAAGAGCGCTCAGCCCCAGAACTCCAGAGCCCGCTTTCAAGACTGTCTCTGCCTGACTCCAGAGCCCAGGGTGGTGCTGCCTGCCAGGAAGCTGAGCTGCCACCTTGAGTGGCAGTGTTCCTAGGGTTCTGTCCTGGGCCTCCTCTCTCCTCAGTCCTCAAGTTCTGTCTCCCTGTTTGATCTCATTCATTTCCAGTAAAGACCAATGACTTCCAGATTTACATCTCCAGGCTATTCCCTCCCCAGAATCTCAGACCTATTTTTGCATTCCCATCAGAAATATAGGGGAGTGTTTTGTTTCCCAATGCCCTTCCCAACATAACCTATGACATACTTTTAAATGTTCACTGATATGATAGTTGAGAAGTAATATCTCAATGGCATTTTATTTTGCCTTATCTGTGTTTAAGGACAATTTAAATATCTTTCTTTGTGAATTGTCGGTTCATGTCTTTTCCACATTTTTCTAGTGGGTTGTTGGTCCTTCTCACCTCAATTTTCAAGTTTTCTTAATACATTAACTGTTATATATGTTGCAATTTTCTCTCCAGTTTGTCAGTTGCTTTTTGGCTTTGTTTATGGTGTTTTTCTGCCATGCATTAAAAAAAGTAGTCAAATTTATTTAACTTTTATTGCCTCTAGATTTCGATTCATAGTTAAGAAATCTTTTCCTACATAAGGTCCAAGAAGCATTCACCCATGTTTTCTTCTAGTATTCATATGGTTTTCTTTACATTTAGAGTTTATATTTGTGTATGGCATAAAGTATTGATGGATCTTTTGTTTTCTTTTTCCAATCGGTTTCTCAGTTGTTCTGGCATCAGAAAGTCCATCTTTGCTTTAGGGATTTGAGATACCACCTTTATTACATATCAAATATCCATATGTACTTGGAAAACCTTCTGGGCTTTTTATTCTATTTCATTGGTCTGTTTGCTATCCATATACCAGTTGAATTATAGAGGATATATAATTTCATATATCTGGTAGAGCTAGGTCCCCTCAGTAGATTCTCTTTTTTCCAACACATTCTTGTATGTTTGTTTTTCTACATGAACTTCAGCATAAATTTGATTCAGATCCGTTTTAATTAACGATTAGATATATCCACCTGAATGTCCCTGAAGGACCTCAAATGCAATATGTCCCAAGTGATTTTACCATCCTTCCTTGATCTTTTCCACACACAAAACTCCCTCCTCTTCATTTCTCTTATCTTAATAGATGGCTCCAGAACCCACACTGTTGCCCAAGCAAGAAATCTGGGAATCATCCCTCATTCCCTCTTCCTCCCTCCCACCAAGTAATCTTGACCTTCTCTTCTAAATATCTGGATTTTCCCACTTTTCTTCCATCTCCACTCTTGCTACATTTTTTTAGGCAAACAACTCCCCACTCCTGGTCTATGGTGGAAGATCCCTTTCTGGTTTTGCTACCTCAAGTCTTGCTCTCCTTAATATATATCATATTGTCCCACTGCCTTTTTCTGTTTCATCTTCATTACAGTACTTGAAGTAGGTAGGTCACTAATTACCTCTTATATAGAAACCACTCCACAGGCCAGGTTAAAAAGGGCCTTGGTCTTTAGCCTGATTATTTTCAGATCAACTTTTAGCAGTTATTGAAGATCTAAAGTAAATTCTGAATTTTGAAATAATTGAAAAGAAATGTGCCTGTTGGATAATTAGACAGTTAGGATGCCAGATTCCTGGATGGGATGATTCAGTCTTGTAAAGCTGTGAATTTTATCACTCCTGCCCCCAACCCTGCCGGCATTTGGAAGTTTGGTAGATTTTCCTTCAAAGGTCTCTTGAAAAAAATCAAATGGAAAAGGATAGGCAAGAAATTAATAAAAGTCACAATAAAGGGGTTCTAGTTGTTTAACATATGAGAGCTCGTAATAATCCAAGCAGTATGGCACAGGTCCAAAAATAGAAATTTAGCAAAGAAAAGACAAGAATGCTCTTCTACACACCTAGGTTTTAATGAGCTTTTAATATACAGATTAGATGGCATTTCAACCTAGTGCAAAAGCTGGGCTAGGCTTTAGTGAGTACAATACATTGAATTTTTGCTCTAACTAAATTCATATGAACACCACAACCCAGGTGTCTAAACCCAAGAGAGATTATTTCATGTTTATTATCATCCTCATCAACAGGTGTTGTTGAATTCCTTTATGTGCATGACATCACATGGTCACCATATAACATATACTATAGCAACCAGTCTAATTACTTACTGTGGAGATCAAGAGCTAAAATACCAGCTTTGTCACTTCTTAGTTGTGTCAACCTAGAAAAGTTACTAAAATTCTGTGAACTTTAGTTTTCTCTTCTAGAAAATGGGAGTAAGATTTTCTGTATCAGGATTATTGTGAATTATAAATAACAATTGCTATATAAAGTGTTTAACACATAGTAGACCTTCAATAAATAGTTCCTTCAACCTCCCATAAAAGACATGATTTTGCAATAAAAATTTGCATAGCTGGCTGGGCACGGTGGCTCACGCCTGTAATCCCAGCACTTTGGGAGGCCGAGGCGGGTAGATTATGAGGTCAGGAGATCGAGACCATCCTGGCTAACATGGTGAAACCCTGTCTCTACTAAAAATACAAAAAATTAGCCGGGCATGGTGGTGGGCGCCTGTAGTCCCAGCTACTCTGGAGGCTGAGGCAGGAGAATGGCATGAACTCAGGAGGTGGAGCTTGCAGTGAACCGAGATCGCGCCACTGCACTCCAGCCTTGGTGACAGAGCGAGACTCTGTCTCAAAAAAAAAAAAAAATTGCATAGCTATCAGAGGCATCATTTGGAAATATAATAAGAGGAACTATATATACTATATGAGCTTCAGTGATATCAGATCAATAGATTATGAGATGGAAAAAAACACTGCACTATCAGCTGCTCTTCTGCCCCATTATTTTAACTTCTAGATAAACATCTGGGAAGCACAGGTATATGAGGCACAGAAACACAAGGCACTGTGGATGCCTCTTCTGTCTGGACAGAAAACTGGAGTCAGGAGACCTCTCTGAGTCCCCAGAGACAGAATCATCACTACTGTGTGTCCTTGGGTAAGTCACTCCTAATGTGCTGACATCACCTCTGTAACACACCAAGATCTTCACATCTTGGGCACTCAACAAAAGGCAATCATAATTATTTCTTGTATATCTACTGGGGTATGTCAGGATGAGGGAGACAAAGGCCAACCACAAGGAAACAATACTTTCCTCTAGAGACCTTTGGGAACCTCACTATTAACTGAGTGCCTGGATGTGCCCTACACGGGGATAGCTGCTTTATGTGGGACAGTGGGATATCCCAAGTACCCTCTCAACAGCCTGTGAGTAAAGAGTCTTTGCCCCATTAGATGAATGAGAAACCCAAGGCTCAGAGAGATTTAAGTAAACTGTTCAAGGTTACACAAGCTGGTTACTGCCAAGCCTGAGAACCAACCTAGGTCTTAGAATGAGGACTACTATCTCAATGTGTCCCTATGTTATCTCCCATTTTCTCTACTCAACTTCCTTCCCTGTGATCACTGATGAGTCAATAATTATTTCTCAGGGACCTACCGATGTCTAACACTTTACTGTGTTCTTTAAGAGAAAAGGGCTAGGTATCAGAGGAGGAAGATCTTTCACCTTGGTGAATGATATGCTCTCTGGGTAGGCAGAGAGCCTCTTCACATGAGGCCACTTGAAGAAAGAGCTAAAGGAAAAGTCACTAGGCCAGTGACTTTGGGCCACTGTCAATGGGCCAATAGGAGCTCAGAGAAGGCAATGGCCAGGTTTGCTGGAAATAGACAGAGAAAGCTTCAAGGAGGAAAAGGACCTTGACTTGGGCCTCAGATGATAGGCGGGACCTACAAGGAGGTAGGGAGGGAAAACTCAGCTGTTTGACTATAGTTCCTGGTCTTACATTAATTATACTGGCCTATCTTTATTAAATGGTCAGGTTGCCCCAACTTGAAATCAAGGTCTCATCTGATTTGTCCCTCTCCCACAGACAAAGCTCTCCTTCCTGCTTCGCTGTATCTCCTGAATCTGTCACTACCTTAGAGCTTCACCATTTCTCATTTGAACTCTTAGAATAATCTCTTCTCTAGTTTTCCTGCTTCCAGCCCTGCCCCTTCCTTAAGATAAATCTTGTACATTACCATCAAATTAAACTTTACTCTTCCCTGCTTTTAACTGCCATTCTCCTGCTTGAAGGCGCTGACGGTAAACCTACCACCCACAGAGTAAATTCTGCACTCTTCATCCTGACATTCAGCATCCATCAGAATTGAGCCCCAGGACACACATTCTCAACCTAGTCATGCACTTCTCTGCCCTCACTCAATGTGCCCCAAGTATGCCTTATTCTTCCCTCTCATTGTCCTTATGTGTCATTTACTTCCTGCCAACTGCCTTCTTATTCCCCCTAGAGGTCCTAGTCCTGCCCATTCTTAGAGGCCAACCCTCATCACTCAGCCTCTGAAGCCACCCTAGCTGGAAGTGATCTTTCCTTCCCCTGTTGCACAGGGTCTCTACCTTTCATGTTGCCCTTAACAAAGGTTTTTGTACCATATATCCTTGTACCTTTCCACGTTTGTGTGTGTGTGTGTGTGTGTGTGTGCACGTGTGCACTGGGAGAAATAGTGGTAGCTCATCAGGGAGGTGGTCAGATGTGGGACATCAGATATGATCTTGTCTTCTATGGTCCCTATGCTGATACATGGTGATTTGCTCAGAAAATCTCAGTCTCCGAAGAAGCTGTTTTCCAATTGGCTCATAGCTGAACCTGCTTTCTGTGTTCACAAAGGTTGGAGTAGAGGTTTAACTCCTCTTCTGTTTAATGGGCTTTTGATATAAAAAGAAATTAATCACATTCTGAAAGAAGAGCCATCCCTGAACTCTCAAGTCTAGATCCCTTATCTGTTCTTTTAGCACCTTTATTTCCCCATTGTTAACACTCATTAGGTTTTGTAATTGGCTCTTTCCATTTCTGTATCCCCCTATAAGCCCCCTAAAGATGGAGACTGTGCCATATTCATCTTTGCATCCTCTTGCATGATTATTCAAATATCCCATTGATGAAAACAGGTATATATATGTGTGTGTGTGTGTGTGTGTGTGTGTGTGTGTGTGTGTGTGTGTGTATATGTATATATGTGTGTGTGTGTGTGTATCTGCTTCTGGTAATGGCGGACTAGATGATTTAGAGCAACCCACCCATTGAAAAGAACTACAAAACGTCAGATCTCTAAAAGGCTACAAAATTAATACAATTGTGAGGAATTGCTAGGTTATACTACAAGAGAACAGAAGCATCCAGAGAGGTAAGCCTAGGACTTAAAACTATATTTTTATTGAAGGTATCTGTGGTTGAGTAATAAGCCTGTGCTAAACTGCGTGGAACTTATGGCACATTCAAGGCACTATAGTAACAGAAGTCAGAGCCCAAGGCCCATCAAAAGGGGTGGAGTGTTTCCTGACAAACCATCACCCATAGTATGCTGGGAACCGCAAATGTTTATACCTTCAGGGTAATTGTAATCAAAAAATATACTAGCCCTTACAAAGTCTTGTAGCTTGGCTTTGCATCATCTGGGTGGACTAGTGAACTGTAAGTTCTGAACAAATATTATGGTGGTAACAAACAGGAAGCATTTTTTTTTTTTTTTTTTTTTTTTTTTTTTTTTAGACAGAGTCTCACTCTGTTGCCCAGGCTGGAGTGCAATGGCGCAATCTCAGCTCACTGCAACTTCCATCTCCCAGGTTCAAGCAATTCTTATGCTTCAGCCTCCTGAGTAGCTGGGATTACAGGCATGCACCACCACGCCTGGCTAATATTTTTGTATTTTTAGTAGAGACAGGGTTTCGCCATGTTGTTCAGGCTGGTCTCAAACTCCTGACCTTGTGATCCACCCACCTTGGCCTCCCAAAGTGCTGGGATTACAGGCGTGAGCCACCGCACCTGGCCAGGAGGCACTCTTATGGGCCTGACCAATGCAAATAAAATCTTCTCTAGAGTAAGATTTTTATCATCTTAGGCCTTAGATTATTACAACAATTGCTGAAATACAATATCCACACACAAAGATAACCAGGTGCACGAAAAAAATACGTTATGAGTAACAAATAGAAACAACAGGCAACACAAATAGATCAATATGATTTGAATTATTTGATTTATCAGGTACAGATTATTAAACCACAATACTTACTGTATTCAGATAAAACCTCATCTTGAAGATTTCAATATAAATAAATAAGAAATAAATAAATAAAATTCATATTTAAAATCTTCCAAAATGTTTCCGACCAGGAAAATTTTAGGCCCAGATAACTTCACTAGTGAAGAAAATAATATCCATCCAACACAGTCTTCCAGATAATTAAAAAAGAGAGAATACTCTGCAAGTCATTTTAAGATTTGGTATAACCTTAATATCAAAACCCGACAAGGTCATTATGGGAAAAGAAAAATATAGGTCAATGTAACTCATTGACATAACTGAAAAAAAATTTAAAGAAGAAAGAACCTGACCATATATGAGAATAATAATATACTACATACAAGTTAAGGTATTCCAGAAATGAAAGATTGGTATAATATTTGAAAATCAATTAATGTAATTTACCACATTAAGAGAATAAAGTCTAACAATCATATGATTATTTTAATAGATGAAGAAAAAAGTATTTATAATAGAAGCCCTTATTAAATGGGAAGAGACAGAAAGGGACTTCCTTGATTTGTTAGAATATGTTTATAAAAAACATATAGCAAACATAAAATATAATGATGAGTATAGAAAGCTTTCTCTTTGAAGCTGAAGCTGAGATTAGGAAGCCCCAGATCTTTTTAAAATTTGACTGTAGGTCCCAGGCCAGTGAAAATAAAAAGATGAAGGCAGGAAGGCAAAAGGAAGGAAGGAAGGGAAGAAGAAAGAAAAGGTAGAGAATTGGAAAGGAAGAAATGAAACTGTCATGCACAGACAACATGACTGTAATTTAGGAAATCTAAAAGAGTCCATATATAAAAATTTTGGAATGAATAAATGAGTTCATCAAGTGTTCTGGATATGACAATATACAAAATTCAGTTGCATTTCTTAATCAGCAAAAAAACAGTTACAAAATGGAAGTTTTAAATCCAATACATGATGAATGTTACTGAGATCTTTAAATAAATAAATGGAATATATACCATGGTCATGGGTTGGAAGACTCAGTGTTAGGAAGATGTCAATTCTCTTCTAACTGACCTATAATTACAATGCAATCCTAAACAAAACTCCTCCTTCATTCTCTCCTTCCCTTCTTCCTTCCTTTCATGGCACTTGACAAGCTGATTCTAAAGATTATATACAAACACAAAAAGTCAAGAATAACTTACACATTATTGAAAAAATCCCAATCTGGAGGACTTTGCTCTGTCTACTAAATACCAAAACTTATTATAAAATCTAAATATTGACACGTTATAAAGTCATAGTAGTTTAGTGTGATACTAATCCAAGGATAGCCAAAGAGACCAATGGAATCAAAGAGAGATCCCAGAAACAGACCCATGCATTATGGATTGCTGATTTACAATAAACGTGCATTGTTAAGCACTGGAGGAAAGGATAACTTTTATCAAATGACACTGAATGAACTGCAATATATAATATGGAAAATGTAAATCTTGACCCCTACCTCACATTAAACATGTGATGGGTTAATTTTTTGTGTTAACTTAACTGGGCCACAGAATGCCCAGACATTTGTTCAAATGTTATCCTGGGGTATTTCTGGATGAGATTAACATTTAAATTGGTAGACAGAATAAAACAAATTGCCCTTCCTAACATAGGTGGGCCTCATCCAACCAATTGAAGACCTCAATAGAATACAAAGGCTGAGTAAGAGGGAACTTCTGTCTGATTGTTTGAACTGGGACATTGGTCTTTTCTTGACTTCAAACTTGAACAGAAAAATCAACTGTCCTTGGGTCTTGAGCCTGTCTCGAACTTGCTGACTATAGATCTTGGGACTTCTTAGCCTCCATAATCACATGAGCCAATTCCTTGTAATCTCTCTCTCTCTCTCTCTCTCTCTCTCTCTGTGTATATATATGTGTGTGCGTATATGTATATATATATATATGTGTGTGTGTATATATATATATATATATGTGCTATATATATTTGCTATGGATTGGTTCTGTTTCTCTGAAAAACCCTAATGCAATACACAAAAACTAATTTGTGGTCAATTATACATCTGTCTTCTAGAAAATAATATAGAATATCTTTATAACTATGATGTAGGCACAGACTTTTTAAACTGGACACAGAGTACTTATCATAACTATCATTCCATTGAAATTAAGACATTCCATTAGTCAAATGACACCACAAAGAGAGTAAAAAGACATGCCACAAAGTTGGTGAGCTATTTGCAATACATTTCACTGACAAAGAGCTCAGATGCAGAATATATTTTTAAAATCCTACAAATTAATGTGAAAAAGACACATAAGCCAATAGTAGAATGGGAATAATACAACCACTTCGTAAAAGAGGATATCTAAATTGTCCAAAAAAATGAAAGTGTGCTCAGCTTCATTAGTTATCAGTGAAATGAAAAAGGCAGATAATAACAAGCAATGGTGGTGATGTACAGCACCAAGAACTGTTATCACTACTGATGGAAGTGTAAACTGATACAACCAATTTGGAAGTTTGGCATCATATATTACAGTTGAACATGCAATTCTCCTCATAGATAGCTACCCAACAGAAATTTGTGTACGTGTATACTGAGAGGTATATATAAGAATTTTCATAGCCGCATTATATATAATATTGAAAAGCTGGAAATAACCTAAATTTATATAAAGAACAAAACAATAGCATAAACTGTGATATGTTCAATAATTGTATACTACACATCAATGCAAATAAATTAATTAAATCTAAACATAGAAACATGGATTCATACCATAAACATAACATTTTAGCTCAGGCTGCTATAACAAAATACTATGGCTTATAAAAAGCAAATTTATTTCTCATAGTTCTGGAGGCTGGGAAGTACAGGATCAAGGTGATAGATTCAGTGTCTGGTGAGGGCCCTCTTCCTCACAGATGGCTGTTTTTCACTGTAACCTCACATGGTAGAAGAGTGAGGGAGCTCTCTGGGGTCTCTTTCATAAGGGCACTAATCCCTCCCAGTGGCCCCAACTCCTAATACTATCACCTTGGAAGTTTGGATTTCAACATATAATTTTTTGGGGGAGGGACATAAACATTCAGTTTCATTGTATATAGTATTGAATAAAATATGCCAGCCATAAAAAATACATGCTGTATAGTTCCATTTATATACAGTTCACAAAACAGGCAATATCCTAAACTGTACTGCTTAGGATATAAAATATAAAGAAAAACAAGGAAAGGGTTACCATAAATTTCAGGATTATTATTAGCTCTAGTGGTAAGGAAGGGGGATGACTGAAGGGGACATCAATGGCATTTCTGGACTGCTAACAGTATTCTACTTCTTGACATGAGTGGTGATTACCCAGTTTTTCATTTTGTAATAAATAATTTAGCTCTACATCTTGTGAATGTGTGTGACTCTATATGTGTGCTATCTTTCATGATCAAATGTTAAAATGGCAGAACCACAGGAGAAACAAATTCACAACCATAATGAGAAACTTAATATGTTAAGTTTAAATTGTTATCAGTAACTGATAGAGCAAGCAGATAAAAATTCAGAAATGATAAAGAAGCTTGGAACAATTTGACAAACTTTTCTAAAGGACGTATACAGAACTCTGAACCCAGTAAATGTAGGCATGAAACATTTTTACAAAAATTAATTATTAGGTCATAAAGATGTCACAATAAATACAAAAGGATTGCAGTTATACACATGTTCTCTGACCCTCAATACACCTATACAGAAATCAATAATTAATAACAAAAAGAAAACTAGAAAACTTCCATATTTGGGAATATTTTTGCCCTTTTCTCACATCATTCCTCCTGGCATTTTGTACTAAGAGAATTTGATTTGGTGTTAGAGAATTCAGGCTCTATGAGGGGCATACTTTTTGGCCCAATATAACTAGTGGGGGTCACAAGTGAAAGGAGAGTCATCAAATCTACTGTAAATATGGGATAATTGATATTTGGAGTGGTCAAAAAATGTTTCCAAGATCAAAGAGCTGATAGTAAGTTCCAGTAGTAACTGGAACTCATGACCCCAATAGTCCATGATCTTAAGATACTCTGCTAGACTGCATCTCTCATATCCTGTGAGTTGTATGTGTGGTGATGGGCAGGAGTCAGCTACTTTGTGCTCCATTTTGAAGATAAAAAGACAGCTGGTCCTGGACCCTAAGTCTGTGGACTCTATTCTCAGTAAACTCAATGACTGGCCTGTGTAATTTAAGAAGGCCCTGCTCTCTACATCTCAGAGCTTTTTTCATAACAAATGTCTACTCTCTAGGGGGAAAGATTTTACCAGAGCTCTGTCTCAGAGCTGTGGGGTAACAGTGATTACCTAGCTCCATCACCCTCTACACTTCTTGTGTCATCTAAGGGGAGGATCGACGCTATACAAAAAGAAACACTTGCGAAGGTCACAGGCCAGAGACATAGGTCCACTAAAAGATGGAGATTTAATTGGAAGATTATAGAATACTCCCTATCCCCAATGTCTTATCACTACACCATCAGGGCTCTAGTATAATAGTAAATTACAATGGAAAGAGCTGCAAAAACCAGAGTGTTTCTGTTTGGGAAGCCCAAAGTCAAGAGGGGAGACAAAAACAGGAACACTGAGAAATTTGATGCCTCTAGCACCTATAGCAATAGCAAACATTAATCAAATCACAACTCCTAGCCAGATTAACATAGCTCCTTACACTAGAGGCTTATTTACCTTATTTACCTCAGTTCCTATATACCTGATATAGCATGTCTAGTTTTTAACAAAAAATTACAAGACAGCAAAAGCAAGGGGAAAAAAAGTTCTGAAGAAACAAAGCAAGCTTCAGAACCAGACTCAGATATGATACAGTTTTTGAAATTGTAAGACAAGGAATTTAAAATAACTATGATCAGAATGGGTGTGGTGGCTCATGCCTGTAATTCTAGCACTTTGGAAGGCCAAGGTAGGAGGATTGTTGAGGCCAGGAGTTCAAGACCAGTCTGGGCAACAGAGCAAGACTTCGTCTCTTAAAAAAAAAAAAAAATTAGCTGGGCATGGTGGTGCCTGCCTGTAGTCCTAGCTACTTGGGACGCTGAGGCAGAAGGATTGCTTGAGCCCAGGAGTTTGAGGCTACAGTGAGCTGTGATCATGCCACCACATGCCAGTCTGGGCAGCAGAGCAATATCTTGTCTCTAAAAAAATAAAAATAATAATAAAATAACTATGATCAATACATTAAGGGCACTAATGGAAAAAGTAGACAACATGCCAGAATAGATGGATAATGAAGCTAGAGAGAAGGAAATGCCAATAAAGACTCAAAAGAAAATACTAGAAATTAAAAAGAAAACTAACAGAAACAAGGAATGCCTTTGATAGGTTCATCAATGGACTGGACACAGCTGAGGAAAAAGATCAATGAGCTAAAGATATGTCAGTAGAAACCTCTCAAACTGAAATGCAAATAGAAAAAAAAGACTAAAAAATAAAACAGAAGAGAATATCCAAGAACTATGGGACAATTTCAACACAAGTAACATGTGCTAAATTGGAATACCAGAAGAAGGAATAGAGAATGAAGCAGAAGAAATATTTGAAGTAATAATGGCAGATAACTTTCCAAAATTAATAGACACCAAACAATACATCCAAGAAGTTCAGTGGACAATGGGCAGAATAAATACCAAAAGAAAACACCACTACACCTAGGCATATAATATTCAAACTGCATAAAACCAAAAACAAAGAGGAAATTGCCGAGACCAGCTCAGTCATGGAGACCCTAGCCCAGTGGCGCTAGAGGAATTAAAGACACACACACAGAAATATGGCATGTGGAGTGGGAAATCAGGGTTCTCACAGCCTTCAGAGCTGAGAGCTCCAAACAGAGATTTACCCACATATTTACTGACAGCAAGCCAGTGATAAGCATTGTTCTATAGATTATAGATTTACTAAAAGTATTCCTTACGGGAAACAAAGGGATGGGCAGAAACAAAGGGATGGGCTCTGGCTAGTTCTCTGCAGCAGGAACATATCCTTAAGGCACAGATTGCTCATGCTATTGTTTGTGGCTTAGGAACGCCTTTAAGCGGTTTTCCGCCCTGGGTGGGCTAGGTGTTCCTTGCCCTCATTCCGGTAAACCCACAACCTTCAGCGTGGGCATCATGGCCATCATGAACATGTCACAGTCTTGCAGAGATTTTGTTTATGGCCAGTTTATGGCCAGATTTGGGGGCCTATCCCCAGCAGGAAATAATGAAAGAAACCAGAGGGGAAAAAAACACCTTACCTGTGGAAGAACAAGGATAAGAACTGCAGTGGAATTGTCACCAGAAACCATGCAAGCAAGAAGACAGTGAAGTGAAATATTTAAACTGTTCAAAGAAAAAACAACCAACCTAAAATTCTTTTTTTTTTTTTTTTTTTTTTGAGACAGGGTCTCACCCTGGCTCGGGCTAGAGAGCGGTGGTGCAATCATGGCCCCCTGCAGCCTAGACCTCCTGGGCTCAAGCTATCCTCCCACCTCGGCCTCCTGAGTAGCTGGGACTACAGGCACATGTCACCATGCCAGGCTAATTTTTGTATCTTTTTGTAAAGACAGAGTTTCTACATTTTGCCTAGGCTGGTCTCAAACTGCTGAGCTAAGTGATCCACCTGCCTTGGCCTCCCACAGTGCTGGGATTACAGTTGTGCACCACTGTGTCCAGCCTAAAATTCTATATCCAGCAAAATTATCCTTCAAAAGTGAAGGAGAAATGAAATAAGTACTTTCTCAGACAAATAAAAACTGATGGAATTCAGCACCAGCAAACCTGCACTTTAAGAAATGTTAAAAGATTTTCTTCAGGCAACTGAGATCTACATAAAGAATGAAAGAGGATTAGAAATGAAATAAATGAAAGTAAAGAAAAATATTTATTTTTCTTATTCTTAATTGATCTAAAAGATAACTGTCTGAAGAAATAATAGCAACAATATACTGAGTGATTATAGTGTATGAGTAATTGAAATGAATGACAAATGCTCTGCATTAAGGTATGTGCACTACATACAAGTTAAGCATAAGAGTGTTATCTGAAAGTGGACTTGGCTGGGCACGGTGGCTCACGCCTATAATCCCAGCACTTTGGGAGGCCGAGGCAGGTGGATCACGAGGTCAGGAGATCAAGACCATCCTGGCTAACACAGTGAAACCTTGTCTCTACTAAATATACAAAAAAAAAAATTAGCCGGGCAAGGTGGTGGGCACCTATAGTCCCAGCTACTCAGGAGGCTGAAGCAGGAGAATGGTGTGAACCCAGGAGGCAGAGCTTGCAGTGAGCCGAGATTGCGCCACTGCACTCCAGCCTGGGCGACAGAGCGAGACTCTGTCTCAAAAAAAAAAAAAAAATTAGCCGGCGTGGTGGCACATGCCTGTAGTCCCAGCTACTCGGGAGGCTGAAGCAGGAGAATCACATGAACCCAGGAGGTGGAGGTTGCAGTGAGCCAAGGTCGCACCATTGCCCTCCAGCCTGGGCAACAGAGTGAGACTCCGTCTCAAAAGAAAAAAAAAGAAAGTGGACTTAGATTGGTTAAAATATGTAGTAAACTCAAGAGAAATCAGTAAAAGTTGTTTAAAAAAGTATAACTGATACTCTAAGAGAGGAGACAAAATGAAACCATGTAAAATAATTAAAACCAGAGAAGGCAGAAAAAGAAACCTTGGACAACAAATAGAAAACTGTTACGAACATGGTTGATATTAATCCAAATATATCAAGAAACACTCTAAATGTGAGTAGTCAAAATACACCAATTGAAGACAAAATTTGTCAGAGTGAATTTTAAAAAAAACCAACTAGGCCAAGCACAGTGGCTCACGCCAGTAATCCTAGCACTTTGGGAGGCCGAGGTGAGCAGATCACTTGAGCCCAGGAGTTTGAGACCAGCCTAGGAAACATGGTGAAACCCCATCTCTACAAAAAATACAAAAATTTGCCAGGTGTGGTGGCATGTGTCTATGGTCACAGCTACTCAGGAGGCTGGGGTAGGAGGCTCGATTGAGCCCAGGAGGCCAAAGCTGCAGTGAGCCATGATCATGCTACTGCACTCCAGCCTAGGTGACAGAATGAGACCCTATCTCAAAAAAAAGAAAAAACCCAACTACCTGTTGTCTACAAGAAGCCCACTTTAAACATAAGACTGAGAGGTTAAACATAAAGCAATAGAGAAAGATATATCCTACTACACTAATGAAAAGAAAGCTGGAGTAGCTATATAATTTTAGACAGAACTGACTTCAGAACAAAGACAATTATCAGAGATAAAAAGGGGCATTACATAATGATAAAGGGAACAATTCTCCAACACATAATAATTATAATTAGTTATGTACCTAACAATAGAGTGTCAACATATGTGAGGCAAACACTAATAGAAATGAAAGGAGAAATAGACAAAAATCCATTATTAGAGTTGCAGACTTCAATAACCCCTCCTGCCACTCAGTAATTGATAGATTAAGCAGGCAGAAAATCAATATGGATATAGTTGATCTGAAAGGCATACTAATCAACTTTAGCTAAATGACACTTCATCTAATTTACAGAACACCCCAACAGCAGAACACCATTTTTTTCAAGCTCACATAGAAAATTCACCAAGAGAGAACATATTCTGGTCCATAAAAGATACCATGACAAACTAAAAATAAGAGAAATCACAAGTATGCTCTCAATAAAATTAAACTAAAAATCAGTAACAGAAAGATAGATGGAAAACAAATATCTGGAAATTAAAGATACGTCTAAATAACACAGCTCAAAAAGAGCTCTCAAAAGAAATGAACCAACCCAAATGCCCATCAATGATAGACTGGATTAAGAAAATGTGACACATATACACCATAGAATACTATGCACCCATAAAAAAGGATGAGTTCATGTCCTTTGCAGGGACATGGATGATGCCTGAAACCATCATTCTCAGCAAACTAACACAAGAACAGAAAACCAAATACTGCATGTTCTCACTTATAAGTGGGAGTTGATCAATGAGAACACATGGACACAGGGAGGGCAGCATCACACACCAGGGCCTGTCAGGAGGTGGGGGGTAAGGGAGGGATAGCATTAGGAGAAATACCTAATATAGGTAACGGGTTGATGGGTGTGGCAAACCACCATGGAACATGTATACCTATGTAACAAACCTGCACGTTCTGCTTATGTACCCCAGAACTTAAAGTAGTAAAAAAAAAAAAAGACACAGCAAGAAGTTCACAGTCTGCAACTTGAAAGAGGACCCTCACAAGAACCCAACCATGCTGGTACCTGATCTTGGACTTCCAGACTTCCAGAACTGTGAGGAAAAAAATATTGCTGTTGTTTATAAGCCACCCAGACTATGGTATTTTATTATAGCAACCCGAACAGACTGGTATGGTTAATGTATGGATTTTTGCCAATTTTTACCTTACCCTCCAACATTAAAGAAACTTGTTACTTTGCTACTTTATTTTCTTCCCCTTACCCATTCTTTGAAGATGGTCCTTTCTGGACAGATTTGTTCTTTTGGGCTAATGAAAAATTGATGGTTATGGGTGGAAAACAGGAGCAGATTGGTAATAGAGAAAGGGGGTGACTTAGCAAAATAATTTGCCAATCTGTTTATTAATACTGAGGAGGAAAACATAGAACGAGTTAAAACCATGAGAGCAGGAGATTAGAGAAGGAATTTTTCAAGAATTTAGAATTAGAGAAGTGAAAAAGCACTCACAATGTGCAAGAAAGGTGTAAAGGAGAGAAATGGAGAATTTGCTGTAGTATATAAATGTTCTTTTTGTAGAATCATAAAAAAAAATCCACAGGGAAGCTATGATTCAGTATAGGTTCATCTGTACCTAGTTGTTATTAATAAACATTTAATTACTTTGCAAAATATTTTGAACTAAATGAAAATATAACATCAAATTTGTGGAAAAATATGATATAGCAAATGATAGAAATCACAAGTATGCTCTCAATAAAATTAAACTAGAAATCAATAACAGAAAGGTAGATGGAAAACTCAAATATCTGGAAATTAAACATACTTTTTTTTTTTTTTTTGAGACAGAGTCTCGCTCTGTTGCCCAGGCTGGAGTGCAATGGCACGATCTCGGCTCACTGCAAGCTCTGCCTCCCAGGTTCACACCATTCTCCTGCCTCAGCCTCCTGAGTAGCTGGGACTACAGGCGCCTGCCACCGCACCTGGCTAATTTTTTATATTTTTAGTGGAGACGAGGTTTCACCGTGTTAGCCAGGATGGTCTCCATCTCCCGACCTCGTGATCCACCCGCCTCGGCCTCCCAAAGTGCTGGGATTACAGGCGTGAGCCACCGCACCCGGCCTGGAAGTTAAACATACTTCTAAATAACACAATTCAAAGAAGAATCCTCAAGAGAAATGTAAAAGTATTTTGAAGTAAATGAAAATACAACATACCAAATTTGTGGGATTCCCTAAAGCAGTGCTTAGGGGAAAATTTCTAGCTTAAACGCATATATGAGAAAGGAAAAATCTACAATCAATAATCTAAGCTTTCAAATTAGGAAACTAGAGAAAGAGAAGTAATTTAAGCCTAGAGCAAACAAAAGATATAGTAAAAATTAGAGAAGAAATAAATGAACCTGAAAACAGGAAAACAACAGAGGAAATCAATGAAACCACAAGCTGGTTCTTCAAAAAGCGTAAATAAAATTGACAGATTACTTGCCAAGCTAACCAAGAACAAAGACAGACGACAAATTAACAATATCAGAAATGAGGCCAAGCGTTGTGGCTCATACCTCTAATCTCAGCACTTTGGGAGGCTGAGGCTGGAGGATCGCTTTGGCTCAGGTGTTTGAGACCAGCCTGGGCAACATAGCTCTACAAAAAATTTAAAAAAAGAAATGAAGGTGGAGTTATCATTATTGATCCCATGGACATTAAGAAGTTAATATGAACAACTCTATGCCTACAAATTTGTTAATATAGATGAAATGTACCAATTCTACAAAATAAATTTTTTTAAGGGAAATAAAACATATACAGATGGGAAAGGAAGAAATAAACTGTCTTTATCTGCAGTTGACATGGCTGCCAAAGAACTGACAAATGCCTGGTGCAAAGTCCCAGCATACAAGATTAATATACAAAAGTCAGTTGCTTTCCTATATACTAGTAATGAACAATTAGAACTTGAAATGTAAAAGTACCATTTACAATAGCAGTCCCCAAATGCAGAATGTGAGAAAAGAATTTTAATGTATCACAAATGTATGAAACAATCTCACTGAAAGGGATGGGGGAATAAGGTACTGACATAGGTAAATTTGGAAATGAGTGGAGTCTGTAAGACCAAAGGCAAAAGGAACTGTACATAGCACTCTACTCCAGTTGATAAAGTTGTTTTCCACAGGGGCACAGGTTTACAATTTTGAAGCCACTATATATTTATATAATTAATAAACAATTAGTAAAATGGATGGCAGATAGTAGGAGACAGGTTTCTCACAGTTGGAGTAGAAGGTTACAAATAAGCAAGGGGAGGCTAGAATGATCCATGCAGTAATAGACTGTAGTTGGAGACACTAGTATAAATTTATGTTTAGCCTTATATAAATACAGATGGTTATATACAGAAATATTTATATTTCCATAAATACTTTATATATGTATGGGTATTATATACACATATATCTTTTTGCTATGTCAACTGAGAGGGCCTAGAAGCAATTATATTTCAGCAGCAATCAGTATGTCTAGCACCCAGATCTTGTTTTTCTAACACCATTCTCCAACATAAGATACCAGGGCTACTTGGAGAAATGGCTAATTCTAGGACTTGGGCAATATGAAAGATAAAGCTATAGCATCTTGTAGTGCCAGAATGTAAGTAAATACTAAAAAAAAAAAAAAACCCTCTACAACATAACAATGGAAGCGTGTCAAATGAATACAGGAGCCAACTGAAAGCTCCCAATGACCAAAGCTGGAACAATTTGAGCAAAAACATGTAAAGTAGTATTGCGTTAATCCAAAGTATAAAATAGTCATGAGTCTACATTGATACAAATAAACTGAATATATAAATAAGTGGGGAATAAGAGTCAAATATCCTCTGCAGAAGGATTCCAAATAATTTTTGTCAATACTCTGCCTTCAAGGAGGTAATAATGCCCTACTCCTTAAGTGTGGGCTGCCAATAGTGACTTTATTCCAAAGAATACAGTATGGAAAGGGAAAAATAAAACTTAACCTTGGAGAAACCTGACAAACACTACTTCAGTCAGGTTACCAAGGATAAGAACAGTGGTAAATATATTGATGGTATGTCCCCTTTATATGATGAGAATGGCATTTTACCTCTGGTCTTCTTCCCAAAACACATAATGCCTGTGTAATCACAAGACAAGCAAACCCAAGTTTTGGGACATTATACAAAATACCTGACCAATACTTCGTAGAAGTGTCAAGGTCATCAAAAACAGGCAAAGTCTGAAAAACTCTCACAGCTAAGTGGAGCCTATGGAGACATGACGACTAAATGTAACCTGAATGGGATCCTGGAACAGAAAAAGGACATTAAGGGAAATCCAAATAAAGTACGTACTTTAGTTAATAATAATGTATCAATATTGGTTAACAGTGACAAATGTACCATACTAATGTAAGATGTTAATAATAGGGGACAGTGCATATGGGATACTCTGTACTATCTTTGCAATAATTGTGTAGATCTAAAACCATCCTAAAAGTTTATTAAAAAAAAATACTGTAAGGAAATAAAAAGCTACTCAAGAGCCAGGGGGAAAAAATCACATAGGTAGATGGGTCTGTTGAAATAGTAAAGCAGGGCTTAACAGAAATTTCCTGGGAGACAATTCCTAAGAAAAAAGTGTTAGCAGACTAGAGATTAACAAATGAGAATAGCACACCATCTCGTCACTCAGCTTTTCCTCCTGGCTCAATCTCCACTATCTAAATCCGGTGGAAACGGCTATATGCAAAAATATACACAAATCAACAAAAAACATGGAAAGCAGTGTTTTGTAAAAACTTCATAAAACATCAAGGCCCAAGTGACAATTGGGTACTAACAACCTGAGTTAGGATAATTCTATTGTAGGTAGAGAGGGAATTCTCCACTTTTCTGTTGGGACAGTGTTGCTTAGTCCATCATGGTCTTCAGCCCACCAGCAGCAGCTGGGGCCTTAGGAGGGTGCAGGATCCATGAGAAGGGGCACACTACCTTTCAAGTATGGCATTACCCAGGAAGAGTGGCACCCATCTCTCAGCTGTCTGGACTTATTTCTGGGCACAGGTGAGACCCTCCTTCAGCCCTTCCCAAGTATCTGACTGGGCACTGGTTCTGCTAGTGCAAGGGGAGAGAGTAGGAGCCAGCCTAACACAGCTCACACACTCAATACCTCATTTGATCTTCTCCACATGTCTAGGCTAATTTTATCCCCATTTCACAGATGTCAAGGCTGTCCCTTACAGCAATGGCTCTGTAATAACCATCGAGTTGACTCCTCCAGCTTCCAGTCCCAGAGGTAATGCAACTTTTACCTATCATTTTATGTCCTCACAAGAATTTTAAGTATATCCACTGTCTTTATAAGTTCACTGGGCAGTTCATTTGAATGCTTATTCAAATGAATGAAATTCAAATATTCACTGTTTTCCAATACTTTATATTTTATTATTTTTATGACTAAAGAAATCTGTTTTTAGGAGAAAAATGGACAGATGAACAAAAAAGAACAGAAAAAATCACCCAGAGATAACCACTGTTAATCTTTTAGTGGACACAGCTTTCAGAATTGTTTTCTATACTATATTACTAGGTAAGTATCTTTGTAGTTTTACAAAAATGTACTGATGCCATATATTTGGTTCTGCAAGTTGTGTTTTTTAATTTTACAATGCACCATCAACATTTTTTCCATGTAACAGATGAACATTTCCTACTGAGAACACTGCATTGCAGATAGGTCAAAAGGCTGCTAGCAACAGGAGGGATGCCTAAAGTAAAGTATTACCGTAACGTTAAAGCACATGGCCTGGTAAATGCCTGCCAGGGACACTACACATAAGGAATGTCTTCAATGTCCCTTCGTGGGGCCCTGCAGCCACCCCTGAATTCCCTTGGACCTCTAGGGTAGAAGGGGTCCTGTAAATTTCTTTGCATCCACAAAAACGCCCCCAATTTCTGTTTGCTTTTTCTCTTCTCATCCTGCACCTTAGCCATATTGTCAAATTCTCTTATCATGTCCTCATTGCTGAAATTCATATCATGTATGGCCTCTTTATACTCCTTGAGGTAATGAGCCAGCCCCTTATTAGTTTTTCTTTTGGCTTTCCTGGGTACATCATCCTCAGCTGGGCGCTTTCCTGCAGCCCTTGTTTCACTCCCTGGCTCTCCTTCACTCTCTGGCTTTCCCTCTATCTCTGGTTTTCCCTCTCTCTCTGATCCTCCCTCCATCTCTGACTCTCCCTCCCTCTCTGACTTTCCTTCTTTTGCCTCTCCCTCACTCTCTGGCTTTCCTTTATCCTTTAACATTTCCTCATCTCCTGTTTTGCCCTTGTTTTCTGTCTTTCCCTCGTTTTCTAACTTCTTGTCTTCCAGAGTACAAGTTACTTCTGGCTTTCTCTCGTCTTGTGGCTGTTCTTCATTTTCCATCTTTCCTTGGTTTGAAGCCATTCCTTCATTTTCACTGTAGAGTTTTTCCATGTCGAGATTTCCCCTCCTTTTCCTGTCCTGGGGGATGGGGGTGGAGGAAAGAGGAGACAAAGAGGAGACATGGGAGACTGAGTGCATGGGGTGGAATGCAGGTCTGGATAGTACTTGCATCTCACCCCTGATGAGGGTTCCCCTAAGCTGGCCAGGCCTCCAAGAGGGCCTTCTGCCCACCACGTAGCCCGCCACTCCTCCCACACACGTGAGCCAGCCATTGCCTGACAGGCTCTGCCACTTTCTCTGCACTGGTTCAGCCTGGTAAGGTGTGTGTTCATGTGGGTGGGGGAATGGGAAAGGCCCCAATTCGGCCCTGGCCGGGCCCTCCACACTCTCAACCCTTGTGGGCCCCTGTCCATGCAGCCCCGTACTTTCACGGACCTGCGGGGATTCTGGACAGGTTGCTCCTCCTTTTCAGGCTTCGCAGAGCGCTGGGAACAACAGACGCGCAGACCTGCAGACAGACAGGAGACAGGGGCAGGGTCTGCGCGCTCAGCGGGCTCACACGGACGCGGTTCCCTTTCCTGAGTCCAGGCCCTTCTCATCCAACGTTTTCCTCCCCTACCTCCGCCGCACCCCAGCCGCCATTTCTTTCCAGGCCTCGGGCACCAAATCAGGATGCTTTCCAAACTAATTTTGGGTCTCTGTGCCCTTCTTCCTCAGAGGCAACTCTCCTCCCCAGCCTCGCGGTCAACGTTTTTCTCTACGCACGGGAACGGCAGATGGGGTTTACTTCCACTGTCTCACTACTGGGGCGGCCCCAGCCCACCATCTCCGGCTCCAAAATGGACGGAGGGCAGAGAAGAGGATGTGCCTGGAAAGCGAGCATGGATACTTGGGGGTGCTCGCCTTCCTCACCCTCTGCCCACTGCCTACGTGCTCCCCCTCAGCCACCCCTAGCCGTTTTCCCACCGCCATCTCTGTCCACACTCGGGCCAGCTTCCCTCGACTCGACCCGACCCCACCCCCAGCCTTTCCCCCTGCCGTACCCGTTCCCCTTCCGCCATTCCAGTGTTCCGCTGGCAGCGTGGAAGGCCCGCACACTGACCTGGAAGAAGCTGGACCAAGAATTAGGAGCCCAGGAACCGGAGCAGACGAGACCCAGCCGCGGGGACAGAGGGCAGGCACTCGGACCGGTGCCTACATCTGCGCCCGTGCAGATCACGTGAATGCCGCAGCCCAGGAGTTCCACCGCCCCACGCCCCGCCTCCTAGCCAGCCGCTTCCAGCCACCCACCACCTCTCCAGCAGGTACCCTCTTACCTCCCTGGGCCCTTTTGTCCTTTTTTTCTTGTTAAGAAATTAATCAAAGAAAGAATCTTAATGAAAATCACAGTTTTTTTTTTAATGAGTTGGGCGGTCCAGAAGAGGAGTCTTGATAATGTTGCTCTTAAATTCCACTGAAATAACGTAGACCCACCCGATAAAATCGTATGAATGTGAACTTAAGTACTGTATAAAGAATAGAATATTGCCCTTTAGAAAAAACTTAAGAAAAATTTTCCAAAATAAATGAAATTGTCCCTTTTTCCTGACATGTACAAACATAAATTTTCAAATGAATAAAAAATAAAGTTATATTTGAAGCAAAATAAAACAACGATTAATTTATCTTAAGTGAGAAACTGAATATACAATGACCAGACCACATACGAAAATAGAACTGTGACCCACAACCTTTGCTGCAAGCAGCTCAAAAAGCCAAAGTATAGCATCTGCAGAAATGTTCAGGACTTTAATCAATTTGCTAGCCTTTCTGGCCTTTTTAATTTTTTTGACCTGATGACAAACAAGAAAAACCCAAATATGAACCCATATTCAATCACATAGGATGCTTGCCTCTAGTTGGCCTGCCTCTAGCTTCCTCACGTCAACAACATCCAATCAGAGCGTAGCTGAAGTCTTTGTGTTTTTGTTTTCCACTATAAAGCTTTCCCACTCCCCTGCCTGTCTTTGAATCTCTGCCAGACTCAAATGATGGTGGCTTGACTTCCTTGCTATAAAAAAGCTGTGAATAAGTAGCACTTGTTTGTTCTCTTATGGGTAGACTCCGTTTATCTCCACATAAGCTTTTGGTGTGGAAGGCCTTTATAGTCACGTGCCACTTAATAACGGGGATATGTTCTGAGAAATGCATCAGGCAATTTCGTGGTGGTGCGAACATCGTAGAGTGTAGTTATACAAATCTATATGGTATAGCCTACTACACTCCTAGGCTACATACTATAGCCTATCGTATTCTATGCTGTCCGTTGTCGTTGACCAATCGATACGCAGTGTGACTGTACAACAAAGAGACAAATGCTGATAGATTAGATTACATGAAAATTTTTAACAGATTTGTTGAAGGACTGGGGACACATGCACTCTCCCCTGCTCTTATTGAATATGTTGGTGAAATTTTTCTGAAGATCAACTTTGTAAATTATTTAAAAATAAAAATATCGGCCAGGCACGGTGGCTCACACCTGTAATCCCAGCGCTTTGGGAAGCTGAGGCGGGTGGATCACCTGAGGTCAGGAGTTCAAGACCAGCCTGACCAGGATGGTGAAACCCCATCTCTACTAAAAATACCAAAACTAGCTGGGCGTGGTGGTGGGCGCCTGTAATCCCAGCTACTCGGTAGGCTGAGGCAGGAGAATTGCTTGAACCCGAGAGGCAGAGGTTGCAGTGAGCCGAGATCACGCCATTGCACTCCAGTCTGGGCGACAGAGTGAGACTTCGTCTCAAAAAAAAAAATTAATATTTGATCTTTTGTGCCAGTAATTTCACTTCTAATAGTTACCCACAATGATAATTTTCTTTCTTCAACTTTTATTTTAAGCTCAGGGGCACATGTGCAGGATGTGAAGGTTTGTTATGTAGATAAACATGTGCCATGGTGGTTTGCTGTATAGATCATCTCATCACCCAGGTATTAAGCCTGGCAGCCACCAGCTATTCTTCCTTATGCTCTCCCTCCCTGCCCCCAGCAGGCCCCTGTGTGTGTTGTTCCCTGACATGTGTCCATGTGTTCTCATCATTCAGCTCCCAGTGAGAACACATGGTGTTTGGTTTTCTGTTCCTGCATTAGTTTGCTGAGAATAATGGCTTCTAGCTCCATCCATGTGCCTGCAAAAGACATGATCTCATTCCTTTTTATGGCTGCATAGTATTCCATGGTGTATATGTACCACATTTTCTTTATCTAGTCTATCATTGATGGGCATTTCAGTTGATTCCATATCTTTGCTATTGTGATTAGTGCTGCAATGAACATACGGGTGCATGTATCCTTATAACAGAATGATTTATATTCCTTTGGGTATATACCCAGTAATGAGATTGCTCAGTCAAATGATATTTCTGGTTCCAGGTCTTTGAGGAATCGCCACAGTCTTCCACAATGGTTGCTGATTTATACTCCCACCAACAGTGTAAAAGTGTTTCTTTTTCTCTGCAGCCTCACCAGCATCTGTTGTTTTTTGACTTTTTAATAATAGCCATTCTGACTAGCTTAAGATGGTATATCATTGTGGTTATGATTTGCATTTCTCTATCAGTGATGTTGAGGTTTTTTTCACATGTTTTTTGGCCTCATGTATGTCTTCTTTTGAGAAGTGTGTGTTCATGTCTTTGCCTACTTTTTAATGGGCTGTTTTTTTCTTGTAAATTTGTTTAAGCTTCTTGGAGACTGGATATTAGACCTTTGTCAGATGGATAAATTGCAAAAATTTTATCCCGTTCTGTAGGTTGTCTGTTCACTCTGATGAGTTTTGTTTGCTGTGTAGAAGCTCGTTAGTTTAATTAGATCTCATTTGTCAATTGTTGCTTTTGTTGCAATTGCCTGTGCCTATGTCCTGAATGGTATTGCCTAGGATTTTCTAATAGGGTTTTTGTAGTTTTGGGTTTTACATTTAAGTCTTTAATCCATCTTGAGTTAATATTTATATATGGTATAAGGAAGGGGTCCAGTTTCAATTCTCTGCATATTGCTAGCCATTTCTCCCAGCACTATTTATTAAATAGGGAATCCTTTCCCCATTGCTAGTTTTTGTCAGATTTATTGAAGATCAGATAGTTCTAGGTGTGTGGTCTTATTTATGAGTTCTCTATTATGTTCTGTTAGTCTATATGTCTGTTGTTGTACCAGTACCATGCTGTTTTGTTTACTGTAGCCTTGTAGTATAGTTAGAAGTCAGGTAGTGTGATGCCTCCAACTTTGTTCTATTTGCTTAGGATTGTCTTGGCTATTTGGGCTCTTTTTTGGTTCCATATGAGTTTTAAAATAGTTTTTTTCAATTCTGTGAAGAATGTCAATGGTAGTTTAATGGAAATAGCATTGAATCTATAAATTTCTTTGGGCAGTATGGCCATTTTCATGATATTGATTCTTTCTATCCATGAGAATGGAATGTTTTCCATTTGTTTGGGTCCTCACTGAAATCCTCTCTGATTTCCTTTATTAGTGGTTTGTAGTTCTCCTTGAAGAGGTCCTTCACTTCCCTTGTTAGCTATATTCCTAGGAATTTTATTCTTTTTGTAGCAATTGTGAATGGAAGTTCATTTATTATTCAGCTCTCAGCTTGCCTATTGTTGGTATATAGGAATGCTAGCAATATTTGCACATTGATTTTATATCCTGAGACTTTGTTGAAGTTGCTTATCAGCTTAAGAAGCTTTTGGGCTTAGACAATGGCGTTTTCTAGATATAGGAGAATTTCATCTGCAAACAAAGATAATTTGACTACCTCTCTTCCTATTAGAATACCCTTTATTTCTTTCTTTTGCCTGATTGTCCTGGCCAGAACTTCCAATACTATGTTGAATAGGAGTGGTGAGAGAGAGAGCATCCTTGTCTTGTGCTGGTTTTCAAGGGGAATGCCTCCAGCTTTTGCCCATTCAGTCTGATATTGACTGTGGGTTTGTCATATACGGATGTTATTATTTTGAGGTATGTTCTTTCAATATGTAGTTTATTGAGAGTTTTTAACATAAAGGGATACTGAATTTTATCAAAGGGCTTTTCTACATCTATTGCGATAATCATGTGGTTTTTGTCTTTAGTGCTGTTTATATGATTAATCACATTTATTGATTTGCATATGTTTAACCAACCTTGCATCTCGGGGATGAAGCCAACTTGATCGTGATGGATAAGCTTTTTGATGTGTTGCTGGATTTGGTTTGCCAGTATTTTATAGAGGATTTTTGCATCAATGTTCTTCAAAGATATTTGCCTGAAGTTTTCTCTTTTTTGTTGTATCTCTGCTAGGTTTTGGTATTAGGATGATGCTGACCTCTTAATATGAATTAAGGAGGAGTCTTTCCTTTTCAATTTTTTCGGAATAGTTTCAATAGAAACTATCCCAGCTGTTCTTTGTACCTCTGGTAAAATTCAGCTGTGAATATGTCTGGTCCTGGGCTTTTTTGTTGTTGTTGCTGTTAGTAGGCTATTTATTACTACCTCAATTTCAGAACTTGTTATTGGCCTATTCAGGGATTCAATTTCTTCCTGGTTCAATCTTGGGAGGCTGTATGTGTCCAGGAATTTATCCATTTCTTTTAGGTTTTCCAGTTTATGTGCATAAAGGTGTTTGTAGTATTATCTGATGGTTTTTATATTTCTGTGGGGTCAGTGGTGATATCCCCCTATCATTTCTGATTGTGTTTATTTGATTTTTTTCTTTTATTCATTAGTCTGGCTAGCAGTCTATCTATTTTATTTTTTCCAAAAACCAGCTCCTGGATTCATTGATTTTTTGAAGGGTTTTTCATAGCTCTATCTCCTTCAGTTCAGCTATCATTTTGACTATTTCTTGTCTTCTGCTAGCTTTAGGGTTTGTTTGCTCTTGGTTCTCTAGCTCTTTTAGTTGTGATGTTAGGTTGTTAACTTGATATCTTTCTAGCTTTTTGATGTACCCACAGAGATAATTAATACAGTGCTAAAGTAGTCTTATATTTCAAATTTTCACTTTGAGAAGCCAAGGTGGGTGGATTGCTTGAGCCCAGGAGTTTGAGACCAGCCTGGGCAACATGGCAAAACCCTGTTTCCGCAAAAATTACAAAATTTAGCCCAGTGTGGTGGCGCACACCGGTAGTCCCAGCTACTTGGGAGGCTGAGGTGGGAGAATTGATTGATTGCTCTCGGGAGGTAGAGGCTGCAGTGAGCTGTGACTGTGCCATTGCACTCCAGCCTCGGTGAAAGAGCCAGACCCTGTCTCAAAAAATTTATGTTAAAAAGATTCCCATAGCAATTATTTATTGAACACTTATTCTTTGTTTGTATTATAACTACAATAGTGATTCCATTGGCTTAGTTTATAATTTAAAAAAAATGGAACAGCACAAATGTCCATCATTACAGGTTTAGTTACATAATCTTCTTAGTATACCCGTTTAATCTGGTTATCTTTGGGTGTTTGGTTTATAAAAATAATTAATCCTTATATATTGGGCACTTAATACACAGTAAAAATAATTCTTTATTAACTGTTCATCAACCCAATTGATAGTGACACTATTATGTGTGGCGGGACACAAAGGACAGCCACAAGTAAGTGATATTGCCCTCTAGAGATGCCACTTACGTTAGCAGCACTGTGCTAGCTACATTGTCTTATCTGGCGTGCTATTTCATTTATCCCTGGTGGGACAATTCACACTTCAAGGAAGCAGAATGACTTATAAGGCTACAATTTTAACCAATATAGTACTGAAATAAGCACAATAAGAGAAATAAAACAAGAAAGCCCACTAACACACCCAAATATACAAGTTTTTAGTGTGTGATAGGGAAACATTTCTGATCAGTAGTAAAAAATAGGCTATTATAGAAACTATATTTGTATAATTAGTTAAATATTTGAGGGAAAATGAAGAGCTTTATTTTCTGACATACATTCAGATATCTTCAGGGTGGGCAAGAGACATGAAATAAAAGGCATCCGGGTTGAAAGGAAAGAAGTAAAACTATCTATTTGCAGGTGATGTGATCTTGCATATAGAACATCCCAAATAATTCACTAAAGAACTGTAGGAACTAACAAATGAGTTCAGCAATGTGGCTGAATATATGATTGATATACAAAAATTAATTGTATTTTATGTGCTAGCAATGAACTATTCAAAGAGGAAAGTAAGAAAACAATTCCACTTAAAATAGCATAAAGATAATAAAACACTTAGAAATAAATTCAATAAAAGGTCCAAGACTTGTACACCAAAAACTAAAAAAAATTGTTGAAAGAAATAAAAGAATACCTAAATAAATGGAAAACCATTCTATATTCATAGATCTGAAGACTTAGTATTTCCAAAATTGATCCATAGAATCAGTGTAATCTCTATCAAAATCTTATCTGGCTTCTTTGCAGAAATTGGTAAGCTGATCCCAAAATCCACATGAAAATGCAGGAAACCCAGAATATACAAAACAATATTTAAAAAAAAGGAAAACATTGGAGGTCTCACACTTCCAGATTTCTATCAAGGCAGTGTGGTACTGGCATAAGGACATATAGATCAATGGAATATAATTGAGAGTCCAGAAATAAGCCCTCATACCTACAGTTGTGCCAAGAAAATTCAACTATGAAAGAATAGTCTTTTTAACAAATGGTGCTGAGACAAATGGATATCTACCTGCAGAAAAAATGAATTTGGGCCTCTTTTTCACACCATCTACAAAACAATTCAAAATAGATTAAAGTCCTAATTGTAAGAGCTAAAACTATCAAATTCTTAGAAGAAAACTTAGGTGTAATTCTTTATGACCTTGGATTAGGCAATGGTTTTTTAGATATGACAACAAAAGCTCAAGAAACAAAAGAAATATAGATAAATGAGGCTCCATCAAAATGCACAATTTTTATGATTCAAAGGACATCATCAGGAAAGTGAGAAGACAACTAACAGAATAGGAAAAATTTTTGCGAGTAATGTATCTGATAAGGGACTTGTATCTATAATACATAGAGAATACTTACAACTAAATAATTTTAAAAACCCAATTTTAAAATGGGCAAAGGATCTGAATAGGTATTTCTCCAAAGAAAATATACAAATGGCCAATAAATACATGAAAATGTGCCCAACATCATTAGCCATCAGGAAAATGCAAATCAAAGCCATAATGAGATACCACTTTATACCCACTAGGATGGATATAATAAACAAGAAATATAATGACAGGTGTTTGCAAAAATGTAGAGAAATTGGAAACATCACATACTATAGGTGGGAACATCAAATGGCACACTACTGTGGAAAACAGTTGGGCAGTTCCTCAAAATGTTAAACATGGCATTACCTTATGACGCAACAATCCACTCCTAAGTATATCCCCAAGGCAAATGAAACAATATGCCTACACAAAACTTGAATGTGTATGTTCCTGGCAGCATTATTCATTATAGTTAGAAAGTAGAAATATCTTAAATACCTATCACTCAATGAATAGATATATAAAATATGGTATGTCTGTACAATGGAATATTATTTGGCAAAAAAATGGAACAAAGTGCTGATACATGCTAAAACATGAATGAACCTTGAAAACCTTGTGCCAAGTGAAATAATCCAGTCACAAATTATTACATATTGTATTAGTCCATTAATATGCAACATTTAGAATTGGTATATCCATAGAGACAGAAGGTAAATTAGTAGTAGCATAGGGCTAGGGGTGGGAAATTGAAGGGAAAATGTTAGTGACTGCTAATGGGCATGAGATTTCTTTTTGAGGTGATGAAAATGTTCTAAGGTTGATTGTGATGATGGTTGCACAACTCTGTGAGTATATTAAAAAACCATTGGATTATGCACCCTAAATAGGCGAATTATATGGCATGAGAATTATATCTCAATAAAGCTGTGATAAAAATCTGTCATAATATTGATTATTTCAAAGTATTATATATGCAGATTTTCACTATAATGGATTGAATTAAAGTCACATAATTTTTCTCTATTATGCATGTTTTAATATTTATATGTTAGTACATTTCCTTGATTATTTTATTTGGATTTATTCTAAGAACTTGAATTAATGGATCAAAAGTTATGAGAATTTTAAGATTTATTGATATATGTAGCTAAATGTTTACTATGTTGTTAATTATAAAAACTACAGAAAATCAAACATACATATAATGTAGAGGGTGGGGTTGTATGCTATATTTTACTAAATTTTTCTATGCTTATTTCATATACAATTTGTATATTTAATGAAATTGTACTGTATATACTGTTCTGCTACTTGATTCTTTCACTTAAAACTATATCTTCAGAACATTCCCATGTCAGTCTACATAGGACTACCTTATACATTTTAATGGTTGCATAATATTCTACTCTTTAGAGTTACCAAAGTTTATTTAATCAATTCTCCATTGATTAGCATTAGAAATGTTCCATACTTTTACTATTAACAACATTGATCTATTGAATATCTATATGCATATTGCATCCATTTATTTACCTGGGGAAGAGATTTAATTTCCGAAGTTGTTATGTCCCGCTCCACATATGATATGTGACCTTTCCATTCTTCGCATTGACAGATGTGGACTTTGTCTCTTCCTTTTGAATTTGGGAGGCCCTGCGACTATTTTGATCAGTATAATACAGTGTAAATCACTTTGTGTGACTTTTGAGGTTAGGTCAAAACACCCCACAAAGATCTGCCTGGCATTTTTGGAATATTCACTCTTGGAGAAGCAGCTGCCATGTAACAATTCTTCCTACCCTGAAACCACCATGCTGAAAAGGCCATATATTTGCTCTTTGATTGACAGCTCCAGCTGTGTTGTAATCCAAAAGCCAGCAATAACTGCCATCCCTCTTAGTGAGCCCTCTTGGATTTCCATCCTAGTCCAACTTAAAGATGATTGCTGTCCTAGATGACATATTTTATTGACTGATTGATTGATTGAGACAGTCTCGCTCTGTCACCCAGGCTGGAGTGCAGTGGTGCAATATCAGCTCACTGCAACCTCCACCTCCTGGGTTCAAACGATTCTCCTGCTTCAGCCTCCTGAGTAGCTGGGATTATAGGGGCATGCCACCACACCAGGCTAATTTTTATATTTTTAGCAGAGACGGGGTTTCACCATGTTGGCCAGGCTGGCCTCAAACTCCTGACCTCAGGTGATCTACTCACCCTGGCCTCCCAAAACGCTGGGATTACAGGCGTGAGCTGCGGCGCCTGGCCTCCAGCTGGCATCTTGACCTCAGCATCATGAGAGTCCCAAAATAAGAACCTAGCAGCTGAACTCTTCTTGAATATAAATGATTAAATTTTGGAGTAATTTGTTATGCAGCAATACTAACCTTAATAACCTGTATAAAAGATGAAATAATACTAGGAGTAAAATAAATCATAAATAGATATCCCACAAAGCCTGAAATATTTACTTTCTGGCCCTTTATGGAAAAAGTTTGTCAGCCCATGTCTTAGACCAAAGGAAACAATTTAACCTCAACCACCACAACAATCGTCATCATTGAGATGTGATGTTGAGTGACTACTAATATAGATGCATATCAGGGTACAGGTATCATTCTATTCATTTGTGGGGGTAACTCAAAATGCATGTAATTTTTTTTTATTTTTTATTTTTGAGACAGAGTCTCACTCTGTCACCCAGGCTGGAGTGCGGTGGCACCATCTCGGCTCATGCAACTCTGCGTCCTGGGTTCAAGCAATTCTTGTGCCTCAGCCTCCTGAGTAGCTGGGATCACAGGCATGTGCCACCATACCTGGCTAATTTTTGTATTTTAGTACAGATGGGGTTTCCTATGTTGGACAGGCTGGTCTTGAACACTTGACTTCAAGTGATCCACCTGACTCGACCTCCCAAAGTGCTGGGATTACAGGTATGAGCCACTGCACCCGGCCAAAATACATATAATTTTAAAGTTACAAAAGTGTTATCCTGTGTAATTGGAACAACCAATACTTGAGTACTGGAAACTCATAATCTAAAAGTTGAAAACCTGGCATAGTGGAAAGAATCTAGAATTCAGACTTGGTATTTACTTTAGAAAAGTAACCTCTTCTAGGCCCAGGGGTTAGCCCATCTGTGAAATGGGCATATAATAGTTGAAATACAAATAATGTGGAGAGTTGGTAAGGATACAGAGTAACTAGAACCCACATATACATTCTGGCTGGAACTACAAATTGAAAAAGCACTTTGGAAAGCTGTCAGTATTTACTAAGGTTAAACATTCATGTATGCTCTGACTCAGTAGTTGCACTCCTGGTATATATGCAACAGAAATGAGTTTTTATGTCCACCAAAAGATGTGAACAAGATTGATCATTAAGTACAAAACATAAAGCAATGCAAATGTTCATCAACAGAAGAATAGTGTTATAGTCCTATAATGCATTACAACACAGAAATGAAAATGAACAAATTACAGCTTCAAACAACATGGGATAAAAACACAAATATAGCACTGCTACTTCCATTGTAATCCCTCTGTCACCCTCCTGTCTACAAAACCACATACCTATGGAGTTGAAAATGGGTTCAGGTTTGAGGCCACAAGAAGAAATTCAAAGACAGTGAAAAGGAGAAGCAGCCCCTGGAATTCAGCATGATTGCTGATATCCCCAGTTGTTGGAGTTTGTTAAGAGAAAAATGTGCTTACACATTTTAATTTGAATTAATTAACCAAGTGAATATTGAGGGAGATCAAGCAAATCAACATAGCATTTAGATTTTATTTTAACGTATTTCTTGGCAAGCAGGTTAATGCAGAGAGGCACAGTTTCTATGAGTCTCTGATAGGCTCAAACACTCAGTCTAATGCCATGTCTGATAGAGCAGACGCTGGAGTGAAATTCAAGAGATCGTCCTGGGTTCTGGTGTCAGACCTAACCCAAAACCTACCCGGCCATGGGTAAGGTCCTTCAGTTCTGTGAGAAGATTCCATCTGGGAAAGGACTCTCAGTTACTAGAAGGGACAGAATTCACTATTCACAATTATTTTAACAAGTGTAATGACTATGCATATTATTTATTCTTAAAACAAGATTCCTTATAGTGCATGACAAAATATCTGATCAAGCATCAGGTCCACCCAAAGCCATATGGTCCCTGCCTAGTTTCAACCTCCAAAGGCTGATGTTGTTCACACTTACCTCTGTGTGGAAAGATCTTGGAAGCAGAGGTAGTTAAATTATGGATGGGTTTTGGTATTACTTAGTAATAGTAGAAGCCATGAGGGGCAGGGCTGGCCTATCACATCTCTCAGATGGACCACGGGTCAGCATGCAAGGACTGGACTGATGACCCACTAAAGAGAAGTCTGGGTGCTCTCATGTTCCCCTAATGTCCTCCTCAGGGACTGGGCAAAACCTGCCGATGACCCTAGATTTGTTTTTAAAGTCCCTCAAGATAAGGGGAAAGAGTGGCTACTTTTTCAAACTTTCTCCTCCTCACACCATCCTTATTCTCCTCTTATCCAGTAGTAACAGGCCAGGATCAAAGAGGAGATGGGCAGTAAGGGGCCAGGAATAAGGACCAAACCCATTGTACTGGTGACTGCACTGGGAGCTGGGATTTCATCCTTCCAAGTTGAGGTGGTGGGTTTTATTTTCAGGCATATGTGCTTGGAAGTGAAAAAAATAAGATAACATTCATTTAGCTTGTGTGTGTGTGTGTGTGTGTGTGTGTGTGTGTGTGTCACATTATTTTTCTTAATCAGTTGCCATGTGCTATGGTTTGAATGTTTGTGTCTACTCCAAAATTCATGTTGAAACTTAATATCCAATGTAATGGTATTCAGAGGTGGGGGCCCTAGCAGGTGATTAGGCTATGAGGGCTCTGCCCTCATGAACAGGATAAACGACTTTATAAAAGGGCTGGAGGGAACTGCGTAGGCCCCTTTTGTCCCTACACTTTCCTCCAAATGAGGATGCAGCAACAAGATGCTTTCTTGGAAGCAGAACCTGATCCTTCAACCAGATATCAAACTTGCTGGTGCCTCCTGAATTGTGAGAAATAACTTTCTGTTCCTTATAAATTACCCAGTCTCAGGTATTTAGCAGCACAAATGGACTAACATGATGTATGAGGCAGGAATTATGTCCACAACTACTAGCCCTGAATTTATATCCTTAAATCTCCATGATTGGGAGCAAAAGATTAGACAATAAAGCTACCAAACCTAAGCAAAGAGCCACACCAGTTTCCTCTTCAACATCCAAGGCTGAACATCCCAGGAAGGCTCTTATTGGTTCAGCAGGGTCACCTCCCCACACTCTGGGCCAATAGCTCAGGGGCTGCGGGTCCTACATTGGCTGACCCAGCAGAGAGTGGGGTATGAGCTGCACTCATTGAATGCTCACATCATCTGAGTCAGGCATAATTGCAGCTCATTAAGATTTATGATTTTTAAAAAGACTTTTGACTGGGAAAGAACAGAACTGAATAAGCCTCAATGAAATAGAATACAAATTTCAGAGTCCAGAGAGCTTGGTAAGGGGATTGGACTGTTTCTTGAAATTTATGATATATATTTCTGTGCTTTTTGTTTTCATCATGTATTAACATGAATTCAAAAAAAGCTTGTGATATTTTTATTCCAGTAACACTGTTTCCCCAGGAGTCCTGCTTATAGTACGTTATTTACAGCAGTTAAAGCTGTTTCCCTTAGTCTTTTTTTTTTTAACACAGAATTAGAGCACTCTTGCCCAGTCTCCTTGTTCGTCATGCACCCACCAGGTTAATAATCAGATGTACTCATTGCCCCATCTAGCCTTTCAGCATCAAGCCTTGTTTTTTTTCTTTACTTACCAGATTCATCTATCTCAATCACCCCTGCACTCTCAGCCAAATTATAACGCATTTTTAATGTTCTTTCACTAATGTTTCTATTTACTTTCTGAATTTACAAGAGGAAAATGGCAAAAGCGCTATAACTGTCCTCATGGATTTGATATATTAAAAATGCCTTTTTCCATAATACAATGTGTATGAGACCAATATGCTAGAATAATTTTGGTAAAACATTTGTATGGCACACTGACAGACATTGGCATTTTGAAGCAGCATGATATAAATTAAGTGACTTAATGAAATGTTTTTTTACAAATATGTCCACAGCTCTTTCTCTGAAAGAGAAAGCCTTTTTTTCAAGCCACACATGGCTCTGAAAAAAGCCTTGGTTTCCCAAAATGTTGTCCCAAATGTGTAAGTCAATCATGTGGTACCTCTTTGGGCAGTTTACTTGCAGATTATTTTGTTGTAGTTTTCCAGGTCTCCTCTGCAGTAAAATCCTTTTTCAAGTCCTTTTATAAGATTTTTAAAAATACACCAGATCTTGATAAATAATAGTCTTGATGAGAGGGCTCAATTTTTCTGAATCCTGACTCTAATGATGGTAATGCTAGTATTTTACCATGAAACAAACATTGTATAACTCATTATATTAGCAAAGGAAGTTAAATCATGTACTGAGATTAACTGAAGATTACCCTTTTTTCCTTTAACATCATAAGGTGAATCATACTTGTATTTTACTGGAACATCTTTGTATTTTTGGATGAATCCTGCTTTGTCCCTTTTTGTTCATCATTAACTATGATGCCAGATGTAATTGCTAATATTTTATGTAGGATTTTATATTCTCGCTTATAAATGTCACTGGTCAGAACTCTTTTTGGCATATTTTCCTTACATCAAAATGATATTTTTTCCCTTCGTAATCTGACACCGTTCCATTAAGAGAAAAGAACACCTGTTCCTTAGTGGTTTGACATGAAATACTTTTGGAAGCCTGGCCTTTTGGGATGGTAGCTCACTGGTGACCTCGATTTCTTCTATTCTTCTTAGTCCTTAAATCTCTTTTGTGGGGAGGAGAGTGGGTTTAGTTTCTGTCATTTATATTTTCCACAAATTTATACATTCATTCAATATTTTCAGTTGTATTATCATAGATATTTAAAAGAGATATCCTTTCCATTGAATAATATTTCCTACATTATTTCCCTTTTCTCCCTAAGGAGTTTAGTTAGATGTTTAGTTTAGTAACTTTTTTCAGCCAAGAGCCCTGATATTTATCCACAAATTATACAGTTTAAAGTATGTTTCTAGGACCTAAGTATTGTCAAGAAAACTATTTTTAAATTGTTTATTGCTCATGAATATTTTACATTTTAATAAATATTCCTGTTTTTTGTGTGTGTTGTTTGGAGACCATAGTTTTGTCATCTTTCCTTGAGTCATTGAGGTTTTTGATAAGAATGGGAGGCAGTGGTTTGTTAGCCAGGTCTCTTGTTTTCCACGAGCTCCTCTCCCATGTGGGAGGATTCCTGCTCAAGCCACAGTGGCTTAGCCCAGGGTGACATTAGATTCTGGGTTACTGGACAAATGGCCCGAACGTGGCCAGCATCATTCCTCTGGCATTACGGACCGGGTTATGGAGATCAGAATCACTCAACAAGTTGAAGCTGAAATTGCTCCAATTTAGCTGCTGTAGATGGTATCTTCAAAGTGCTCTTGGTGGAGCCTACAGGAAGCTTTCAGTCAGCCTGACCGTTTCATGCCTTCTCATTGGACTGTGCCACATAGAACTATCCAATCACATTTGCCATTGTGTGGTTTATTGGCAGGGTTTCCTCGAATTACATTTCATCTAATTAGAAATTGTGTGTGTACCCAGTACTTCATTTGAATACAGGGCCTATACATGGGCACCACCCTGTCACCAACCACTATCTTTTTCATTTCAAGGTATTGAAAACAATGTCCGTCATGGCTGAGCATTCTTCTAAATCTGACTTTAATAAAAAGGGCTTTAAGAAAGTCATTTCCAAAACACAGAAGGGGAAGATGTGAAAAGAGATGCTATGGAGACAGTTGAGTAACTGTCTATATTTACATCTATGTTTACAGGGTTCTGAAGCAATTTCATCCTGATATCAGCACTACATTAAATTTCTTGGGCATCATGAATGATTTTCTTATCGACATCTTTGAGCACATCACCACCAAGGCTGGCTGCCAGGTTGCTACACTGAGTGCTCCACTATCACCTCCAGAGAGATCCAGACCACCCGAGCCTGATGCTGTCTGGGGATATCCACAAACACGCTGTATTGAAAACCAAAGGTAAGAACCATGTTCCAGTAACATTGAATCTACTTTAGTTCTTGAAGTGTGATGTCCTGCTAATTTTAAAACATTTTTTTTACAACAAACTAGATATTATCAATTTTAGTTTAATGTATCTATGGTCCAATTTGTTTAAAAAATAAAATAGTGGGTTATACTTAATAATGTTGCATTATACCACTTTACTAACGAATCAGTTCTTTTAGTTATTTTTGTAGGTAAGCCATTCACGGGACCTGTAAGATGTTATCTATATTTTTCATTCTCATTCCCTCACAAATATATGCTGAAATTTTCCAGAGATACCTTATATATTATATTCAACAGATTAATTGCAGGAACATATATAAGAATTCAACAGACTTCTGTTAGAATAAATATTAAAGAGATTTTCAAATAAAAAGTCCATCTCCTTATGACTTGTTTTAGAAAACATATTTTTCATATAAATTTACAATGTAGGTTTACAGAATGTAATGGATATTTTATTGTAAGTTTAACATGAATTAATATAAATATATTAAAAATTTCTGTTTTACTATTTAATATAATAAATATTAACAGATATGACTGCATGAAATTTTAAAGCTTCATTATTTTTAAACTGAAAATAACCTCTTTCTCAGGCTTTGCCGCAAGAGAGGAAGGCCATTCTTTTCCACACCCTCACTGTACAAAATTCATTTGCATATTTATAGACTGGAATTATTTCCATTTCTTTAAGTAACTAAAAGTGTACAGAGCTATAATATTGCTCCCATAGAATCAGAATCAAACAACCCAGAAGGGTGTACTATAAATAACACACAATTTTCCTTTGAAGAACATTTTTCCTATAGTTTTTCTATTTTTGATAAACATTAATTTCAAAGTATGGTTATTCTTGACCACAAAATGAGGCTGAACTCATTAGATTTGGCTTGTTTATTTACACAGGTACAGCAGAAATCCTAATTTACTATATAGTCCTTCTTTAGTATGCATTGCTAAGAGTTTTCATAATGATGACATTGGACTTTTTTACTGTATTTATATATATATATATATAAAAAACAAAATTTACCATATAGATCATTTTTGGTGTACAGTTTAGTGACATGAAATATATTCACATTGTTGTGCAACCATTATCACCATCTGTCTCCAGACTTTTTCATCTTCCCAAACTGAAGCTGTACCCATTAAACAACAACCTCCCATTCCCCCCAAAACCCAGTCCCTGGTAACCACCATTCTACTTTCTGTCTCTATGAATTTGACTACTCTAGGTACCCCATATAAATGGAATCATACAATATTTGTCTTTTGTGTCTGGCTTATATCACTTAGCATAATGTCTTCAAGGTTCATCCATGTTATAGCATGTATCAGAATTTTATTCCTTTCTAAGGTTGAATAATATTCCATTGTATGTCTATATCACATTTTATTTATTTATTCATCCCTTGGTGGACACTTGGGTTGTTTCCATCTTTTGGCTATTGTGAATAATGCTGTTATTGACCATTGGCATACAATATCTATTCAAGCTCCTGCTTTCAATTCTTTTGGATATGTACTCAAAGTGGAATTGATGGATCATATATTAATTGTATGTTTAATTTTTTGAGGAATTGCCATGCTGTTTTCCACAGTGGCTGTACCATTTTACATTTCCATCAACAATGCACAAGGGTTCCAGTTTCTCTGCATCCTTGCCAATACTTGTTATTTTTTTTTTCTCGTATAATAGCCATCCTAATGAATGTGAAGTGGTATCTCATTGTGTGGTTTGATTTGCATTTCCTTACTAATTAGTGATGTTGAGCATCTTTTCGTGTACTTATTGGCAATCTGTATATCTCCTTTGGAGTAATAGTCATTCAGGTCCTTTGCCGAGTTTTTAATTCGATTATTTTTTTTATTGTTGAGTTGTAGGAGTTATTTATATATTCTAAATATTAGTCCCTTATGAGATATATGATTTGCAAATATTTTCTCCCATTGCATGGATTGCATTTTCACCATGTTGTTAGTGTCCTTTGATGCACATAAGTTTATTTTGATAAATCCAATTTATCTATTTTTTGTTGCCTGTGCTTTTGTTATCCAAGAAATCATTGCCAAAACTAATGTCATGAAGGTTCCCCCCCATGTTTTCTTCTAAGAGTTTGATAGTTTTAGATTTACATTTAGGGCTTTGATCTATTTTGAGTTTATTTTTGTATATGGTGTAAGGGAAGTATCTAAATTCATTCTTTGGCATGTGGATATTCAGTTTTCCTCACATATTCATTAAAGAGACTGTCCTTTCCCTCATGGAATGGTCTTGGCACCCTTGTCAAAAATCAATTATCATATAAGTGAGAGTTTATTTCTAGGCTCTCTATTCTATCTCATTAGTTTATTTGTCTGTCTTTAATGCCAGTACCATACTATTTTGATTACTGTAGATTTTTGGTAAGTTTTAAAATCTGGTAGTGTGAGACCTCCAACTTTGTTCTTCTTTCTCAAGATTGTTTTAGTTATTCAGTATCCCTTGAGATTCCATATGAATTTTAGGATGCATTTTTCTATTCCTGCAAAAAACATCATTGCATCATTGAGATTTTGATAGGGATTGAATCTATAGATCACTTTTGTTAGTACTGACATCTTAACAATATTAAGTCTTTCAATCCATGAACACAGAATGCATTTCCATTTATTTCTGTCTTTTAAATTTTCTTTCATCAACATTTTGTAGTTCTCAGTGCAGATGTCTTTTGCCTCCTTAGTTAAGTTTATTCCTAATTATTATATTCTTTTTGATGCTATTGAAAATGGAATTGTTTTCTTAATTTTCTTTTTGGGTTGTTCACTGTCAATGTATAAAAATGCAACTGATTTTTATGTGTTGGTTTTGTATCCTACAACATTGCGGAATTTATTAGTTCGAACAGTTCTTTTGTGGAATCCTTAAATTTTTCTACAAACTAGGTAATGTCACCTGTGAACAGAAATAATTTTACTTTCTTTATAATTTGAATGCTTCTTTTTCTTCATGTAATTGCTTTGTCTAGAACTTCCAAAATTATTTTGAATGCAGGTGTCTTGTTCCTGATCTTAAAGGAAAGGCTTTCAGGCTTTCACCATTGAATTTGATGTTAGCTGTGGGTTTTTCACATTGGATTTTTAAAAGCCTCTTATTATTTGCTCATCCTGAGGCTATGAAGGAAACTCAAGAAACTTTTCTCACTGGATTTCACCTGCACTATATATAATTTGGGCCAATTCTTTCTTCTTGAGGTTATCAAACTATCTCAGAGGTCCTGGCCTTCGTTTCTCACCTATAAGGCTGGGACCCTGAAAGCCAGGTACTAAGTCAGTTTTCCTCAGTGGGCTTTCTAGTTTAAATTTTAATTCTCTAACTGTAGCTGGTTATACTTGATTAAGTGAGCATCATTCTCAAATATGATATTTCAGACAAGGCCTTATTTGCATAACCAAATTTGCCAATTATTAATATATCCTGGTTAAAAGGAGGACAAGTTCTTATTGAACCTGTATAGATCACTATATTACCATGAAAAGTAGAATACCTAATTTGAATTTGTGAATTCTACAGATGGTGGGGGTATCAGAGAGAAAAAGATAATTTGCAAATATTTTGTTTCAGTTTACAAATGCCAAGTCTACTAAATTGTTATGGGTTAAAGATATGTAAGAAAGACAAGTCTGCATTATATATCCAGAACATAGAACAACATCAGCAATATTTAAAAAAAACTACAATAATCCCTCATCAGATAATTCAGTCATATATGATTAACTCTTGTTCTGATGGATTTGGGGTTAGCAGTCTCATGAATCCATCTGCTTCTCAATTTAAAAAAATTCTGGAAATCCTCAGTCTATTGGTATGGTTTTTAAGTTGCTGAAGCAGTGACTTCAGAAGTTAGCCAGGCGCAGTGGCTCATGCCTGTAATCCCAGCAGTTAGGGAGGCTCAGGTGAGAGGATTGCTTGAGGCCAGGAATTAGAGACCAGCCTGGCCAAAATAGACCTCCATCTCTGCAAAAAACAACCAACCAACCAACCAACAACGACAACAACAACAACAAAAACACCTCAGCCCGGCATTGTGGTGCACACCTGCCATTCCAGCTACTTGTGAGCCTGAGGCAGGAGGATTGCTTGAGCCCAGGAATTAGAGGCTGCAGTGAGCTATGATCACAACAATGCACTCCAGCCTTGGTGACAGAGCGAGACCCCCATCTCAAAAAAAAAAAAAAAAAAAAAAAAAAAGAGAAGCAGCAGCCAGTACCTTTCATGTGTCAAAAGACTAAAATACATAGCATAGTTTTGGGGGGAGGGATACAGCTCCTTTCCAGCACCCTAACATCTTTACATGTATTGACATAGGCCATGTAGGCAAAGTTTGAACCCCTGCTCATCTAAATCTTGGAATAATACCTTTTTGGTCTTGCTTGAGCATGAAAGCATGGCAAGTCTCTGAGCAGCTGTTAACCACACCATTTCTCACTTGCCTCCCTATCTAGCAGGAGACTATCATGAGAGTTTCTTATTGCCTCTTGGATTCTGATGAGGTGTGAGTCATTCTGCCCTACTCCTTTGGATTACAGCTGCAGGCTGTAAAACTTTTTAGCTGCATTTATCATTTTTTTTTTGTGGTGGCAACATTCACAACCTACTCTGTTAGTAATCTTGAACTATACAATACATTGGTATTTGCTATAAGTCACCCTACTGTCTAATAGAACACCCAGCTTATTCTTCCTGCCTAACTGTAACTGACTACCCCAATTTGATCATTATACTATTTATACGTGCACCAAAACATCACATTGTAGCCCATAAATATATACAATTATCATGTGCCAATTATAAATAAAAATTAATTTTAAAAAACTGTGGCTGTAGTACAGCACTGACTTCTTAGGAACAGGATGTCCTCTCACGCATGTTGCAGTCATTTGGCCCCTTTTATTTTGCCCAATGCAGGGGACAATTTGCTACTCATTAAAAAATATGTATGTAAGTAATAAACTCTCTGAATCGGATAAGGGCTAATTGTTTCTTTACTGACCAAATCTACCACCCTGCTCAGTGTTGACATCCATTTCCGCAGGGCTCTGAGACAGTCCTCCTTTCTTGAGGAGACAAACTCCAGCCTGTGACTGATTGCAGAGTCTTCTGGCAAGCTTCAGAGTAAAACAAAAACTATTTGTGGATGACAAAGGCTTAAAATGGGACTGTGGTTAATTTTTTGATGGTAATTTTCGGAAGTGAAAGAACTGATGTGTCTATAACAGGAATAATGCAATCGACAGAAAATTTGGTTATTTCTGTGACACAAAGGTAATAAAGTTAATCCACAAAGTTTTAAACACAATGTATTTAAAGATAGTCATTATACAGATTTTCAGTGAAGACAGTGAATATTACATCTGATTTACAAAAAAGATGAACATAATTTTTATAAAGGAAAAATATTTGGATTTAATAATTCAAGAACACACAATGTACATAATATACCATGAGTATATTAAGAATTCAGTAGTAATATATACCAATAGAATATCAAGTTGAGATTCAGTAAGTCCAGAGTAGATCCTAAACATCTATAATTTAGTAAAGCCTCATAGGAAATATTTTACAGATGTATGTACACAGGTTTAACTAGGTATCACTGTGTAACTTGCAATTTTCACCAAATATTGTTTCTGAAATTTATCTACATTCTAATTGCTGTAGCTTTAGTACATTCATTTTTACTGGTATATTGTATTCCATTGTATGATTGTAGTATGATTTATCCAGAATAATCTGTTGATGGACATTTCAATTGTTTTCGGATTTGTGCTGTTAAAAACAGTGGTGCACAAATATTAATTTTACCTGTTTTTTAAACATACCAGTGGGATTATACAGTATTCCCTGTTTTTGCTTGGCTTCTTTTGTGTTTTTTTAAATTTAAAATTTTTAATTTCTGCGGGTGCCTAGTAGATGTATATATTTATGGGATACATGAGATGTTTTGGTACAGTTATACAATGTGAAATAATCACATCACAGAACATGAAGTATCCATTCCCTCAAGCATTTATCCCCTGTGTTACAAACAATCCAATTATACTCTTTTAGTTATTTTAAAATGTATACTAAAATTACTATTGACTATAATCTCCCTGTTGTGCTACCAAATACTAGGTCTTATTCATTCTGACTACTTTTTGTGCCCGTTAACCATCCCTCCTTCCCCTTCATCCTTCCACTACCTTCTCCAGCCTCTGGTAACCATCCTTCTACTCTCTATTTCCATGAGTTCAACTTTCTTTTGCTCAACATGTCTGTGACACTTAAGAAACATATCAACCAAGTGCAATATGGGGCCCTTGTTTGGACCATAATTGGAACAAACCAACTGTACAAAAAGCATTTGTGCAACAATTGATATTGATATTTGATATTAATGAGTTACTATCAAATTTTTTCTAGGTGTGACAATGGTATTGTGCTTATGTTTAAAAGAGCTCTCATCTTTTAGAGATTCATACTGAAATACTTATGGATGAAAATATATTATTTGCTTCAAAATGGTGGAGGTGGGAAAATGTGGAGTATATGGCTGTGAATTGATAATTCTTGGAATTAGGTGATGAGAAATGGGTGTTTAATAGACTATTTTCTCTACTTTTGTATATATTTGAAATTTTCCCTAATAAAAAGGTTTTTAAAAAAGAGTGGTACAGAGGTCATTTTGTACAAATCTCCTTGTATACATCTACCATATATATATATATATCTGTGAGTCCATTTGAGGTGTTATCAAATAGGTACAGTCTGCTAGATATGACCAAAATGTTCTGCAAAGTCTATATGTATGCCAGGTCACAATCTAACCAATTGTGTATGGAAGGTCTCATTGGTCTACCTTGTTCATCTAAAGAGGAGGTTGAGTGCCTGATTCCAAACACAGGCCTTTTAGTCAAGCACATGGGGATTGAGATAGCAGCTCTTTCTCTTAGAAGCTGTGTTACCCTGGAACCTGTACTTAACCTCTCTGAAACTCAGTCTTATAATCTGTAAAAGGAAATCCTGATACCAAATAGAATATCTAGAACATATAGAAAGACAGCATTTGTCTGTTTCCTTCCCATTCTATCTTTTTTAAAGAGAGATTTTATTTTTAACCTCAAGATCATCGCTATGTCTTAGCATTTTGGGAATGTTAAAAGGAGAAGAAAAAATAAACACGCTCATGTACTTATGTAACAGATTCAAGGCCATTTCTGTGAGACAGAATGTTATAGAATGAGTTGTCTGATAAAAACAGGTAGGAAAAAAGTGCACACTTTCCTATTGAATGGTTGTACCTTCCCTGTGGTCTTTGTGGCTTTGTGGGTCCAATAGTTTCAATTCAGGTGTTCCCATGATTTAAGAGTCTGGGATCTTCTTGGAGTTCCAGAAACACTAGGCATTTGGTGACTGTGGATCTGCAGGGAGGGACACTGGAACAAGAATCAGGAGCTCTGCCTGAATTTCAGTGCCCGAGCCTTCACTGTTGACAGGACATCAGGTGAGTCATTTCCTCTCTCCTCTCCTCAGCTACCAAAGAGGATAACACCAGGGAGCCAAGTCAATGGGAGTCTGGTACCTAGACTGAGGATTTGCTATGTTCCAAGCACTGTACCATTTGCATTATTTGCGTTTCTCTCTTTTAGTCAAGTACTTTTACTCAAGTGGCCTTCATGAAGCAAAGTCCAGCATCCCAGAGAACAACATTGGGAATCTAATTTAGATGCGAGGGGGCACAGAAATCCCTTGTGAGAAATTACCTTTAAATGGCAGCCTGAAGTGTGAATAGGAGAAAGCTAGGGTGGGAGAGATTCCCAGGCAGTGGGAGCAGCATGTGCAAAGGCCCTGAGGTGGGAAGTAGCTTGGCCCATCTGGGCTGGGGGGAGGCCTGTGTAGCAGAGTGAGTGAGAGAGGAGTGGCCTTAGATGAGGGTAGTAAGGAACACTGGGCAGAGTGAACAGGTCTCTGCAGGCTATATAATACAGAGTCTGCATTTTACCTGCTGAGTTCTGGCAAGGCATGGAGAGTTGTAAACACATGTGATCCCATTTGCTTTTGGCAGCCTGGAAGGTGTTGGACGCTGAGGGTAAAAATACTGCTCTCAGAGTTGAATGAAGCAGAGCAGCCATGAGGAGTAACCCTGTGGATGGAGCCTCTGCTGCTGAAGTGACAGAAGTCTGTCCTGTTTACTGTGGAAACCTAACATTGGGCTGGTGACAGTGGTAATGAGGACATGTGACAGGACGTGGGGCTGGCCGGTGGGACTCTCCTCATTCCTCTACTCCAGTGAGTGTGTTGCCCGAGGTGAAGAGGCTTGGAGGGCAGTTGATCCCTCACAGAATTTAGGTCTGGCTCTAACCATATTAAGAGAGGACAAAGGTCACTGAGATACATGGTCCCACTTCCTTCATATAGGTCTTTTAAAATGTTTATATATATATATACATATAAAATATATTATCTATAAATATATAATATAATATATAAATATTTTATATATAAATTATATATAAATATATAATTATTTTATATAATATATAAAATATATAATTATTTTATATAATATATAAAATATATAATTATTTTATATAATATATAAAATATATATATTATACATATATAAACATATATTATATATATATTTTGAGACAGGGTCTCACTCTGTCCCCCAGGCTGGAATGCAGCGACGATCAAAGCTCCAGCTCCTAGACTTGAGCAATCCTCCCACCTCAGCCTCCTGTGTAGCTGGGACCACAAGTGCATGCCACCATGCCCAGCTAATTTCCTTTTTATTTTTTGTAGAGACAAGGTCTTACTATGTTGCCCTGGCTGGTCTTGAACTCCTGGGCTAAAGTCATTCTCCCACCCTGGCCTCCCCAAGTGCTGGGATTACAGGCTTGAAGCCACCACACCTGGCCCCTCGTATAGGATTTTAAAAAGCTGAAACACCTAGAAATTCTTCTGTTTGTGACAAAAGGCCCATATTCTTCCATTATATTTTCCCTATTATAATCATATCCAGCCACAATTCTTGATCATTCTGATATTGTTTAAAAGATATTATTATTCACCAGAGCATAACCATTTCCCTTAATGAATTATAATTCAGAAGGAGCATAGATCACATTTATTTAAACTTTTAGCTGTATCCTACTGAACATAATTTTTGTGTTTTTACATCATAAATCATATGGAACTACTTATCATTCCTAAATTAATTTTAATGGAACAAAGAGACAAGGGTGTTTTAAGTGTATATGAAAATCACTTTTATTCTCCTCTGTACCCTTACTGCTTATCAGAATATCTTCCATAGATACTGGTTTGTAATAGATTATAAATAATTTACATGTGGCTGAAAATGTCCCCATAGCTAGACAAAGTGAAATTCTGTTTCCTGACCAACATTCCCCCATCTTACTCTCTAAAGGTAACCACTGCTACACTGATTTATTTATTTTTAAGATACCAAACTGCAATCACAGAATAACACTGATGTGCTAGTTGTGTTCTTCACATAACAAGGTGCACACTTTAAAAAATCATTTTCATTAAGCTATTATTTAGGTAAAGTAAAATTCACTCTCTTTAATGTACAGTTCTTCAAGTCTTGAAAAGTGCATACAGTTGTGTAAGTATTACCAAAATCAAGCCATACAACAGTTGCATCACTCCAAAAAGGGGCATCCTGTGCCCCTTTGCAATCAGCCTGTTCTCCACACCCCAACCCTGGCAATGAACTATTTGTTTTCTGACCCTCCAATTTTGATAGCTGTAGGTTTTCATTTTGCATTTTCATTTTAATTCTGTTCTATGTATTTTTTATTTCCCTTGAGGCTTCCTCATTGACTCATAAATTAACTAGATATGTGTTTAATTTCCAAGTTCTTGGAGACTTTTCTGTTGTCTTTTGTTGTTGATTTCTAGTTTTATTCACTATTGTGAGATAACACATTCTATTCAGTTTCAATTTGTTAAAGTTGGTTTTATGATCTAGGATGTAGTCTGTCTTGCTGAGTGTTTCGTGTGCACTTGGAAAGAGTGTGTGTTCTGCTGTTTTGGGGTGGAGTGTCCAGTAAATGTTAATTAGATGCAGTTGGTTGATGGTGTTGTTCAGTTCATCTATAACTTTACTGATTTTTGGTTTACTAATTCTATCTATTACTGAGAGAAGAGTGTTGAAGACCTCCCATTATAATTTATCTATTTCTCTTTCAGTTCTGTCAGCTTTTGCTTCATGTATTTTGAGGCTCTGATGATATATATCTATATCTATATAGATATGCATATCTATATAAATATATGCACTTAGAATTGTTATATCTTCTTGCTTAATTGGCCTTTTTTATTCCTAGTAATTTTGTTTATTTTCAAGTCTACTTTGTTTGATAATATAGATGCACCAGCTTCTTTTTGATCAATGTTTGCATGGTATTTCTTCAATCATTCTATTACTTTTGAACTATCTATATCATTTATATTTGAAGTGAGTTTCTTGTAGACAGTGTGTAGTTGGGCTGTTTTTATTTTTGTTGTTTTTAAAAAATCCATTCTGATAACCTCATCTAATATGTGTTTTACCATTAACATTTAATGTAATTATTGATATGTTTCCATTTAGGTCTACTACTTTATACCCCGTCTGATTTTCATTACTTTGTTTCCTCTTTCTTGCATTCCTTGGATTTGAACACTTTTTAGTACCCCATTTTAATTTTTCTATTGTGATTTTGAATATATCTCTTTGTATAATATAACATTTTTGTGGTTACTCTATAAATTACAATCTACCTACTTAACTTTTTACAGCCTATTTGGAATTATTGTTTTACCACTTCAATTAATATGTGGAAACCTCACCTTAAAAAGTCCCCTTACCCTCCCTGCTTTATGCTATAGTTTCCTTATAAATTATATCTATGTTGAAACATACATAAATATCTATTATATATAAATTATTTAGAACCCCATCAGTCAATATTATATTTTGCTGTGGTTTTCCAACATTTCTCATGCTTTTGGAAACCTATTCAGCTATATCTTCATATTTACTTCCTCGTTAGAATTCCTTAGAGTCCCAAATTGGGGCAGAAATGAGCAAGAATGAGAAATTTGCCATTCACTGTTTAAAAATAGTCAATAATATTATAATTTAAAAGCAATATAAGTCATTAATAGAAATTTAAACGGTATCCTGGGCAGCATCAAAGGCCAGTGCCCAGAAAGATTAGAGTATTCAGAGCCCTGGCAATTTCAGGACACAATGGGAAAAGCTTTAGAATAATTCAAGGTTCCACTACTGAGCAGGCATTTAAAGCAGTTTCCCTGAAGTACTTAATCTGCCCTAACTTTCTATACCCTGATCTGAATTATAGAATTAAATAGGTAACTTGAATAAGTGTTAAGATTAAAGAATATATATAAATTTTATAATTTATAAAATTTAGAGTACCACTTATTTATATTACTTTTGTAAACATTAATTTTCCACTATCAAGATCATTTTTCTCAGAGGAAATATCAGTTTTTCTGACTGAGCACTTTCTGTCTACCACCTTAACAACCAGTCAATTCAAATAATCACCATATCCAGGCCTCTTAGCTCCAGGGGCAGGATTTCATTTATATTGTCATCATCATTATCATCACCACCACCACCATCAACCCCCAAAAGAGGTTGCTGAGTGCGTATCCATGAGGAAGTATAAAATAATCAGTCCCTAAGTTCCTGTAGCCCATCATCTACATAAGAGGTTGTTATGTATGTGAAGTGTTTGTCAATGTTCTTTCATTCTTACTTCCCCCTAACTCCAGGAGGCTTTTCAAACATTTTTTTCCTAATCAACCCCTCTCAACTGCAGAAGGTGAGATTTTTAATACCACAGATGTAGTGTATATATGTTTATGTACTGTGGTCCTTTGGAGGGTCAAAGATTATTGTAATATCTATGAAAACCCTACCCCAAAAATCTAATTTTTGGCCCCTTGGGCATAATGCCACATATATTGAGAACGCATGGTATATTGTGATTAGGACAAAATTTGGAACCCTATTCCTCCTCCATCCATCTCTTGGTCCATACTAGAAAATATATCATGACCAGATGCTCAGCCTCAATAAACCATCCACAGAGCTACCTCAAGTGTTGATATGGAGCAGTGCTCAGGTCCCTACTCCTGGAGGAGACTGTAGACCTCTAACCTCATCCCTGTCTGGAAGAAATTTCCCTTCCTTACCCTCACTGTGTCTTCAGAGGTCCTCTCTTCCCTACCAGGTAAAAACAACCCAATCATTTCTATAAATTTAAGTTTTCATAAAGGATGGAAGAAACACTGATTTCAGATAGCTTCTGCTTCCATCTCTGCCATAAACTTCTCTTTAGGCAAGGGGAAGGGGCACTCCCTGATGCAAGGAGGATAAACACAGGGAGAATAGAGATTAACCACCTCAACAATACGTGTCCTGATATATTTGCTAAAGCTATGCAATTAGCCAATAAAGGGGTTCAGGCTGCCAGGTTCTATCTCTGGCTCTGGCAGAGGCCTGATGAGAAACCTCTTTGCCATCTAGCTCTGTGGTTAGGAGCATATGCTTTGGAGTCACAGACATCCATGAAGAGAGGATACTGACACCTCACTAGCAGGGCTGTCATGAGATTAAATCCAGACACTAACATGAAGAACCTAAAGCTGGATCCTCTAAACACTCTGCTCCATAAGTATCTGTCTTTCCTCCCTGGAACAGGGAACTCATGTGGCTCCTGAACTGCCCCCTCAGCCAGGACTCCTTAACTAGATTGCAGGTCAGAATCCGAGTGGTATCCTTTTCTAAACCCTCAGTTGAATGTCACTTGTTGGTGGAAACAGGACTTCTGTATCAAAAGGCATTCAAGTTATTAATCCATAATAATATGGGCCTCAGAAAAGTGATATGCCCATTTGATACCAACACTGTATGTGATTGTTTCCCCTTCATACCATCAGCACCAGGTATTTTCTTTATTGCCAATGTAATCTGCTCATTTTTTCCAGATCTGCCCCACTGCATGAGTCATCCCAGAGGGTCGTTAAGCTTATAGATTAACATTCTCCTCCCCTAGGGCTGCCAGATTTAACAAATAAGCATACATCCAGGACACCCAATTGTATTTGAATTTCAGATAAACAAAACAATATTGCATCAGACTAAAAATTATTTGTTGTTCATCTGAAATTCAAATTTAACTGGCTTAGAATAAATTGAATCTGGCAACCATACACATGGAGGACTCTGTGAAGTAGAACCAAAGGGCTACAGTCAACAGCCACCACTGAGCTCCCAGCACACACCTGCGCCAGTTGTCATTCATGTGAGTCAGCACTCTCAGATATCCCAGCCAAGTGTAGCCTCCATGACCACAGCCCAGGTGACAGACACCACATGGAGCAAAAAACAACCAGCAGAGCTCAGTGAACACACAGAATCCTGAGAGATAAGTAGCTATTGTTTTGGGGTGTTTGGTTAAGCAGAAATGGATATTCAAAACATGCCATTTGAGTGTACTTTTTCTATCATTGGGTAATACAGGTATTCCCTTATTCTAGAAGCCTTGGTAGGACTTTGTTATAATTTTAGATATAGTCTGTCTGTGGGTTAATGTGTGAGTATAAACTTCTGAACATTCCATCAATTCCTTCTTGAAGAGATTTCCAAGATAAATTTTTCTGATGTATGATTTTCATTCTACTCTTGGAATTTAGAAATCAATTCCAATCCTTTTCCATAAGGTGAGCCTCCACTGTAATCATGCTTGTTAAGGGAGTAAGAAAGTGTTGTCATAAATGGCTCTGCAGGCCATATGGAAAACCATATCCTCAGAAGTTTGCTTGGTGAGTATACAATCAGAACAGAGAGGTGTTTATTCACTTTGAGAAATGTTCCTCAAAGAAGGTGTCCTGGAATATTTTCTCCTCCTATAGAGATAGCCTTTAGCAAGGAAGTCACTTTCCTTGGGCACACAAAGGCAGGACTCCTTCAGCAGATAGCAGATGGAATATGCATTTTAGTTCTTGACGTTTGTGGCTGTCTCAGCATAGCCCTGCTGGGTAGATAAGTCTGTCCAATTCTGTAGCTCATTAATAGGAAGCCCACATGCCAGCACATCTAAGACACATTCTCCAATCTCACCTTTACAGGGAATAAAGTTGATGTACTATTCTCCTTATGCTTTTGCCATAACTCTTAGTTGGTTTAGAGCTCAAACTTGGAGTGGCAGTTATTTTGGAGGCCGCTTAAAGACCCGAGCATTTTGGAGCAAGATCATAGAAACAGTTGGGAAGCCAGTGAGACCCAGAAAATGGAAGGAGAGATTTGAGCCTATTGGAAGACCCACTCCTGAGGGCAGAGCAGAACACATTTTCAAAAAGTTAATACATAATATTGTACATGTTTATGGGGTACATGTGATATTTTGTTACATGCATAGAATATGTAATGATCAAGTCAGGGTATTTAGGGTATCCATCACCTCGAGTATTTATCATATCTATATGTTGGGAACATTTCAAGTCCTTTCTTCTAGCTATTTTGAAATATGTAATACATTGTTGTTAACTATAGTCACCCTTCTCTGCTATAAAACATTAGAACTTATTTCTTTCGTACCAAGAGTTTTAAAGGGAAAGGGCCTTGGCTGTGCAACCCGTGGTTCTCCTTCTCAACTTGCTAATCAAGTAGCTGATTCCTGTGATAGAGAAGGAGTGAGTGTGCAGAGAGGATGGAATTGCTTTTGTCATGGATGCCCCACCACATGGATGAAAATATCAGAAATGGAGGGTAAGAATCTCCCAGGGTAACTCAATACCAACGGTCCCTGACTTATGGTGGTTCAACTTACGGTTTTTCCACTTTATAATAGGTTTAGTGATGTATTAAATGCATTTTTGAATTATGATATTTTCAACCTAAAGATAGGATTGTCAGGATATAGCCCCATCCTAAGTTGAAGAGCATCTGTATATGATTCAATTGAATAAGTTTCTGCCTACTAAGTAAGTATAATATTCTTGTCCTGATTCCTTGAAATAACTCTGAGATTTCTTAAATGACATATTTTGGTGTCTCTAGGTCATTCAGTCACATGATTATAGGCAGTCTCTTAGTTTTCTGCCACAGATGTCTGCTTAGCATGATCTGTGAGTTGTACCTGTTCCCCCTCAGAGGGCCATCTCATCACCGAGAGCCTTAGAATGGCTCCCTGGGTCTCTGTGTACTGATGATACTCCTCTACTGTCACTTGTAAGCAAGTAAAATTCCTGACAACAGAGACGTGCTTTGTTTCCACAACCTGTAAAATTCCTCCAATTGCTTGGGTCCCAGCCTAGTTCCTCTAATTATTACTATTAAATTTTCTCAGGTGGTGGCTTGAAGAATGAAGGTGTTTCGCTTCCAGGGAAAGGCGAAGGCTTGAAGGGGAGGGTCGTGCAGAAGCATTTTCGGTGTGGAGGACAAGCCTGCGCATCGCGGTTACCATAGTAACCTGACGTCATTTTGGCGACTGTGACAACCATGACGACTTTTTAATGGAGACCGACTTGGCCTGGTGAGGAGAGCAGGGTTTCGTCTTCAGGTGTTTAGACTCAACTGTGGCTGCGGGTGCTCTGCGATGTAGAGAGAGGAAGAGATCCCATATCCAAGTTGCCTTGTTCCCGCTTTGGGACAAGTTGCCCTCGCTGTCTGATGAGGCAGGGAGAAGTAGGACTCCCTTGGCCCCAGTGAATGTGGTGTCCTGCTCCAGGGGTGTCCCGGAGCTACTTTCCAAGTAAAGGCAAGGTGCCAAAAAATGAGACAGGTAAACACTCTCTCTGAGCCTAGCGTCTTCCTCTGTGAAATGGGGATAAAAATGCTCACCCACAGGATTGCTGGAAGCTTCAGTGATACAGGTGCAAGCCGGTAGGTAGCCCTGTGGTTATTGCAGGATGGTGAATGTCTGTATGAATTCAGGCCTCTTATTCCTTTTCAAATTTGTTATTGGGAGACAGATGGGAAAAGGAGAAGAAAAAGGCCCTGGTGAGAATCCCATTGTATCTCTGGTTGTTATGATCACTACCCAGTTGTATTATTGTCACTGGTCACTGACTCAGTGCCTAGCTTAATGCCTGGCACATAGTTACTCCAAGAAAGCACAGTGATTGCTGGCTTCTCTCTGTCCCTGTGCAGCTCTTCATCAGGTGATTGAGCTCATATCAGGTGTCTGAAGAAGGTAGGTTTTGAGGATCAGGGTCGTGATGGCTGCTGAAGCTTCTACTCCAGATTTGAAGGGCAGCAGTACTAAGGAGACCCCCAACACTTCCATCCCTGGTGGGATATGACACCTGGCTCAAGTGAGCTCATAGATCTGGACAGAAGCATGTTGTGGAATAGCTCTGTGAGGTTTATAAAATAGCCTACAAGCAGAGAAATTCCTTTGATCTCATCATTGGAGAAGAGGTTTAGCAGGTGGAATTTCCTTCCATCAGCAGCTATGTGCTTTGTGGTAGCTTCTGAGGCCCATGTTAAAGATGCCTTTCATTGTCACAAAGCAATGAATAGTTCATTTGGGGAAGCAACTGGATGTTTAACATGCATTTGCTATAGATTTACATATATTTTTCTGCCTATATAAATAATCATCAGTGATTCCTATGTATCTCTCAAATGGATATGGAAATATGCAGTCGTTAGGTCTTTCTAGCATTTTGAGATTGTAATATAAATTATATAAATTATCTCCTGGTGACCATGGTATTTTTCCATCCTATAATGATTTTTTAAGCCAGAAATTTTGCAAGTGTTAGTTAAAATGTCAGTTACTATACCTTAATAGTTTCAGAAATAAGAATTACCCTAGAATTCGCTCTATTATAATGATACTAAGCCATGTTCCCTAAAGTAAACAGTTACTCTTAAGTATCATCATCATTATTTTCTTAGAATGTAATATTTTTATTTTTGTACTTCAAAAAGAAATGAACATCCACTTTTCCAAAAATATTTAAACACTGCAAGTGATTATTATGGTTGTATGTAGTGCAGAACAATTTGATCAGACATAGTAATGATCTGGTAATATAACAAGAGTGTAGTAGTTGGAATCTTTTGGATGATTTAATTGCATCAAAAACTTATACAAATGTATTTCAAATACTTTCTTTGAGCCATGTTGACATACGATATACCGTACATGTTTAAAATATATAGTTTAATAAGTTTTAACATATGTATGCTCTCTCTGGTGAATCCAATATTATAGTCAAGATAATGAACATATTCATCACCTCAAAAAGCTTCCTTATGCACCTTTGTAATCCTCTCCATCTGTCTCTAGCTTCCCTCTCCATGCCAACCTGTCCCATTCCCGGACAATCACTGGTCTCCTCTTACCATAGATTAGTTTTTGTTTCTTGCCCTTTTAAGTAAATGGAATCATAGGATGCTTATTCTCCTTTGTCTGACCTAATTCATTTGTTAACCCCAAAAAAAGTGACTGAGGCAAGTGTCTCAATCACTAGAGGTTTATTGAGCCAAAGTTTGAGGACATGCCTGGGAAAACTGCAAGTCACAGGAGCATCTCTGACTTGTGCTTTACAAAGAGGGGTTTGGGAACTCAGTATTTAAGGGCAGAGAGCAAGCAAGAGGGAAAAAGGGAGAGAGGGTAGGCAGTGAGGCAAATGGTTACATTCTTGTGAGGCTCTAATTAGCGGTCAGTAAATCTGAGTTTTACATAAGATAAGATTTGAAAAGAGAGAGGAAAGAGTCAATTATGTATTCGTTTCAGGGTAGGTGGAAGAGTGATTGATCTTGTCTTTGTTCTGGAAAGATAAGCTTGTAACTGACACTGTCAGTGTAAGATTTAACAAAACTCAGTTTTAGGAGTTAAACTTAGGTTGCAGACTTAAGGTTACAATTGGCATGTGCTGGTTTTATAGGGGGATATGTATCCTGAAAGATTTAGGGGCTAGCAAGGAATTTCCTTGTGAGCAATATTTGAGGAAGGTCATCTGGGAAGGTATAATGCCTTTTACTGTTGTGGGAATCTGGATTATGTATTACGCTATGACACAGGGTTGTGAAATTACAGTTATCTGGGGACAAAGGTTGGTAATGTTGCACAATTCATTTCCCAGGCTTAACTTTTCCCTTGGCATGATGAATTTGGGAATCCTGAAATTTCATGTTATTTTACATATTTGACCTAATTATTTTTAGATTTATCCATATTGTTGTATATATGAATAGTTCCAAATTTGTTATGCTTTGGATGTTGCTGTTTGTGTCATATCTAAGAAATCTTCTCTGAAGCCAAGACTGCAACAATTTTCTCTTGTGTTTTCTTCTTGAAAATTTATAGTTCTAGCTTTTAAATTTAAATCTTCTTTTATGATCCACTTTGAGTTTTTTATGATGTGGTGTATAGATAAAAGCTTATTTTTGTTATCTACCTGTTCCAGCACAAGTTGTTGAAAGGATGATCTTTCTGCACTGAATTGTCTTTGCATTGTTGTCAAAAATCAGTTGTCCTTATATTTGTGGGTCTATTTCTGGACTCTATACTTTGTTCCTTTGATATACATTTCTTCCTTGAAGGCAATAGTGCACTGTTTTGGTTAATGTAAGTTTATAATGAAGCTTAAATTAGGTAGTGTTTTTCCTCCAACTTTGTTCTTTTACAATGTTGTTTTTCATAGTTTAGGGTCATTTGCATTTCCACATGATTTCTGGAATAAGTTTATTGATTTCTTCTTAAAAATATATGCTAACATTTCTATTGGAGTTGCATAGAATCTATACATCAGTTTGAGGAGAGTAGATATCTTAACAATACTGAGTGTTCTGACTCATGATGATGGCATTTCTCTCCATTTATTTAGGTCTTCTTTAACTTCTCTCCTCAATGTTTTGTGGTGTTCAATGTACAGGCCTTGCACACATGTGGACAGATTATCCTCAGGTATTTTACACTTTTTGATGCTATTATAAATGGCAGTATTTCTTTTTTTAGGCTAGAGTGCAGTGGTATGATCACAGCTCACTATAGCTTTGGGCTTCTGGGCTCAAGTGATCCACCCATCTCAGCCTACCGAGCAGGTGGGACCACAAGTGCATGCCACCATGCCTGGCTAATTAAAAAATTAAAAAAAATTTTTTTAATAGAGGTAGGGTCTTGCTTTGTTGTCCAGGTGGGTCCCAAACTCCTGGTCCCAAGCAATCCTCCCACCTTGGCCTCCCAAAGTGCCGGTATTATAGGCATGAGCCACCATGCCTGGCCTAATGGTAGTATTTTCAATTGCAATTTCAATGTATTATATTTTTACTGAATTGTCAGAAGCTGAGTGTTTAATACTAGCTGCTGGGGAACCTTTTTGGTTGAAAGCACAGGCTACTCTAGGATAGAAAAGATGCTTAATACTTAATGTCTGTATTAGTCAAGGTTCTCCAGAGAAATAGAACCAATAAGATATCTATATATCCATATATCTTTATATATGTATCTTTATATATATACATATAAAGATATTTATTTTAAGGAACTGGTGTATGTGATTTTGGACGCTTGGTGAGTCCAAAATTTGATGGGGGAGTCCAGCAGGCTTCAGACTCAGGAAAGAGTTGAAGTTAAAGTCCAAAGGCGGTGTACTGATAAACCAGGAAGAGCCAATATTACAGATGAAATCTGAAGAGTGAGCTGGCAGAATTCCCTCTTCTTTGGAGGATATCAGCTTTTTATTCTATTTAGGACTCCAGCTGACTGGATGAGGCCCACCCACACTGGGGAGGGCAATCTGCTTTACTTAGTCTGCCAATTTAAATGTAAATTTCATCCAAAAACACCCTCACAGAAACATCCAAAATAACGTTTGACCAAATATCTGGGCATTATGACCCAGCCAAGTTGACACATAAAATTAGTCATCACAGCATACATTTGCCAGTGTTTCCACTATCAGCTTTTATAAGTCATTGGTAATATACTGAAACCAGGGAGAAAATGTCACTGAGACATTTTTCTAAAGATCATCTCCAGAAAAATGAATTACTAAAATAAAATAGTTTTGTAGCTCTTGACTTTGTGTGTGGGTAGATTTTAATTGTGGAGTTTTCTTTTTATACTCCCAAACAAATCTACCTTGATGAATTCTTGGATACTTGGGTGATGAGAAAAAGAGGGAGAGAGCATGTATGTATGTGGGTATCTAGGTATGTATGAAGGTGTATATTGCTGAAGCTGCCGGGAATGTTTATTGTGAGAAAAAATTGAGGTTAATTACTGTGCATCATGTCAGTCCTATTCAGTTCTTAGCACATGTTAGGAATAAGATCGAGGAGGTGGTTGGTTTTTTGTTTTGTTTTGTTTTTTCCTCCCAGCTTTCCCTGGCCAGCATGGTTACCATGGTGACTCAGTGATTGCTATGGGATTTGGTGCAGAATGAAAATCTATTTACGATTCTTGCTTGAATCATTTACTACTGTGATAGTTGTCAGGGTTGCTTTTATAATTCTGTCACTTTGTTTAGATTTATTAATTGACATTTGACTGTTAGATATATATGGTTTTTTTTTTTTTTTTTTTTTTTGAGACAGAGTTTCGCTCTTGTCGCCCAGGCTGGAGTGCAATGGCGCGATCTTGGCTCACTGCAACCTCCGCCTCCTAGGTTCAAATTATTCTCCTGCCTCAGCCTCCTGAGTAGCTGGGATTACAAGCACCCGCCACCATGCCCAGTGAATTTTTGTATGTTTAGTAGAGACGGGGTTTCCCCATGTTGGCCAGGCTGGTCTCGAACTACTGACTGCAGGTGATCCACCTGTCTCGGCCTCCCAAAGTGCTGGGATTACAGGTGTGAGCCACCACACCCAGCTATTTATTTATATTACTGTGATTCATAGATTCCTGTTTTGCTCAAAGATATAACATTTGTTATTATAAATATTTATTTGATGCTCAAATTATTCCAGAATTGGCCAGTGGAAGCCCCTCAAGTTGACCTCAGTCCATTTGATGCCTTCCTAGAATTCCTGGAGCATGTATTTTGCTCTCTGAGCCTATCTCCCCATAGGTAAAAAGGATGCCAACCTCAGAGCATTGCTCTGATGATTTGAAGAGTGAAAGTCTGAAAATTACAACCTACCACATGTGTAGCATCTAGTAGGCCTTAAACAAATTTTAGTTGTCCATTCCCACTTGCCTTCATTCTGTCATTGTAATGCTACTGACATTAACATAGTAGCACAGTGGCTCATGCCTGTAATCCCAGCACTTTGGGAGGCTGAGGTGGGTAGATCACCTGAGGTCAGGAGTTCGAGACCAGCCTGGCCAACATGGTGAAGCCCCAACTCTACTAAAAATACAACAACAACAACAACAAAACCCAATTAGCCAGACATGGTGGTGCACTCCTGTAATCCAAGCTACTTGGAAGGTTGAGGTGGGAAGATTGCTTGAACCTGGGAGGCAGAGGTTGCAGTGAGCCAATATCATGCCACTGCACTCCAGCCTAGTTGACAGAATGAGACTCTGTCTCAAAAACAAAAACAAAAACAAAAACAAAAACAAAAGCATAATAGCATGATTACCAGAGAGAATATCTGGAAATGTAACACCAAGTAGTGATAATATTATTAAACTTTATTTTTTAAAAAATATTTCATTAACAAAGATTCTACATATTTAAGTTGTACAATGTGAAGATTTGACATACCTATACATTATGTAATGATTATCACAATCAAATTATAACACATCCATCACCACTCATGCTTTATTCTAGATTCCCAGAACTTGTTCATCTTAAAACTGAAAATTTATGCCCTTTGATCAACACCTTCCTATTTCCCTGACTTTCTAGCCTCTGGCAACCACTGCTCTATTCAGCTTCTATGAGTTTGACCTTTTAAGATTTTACATGTAAGTGAGATCATGCAATATTTTTCTTTCTGTGTCTGACTTATTTCACTGCTAATGTCTTCTAGGTTCATCCATGTTGTTGCAAATGGCGGTATTTCCTTCTTGTTTATGGCCGAATAATATATATATGTATATATTATGTGACATATTATATATACACACACACACACCACATTTTTTATATCCATTCATTCACTGATAAACAGTTACGTTTATTCCATATTTTGGCTATTTTGAGTAATGCTGTAATGAACATGGGAATGCAGATATTCCTTCAAGATACTGATTTCATTTCCTTTGAATATATACCTTGAAATGGGATTGCTGTATTGTATGGTAGTTCAATTTTTAATTTTTTGAAGAATCTCCATACTGTTTTCCATAATGGCTGTACCAAGTTACTTTCCCAGCAACAGTGTACAAAAGTTCCCTTTTCTTTACATACTTGGTAACACCTGTTACCTCTTGTCTTTTTGATAATAGCCATCCTTACAGCTGTGTGGTGATATCTCACTGTGATTTTGATTTGCATTTCCTTATGATTAGTGATATTGAGCACCTTTTCCTACACTATACTGTTGGCCATTTTTATATCTTCTTTGGAAAGTACCAATTCAGGTTCTTTGCTATTTTTTATTGAGTTGTTTGGGTTTTTTTTTTTTTTCCTATTGCATGGTGTGAGTTCCTTACATGTTTTGGATGTTAACTCTTTATCAGCTATGTGGTTTGCAGATATTCTCTCTCATCCCATAGGTTGCCTTTTCATTTTGTTGTTTCCTTTGCCATGCAGAAATTTTTTAGTTTGATGTAATTCTACTTGTTTATTTTTGCTTTAGTTGCCTTTGCTTTTGGAGTCATATCAAAAAAAAATTGCCAAGACCCATGTCAAGGAGCTTTTTCCCTATGTCATCTTCTGGGAGGTTTACGGATTCAGATTTTATGTTTAAGTCTTTAATGCATTTGAATTAATTTTTGAATATGGTATGAAACAATGGTCCAATTTCATTTTTTTTTGCATGTGGATATTCAGTTTTCCCAACACTATTTATTGAAGACACATTCCTTTCATCATTGTGTATTCTTGGTGCCCTTGTCAAAGATTAGTTGACCCTGTATGTGTGAACTTATTTCTCGGCTATACTCTGTTCTATTAGTCTATGTGACTGTTTTTATTATGCCAGTACCATGCTGTTTTGATTACTATATCTTTGTCCTATAGTTTGCAATCAGGGAATGTGATGCTTCCTGCTTTGTTCTTCTTTCTCAAGGTTGCTTTTGCTATTCAGGGTCTTTTGTGGTTTCTTATAAATTTTAGGATTGTGTTTTCTTTTTCTATGAAAAAAGTCATGGGAGTTTTGATAGGGATTGCATCACCTCCTTGGTCAAATTATCCAATGTGAAATAGATCTTTCACCTACTTGGTTAGATTTAATCCTAAGTATTTTATTCTTTCTGATTCTATCGTAAATGGGATTGACTTCTTTTTCACATAGTTTGTTGTTGGAGTATAGAAACACAGCTGATTTTTCTATGTTCATTTTGTATCCACAGTTTTACTGAATTCATTCATCAATTCCAACAGTTTTTGGTGGAGTCTTTAGGGTTTTATACGTAGAAAATCATGTCATGTGCAAACAGATAATTTAACTTATTCTTTTCTGATTTAGATGCTTTTCATTTCATTTTCTTGCCTAATTTCTCTGGCTAGGATGTCCAGTGTTAAGTTGAATAGACGTGGTGAGAGTGGACATCCTTACTTTGGTACTGATCTTAAAGGAAGCTTTCAGCTTTTCACCATTGAATATAATGTTAGCTGTGGTCTTGTCAGATATGGGTTTTGTGTCTGTATGTTGAGGCTCATTTCTTATATACCTAATTTGCTGAGAGTTTTTATCCTGAAAGGATGTTGAATTTTGCTGAATGCCTTTTATTCATCTATTGAGATGAACATATGGTTTTTGTTGTTAATTCCATTAATGCCATTTATAGATTTGGATATATTGAGTCACCCTTGCATCCCAGGTATGAATCCCACGTGATCATGTTGAATGATCTTTTTAATGTGCTATTTAATTTGGTTTGCCAGTATTTTATTGAGGATGTTTGCATCTATGTTCATCAAGAATATTGGCCTGCAATTTTCTTTTCTTGTAGTGTCCTTGTCTGGCTTTGTTACCAGGGTGATACTGGCCTTGTAAAATGAATTTGGAAGTATTCCCTCCTCTTTAATTTTTGGGAAGAGTTTGAGAAGAATTGGTATTAGTTCTTTAAAAGTTTGGTAAAAATTAGCAGTGAACCATCAGGTCCTGGGCTGTTCTTTGATGGGATACTTTTTATTACTGATTCAATCCCCTTGTTGGTCAGTTCATATTTTCATATTTTCTACTTTTTCATTGTTTAGTCTTGGTAGGATGTATGCATCTAGGAATTTATCCACTTCTTCCAGGTTACCCAATTTTTTGCCATATAGCTGTTCACTTCTCTTCACACTGTTCTTCTTCTCTTTTGAGGTAGTCTTTTATGAGCCTTTGTATTTCTGTGATGTCAGTTGTAATATCTCCTCTTTCATTTCTGATATATATATATATATATATATATATATATATTTTTTTTTTTTTTTTTTTTCCCCGAGACAGAGTCTTGCTCTGTCACCCAGGCTGGAGTGCAATGGCGCGATCTCGGCTCACTGCAATCTCCACCTCCCGGGTTCAAGTGATTCTCATGCCTCAGCCTCTCAAGTAGTCTCTCAAGGGATTACAGGCGTGCACCATCACGCCAGCTAATTTTTGTATTTTTTATGGAGACGGAATTTTGCCATGTTGAGCAGGCTGATCTTGAACTCCTGGCTTCAAGCTATATGCCCGCCTCAGCCTCCCTATGTGCTGGGATTACAGGCATGAGCCACCACACCGGGCCCATTTCTAATTTTATTTATCTGAGCCATCTGTCTTTTTTACTTTGTTAGTCTTGCTAAAGTTTTGTTGAATTTTGTTTAATCTTTTCATAAAATCCACTCTTGCTGTTGATCTTTTCTATCGTTTTTCTCATCTCTATTTCAGTTATTTCTGATCTGGTCTTTATGATTTCATTCCCTCTACTAACTTTGGGCTTAGTTTTTTTTTTATTTTTCTAGTTCCTTGATGTATAACATTAGGTGGTTTATTTGGAATCTTCTTCTCTTTTGATGTAGACATTAATTGCTATAAACTTCTCCCTTAGAACTGATACTGCCACAACTCATAAGTTTTGGTATGTTTCCATTTTGGTGTGTTTCCATTTCTATTTGTCTCAAGGTATTTTAAAATTTCCCTTTTAATTTCTTTACTAAAACAAGCAATTTTAATTGCTTGTTTAGGACAATGTTGTTTAATTTCCATATTTTTATAAAATTTCTGAAATTCCTTCTGCTATTGATTTCTAGTTTTATACTATTGTGGTAAAAAATACACTTGGTATTATTTTAATGTTGAATTTGTTAGGACTTCTTTTGTTGCCTAACATATGATCTATCCTCCAGAATATTCCATATGTGCTTGAGAAGAATGTATATTCTGCTGAGGTACAAAGCACAGGTATGCATGAAAGGACTATGGCTCTGGTATTCGGTGCAGTAATGTACCTGATGTCTGGGGTGCTGGCACTCCTGCTGTTGTGTTATGGCAATATGTAAGGTGAAAATTCTCATGAAGTAGCTAGAGAGCCAAGAATGGGAGCACAGATGCACACAAAGACAGACTCTGTCATTAGGGGAAGGTCTCGTTCTCTGTGGCATCTGAGCTAGCACCTTGGGTTGGGTCATGCATAGCGAGGACTTGGTTCTTGAGCCTGGAGTGTGGACTAGCTCATTATGGCAATGGCTCTGGTGTCTGAGTCATCAGTGGGCCCAGTGTAGCCACAGAGCCTGGGTCTGGAGTGTGATCACTCGCAAAGAGGTTATGGCTCTATGTTAAGGAATGCTCAGGGTTGGAAGAGGTGGTGGTTCCTTTCCTGAAGCAGCTCAATGGGGTGGCCACTTCTTGTGGAGAGGGAGAGGTATGCAGCTGTGTCTCCCTCTCTGGATTTCCCTGGTAGGAATGGCTGCTGGTTACCTCAGTGGCAAGGGATACTGGTGTCCTCTGTGGAGCACTCCTCTGGGTACCACGACAGTTCCCTGTGCATGGATGACATGGCACCTTTCTTCTTTGCTCATAGCTGTCTCCTGGTGTCTCAAGTATGCTGTTCTCACCAGAAATACTTTCTCTGTGGGTAATCTCCTTTTTTTTCTCCATTGTGCTGCTGCAGACTTTTTACTGGACCCTTGAGCCCTTTCTGGTCTATTTTGGTTTGTGAATAGATGTTTGTATTTGTTTTTGTTGGGGGATGAAGGCTGATATCTCCTACTCCACCATCTTGGTCAGTTTTTTTTTTTTAATTTTTGAGACTTTTCTTTATAGTTCCTCCTAAAGTAAAATATGATATTCTTTTGTTGCATGATTTTATCTATAGATGCCTACTTCATGGAAAAGAAGGAAAAAATAATTATGAGAACAAACACATGTTCACATCTCATCAGTGGGACCTGCCATATATGCCTCCTTGTTATGTGTATCTTCTTTCAGACTTGCTCAAACAGGCACACCGTGTTCTGTGGTGGACAGGTCTAGGAAAACCTACCCCCCAAAGTCCAAGGAAGCTGAGAGGCCAAAGAAAGAGGCTGATAAATCCAGTTTCTTAGAAAGAAACATGTAATAGGGACTAACAAACAGAAGCTATGTCTGTGCCTCAGACAGTGGTGAGACAAGATGGTGGATTCCCACCTAATTACCCTCCAAATCCAGGGCTTACATATCATAAGGAAAGGGTATACATGATTAAGAAGAAATGTGTAGGAAAATTGAAGTACAATAACATCAAGATTGTTTTGACCTAAGGGCAAGAATTATGGTAAATATGTACTCTTACACAAGGAACAATAGATAAACTGGAAAATTTTAGAGGCTTTCCTGGAACTGAGGTTAATCAGAAGTAAATATGGCAGATTAGCATCCAAGATAGAGTAACTTTAGCCTCCACATACCCATTTTCTCAGTTTATATGCTGCAGGGAGCACTAACAGAATCTGCAGATAATATTTGCTGTCACTTTTTAAATCTAAAGTGTCCAAAGTCTTAGAGTTTCCCAGGTGCCATCTAGCCCCAAGTAATGAACATGAAACATCTTTCCATTTGTCCATGCTTAGTTTTCCATCTTTCATTTACACTATTACTCATTACATTGTTATACTTGTACATCTGGAACCTAATCTGGAAAATCTTGGTGCAAAAAGGCAGTGATTTCTGGAATTTAGTTTTCATGTGTCCACACTACTACACAAATCCCTTGGTTGGTTTAGGGATGCATCCCATTTAGAACCTGACCTGATTTTGTGTTATAAGTGCTGGGCATGTGTATCTTTTCCATTCCTTTTATTATTTTTAATTGCACAAGGAAAGTACTTTAAGAGTGTTTTAATGTGCATATATTGATTGTTCCTGGGCCCTGGGCTGAGTGAGACTCTGACTCAACTTGTACCCCGAACCCACTGTGTCAGGATTCTCCCCTTCCAGAGGCTGTGATGCTGAGCCCTGGGTGGTTTCATGCAGTCTCTCCCCGTTTCCATCCCTTGTGGAAGTCACTGCTTGGCTAACTAGGTGGCTAAACAGAGGAGCCTACTTTCAATTTAAGGGGATGTATTTGGGAGAATACAGAGAGAGACATTGTGTTCGTGCATTTTGAGTTGCTATAAAGGAATAATACCTAAGGCGAGGTAATTCATAAAGAAAAGAAGTTTATTTGGCTCACAGTTCTGCAGACTGTACAAGAAACATGGTGCCAGCATCTGTTTCTGGAAGCTTTTACTCATGGTAGAAGGCAAGGGGAGGTGGCATGTCACACGGCAAGAGAGGAAACAATAGAGAAAAGAGGAGGTGCCTGGCTCTTTTTAACAATCAGATCTTATGGTAACTAATGGAGCCAAAACTCACTCATTACCACAAGGATAGCACCAAGCCATTCATGAGGGATCTGCCCCCATGACCTAAACACCTCCCACCAGGCCCCACCTTGAGCATTGGAGATCACATTTCAACTTGAGATTTGGAGGAGACAAATATCCAAACTGTATCAAGCATGTTATGAAACTACTTTCATTTCATTTTCATTTCATGACCTTCACTAAAATCCTAGGAAGAAGAGACATTGTCTGACAGCAAAATGTAAGGTTCATTTGAGAAACATGCTTCTCCTTTCCCTGGGCATCTGTAATGTCGCTGAAGCTACTCAGTTGGGGCTGTAATTTCCCTGATGCTGCTCAGCTTTTCCTGAAGCTATCATGTGGATAGATTGATACATTAGTTTTGTGACAACCATATTACCTAGTTCCTTTGGCTTAGGGATGTTCCTCATTCTGATGCTAAGCCATTTTCCTATGGGAAGGACTGGAGATTTTTTTTTTTTTTTTAGATTATTTTTCTCACTTCCAAACCTAACATGCTTTTGTTGGAAAATGCACAAAAGGAAAAATATCATTAGAAACCCTAAAAATTCTATTACTCATGGATAAGAACTGTTAACTTTTGAATATTGCTATGGTTTGAATGTCCCTTCCAAAACTCATATTAAAATTTTATTGACATTATAACAGTGTGGAGAGGTGGGGCCTTTGAGAGGTGATTAGGTTATGATAGCTCTAGCCTCATGAATGAATTAATGCCATTATTGTGATAATAAGCTTCTAATAAAAGAATGACTTCAGCCTGGTTTCCTCTGTCTTCTGCACTCACTTCTACTTTCCACACTTCCATCATGGGATGACCCTTGCCAGATGCCAGCACTGTGCTGTTGGACTTGCCAGCCTTCAGAACAGTGAGAAATACATTTCTTTCCTTTATAAATTATCCAGTCTCTGGTATTCTGTTATAGCATCAGAAAATGGACTAAGAGAAATAAACATTTTTCCAGAAGTTTTACTATGCAAATGTAACTATACTTAAAACAAAAATCAGATAATATCCTACTTACAGCTTTATAAACTGCCTTTTTATGAAAAACATATTTTGAAGGTCAATCTATATCAATCAATATAAATCCACATAATAACAAAAATGGCCATAGAAACAGTAATGGTCTATTCAGGTATAATAATAATAATAATAATAATAATAATAATAATAATAATAGCTAATGTTTATTGTGATTTCCTCAATGCCTGATACTGTCGCAGGTGCTAAACATATACTTAATCATTTAATCCTCACCACATTATATGATGAGGCACTGTTGTTGTCTGACTTTAAACATAAGGGAACTGAGGCATAGTGAGGGCAGGGCTAGCAAGTGCTGAGACTTCAATTTGAACACAGGCAGTGTGGCTCCTGAGCTCCTACATGTAATCAGTATATGCCACTGCCTCTCATATGAGAACACCAACCTTATTATTTATCAGAATAAAGCAAAATACATGAAATTAAGATACTATGTCTTCCCCCATTTGACTAAGCAGAGATTTAAAATATTGAAAAAATGAATGTGATTTGGAATTTGGGGAAATGTGTCCTGGAATACTGTGGAAGGGGCTGACCAGCATCTTGTCTCCCTTCCTGTTTCTCAAAAGACGTTCCTATTCTGAGTGGAGGGGCTTTGCTGTAGGTGGAGCAGAGAATGGTTATGTTTCCCAGTGATTTTATCCTTTTGTATATTTATAAGACCAATAGGTGTTTATTACAGTTAAAAAAGTGAAAACATAGGACATAAAATAAAATAACCATTCCTCAAACATAACACCTAAAGATAAGACCTGCTAATGTTTTCATCTGCATTATTTTCTTAGAAGTTTTCTCATGTAGGAATGTATATGCTTATGCATGTATGGATGCATTTATATATTTATATGAAAAAGATAAGATCTCATTTTAGTTTTTTAACCTGCCTGTGTCAATATAGTGGGTTGGATAATATCCTCCAACAATATATGTCCAAGCCTTAGCCCTTAGTACCTGTGAATGTGATATTATTTGGAAATAGAGTCATTGCACATATAATTTAGGATCTCAAGATGAGATGATTCTGGATTTAGTGTGGGCCCTAAATCTAATGACTAGTGTCCTTGTAACAGAGAGGATGGGGAGGTTTAACATACACAGGAAAGAAGCTCATGTGAAGAAGGAGGCAGAGATTGGAGTTATGCTGCCATAAGCCAGGGAAAGCTATGAGTCATCAGAAGCTGGAAGAGGCAAGAAAAAAATTATCCTCCCAAGTCTTCATAGGGAGTGTGACCCTGTCAAAACCTTGACATCAGGCTTCTGGTCTCCATAACTGTAAGAAAATAAATTTCTGCTGTTTAAAGCCACAAATTTTGTGGTAATTTGTTGTGGCAACCCTAGGAAACTAATATACTCACTAACAACATCTAAACAATATCTAAATGTCAATAATATCTAAAATGTCATTAATTGTAAATAAACACCAGTCTATGTCTTATATTGTTATGGCTATAAAGATAGTAATATCAGTGACACATTAAAGAAATTTTTAAATTGACTAAAATTTCTTGTACCAAGTGATTTTTATATGTATTGAGTCATTCACTGCTCATAGCTCCCTTACGAGATAGATATTGTGGCTAATCTCTGTTTTATAGACGAAAAACTGAGGGACAGAGAGAATGACTTTGCCCAAGACTACACAGTTAAGGAGTAGGTCAGCTTGGATTTGTGTCCAGTACATGTTGCTCCAGAGCCTGGAAGCTGTCACAAATTTGTTAAGTGAAAGCAGTCTGCACAGTGAGCATATTTTAGGAGGTCATTAAAAGTAATACTAAGTATTTTAATATAGTTACACATTTATGCAAACACTGGACTTAGTGACAAAAGGTGGTTTGTGATCTTGGAGAGCCTGTTCGTTGCAATCAAGGAACAGAAGCCATGGTAGGGGGATAAGGAGTCAATAAAGTGAACGATGTTAACAGAGACTGTAGAGAACTGTTTTTGGTACCTTGAATTTGAAGGAGGGGTAGGGAGAGACAGAGAGAGAATGAATTAAATATCCTATTGCTGAATGGGTAATAAGGGGTTAAGGAGGGATATTTTAAAATCTTCAATTCCTTTAAACTTAAGTACATTCAAAAACTAATGTAAAGGAGCTCTCTAATCTCAGATGTAACCTTGAAGTTGCCCACGTATTTATTTCCCTACTACCATCTCATTATGGAGTTAATGAGACACCTCCATTGGAATACTATGGGCTTTGAGTGCAATGCAGATTTAGTTATTAGTAATTAAAAGTGGGAAAACTGTGTGAAAGAAATGCTCATAACTCTTGGACTTTTACCTCTCAGGGAGGCAGCAGGCAGCTGAAATTCTGGCGTGCTGTGGCTGGATAATGCATGATCTGAGGACCCCTATACTGATGACTGTGGATGGGGCCACATTTTTTTCTGCAAATATATTCATATACTGAGCAGTCAGGAGCAGCCCTTAGGCAAATACCACACCTTGCTTCTCTGCTGTGATTGATATCTGAGCTCACCAGGTGAGTTCAAAAACATGCCCATGTTCCCAGCATTGGGAACTGGGTCTGCTGAAAGGCCTGATGTTGGCCAGCTTTTATGAGATTATGAAGCACCCAAGAATGTAGAGAACATTCTGTTTCTAAAACTTTGAACTCAAGGCATATCAGAGAGAGATTTGCCTTCCTTATATGGATGTCTGTGTTCTCATTAGGAGAGAAACAATGAAAAATAACTTTTCACAATGCCTGCCTTAGCCTTGAGGCTTAGCCAGCCCCCATTTCTGTGTCTCAGCATTTAAAGGGCCATTGAAGTCCCACTCCTTGCTATATACTCTCAAGAGGTTTTCTCATTAACCCCTCAGGACAGCTCTGTAAGGATGGTATGGTCAGTCCAATTTCACAGATAATCAGGCTCAGACTCACAGAGTCTAAACCACCTAAAGTGGCAGGACTGGAATGAGGTTCCATCTCTCACCCTCCCTAGAGGACCCTGAGCAGCCTCCCTTTTAAAAGATGGGCATCCAGGGATTGAGAAACGGTCAGATTCCATTGCCCTGCTATTATGGCCTCATGCATCCTCACTCCACAGCCCCTCTGGGTGAGGAAGAAGACAGAGAGATGATATCCTGCCCCTTGTGCTGAGAGACCTGGTTGTTAGGCCGCATGAATTGGCTGATCCCTGAAGTGGTGAGTGGGCTCAGTCAGAAGCTCAGGTGTTGGCCTTGGGACGGGTGAGCAGGAGAGAAGGAAAGTAACATGCACTGAACTACTGAAAGCAAATGCACTCTATATTTCATCTCCTTTAATCTTTTTGTTTTTGTCTGTTTTGGTAGAAACAGTGTCTCACTATGTTGCCCAGGCTTGTCTTGAATTCCTGACCTCAAGTGATCCTCCCACATCAGCCTTCCAAAGTGCTGGGATTACAGGCATGTACCACCTCACCTGGCCTCCTTGAATCTTAATTGCTATCCAAGGTACCCATTATTCAGATGAGGGTGCTGCCTTTAGGGGAGTTTTTGTGAATCGAGGAGAAAACTTTATCTCCTGACCAGCTGCTAACTCTGGAATACTCTAAAGTTTTATCATTTTCTCTTGATGCCTCCAGGTCTCTGAATGCTCTAATCTCCCTCCTGGCTGACAGTACGGGCTCCCCAGGTATTTTCCAAAGTTTTTTCTTTTTAAATTATGACATGTATAATTTTTTAAGTCTCATTATGGAAATTTAAAATGCTTTCCAAATGAAAAATAAAAAACCAGTAACAATTGTATTAAGGGAGAAAACATTTTCAAACTACATCTCAGATATTGGGTTGGTGTCTGTGATTTGTGAAACATAGTAACAAAATGATTGGCAACAATTTCAACAGATAATTCAAATAAGTATATATGTGAACAATAAATATTAGAAAACACAGAAACCACAAGAACTAATGAGATGCAAATATTTTAAAATCCTGAGAATTTATAATAATTGGAAACAACAAGATACAAAAGATGAGGACGTGATTGCACATTTGGAACAGACAATATGTGTGTGTTTGTGTGTGCGCGTGTGTGTGTGAATGTGTTCATGTGCACCTCACAGGAGCACATCTGGAGAGTATGCACCATCCTAGGGACAGTAGACCCCTTGGAATCAAAGGGTGGGAGTTGGACCAGTGAGAGTGCAGATTAATTTCAATTTATGAATGTACTCATATATTGTTTAAAATTCAGTATTTGGGAATACAAATATTTTGATAAAAATTTGAACACAAGATAGTTTTGAACTGATTGTCAAAGATAATATGCACATATTTTCATTAATTTGAAAAAGAATTCATTGTGTTATATTATGAAAGAAATAAAAAATTTAATTGAATCTGTGTGTGTGTGTGTGTCCTCTAGCTCTGTCACCCCATATACACACTCACAGATGTAGCATTATCTTTAATTCAGATGGGAGCTGCAACCAATCTGAGTTTTATATATCCTAGAACATGATGAATACAAGGAGACTGCTATCATTAGATCAATAATTCAAAAAAACCTCTGGCTGATATAGTGAAGCTAACTTCCAACCTCAATCCCTCTCCCTTCCCTGCTGAGCCTCTGGTCTGACTCTCAATGCTGCAATCCTGTCTTTGGCTACCAGGAGGCATCACAGCTATCTCCATGTCTTTTGTTCTTTTATTAATGAAAAGGGAGTACATTTTGCTAAGAGTAACAAATGTTATGAAGTGATTTGTTTACTCTGACACCAGTTCTATTTGGAAAATTCACATATTAAAGCAGGTCCATTTGCTGTTGACCCCAAATCTACATCATATTCATTAATTTATCTCTTCCCTCCACGGTGTAGGTTGAGGTGTCCATAAAGTGGATAGGTTCCTCCCAGAGAGCAGGGTGTTGCATTCTTCATTACTGCACCCCTGTACAGGCTTCCCAGGCCTTCTCCCAACCCCTCTCAGTCATCTTCTCTCCTGGACACTATGAACAAGCTGCCCAGGTCCTATATCAGTGACCCATCCACTCTCAGCCACCTCCTGCCTGCCCTGCACTGACCAATGACGACTGGTGACTGCCAAGATGCACTAGAGCTACCTGGTGTTTCATGGCATGGATTTCCTGGAGCATATGTTTTTACAGTCTTGTTTTTTACCCCTATCATTTTTTTTTCCTTCTGAGTATGGGGAAGTGGATTTGGGTCTGCTCAGAGGCATGATGCTGAACAGCTTTTATGAGATTAGAAAACACCCAAGAATGTAGAGAACATTCTGTCTCTAAAACTTTGAACTCAAGGCATATCAGAGAGAGATTTGCTTTCCTTATATGGATGTCTGTGTTCTCATTAGGAGAGAAACAATGAAAAATAACTTTTTACAATGCCTGCCTTAGCCCTGAGGCTCAGCCAGCCCCCACTTCTGTGTCTCAGCATTTAAAGGGCCATTGAAGTCCCACTCCATGCTATATATTCTCCACAGGTTTTCTCATTAACCCCTCAGGACAGCTCTGTAAGGATGGTATGGTCAGTCCCATTTCACAGATGACTAACTCAGGCTCACAGAGTCTAAGTCATCTCCCCAGGTAAGTGGCAGGATTGGAATGAGGTTCCATCCTTCGCCCTCCCTAGAGGACCCTGGGCAGCTTCCCTTCTAGAAGATGGGCTTCCAGGGCTTGAAAAATGGCCAAATTCCACTCCCCTGCTATTGTGGCCCCACGGGTCCTCCACTCCACAACCCCTCTGGGTGATGAAGATGACAGAGGAGATGAAATCTTGTCCTTTGTACCAAGAGACCTGGGTGTAGGGCCACATGAGTTGGCTGATCCCTGAGGTGGCGAGTGGGCTCAGGCAGAAGCTCAGGTGTTGGCCTTGGGAGAGGAGAGCTGGAGGGAAGGAAAGTAACATGCACTGAACTACTGTAAGCCAATGCACTTTATATTTTATCTGCTTTAATCTTTTTTTTTTTCTTTTTTTGGTAGAGACAAGGTCTTGCTATGTTGCCCAGGCTTGTCTTGAATTCCTGGCCTCAAGAGATCCTCCCTCCATGGTATCCCAAAGCACTGGGATTACAGGCATGAACCACCTTAACTAGCCTCCTTTAATCTTAACTGCTATCCAAGGTACCCATTATTATGACCATTATTCAGATCAGGGTGCTGCCTTTAGGGGAGTTTTTGCAATCCAGGAGAAACTTTGTTATCTCCTGACCAGCAGCTAACTCTGGAATACTCTAAAGATTTATCATTTTCTCTTGATGCCTCCAGGTTTCTGAATGCTCTAATCTCCCTCCAGGCTGACAGTACGTGCTCCCCAGGTGTTTTGGAATGTTTTTTGTTTTTCAATTATGACATGTATAATTATTAAGTCCCATTATGGAAATTTAAAACATTTTCCAAGTGAAAGATAAAAACCCAGTAACCATTGTATTAAAACAGGGGAGAAAACATTTTCAAACTACGTCTCAGATGTTGGGTTGGTGTCTGTGATTTGTGAAACATACTCATTAACAAAACAATTGGCAATGATTTCAACAGAAAATTCAAATAAGTATATACATGGACAATAAACATATTAAATATGCAAAAACCACAAGAACTAATAAGATGCAAATATTTTAAAATCCTGATAAATTATAATAAGTGGAAATGACAAGATGAGAACTGTGATTGCACTTTTGGAGAAGACAATGTGTGTGTGTGGGGGGGGGTGGTGAACGCGTTTATGTGCATCTCACAGGGACACGTCTGGAGAGTATGTGCCATCCTAGGGACAGCAGACCTTTTGGGGTCAGGGGGCAGGAGTCAGGTCTGTGAGAGATGCAGGATAAAATTCCTATTTTTGAGTATAATTTTGCATATTTTTTGAAACTTTATATTAAGGAGAAGAGTATTTTGATAAAAACTTGAACACAAAAAATCCTTATGAAGAGACTGACAAAAGAATTGTATACATGTATTCACTAATTTGTGAAAACATTCAATGTATTCGATTTTATAGTGAAACAAAATAGATAAAAATCGAATTGACTGTGTTTCTACATGTGTGTGTGTTTGTATCTGTGTCTCCTCCAGCTAAATTACTCCAAATACACACTGACAGGTACAGTTTTACCTTCAATTTAGAGGTTGGTGGTCTAGAACTAATCTTGCTTTTAGATATACAGGAAAATGAAAGATACAGGGAGATTGCTACCATTAGGTGAATAATTCCAGAAAACTTTGGCTGATACTGAAGTTTTCAGCCAAGCTCCTAACCTCCATCTGTCCCTCCCAGTTGATGAACCCCCTAGTCTGAAACTCTCAGAGCTGCAATCCTGACTCTGGCCCGACGTGATATCTAACTCCATTATTATTTTCCTTTTTCTAATGAAAAAGAGTACATTTTTCAAAGAGTGGCAAATGTCTTGGAATTGTTTGTTTACTGTAAGTTTTCTTTGGAAAATTCACATGTATATTAAAGCAGGTCCATTTGCTGTTGACCCTAAATCCACATCTCATTCATTGATTTATTTCTTCCTTTGTTAGTGCAGTTTGAGGTGTCCATACTGTAGAGTGGTCCCTCCCAGGGTGTAGGTTGTTCACTCTCCATTACCCCACACCTGAACAGGCTTCCCAGACCTCCTCTCAGGCATGCCCTCTCCGGGACGCTATGGACACAGCCGTCCAGACCCCATTCCAGTGCCCCCATTCTCTTCCACTCACCTCCCGCTGCCCTGGTTTGCGCTACACCAGCCTGCTAAGGACTGCCAAGGCTCGCTCCTCGTACGTGGTGTTTCATTGTATAGACGCCATGGAGTACATGTTTTTGCAGTGTTCTTTTACACCTATCAATTTTTTTCTGGAAGAATTAGAATCATTCTGTCCATAGGTTCATAGACTGGGTTTTAGTGGAGGGTATTTTATTTTTTCGCTCATTGCGTAAACGTCTTTGTAGAGGTTTGATTATGAAGGTACGTTGGTGCCCCCTCGTGACAGAAGCCTGAACTGCAGCTTTTACGTCTGAGCAGGAAGGTGGGAAGGAGCAGTTTGGCCCAAGCCCACTCTATGGAGTTTTCTGGAAGTCTGGATGGAAAATGGAGCAATTCCAGGCTAAAAGAATATTTATGGCCTCCAAACAAAGTGCAGCCTCTCACTATGCTGAGGAGAAGGCTTTATGTGGGAGCAAGAAAAATATTATTTTTATTTGTATGCTTTGAGTCCTCTGCAAAAATAGCTGTAGATGGATATGAGCAAAAATGGATCCTGGCTACTTATGATCTTTGTAACCTGCCTTTGACTTTATTATGACAATTTTTCCATGAAAATACATGTCTACCATAACATTTTAAATTACTTTACAACATAATTTTAGTTTTTATTTTTGCCATCAACTGGATGTTTCATCTTATGGATGGTACCACATTTATTTCACTTTGAGATAAAAATGTAGTTCCTTTACCATGTTTTATTATAAACAGTAGCAAACATAACATCCTTGCTCACATATATGCAAATGTATTTGTAAGAATTTCTTTATGAGATTGTCAAAATGCTCTTTTATTATGAAATCTATAAAGTTTTATATTAACACAATACATGATAACATTATTACTCATATATATTCCTACTAATATGGTATGAAAGTGTCTGCTCACACACTGGAAATAATGTTGATTATTGATAACTGGTTAGGCAAGAAATCATCTCTCATCATTGTTTTCATTATAACTTATTTTTACTGCCTCCTAGAATTCCATCCTATGGATGTGACATAATCAATTTTCACAACCCTATGTTATTCAGAGTGTCCTGATATTTCCTTTAATCTACACTGGCATCTTTTCAAGGTCTGTGCTCTGCTGAAGGGCACAGTTCCTGTGGCTGTTTGCACTGAGCTGAATGTGTCCTCTTGGAACACAGCAAACTGTCTTAGAAAAATTCTAGTATTGTGATAATAGAACCCAATTAGCGCATGAATGTGGGGGAGTGTGTGTGAATGTGTGCAAGTGTGTGTGTGCTGACAACCACACTTGCCTCTGCTTCCTTCTGCCTCTTCATGGTTTTGCATCCTGTTTGGTCTCCCTTTCTAAATTCAGGTCTAGCAGTGAAGAGAGGGTATTGTTAGGATGGCAGTCCTTATAACCAGACCCTTATCAACATCCTTCACTACATCCTGAAGTTAAACTTTTAAAAAGGAAATTGTTGGTGCTTAGTGTATGCACCTATGTAACCTTTTGATAAGTATTGTCATGCTGACACCCAGAATGTTGTGCCATTTAGGCTCCCCAAAGTGGAACAATGTGAAAAAGTTTGGAGAGGGGTGAGGAAAGTAATAATGCTGGCATCCTGTCACAGAGGGAAGGCCCGGGACCCTGTTGTGGTCCCACTCTCAAGCCATCCCAACATTTGGAAGACATGAAAATGATCAGACCTGAATTAGACTTCAGGTAGCATGTGGGGTGGGGGAAAGGTCATTGGAGGAACACAGGACGTAGAGTCAGGGCTGGGATACAGCTACAGCTTTATGTACATTCGTGTTTATATAAGACATGTGCATCAAGGCCTTTTTATGAAAAATTTTGGTCATTCCTGTGGTACAATAGAAGCCTTGGCCAATATTTTTTAAACAAATTTCTTGCAATATTATTTATAGACAATGGAACCCATTCATTTTAAGGTTGGTGATTTTTATTAAATGTATAGAGTTGTACAACCATCACCATAATTGAGTTTCAGAAATTTCAATTGTCCCCAAAACTCCCATTGTGCTTCAATGCAGTTAAACCTGCACCTATCCTCAGCTCTTGGAACCACAGTTATGCTTTGTGTGTCTGTGGATTTGTTCATCCTGGACATTCATATAAATGGAATCATGCCGTATTTGGTCTTTTGCATCTTTCACTTAGCATGATGTTTTTAGGGTTCATGTGTATTGTAGCATGTAGCAGAATTCATTCATTTTTTAAAGGCTGAATAATATTCTATTCTAAGGATATACCACATTTTGTTTATCCATCTGTCTATTGATGGTCATTTAGATGATTTCTGCTTTTTGCCTGTTATGAGTGATGATGTTATATACGTTTATGTACGAGTTTTTATGTAGACATAGGTTTTCATTTTTCTTGGCTATGTACCTAGGATTGGGATTTCTGGGTCATATGGTAAATCTCTGTTTATTCATCTGAGGAACTGCCAGACGACTTTCATAACCCTGACAGTCTTGAGGAGTACAGGCTCAGTCTGTTGCTTCTCTTGTGATTTGACTGTGGTTACAGATTTTGAGAAGGAATACCACTAGTTCCGGTGCCCTTCTTGTCGCATCATATCTGGGAGTATACGATGCCTGCATGATGTCACTGGTGATGTTAACCTTCATCATTTGGTTAAGGATGGTGTTTGTCATGTTTCTCCAGTGTACAGTAACTATTTTTCCTGTATCGAGAGAGCATATGGAGAGAAGAAGGAAAACACATGTTTCTAATTTCACTGTGAGTCACTGTCATTTCTATGTGGTGGAATGAGCACCCTGCTGGGCCTGGGGGAAGGGAAGAAAGCGGTTCTACCATCTCCATCCAACTGAGTCATGGACCCCATGAGTGGAGTTTGGGGTACAGGGATGAAGTCATCACTCACCCCATTTCTTACTGTTTCATAGTTTTTCCTACCTCCTATTTTCCCCCCACCCTGTTGTATATGACAGAAATATGTTTCCTTTGCGCTCCTGAGGGGCTTGATGAAAACCTTATACTATGTCTGCTGGACAGGACACTGGAGCAAGAGATACTGGAGATCTCTCTGCATCCTGGCACCAAACCCAAACCAGTAACTCTGGGACATTCTTGACTGAGGGGTAAGTCACTTCTCCTGCTAGCCTCCCTTAGAAAGTGCATATTTCTGTTATGTGGGAGCTTCATTGCTGTGTGGTAGAGTAATGGTGAGGCACACAGAAGCAGGTAGAGATGGAGTGCCTGGTGGGTGAGCCAACACCCAGGGCACAGGCTCCAAGACTTGTGCTGCCTGATTCACCCTTCTCATGGTCTGGGTCTTCCCATCTTTCGGTCGTCTCTCAGAGTACCTTGGATTCCTGTTACATCCCATACTGTCACAAAGAGCAGGGGACAAATGGGGTGGGGAAAGGAGCAAAGACAGAGAGAGGTAGAGGTGATCCCTGGAGGGCCTGCTGTTTTCTGTTCTCTTCGCTGTTCTTTCTTGTTCCACATGTTTCTTTATTTCACCCCACAGTTAACCTCAGAAACCTGGTAATCCATATGATCCCACAGCTATGCCTCATGGCCCAAAGGGCAGGATTTCATCTCCACCGTCCTTTTCTTCAACGTGAAGGGCTGTTGAGTGAGTACCCTTAGGGCACAATACTGGGGAAGTGTAAAATTATCATCTTCCAAATGGGAAGCTGCTGGGGGTGGGGGGCAAGAGATGGAACCTCATTGCCATTCTGCCACTTATCTGTAGAGGATCTTAGTCTCTGTGAGCCAGAGCTTGATAATCTGTGAGATGGGACTCACCATATTTTCTTCACACTGCTCTCCTGATGGGTAAATGGAATAAACTATATATTTTTATACTACTATCTTAGTCCGTTTAGTATTGTTAAAAAGGAATATCTGAGGCTGCATAACTTATAAAGAAAAAAAACAAAACAAAACATAATAAAATTGTTATGTGGCTAACAATTTTGATGGTTGGAAAGTTCAAGATTAGGCATCTGCTTCTGATGAGGTTCTCAGGAAGCTACCACTCACGACGGAAGGCCAAGGGGAGCTGGCTTGTGCAGAGATCATATGGCAGGAGAGGGGAAAGAGATGGGAGGTGCTGGGCTCTTTTCAACAACAAGCTCTTGTGGGAACTAATAGAGCAAGCACTCACTCATCACAGCAAGGTTGGCACCAAGACTTTCATGAAGGATCTACCCCCATGACCCAAACACTTCCTGTTAGGCTCCACCTCCAACACTGGGGACCAAATTTCAACATGAGGTTTGGAGGAGACAAACATCCAAACCGTAGCAAACACTTATTGAAATTTTTTCTTCTAAAAATATTGTTTCTGAGATGTCTCTAATAAGGTGACTTTGGGGCTGTTTTGATATTTTGGCCATGCTGCCATGACCATTCTTGCACCCGTGCCAGAGACTCTCTGCAGTGCAGACCTGAGAGGGCAGCAGTTGATGGGGCTATGCTTGCTTCTCTCATATATGTTGCCGAGTATATCTGCAAATATACTCTGTACCGTTTTGTCCTCCTGCAGCAGTGTATAGGATTTTTATGACTCCACAATTTCAATGTAAACAGGACACAGCATAGATACAAACTCACTTTTCAGGTTTTCTCATCAAACTCTAGAATTATTCCAGGACATATTCTGAGGCATAAAGTAGGACTGTTATGTTTGTGTTTAGAAATGCACATGTGAAATATGCCATTTATGTGGATATCAATGGAGAAAAATGAAAAGTATTTTAACATTATAGTGATAGGATATAAAAGTAGCAAATATTAATAAAGTTGGGAAACCCATTATTGCACAAATCTAGAGAAACAGGTGCTCTCATCTTGTAGTTGGTTGGGATATTCATTAGTAAAGAGATTTTAACTTTCAACTAGACAGTATATACTAAAAATAGTCATGCTCTTTGACCAAAAATAATCATTTGTGGAAACATATCCTCCAGATACAGCCTGGGAGGCCCCTGTCATTATCACTCATGTGTCCCTACTGCTGAGGGCTGAGCTGACCATTTCCCTAGCTGGTTTGTTACCTTCAGCCCCAGCCCCATTCCTGACCCTGAGCTATCTATCCTTCCAACCAAACAGGAGAATCTGTCTCATGGCTGAATGCCCAGCCTTGATGAACCATATACGGAGCTTCTCCGCATTGACATGGAGCAATGCTCAGGTCCCTACTCCTGGAGGGACCTGTAGACCTCTGACCTCATCCCTGCATTGGAGAAATCTCTCTTCTTCTCCCTTCTCTGTGTCCTCAGGACCCTTCCCCTCCCTGCCAAGTACAAGCAGTCCAATCCTTTCCTTAAGTTTAAGTTTTCACACAGGATGAAGCAAACACTGGCTTCAGACAGCTTCTGCTTCTAGCCCTGCTATAAACCTTCCCTGAGACAGGGGGAAAGAGGCCCAAGTCTTTTTTTTGTTGTTGTTCTGGAAATGCAGGGAGGGTGATATGGTTTGGCTTTGGGTCCCCACCCAAGTCTCATCTTGAATTGTAATCCCCAGGTGTTGAGGGAGGAATGTGGTGGGAGGTGATTGGATCATGGGAGTGGTTCCCCCATGCTGTTCTCATGATAGTGAGTGAGTTCTCACAAGAGCTGATGGTTTTATAAGTGTTTGGCACTTTCCTCTTCACACTCTATCTTTTCTTGCCGCCTTGTGAAGAAGGTACTTGCTTCTCCTTCACATATCTCCATGATTGTAAGTTTCCTGAGCTCCCCCACACACGCCCACCCAGCCATGTGTAACTGTGAGTTAATTAAACCTCTTTCCTTTAAATTACCTAGTCTCAGGGAAGTTCTTCATAGCAGTGTGAAAACGGACTAATACAGAGGGTAAACACAAGGAGAACAGATATTAAGCTCCTTAACAATATATGTCCTGATGCTAAAGATCTGCCACCAGCAACTCAAGGTGCCTAGGCTGGCAAGTTCTGGTAGTGGACCTGCTGAGCAACCTCTTTGCCATCCAGCTCTGTGGTTAGGAGCATGTGCTTTGTAGTCACAGACATCCGTGAAGAAGAGAGGATACTGGTACCTCACTAGCAGGGCTGTCATGAGATCTAATCCAGACACTAACATAAAGAACCTGGAGCTGGGCCCCTCTAAACACTCTGCTCCATGAGTAGAAGCTATCTTTCCTCTTTGGAGCAGGAAATTCATATGTCAATTTGACCTGCCCCTGCGACCAGGGCCCCTTAACCAGCATGCACATCAGAGTCGCCTTGATGAGCCTTTTCTAAACCCTCAGCTGAAACCCCCTTGTTGGTAGAAATAGGACTTCTGTACAAAGGCCATTCAAGTCATTCGGCTGTAATAATATGGGCCTCAGAAAATGGATACCTCGATGTGGCACCAATAGTGTATATGAAAGTCTGTTTCTCCTTTATTTCACCAACACTAGGTATTACCAGCTTTTGTCTTTTTTTTTTTTTAATCTGATCTGCTCATTGTCCCATGACCTGCCCTGACTTATTGGGAAGGTCATCTCAGATGGTCACTAAACTTACATATTTAGAGGCTCTTCTCCTAAGGTTTCCAGATTTAGCAAATAAAAATACAAAATGCCCAGTTGTATTCAAATAAAAAATTGCATGTCACATCCAGAGAAACAGAACCAATCTAATGTGTATACACACACACACACACACACACACACACACGTATATGGTGAGAGAGAGATTAATTTTCAAGAACTGGCTCACATGACTATGGAGGCTGAAAGTCCAAAATCTGCAGAGTGGGCTGGCAGACTGGAGACTAGAGAATATCCAGTGTTACAGTTCAAGTCTGAAGGCTATCCGCTAGTAGAATTTTTTTTTTGCTTAGAAGAGCTAAGATTTTTGCTCTATTCAGGCCTCCATCTGATTGGATGAGGCCCACCCACATTATAGAGGGCAATCTGCTTTTCCCAAAGTCCACCAATTTAAATGTTGATCTTATCCAAAAACACCCTTGCAGGAATGTGCAGAATAATGTTGAGATACTTGAACAATGTGGCCCAGCCAAGTTGACACATAAAGTCACCATCACATTTACACTAAAAAATTATTCATTGTTTATCTGGAATTCAAATTTGACTGAGTGTATTCTGTTTTTTCTGACAGCCCTACTCACAGAGGGCTCTGTGTTGAACCAAGGTGCTTCATGCAACAGTCCCAGCTGAGCTCCCAGCAGATGCCAGCACCATTCGCTATCCATGTGAGTGAGCTCTCTTGGATGTCCCAGGCAAGTGTAGCGTGCTGATGACTGCAGCCCCAGGTGACAGACACCACACAGAATAGAAAACACCCAGCAAAGCCCAGTCAATTCATAGAATCCCGAGAGATAATAAATAGCTATTGTTTGGGGACATTTTGTTAAGCACAAGTGGTTATCTAAAACATTATGGTTTTGGTGACCTTTTCTTCATTTTCTGTGATCTGTTCTCAGATCACAGATTGTGAAGGCTTGGCAGGGGGCTTTGTTATAATTTTCACTATAGTCTACGTGTTAGTTTATGTGTGGGTATATATTTCTGAACATCCCATTAATTCCTTCTTGATGGGATTTTCAAGGGAAGTTTTCATAAAATATGCTTTTCTATCTATTCTTGCAATTTAGAACATAATTCCAATCTCTCTCTATAGGATAAGCCTCTGATGCAATCACTTGTGTTAAGAAATTGAGAGAATGTTGATATAAACTGCTCCCTGAGCCATATGGAAAGCTGTATCTTCTGCAGGTTGCTTGGTGAGTATGCAAGGAGTACAAGGTATATTTATTCACTTTGAGAAGTGTTTCTCTAAGAAGGTATCCTGAAATATTTTCTCCTGCTACAGGGATAGCCCTTAACAAGGAAGTCACTTTCCTTGGGCACACATAGACAGGGCTCCTTCAGCAGACAGCAGATAGATATGCAATGCAGGCCTTGTTTTTTTGTGATGGTCCCAATGTATCACTGGATAAGTCTGTCCAATTCTGGGGTTTGTTCATAGGAAACCCATGTGCCACCAAATCTATGTCACATTCTCCAGTATCACCTTTATAAGGAATAAAGTCAATTTATTGTTCTTCTTATTCTTTTGTGGTATTTCTCAGTTGGTATACAACTCAGACTTGGAACTGGAGGGCATTTTTGGGGGCCCCTTAAAGATCCAAGCATTGTGAAGCAAGACTATAGGAATAGTTGGGGAGCCAGCGAGACACAGGAGAGTAGAGCTGTGGACCTATTGTAAGCCCCACCCCTGAGGGCAGAGCAGAACATATGCTTGGTTAAGTGAAGATTACAACCAAGAGTTTTGAAGGGAGAGGACCTGGGCTGTGCAACCTGTTTCTCCTTCCAAACCCACCAACTAGATGAGACATTCCTGCGATAGAGGAGTGAGCGTATCAAGAGGCTAGAAGTGTTTTGGGTATCGATGTCTCTCCACATGGAAGAAAATATTAAGAATGGTGGATAAGAATTCCCCAAAATGAGCCAATGTATGTTTCAATTGACTAGATTTCTGCCTACTAAATGATTACATTATTATAGGCCTGCCTCCCTGAAATAACTGAGATATCTTAAATGACATTTCTTGGTGTTCCTACATCATTTACACACATGATTATAGACAGTCTCTTAGTCTTCTGCCACAGATAGCTAACTGCTTAGTGTGTTGTGTAAGTTTTACACATCATCCTCAGAAGGTTAGCTCATCACCAGGAGCCCCTAGGATACCTCCCTGCAGCTCTGTGTAGTGATGATACTCAACTACTGTCACTTTTAAAGCAGACAATATTCCTGCCAATGGGGAGATGCTTTGTTTCACCAAGCTGGGCAGAATTCCACAAATCACCCTTGTCTGAGGCTAGTTCCACTAATTAGTAAGCTTTCTCAGGAGGTAGCCTGAAGAGTGGAAGAGTGAAGTTTTTATTTATTTATTTATTTATTTATTTATTTATTTATTTATTTATTTATTTATTTGAGAAAGGCAAGGGGACAGAGGGCTGTGCAGAAGCATTTCTGATGTGGAGGACAAGCCTGAGCACCACGGTTGCCATAGAAACCAGAAGTCATTACTGTGACCTTGATGACTTTTAATAGAGACCCCTGTGGGCTGGTGAGAATAGCAGGGTCCCGCCTTCAGGTGTTTGGGACTCAACTGAGGGTGTGAGTGCCCCACAGTGGGGGCTGAAGTGCCTTGGGATGTGGGGAGACGAAGGGATCCCAGATCTAAGTCCCCTCACTCCCAGTTTGAAACAAGTTGCTCTCACTGTTTCATGAGGGAGAGAGCTAGGACCCTCCTGGCCCCAGTGAGTGGGGTGTCCTGCTCCTGGTGTCCTGGAGCTACTTTCTATGTAAAGGTGGGACGTGGGAGGATGAGACAAGTAAGGACTCTCTGAGCCCAGTGTCCCCCTCTGTAAAATGGGGATAATTATGCCAACCCGCAGGATTGCTGCAAGCTGCAGTGATAACACAGGTGCAAGCCCATAGCCCTGTGGTTACTGCACGATCAGGAATGCCTGTGTGAATTCAGGCCTCTTCTTAGTCCTTTACAGATTTGTTGTTAGGAGATAGAGGAGGAAAGGAGGAGAAAAAGGCCCTGGTGAGAAACCCATTGTATCTTCTGGTTGTAATGATCACTACCCAATTGTATCAGTGTCACTGGTCACTGACCCAGTGCCTAAGATGGTTCCTGGCACACTGTTACTCTAAGAAAGCACAGTGATTGCTGGATTCTCTCTGTCCCTGTGCAGATCTTCATCAGGTTATTGAACTCATAACAGGTGTATGAAGGAGATGGGCTTTGAGGATCTGGGTCGTGATGGCTGCTGAAGCTTCTACTTCAGATTTGAAGGGCAGCAGTCCTAAGGAGACCCCCAACACTTCCATCCCTGGTGGGATATGATGCCTGGCTCAAGTGAGCTCATAGATCTGGACAGAAGCATGTTGTGGAATACCTCTGTGAGGTTTATAATATAGTCTAAAAGCAGAGAAACTCCTTTGATCCCATCTTTGGAGAAGAGGTTTAGCATGTGGAATTTCCTTTCATCAGCAGCTATGTGCTTTGAAGCCGCCCTTGAGGCCCATGTTTAAAATGCCTTTCGTTGTTACAAAGCAATGAATAATTCATTTGGGGAATCAACTTGATGTTTAACATGTATTTGAAATAAATTTACATATGTTTTCTGCCTGTATAAATAATGATCAGTGATTCCCATGTATCTCTCAGATGGGCATTGAAATACACAGTTGGTCAGAAGGTCTTCCAAGCAACTGGAGATTGTAATATGCATTTTTCAATGGTAACCATGTTATTATCCATTCTGTAATACATTTTTTAAGAAGGCAAAAATGTACAAAGTATTAGTTAAAACTGTCAAAATGTCAGATACAAAAGTTCAATATTTTGAAAAATAATAATTTCCATATAATTTGCTCTATTATAATGATACCCAGTCATGTCCCCTAAAATAACCAGCTAGGCCTAAATATTATTATCATTGTTTCCCAGAACATAAGATTTTCAGTTCTGTACTACTAGGACTCTCTATCCCTCCTATTGCCCTGTCCCCAGACAAACACAATACTTTGTCACTATAGATTAAGTTTTATGTCCTAGACATTTATTTAAATGGAATTGTAGAAATGTTTTTCTGCGTTTGTTTTTGATTTTTGGTTTGGCTTCTTTCATTCACCCAATTTATTTTTAGATGTATCCATTTTGTTGCACATATCAATAGTTCATTCTTTTTTATTGCTGAATAGTATTCCAGTATATGGCTATATCATAAATTTTTTATCCATTCACCTGTTGTTGGATATTTTAATTATTTCCAATTAGGATCTCTTGTAAACAAAGCTTCTATGAATATTTGTGAATAAGTCTTTCCATGGAAATAGGCTTTCTTTCTCTAATAAATACTTAGGAGTGCAATGGCTGGATCATGTGGTAGATGTAAGATTAACATTGTAAGAAACTGCCTGTTTCCAAGTGTTTGTACCATTTTTCATTACCACCAGTAATGTATCACTGTTTCATCCTCCACAACCTCGACAGAGCTTGGTATAATCTGTCTTTTTAATTTTTTTAATTCTCACAGGAGTTTAGTAGGATCTCATTGAAATTTTCATTTACATTTCCCTTATAACGAGTGATGCTGAGCATCATTTCCTGTGCTTACATGATATTTGTATGTCTTCTTTAGTGGAATGTCTATTCAAATATTTTGCCTGTTTCTTTACTGGTGTGTGTTTTCTTCTTACTAAGATTTTAAACATATTCTGGATACAAGTCCTTTATTAAATATATAATTTTCAAACATTTTACCCCGGTCAGCAGCTTACTTGTCTATTTTTTCAACCATGTAGTTGGAAAGCTAAAGTTTTTAACTTTGAGGAAGTCCAATTTTTCAATTTCTTTGCTTATAGATTGTGGTTTTGTTGTCTCATCTATGAAATCTTCACCTGACCCATTGTCAAAAAGATTTTCTCCTGTTTTTTTTTTTTCTGCTAGAAGTTTTATAGCATCAAATTTTATATTTAGATCTCAGGTCCATTTTGAATAGACTTTTGTATATAGTGTGATATCTGAGTCACAGTTTATATTTGTGCATGTCAATATTCACTTGTCCCAGCACCATTTGTTGAAACAATAATCCTTTCTCCACTGAATCACCATTGCATCTTTGTCAAACTCAGTTGTCCATATACTTGTGGGTCTATAGCTGGACTCTTTATTCTGTTCCTTTGATCTACTAATCCATCTTGATGCCAATAGCACACTGTCTGGATTACTGTATGTTTGTAAGGAGTCTTGAAATCAGGTAGTGTTTGTCTTCTAATTTTGTTCTTTATCAAAGTTGTACTTCATAGTTGATATGGTTTGGAACTGTGTCCCTACCCAAATCTCATGTCAAATTGTAATCCCCAATGTTGGATATGAGGACTGGTGGGAGGTGATTGGATCGTGAGAGTGGATTTCTCCCTTTGGTTCTGTTCTCATAATAGAATTCTCATAAGATCTGGTTGTTTACAAGTGTGTAGCACCTTCCCTGCCATGTAAAACGCCTGCTTCCGCTTTACCTTTCGCCATGAGTTAAAGCTCCCTGAGGCCTCTCCAGAAGCAGATGCCTCTATGGTTCCTATATAGCCTGCAGAACCGTAAGCCATGAAAACCCCTTTTTTAAAATAAATCACCCAGTTTCATGTGTTTGTTTTTAGCAATATGGGAACAGACTAATAGAGTCTAGGTCTTTTACATGTCCATATGAATGTTAGAATCAGCCTGTCGGTTTCTTTAAAAATTTTTTAATAGGATTTCCATTTGAATTGCTCTGAATCTATAGATCAGTTTTGGAAGAATTGACATCTTAACAATACTGAATCTTCTCAGTATTGTTTGTGACCCATGAGCATGGTAAGTCCTCCACTTATTTAGGTCTTTAATTCTCTCAGCAATGATGTGTGGTGTTCAGTGTACAGGCACTGCACATCTGTGGACAGATTGTTCATAAATATTTCATACTCTTGATGATGCTATACATGGCTTTGTTTGTTAAACACAATTGCTAATTACTATATTTTCACAGTACTATCAGCAACCAAGTGTTTAACATCAGTGAGGCATTTTTTTGGTTGAAAGCACAGCTTACTCTAGGATGGAAAAGGTATTTGATCCTTAACCTGTGTTTACCTGTATTTCCGTATCTGCTTTTACAAGTCATTGGCGATATATTGAAACTATGGAGGAAAATGTTCCAGAGACAATTCTACAGGTCATCTTCAGAAATCACACCAAAAGAACATAGTTTAGTAGCTTTCAACTTTATATGTGTGGTCAGAAATGATTTTGTTGCAATGTGTGGCTCAGGCTGGAGTGCAATGGTGCAATCATAGCTCACTGCAGCCTTGAACTCCCAGGCTCAAGCAATCCTCTCACCTCAGCCTCCTGAATAACTGACTACAGGTGTGTGCCCCCATGCTCAGCTAAACTTAAAAACATTTTTCAGAGACAGAGTTTTGCTATGTTGTTTAGACTTCTCTCACACTCCTAACCTCAAGCAATCCTCCTACCTCAGCCATCTGAGTAGCTGGGATTATAGCCACGAGCCACCATGCCTGGCGAGATTTACTTCTTTACCCACCAGTAAATCAACCTCAATAAATTCTTGGAATTTGGAGTGGTGAGAGGGTGAGCAAGCATATATGTATGTGAGTATGTATACATTTGTATGTCACTGAAGCTGTCAGGAATTTTTATTGTAAGGACTACTTGAGGTTAATTACTGTGCATCATGTCAATCCTATTTAGTTCCTAGTACATATTAGGAACAAGCTCGGGATAGTGGTGTTTGTTTTTTCTCAGCTTTCCTTGGCCAGAATGGTTACCATGGTGACTCAGTGACTGCGGTGTGATTTGGTGCAGACTGAGCATCCATTTAGGATTCTTGCCCGAATCTCTCACACCACATTGCCTGTCCATCAGATATAGTATTAGCTTTTCATCTTATGTGTAATTAATCACTTTTCAAGGGCTCAGAAGAAAGTTGCTTCACTTATCTGAGGTTAAGCTACAGATAACATAAAAAGACACTAAGTACCTTGAAATAAAAGGAAATGAGTTGTTGATATTCCTCTCCTGCCCCAATCTCTATTGGGAGGTTAGAAGAGAAATTCTTGGAATCATACAGCATGTGCTCTTTTGTGTCTTGCTTCTTTCAGTCAACATAATGTATGTGAAATTAATATTTATTGTGGTCTATATTGTAGATTGCTTATTCTCATTGGTGTAAAGTATTATATTATTTGGATATTTCACACTATATTTATCTGTGATGGAGATTTGTGTATTTTCCAGTTTTTGACATCTCATGAATAATGGTGTTATGAATGTTCATGTTCATTCTTTTGGATGAACATATATTTTCTTTTTTAAAAAAATCTTATTATCAATAATATTTGAACTATTTAATATCTGTCATCTTAAAATTATTATTCATAACACTTTTTACCTTGTAGCTATAGACAAATACATTCCCATTTTAGCAGGTTAATGAAATTATCTTTATAATACTATAGAAGCATTTATTTGAAGAATACCAGAAGGAACATCCTGAAAACCAAGAACTCAAAATGCCTTTTTATCCCAAAGACATGTTTTACAAATATATACCCATTCATCCATTTGTTTTCACAAATGAAGCTACAGAGAACTTTGAATATAATGATGTGCAGCAGGGGCTTATTCCTAACATATTTAAAATTTAGGTCAACCAAACTTCTCTGTGGAAACTGAGTTGAAATCCGAAATCTTACAATCCTAATTTCGAGCCACATTCATTTTAACTTAATTTTAACATGTTTTGCAAAATGTTCCAATATAAACTTAATAGTTCCTATACCACCAAACATGGATCCTCATGATTTTATTTTCTAGATTGGCTGATAGGCTGAATAATCTCCTGTAGGGTAAGAAGTGTCAACTGTATCAAGCACATGGAGGTGGACTGGCTACAGGAGAAAGGTTTTCCAAATCAAATTCCAAGTATTTCTTTCTCTTTTTATATTACCATTAGGAGAAATAACTAATGTAGATGACGGGTTGATGGGTGCAGCAAACCACCATGGCACGTGTATACCTATGTAACAAACCTGTACATTCTCCACATGTATCCCAGAACTTAAAAGTATAATAAAAAAATTTAACAAAATGGTGTTAGATTCAGAGGCTTGATTCAATTTAGATTTGTTTTGGTCAGAAGTACTTCATATGTGGTATTGTTTATTCCTATAGTGTTACACAGGGGGCTCATTGTGTCTAATTGTCTCTCCTCTTGTGATGTTAAGATTAATTACTATGTTCAAGTATTGTTAAGCTGATCCATCCATTATAAAATTTCCCATCCCTTTTTCACCTCGATTTTTCTGCAGCGTCTAAGGATTGTTGCTTAGTTCTATATTCATTAAAGGTCATAAAAGGATGATATTCTAATTCTATAATTTTCTCTGCTTTATTAGCTGGAATTATTCTATTAAATAAACTTTCATAAACCATTAGGTTACACTGAGGGATAGTATGTATAGAAAGGGTTGGATGAGTGCCTAATTCTTTTGCAATATTTCCACTTTTCAAAACAATGAGTTGTTTCCCTAGGGTTCTCCAAAGGCAAGCAATGAGTTGATATTGTTTGTTTTATTTTATTTTTCTTTTAGAGTGTCATCATGAGCTGTAGAAGTTTTTATATTATAATGTGTTTTAATCCATAGTAGTCATTATTTTATTTAATGTTCAAATTGCTTCATCTTTGTCCAGCGAGAGCCCCTTAAGCTTGGCTTCTGAGTCTTTTTGACGCACTCTCTGGCATGATAGTTTGGTCCAGATTCATCTAGTAGAATGGCTACACAGACCTAAACTCAGTCATTTCTCTAAGATAACCTAGTTCCTTTCAGTGTGATGTGTTTTAAGTGGATTCAATATGGGCACTAGAGTTGCTCATTGCTACTGGGTCTATCATGTTTCTTCACCTTTCTAGTGCATGGAGCCAGTGTATATATATTATATTTTTAAGGGAAAAGACATTATTGGCTTCTGTCCTGGGCTGTTTTTCCTTCTCTTTATAGGTAATGATTTTTTAAATCAATTTTCATTAAAACTTTCCAATTTTAAAAATATAAGCAAATAGAATGTTTCTATTAGTTTTCTCCTATTCCATATATATAAGGTGACATATTCTACACTGGTGGAGTCCAATAGAATTTCTACAAAGGTGAAAATATTCTATGTCTCAACTGTCCAACATAGTAGCCACTAGCTACCTGTGACTATTAAACACCTAAAATGTGGTGAGTGTGACTGAGGAAGTGAATTTAAAATTCCATTTAAATTTAGTTAACTTAAATAGCCATGAGTGGCCAGTGGGTATGGTATGGGACAACAGCAGCTCTACACATTTTTCTGCACTTTGCTTTATTCACTTAATGGTATATCCTGGAAATCACTACATAGCAGCAGAGAGAGGGAATCTTCCTTGCTTGTTATACCGGCATTGAAATCTAGGATGTAGATGCACCTTAGATTATTCAGTCAGTCCTTTATTGGTGGACATCTGTCTTATTTCCAGTCTTCTGCTGTTACAATTTGTTCTGCCAAGAATGACCTTGTGCTTCTGCCTTTTTATCTTTTTGAATTGTATCTTTGGGATACATTCTCCGAAGATTGTTGGTTCCAAGATAAAATAATTGTGCCCTATGAAATAGAAGATTTGAAACAGAGAGCATTTAGAAATATAGTAGCAATAAATGAATGTTGGTTTTATCTTATCATTCCTTTGATTCCATGTACTCTCTGCTCTCTTATTTTCTTTCTAGTGTGACGTGGGTGAAGGAGTTCTTATTGAGCCATGGGAGGAAGAAATAGTACAGAAGAGCAAAGAATAATAATGAGTCAGCTAGACAGAAGACAGGAGTCATCAGATTTGTACCCTAGTTACTCGACCCATCAACTGACTGTGGTTTTTGGGGTGAGTCTCTTCCCTCTGTTGGCCTCTGGTCTAACACAGAAGGATACTCAGTATAGAAATAGTGGTTAGGGGAGGGGGCTTTTGGGTGAGAAGGACTTGGATTTGACCCTGATAACCATTACTTGCTGGTTGCATGATCTGTATCAACCAATTTATCTACCGTGTGCCCTGTAACTATTTATGTCTTTTATTATTATTCCTATCATGCATACAAAGACTGAATGATAAAAGTGGGGATTACTTTGCCAGGTATTAAAGTGTTCTTTGAGCGTATAATTTCATAAGTTTTGGACAGAGTGGTTGACATGCAGGTTAAAGAAGTCTAAAGAAAGCTCTTGAGTAGACCCTGGCATATAACGTCATTTAAGATGCTGCAAGTATGGCATTTCTACTCAAATGCATTGTTAAGGAATTGGGTCTGGGCCAGCTGTAAAGGGTTCATTAAAAAGCAAAGTTAGATTATATCTTATACCTTGTCATGTACTTAGAATGTTTCATCCACATGTTAGTACTTAAGACAAAAGCAAAACTGAAAATAACAACAAAAAACCCAGGATGCTATACTGTACATATAATTATAACAGCTTTATGAATTGTATTTGTAATGCATGTACAGTACATGTGCATATATCCATGTATAAAAAATCCTTAGAAAGATCTAGTACCATGTTAATTTTAATTATGATGGGATTGCTGGCTATTGATATTTTTAACCTCTGCATTTGGCTCAATATTAAACATTTGCTAAGGTGAGAGTATGGATTGTACATACTCCATACCCCATGCTTGACTTACTATGGGAGTTACATCCTGATAAACTCATTGTAAGTTGAAAATAATTGTAGGTCAAAAATGGGCATTTGTAGACAAGATGAGATGTGAAAATACAATATCAAAAAAATCCTGGCAACACTGTACACTATAGGGTCTCAGTAGTTTATCCTCGTGATTGCATGGCTGACTGGGAGCTGTGGCTCACTGCTGCTCCCTAACCAGCATCACAAGAGTATAATACTGCGTTTTGCTAGCCCAGGAAAATATCAAAATTTAAAACTTGAAGTACAGTTTCTACTGAATGTGTACCACTTTCACACTATCATAAAATTGAAAAATTATAAGTCAAAACATCAACAGTCAGGGAATGTCTGTATTTATGATAAAAACTATATCCCCTAAAACCTCTGCTACTTGTGAAATGTTTCAGATAAAAAACAGAGAGAACTATGAAATTAGTCCAGCTTAGGAAAACCTTTACTCCTCCCTAATTGTATCTCCTTCCGTCTCTGCTATAGATAATCAGCACCCAGAAAGCAATGATTATAATTCCCATATGTTGCTTTATCCTTTTATTCCATATGAGAGCTTCCCTAAATAAAACATAGTATTGTTTTGCATGTTTCACCACAAACACACATACACCTGATCCTTACACTCAAGAGAGCATTATGACATGTTCAAGGGGAGATCTTTGTCAAGATGCTGGCACGGTATTTGGTGTGTCATTCACAGTGCCAGTGTTTGCTTCCTTCCCATCTCACCTCTTCTGATCTTTAACAGGGATGTTGTTTCATAATCTGGATAGCATCACTATATTTTAGTGAGTATTTGGGAATGTAAGGGAACCACACACACTCATCTATATTATGTAGGAGGTTAGGTGCCATCTCTGTGCTATGCAATGTGATGAAGTTGGGATGAGGGATGAGTACTCACTCTTTTCTATTGTATGATGGTATGGTAGTGAGTTACACTTAGTGAACCTTACCTTGCTCATCAATAAAATTAGCATATTGCTATTTACCTCACAGGAGTGTTATGAGAAATGAGCAAAACTAAAGAAACCATCTGATACATAATACTTCAATAAATATATATTTGGTCTCCCCTCTGTTTTCCCTTCCTCAAAAGACTTAAACATGAACATCCCACAGAGATTATTTAAATTTGAAACATTGGGAAAGGAAACAAACATACTCATATGTTATAGAACCTTTGGTGACATTTCTTTGTGGATGAGATACCTGAGAATGGTGGAAGTTTGGGATCAAATAATCACTTCGTTACTTTTTATTTGATGTGTTCTTCTATTCCTTTTTACCTTCCATTTTGACACTGGAATAGAAACCTTTGTTTCAACCCCAGAAAGGAGGCAGTACAGAATAAAAGAGCATAAAGATGAGTATTCTGTACAACAGACTGAACAGGAGACCTGGGGACTGAATGCCAGACCTGTCCTTGTCTAGAAGACACTTTCCCTGAGCTGGACACAGCCCTTATTCAGAAAAAGATTGTATATCCCAATGGTTAGGGATGGTGACTTGAGAGTCAGAGTTTAGTTTGAACTTGGAATCATTTAATAACTCATTTCATGCTGTCTGGCAAATCTTGAATGTCTCAATATATTAGACTCACATGCAATGAATGTACATTATGATGCATACATACAGAGTATAATGGGGGTAATATACAAACATAATACTCTTTTTTTAAGTTAATGAGTAATAGGATTACTTGATTAATTATATATTTATTTCTGGACATAACTATATTTTTCACAACTTCTAAATTGATACAAATCATTTTTATAATCAGAACTAGTCATAGAAACATTTATTGTTCTGAAATATTTTAGACATAAAGAAACTTACAAAAAGAATATACTGTATATACTCATATTAAGAAATAAACCATTATATGTACAACTGAAATTCACTTAAAGTCTGGGCTGGGTGCAGTGGCTCACACCTGTAATCCTTGTACTCTGGGAGGTTGAGACGGGTGGATCACTTGAGACCAGGAGTTTGAGACCAGCCTGGGCAACATGGTGAAACCCCATCTGTACAAAAAAATACAAAAATTAGTTGAGCATAGTGGTACAGGACTGTAGCCCCAGTTACTTGGGAGGCTGAGGTGGGAGGATCACCTGAGCCAGGGAGGTCAAGGCTGTGCTGAGCCATAATTGTACCACTGCACTCCAGCCTCGGTGACAGAGTAAGACCCTGTCTTAACAACAAAAAAAAGAAATTCAAAGTTTCTTCAGCTTGCATTAGCCTCCTTCTTACAAAGGAGTAATCATTAACAAGCATTTAGACTTTTCACTATTTATCCTTTGTTACATATGTATATATTTCTGCATGAAATATGGTGTTATTTTGTTGCGTGTTTTATCTGTAGTTGTCTGGCTATCTGACGGAAAGGAGAAAGGAAGAAACATGAGAAGAACAAATACCCATTCATATCTCAACACTGTGACCTGCCATATATGCCTCTTTACATGTGTACTGTCTTTCAGAGCTACTAAACCAGACACACCACTTTTCCAGTTTACATGCTATAGAGAGCACTAACAGAATTGGTACATATCATTTTTCAGTCATTTAAAAAAAATGTGATGTGTTCAAAGTCTTAAGAGTTTCCCAGGTGACAGCCAGCCCAAAACAATGTTGCAATGTGTCTGTGTGTGTGTGTGTGTGTGTGTTTTCTTGAGACAGGAGCTCTTTAGCCTCCTTATGTTGCTCAGGCTGGAGTGCAGTGGCTATTAACAGGCACAATCACAGCACGCTACAGCCTAGAACTCCTGGGCTCAAGTGTTTCTCTCACTTCAGCCTCCCAAGTAGCTGGGATTTGCAGTGTATCTCGAATGTGAAATATCTTCCCATTGTCCAGGCATAATTTCCCAACTTTTATTCATGCTATTACACATCTATGTCTGTAAATCTGGAACTAATCTGGGCAGTCTTGGTGAAAAAAAGTCAGTGATTGCCAGGAGTTGGTTTTTATGTGTCCAATCTACTATCCAAATCCCTCGGTTAGTTTAGGTATGCATCCCATTTAGAACTTGATATGATTTGTTATTACATGTGATTGGCATGTGTATATTTTCTTTCGGTTTAATATTTTTAATTGTATAAGTGAGGTACTTCATACGTGTGTTGATTACTCCTGGGGCCCTGGGCCGAGTGAGACTGTGACTCTACTTTTACCCTGAATCCCGCTGTGTTAGGATTCTGTCCTCTGGAAGCTGTGGTGCTGAGCCCTAGTGGTTTCATGCAGTCCCTCCCCTTTCCCTCCCCTGTGGCAGTCACTGCTTGGCCAACTAGGTGGGTAAACAGAGGAGCCTGCTGTCAATTCAAAGGACTTTATTTGTGCTAGTGCAGAAAGAAGCATGTTGTGAAACCACTTTCATCTCATGACCTTCACTAAAATCTTGAAAAGTAGAAATGTCATCTGGCTGTTGAATGTGAGGTTCATCTGAGAGACGTGCTTGCCCTTCCCCCGGGTGTCTGTAATTTCCCTAAACCTGCCCACCTGGGGATGTCATGTATATAGATTCATACTTTAATTCTAGGACCACCCTAGTACCTAATTGTCTTGGCTTACACATGTTATCATTCCTAACGGTGAGCAACTTTCCTTGAAAAGGGCAGGGGTATTTTGTTTTTATTGTTTTTTTCACTTCCAAAACCAAGACACTTTTCTTCTAGATAAAAATGGAAAATGCCTGAAGGGAATAAAATCTTTAAAAAACCTTAAAATTTTATTATGCATGGATAAGCACTGTCAAGATTTGAATTTTTTTTCAGAAGTTATATTATGCAAATGTAATTATATATTTAAGAATAGAAATAAAATAGTATCCTACTTTTAGCTTTGTAAACTGCTTTTTTATGACAAATATATATTGTGAAGGTCAACTCATGCTAACAAATTAAAATCCACATTATAATAAAAAATGGCAGTAGAAACAGTACTAGTCAATCCGGGTATGAAATAATGATAGAAATGGTTAATATTTATTGTGATTTTTCTCAGTTCCTGCAACTGCTGTAATTCTAAATCTATACTTCATTTAATCCTCACCACCATCTATAAAGAGGAGCGGTTGTTTCCAACTTTAAACACAAGAGAACTGGGGTACAACAAGGGCAGGGCTAGCAAGTTGTGAGGCTGAGATTTGAACACAGGCTGTGTGGCTCCCCAGTAAATTTATCTAACCAGCATGTGCTACTCCTGCTCATTAGATCTCCAGCCTTACTGTTGATCAGGGCACAGAAAAAAAAAAAACAGCTAACCAAAACTAAGGCTTTGTATTAGTTTCCTATGGCTGCTGTACATAGTACCACAAACTTGTGGCTTAAAATAACAGAAATTTAGTCTCTCACAGTTCTGGATGCAACACTTTTGAAACACCCAAGAATGTCAATAACCTTCTGTCTACAAAACATCGAACTCAAGGAATATCAGTCTGAAATCCAGGTGTCAATTGGGCCTTGCTCCTTTTGAGTCTATGGGAAGAATCTTTCCTTTCCTGTTCCTAGTATCTGGTGATGGCCATAGATCCATGATGTTGCTTGCTTGCAGGGACATCACTCCAGTCTCTTCCTCTGTCACCACATATTGCTCTCCCTGTGTGTCTCTGTCTTTAGTGGCATTTTCATTATCTTATACGACCACAAGTCATATTGGATTAGAGCTCACCCTAATAGTCTCATCTTAACTTGATTACATCTGCAAAGACTCTATTTTCTTTTTATTATACTTTAAGTTCTAGGGTACGTGTACAGAACGTGCAGATTTGTTACATATACATGTACCATGGTGGTTTGCTGCACCCATCAACCCATCATCTACATTAGGTATTTCTCCTAATGCTATCCCTCCCCTAGCCCCCACCCCCTAACAGGCCCCGGTGTGTGATGTTCCCGTCCCTGTGTCCATGTGTTCTCATTGTTCAACTCCCACTTATGAGTGAGAACATGCAGTGTTTGGTTTTCTGTTTTTGTGTTAGTTTGCTGAGAATGATGGTTTCCAGCTTCATCCATGTCCCTGCAAAGGACATGAACTCATCCTTTTTTTTTTTTCTTTTTTTTTGAGACGGAGTCTCGCTCTGTCACCCAGGCTGGAGTGCAGTGGCATGATCTCGGCTCACTGCAAGCTCCGCCTCCTGGGTTCACGCCATTCTCCTGCCTCAGCCTCCCAAGTAGCTGGGACTACAGGCGCCCACCACCACACCTGCCTAATTTTTTTGTATTTTTTTTTAGTAGAGATGGTGTTTCACTGTGTTAGCCAAGATGGTCTCAATCTCCTGACCTCATGATCTGCCCGCCTCGGCCTCCCAAAGTGCTGGGATTACAGGCATGAGCCACCGTGCCCGGCCAAACTCATCCTTTTTTATGGCTGCATAGTATTCCATGGTGTATATGTCACGTTTTCTTTATCCAGACTATCATTGATGGGCATTCGGGTTGGTTCCAAGTCTTTGCTATTGTGAATAGTGCCACAATAAACATACGTGTGCATGTCAAAGACTCTATTTTTAAAATAAGGTCACATTCAAAGGTATCTGGGGTTAGTACATCAATGTATCTTTTGGGGGAACAAAATGCAACCAAATGATAATACCTTGATTTTTCCCAGTTAACTAGGCAAAAATTAAAATTGATAATTATCAGTGTGAGTGGGAATTTGGGGAAAATATGCCGTGTTATAATGTAGATGAGGTTCCCACAAAATCTTCTCTCCCTTTCTGAGTCTCAGGAACATTCCTCATTCTAAGTATCAGTGTCTTTTCTGTGCTTAGGGCTGAAAATGTTTAAGTTTCACCACCATTTTATTATTTTGTATAATTGCAAAAGCAGTAGCTATTTATTATAGTTAAAAATAGATAGCTTAGGAGAGGAAATAAATAACATCACTCCCAAACAGAACACTCAAAGACAAGTCCTGGTAATGAGTTTATCTGTATAAATTCTTTTAGAAGTTTCCTTATTCAGGTATTTATATATTTAAGCAGAACTGCATGCATTTATATATGTATTTGTGAAAGACAAAGTTTCATTCTACTCACTTTCATCCTATTTACTTTTGTAACAAGCTAACAAACAACATACATGAAAGGTTGTGAGTAAATATCAGGCTGCACCATAGGGATAGTAGAGATACTAATGGCCCATAAAGATAGAGAAAAAGAAATAAAAATGTCTAAAATATGTTATGATCTGAGTGATTTTTAGGTATTGAGTCATTTGGTGCTCGTAGTTCCCTCACAAAGTAGATCCTGTGGCTAATCTCCATTTCATAGATGAAAAACTGAGGGACAGAGAGAATAAGGACTTTGCCTGAGACCACACAGTTAGGGAGTGGGACAATTGGATTTATGTCCAGTACATCATGCTCCCGAGTCTGAGAAATTGTGAAATCTCTGTTGTTAGGTGAAAGATGCAACTGGACAAGCAAGGATATTTTAGGAGTTCATTAAAAGGAATATTTCGGTTGGGCACGGTGGCTCATGCCTATAATCCCAGCATTTTGGGAGGTTGAGGCGGGTGGATCACGAGGTCAGGAGTTTGAGACCAACCTGACCAACATGGTGAAACCCTGTCTCTACTAAAAATACAAAAATTAGCCAGGCGTGGTGGCACATGCCTGTAATCCCAGCTACTCAGGAGGCTGAGGCAGGAGAATCGCTTGAACCCGGGAGGTGGAAGTTGCAGTGAGCCGAGATTGCCCCACTATACTCCAGCCTGGGTGATAGAGCAAGACTCCGTCTTAAAAAAAAAAAAAGGAATATTTCATATGTTAATACATTTATACAAAAAAAACTGCTCATGATGAAAAAACTGGTCATAATGAAAAACAGGTGGAATGTGACCTTGGAGAGCATCTTCATCACAATTCTGGGGACAGAAACCATAGTGCAGTGGGATAAGGATCAGTGGGAAGTGAAGATTGTTAACAGAAAATGCAGAAAACTCTTTTTGGTTCTTGACTTTGAAGGAGAAAAGAGAGAGGAAGGGAAGGAGGGAGGGAGAGGAAGAGGGGGATGGACAGGGAGAGGGAGAGGGGAGGAGAGGGGAGGGAGGGAGAGGGGAGGAGAGGGGAGGGAAGGAAAGGGGAGAGGAGAAAGAATGGAGGGGTTAGGGGAGAGGGAGAGGGGAGGAGAGGGGAGGGAAGGAAAGGGGAGGAGAGGGGAGGGAAGGAAAGGGGAGAGGAGAAAGAATGGAGGGGTTAGGGGAGAGGGGAGGGGAAAGAAGAGACAGAGAGACAGAGAGACAGAGAGAGAGAGAGAGAGAGAGAGAGAGAGATCCTGTGGCTGATTGGGTGATGAGGGATCCAAAGAGATTTTTAAAAACTTCAATTCCTTGAAATTTGAGCAAGTTTAAAAGTTGACGTGAAGAAGTCGTCTCATCTCAGATTTAACCTGTGAAGTTGCCCATATATTCATTTCCCTTCTTGCTCTCTTATTTCCACTTTAGAGTTAATGAGATACCTCCAATGAACTATGTTTTTCGAGCTCAATACATATTTAGTTATTACCTAATAACAGAGTGGACAATCGTGTGTTACAGAAATGCCAGTAATTCCTGGATTTTTGTCTCTCAGGAAGGCAGCAAGTTGCTGAAATTTTGATGTGATGTAGCTGAATTATGCATGAACTGAGGACCCTGCACAGGTGACTGCAGGATATGTCCAGAATATTCATATCTATATCTATATATCTACACACACACACTAAACAGTGCTGGAGCACTCATTAGACAATCACTGCCCCTTGTGTCCCGGATGCGATCTGGCATGGAGCTCACCAGGTGAGTTCACAAACATGCCTGTCTTACCACCATGGGGAAGTGGATTTGGGTCTGCTTACAGGCATGATATTGAACAGTATTTATGAATTATGAAACACTAAAGAATGTAGAGAACATTCTGTTTCTAAAACTTTGAACTGAAGGCATATGAGAGAGATTTGCTTCTTTTATCTGGATGTCTGTGTTCTCGTCTGGAGAAACAATGAGAAATGATTTTTCATAATGACTACCTAAGCCCTGAGGCTCAGCCAGCCCCTACTGCTGTGTTCCAACATTTAAAGGACCATTGAAGTCCCACTTCATGTCATATTCTCTGGGAAAGTTTTCTCATTAACCCCTCATACAGCTCAGTAAGAATGGTATGGTCAGTCCCATTTCACAGATGACCAACCTCAGGCTTTCAGAGCCTAAGTCACCTCCCCAGGTAAGTGGCAGGATTGGAATGAGGTCCCATCCTTCACCCTCCCTAGGAGACCCTGAGCACCTCCCCTTTAGAAGATGGGCTTCCAGGGCTTGAGAAATGGTCAGATTCCACTCCCCTGCTATTGTGGCCCCACAGGTCCTTACTCTACAACCCCTCTGGGTGATGAGGAAGACAGAGGAGGTGAAATCCTGTGCTTTGTGCCAAGAGACCTGGGTGTAGACCTAGTGTGTAAAAACCCCACTAAGGGCTGTATTAAAACAAAGAAGAAAACATTTGTAAACTACATCTCAGATATTGGGTTAGTATCCCTGATTTGTGAAACATACTTGGTAACAAAGCAATTGGCAATGATTTTAACAGAAAATTCAAATAAGTATATACATGAACAATAAACATTAAAAAATACAAAAACCTGCAGACCTGAGTGTGTACTATTCTAGGGATGACAGACTCCTTGGGGTCAAGGGGTGGGAGCTGGGCCAGTGAGAGGTGCAGTTTAAATTTGATTTGTGGTGAGTGGACTGAGGCAGAAGCTCAGGTGTTGGCCTTGGGACAGGTGAACTGGAGAGAAGGCAAGTAACATGCCCTGAACTACTGTAAGCAAATGCACTCTATATTTCATCTGCTTTTACCCTAACAACCATTTAACCCATCATTCTGATAATTATTCAAATCAGGAAACTAAGTTTAAGGACAGTTTATGTAATTTAGAGAGAAAACTTTTTAATCTCCTGATCAGCAGTTAACTTTGGAATTACTTAAGGGTTTTTTTTCAGTTGTTATTTTCATTTTGTCTTGATGCCTCCATAACTCTGAGTGCTCTAATCTCCTTCAACGCTGGCAGTATCTACTCCGCAGGTGTTTTTTAATGTTTTTTCCTTTTAAATATGACCTGTATAATGTTTAGGTCCCATTAATAAAATTTAAAACACTTTCCAAAGGAAAAAAAACCACTAAAGACTGTATTAAAACAAGGGAGAAAACATATGTAAACTACATCTCAGATACTGGGTTAGTAGCTGTGATTTGTGAAACATACTTGGTAACAAAACAATTGGCAATGATTTGAACAGAAAATTTAAATAAGTAAATACATGAACAATAAACATTAAAAAATACAAAAACCTGCAGCCATAAAAAGGAATGAGATTATGTCCTTTCCAGGGACATGGATGAAGCTGGAAGCCATCATCCTCAGCAAACTAACACAGGAACAGAAAACCAAACACCACATGTTCTCACTCATAAGTGGGAGCTGAACACTGAGAACACATGGACAGAGAGAGGAACATCACACACCGGGGCTTGTTGGGGGGTGGGGGGTGAGGGGAGGGAACTTAGAGGATGGGTCAATAGGTGCAGCAAACCACCGTGGCACACGTATACCTATGTAACAAACCTGCACGTTCTGCACATGTATCCCATTTTTTTAGAAGAAATAAAATTAAAAAAAATTACAAAAACCACAAGAACTAACAAGATGCAAATATTTTTAAATCCTGAGAATTTATAATGACAAGATGCAAAAAATGAGGACTATGATTGTACTTTTGGAGAAGACTGTGTGTGAAGGTGAATGTGTTGATGTGCACCTCACCTACAGGGGCACATCTGGAGAGTGTGCACTATTCTAGGGACAACAGACCCCTTGGGGTCAAGGGATGGGAGTTGGGCCAGTGAGAGGTGCAGTTTAAATTTGATTTGTGAATATACTCTTGTATAGTTTTTGAAGTTTCATATTTGAGAATAAAAGTATTTTAGTGAATATTTGAACACACAAGATACTTTAAGTAAGGAGTTTAGGGTTTTTAAAAATTTAACTGGCAAGTAAAGAATTGGCAATGATCTATTCATTTGTCGTAAAATATGTTGGATTATGTTTTAAATAGATCTGTTTGGATTTAAATTTTATTCCCCAAGGACTTAAATCATATATTTTTTTAAAAGCATGTCAGTTTTTTAAAACCTTTGTGAAAAAAGACAAAGTTTAAACATTATATTACAAACTAAGATTAAAATATAAAGCTATTATAATTAATAATGGACACTGGAAACTCAGAAGGGGGAGGTGGGAGTAAGGGAGGGAAGGGAGTAAGGGATGAAAAATCACCTACTGGGTACAATGTAAACTATTTGGGTGAAGGGTACACTGAAAGTCCAGACTTCACCACTATAAAATTGATCCTTATAACTAAAACCACTTGTACTCCTGAAGCTATTAAAAATTTTTTTAATTGAGATCTAAAGAAACAAGCTATTGTAATTAAGAGAATGTAGAATTGGTGTAAGGATAGAAACAACAGGCCAATGGACTTTATTAATAGAGTCAAGAAATAGACCCAATCCATATGTGGTCATTTTCACTTATGACACAGGTGACAGTGCAGTGAAGGGAGAAGGATGATATTTTAAGTATGCTACCTAAATTAGATACGTACAAGAATTGATTTCAGGTAGATTGTCAGTCTAAATGCAAAAGTAAAAGAATAACCTATAACAATGGAGGAAAATATTTTTATGTAGTTGGGGTGGCAAATAATCACTAGACAAAAAACTGTTAATCCCAAAGGAAAAAATAATAATAAATTGAGCTACATTATAATTAAAGATTGTCTTTCAAAACATACTCTTAAGAAAGAAAATATTGAAATACAGAGTGAAAGATTTTATATATACAGTGATTCAATTTTTTGGAAACAAGGAGAAAAGTAGAAAATGAGCAAAAGAAGTAAACAGGCATTTTACAATATAAGAATCCCATACGACAGCTGCACGTATAAAAAGGCGCTTAACGTTTTTAGTTTTTAGGACAATGCAAATTAAAATTGTCATGAGATACTACAGTAACCCCATGGACTAAAAAAAAGAGTAAGGGGCAAATAGAACCATTATATACTATTACTGAAAGTAAATTGGTGAGAACAGTTTGGGAAATCATTTGGCAATATCTGCTAAAGCTAACTATATGCATACCTATGAGCCAGCAATTCCAATCTTTGATATACTCAACAGAATCGTGTACATATACCCACTAAAGACAGGCACAAAACTGTATGTAGTAGTACTATAACATTAGTCAAACTGTGGGCATAACCCAAATATCATCCAACAGATAACTTGTAGTATTCATAAAATGAAATACTCTACCACAATTAGAATGCTCATTTTAATGTTGCCATATGCAAAATCATGGATATATCTCACAAGGATAATATTAAGCAAAACAAAGCAGAAACAAAAAAGTATAATTTCAGGTAAATAAAATATGAAAAGTTCGTAAACAGGCAAATCTCTAGTGTTAGAAGTTAATGTAGTTTACTTTTGGAGGTATAATGACTTGTAAGGGCATAAAGGAAGCTCCTGAAGTGAAGATAATGTTCTATTTCTTTCCCTTTTTTACTAGTAAATTCTGCTTTTATTATTAAAAGTTCTTGTAAACATAAGTGTCTCTTCAATGATATAAAAATTTCCCCTTCTTTAAGATTAAATATAAAACATTAATTAAAATATTCAAGGCAATGAAGTTAAATTCTAATGCCTAGCTGGGTGTGGTGGCTCACGCCTGGAATCCCAGCACTTTGGGAGGCTGAGGCGGGTGGATCTCATGAGGCCAGGAGTTCAAGACCAGCCTGGCCAACATGGTGAAACCCCATCTCTACTAAAAATATAATAATTAGTCGGGTGTGGTGGCGCATGCCTATAATCCCAGGTACTCAGTACGCTGAGGCACGAGAATCGCTTGAACCTGGGAGGCGGAGGTTGCAGTGAGCTGAGATTGTACCACTGCACTCCAGCCTGGGCGTCAGAGCAAGACTGTCCAAAAAATAAAATAAAATAAAATAAAAATATATATATATTCTGATGCCTTTCTGTAGTCAATGAAATGGACCTGAAAGAAAGAGGCATAGTGAATTTTAAAAAATGATGTACCCAAACTTTGAAAAAATGTTGCTGTCTTCCAAAAAATAAGTTAGCTGAGATGTTTCTTCATTATAGGAGGCAGAATGTTCTTCTCTTTTAAGTTTCAGCTTTTATTTTAGATCCAGGGGGTACATGTGCAGGTTTGTTACATGGGTATATTGTGTGATGCTAAGGTTTGGGATATGAATGATCCCATCACCCAGGTAGTGAGCATAGTACCCAATAGTTTTTCAACCCTTGCCCCACCTCTCCCCACTCCTCCAGTAGGCCCCAGGGTTTGTTGTTGCTATCTTTACGTCCATGAGTCCCCAATGTTTAGTTTCCACTTATAAGTGAAAACATGTGGTATTTGGTTTTTTGTTCCTGTGTTAATTTACTTAGGATAATAGCCTCCAGATGCATCTATGTTGCTGCAAGGGACATTATATTGTTCTTTTTTATGGCTGTGACAAAATACTTTTGAACAGATTGTCAAAAGTACTGTGCACATGTTTATTAATTTGAGAAAGCATTCATTATATTCTATTTTATGGTGAAAACAGGAAATAATTTGACAGGGTATTTGCATGTGTGTGTGTGTCTAGGTCTAGCTGTATCACTCCAAATACACACTCACAGATGCAGCTTTACCTTTAATGCAGACAGGGGCTGGAGCCAATCTCAGTTTCACATATACCAGAACATGACTAATACACAGAGATTGCTATCGTTAGGTGAATAATTCCAGAAAACTCTGGCTAATATCTTTGTAGTTCACCTCCAACATCCCTCTCCCTTTCCCTGAGCCCCTTGTCTGAGACTCTCAAAGCTGTGATCCGGGTTCTGGCCATCAGGAGGCATCACAGCTATCTCCATTTTTTTTTTTTTTAAAGGAGGACATTTTGCAAAGAGTGACAAACTACGATGCCAGTTCTGTTTGAAAAATATACGTATATTAAAGCTGGTCCATTGGCTGTGGACTCCAAATCTACATGGCATTCACTGATTTATCTCTTCCCTCCTCAGTATACGTTGTCCCGTGCATGCTGTGGAGAGGTCCCTCACAGACAGCAGGGCATTTAGCCTCCATTGCCCGTGCATAAGCTTCCCAGACCTCCTCCCATTCCCTTTCAGTCCTCCCTTCTCTAGGATCCTATGGACACAGTTGCCCAGACCCTGCTCCTGTGACCTCTATCCTCTCTGTCACCTTTCTACAGCCCTGTCAGTGCTACCTGGTGTTTCATGCCCTGGCGCATATGTTTTTACAGTCTTGTTTTACATCTATCAATCAATTTTTTTCTTTCTAGCTTGGGAAGTGAATTTGGGTCTGCTCAGAGGCATGATGTTCAACAGCTTTTATTAGATTATGAGACATCCAAGAATGTAGAGAACATTCTGTCTCTAAAACTTTGAACTCAAGGCATATCAGAGAGAGATTTGCTTTCTTTATATGGATGTCTGTGTTCTCATTAGTAGAAACAATGAAAAATGACTTTTCACAATGCCTTCTTAGCCCAGAGGCTCAGCCAGCCCCCACTTCTGTGTCTCAGCATTTAAAGGGCCATTGAAGTCCCACTTCATGCCGTATACTCTCAACAGGTTTTCTCATTTGCTCCTTGGGACAGCTCGGTAAGGATGATACAGTCAGTTCTATCTCACAGATAATCAAGCTCAGGCTTTCAGAGCCTAAGTCACCTTCCCAGGTAAGTGGCAGGATTGGAATGAGGTTTCATCCCTCACCCTCCCTAAAGGACCCTGAGCACCCCCTTTTAGAAGATGGGCTTCCAGGGCTTGAGAAATGTCAGATTCCACTCCCCTGCTATTGTGGCCCCATGGGTCCCCCACTCCACAACCCCTCTGGGTGATGAGGAAGACAGAAGTGAAATCCTGCACTTTATGCCAAGAGACTGGGTGTGGGACCGTATGAGTTGGCTGATCCCTTAAGTGGTGAGTGGGCTCAGGCAGAAGCTTAGGTGTTGGCCTTGGGACAGGTGAGCTGAAGAGAAGGAAAGTAACCTGCACTGAACTACTTTAGGCAAATGCACTCTATATTTCATCTCCTTTATCCTAACGGCTGTTCAAGGTACCGATGATTATGATCATTATTCCAATCAGGGTGCTGTCTTTAAGGGAGTTTGTGTAAATCAGGGAGAGAACTTTATTATCTCCTTATTGTCAGCTAAATCTGGAATTAATCTAAAGGTTTTTTTTTTCTCTATTTGCCCTGAAGCCCACAGAGAAATAGAAATGTTTTTCTTATCCTTTATTCACGTTTGTTCTGTATTGATGAGTATTTAGAATGTTTCTCATTTTTTCCTTTTTAAAAAGATTTCAGCAATGCTATTTCAAATAACCACTTACCTGGCTATTTTGGACATGTGAAAATTTTTTCCTCCATTACATTTGTAAACATCTATCCCTTGGGGCTTGATTTCAATAATTTAAACTCCCTTATATGTGTATGAGCATTCTCATTTCTTTAACCATCTTTGTACCTGTTGTAGTTACAATATTTAAGTGTATTTATAACTGATAAGTGTGTTTCCATTTCCTTGATGTATTTGGTCCCTCATCCTGCCCCCATACACAGACACACACAGAGCCTTTTTCTTTTGCATCTTTTTCTTTTGCAAATTAAAAAAAAATTCTTTTTCGGTTTTTTTCTACATTTAAATTTTGTCAGATGATAGGTGATAAAAGGATATTTAGATGGTTTCATTAGCATTCTTTAATGTATTAGTGAGCTAGAATGCATTTTCTTGTGATTACTGGCCATTTGCGTTTCTTCACCTGTGAACCATATACATATTTTTTCAGTTTTGTTATTTTGTTATAGGAGCTGTACATGTGTTAAACCTAAAACCCTTCACTGATGGATGCATGCATTATTTCAACACATCTTTGTTGGGTGAATATTATTTATGAGACACTCTAGCAAAATCCATGTCCTAGATATCTCTTCTGAGATCTTGGCTCTTATATTTATGGGAGATGTCCCCCTGCAGCAAGAAAAGTATTAGTGCCCATGTAAACATGCGTGGCTTGTCAAGGATCACATGCACAGACAGTTCACACTTACTCCTAAACCCGGCATGGCCACAGAGTAGAAAGGGTGTGTAGTGCGTTATATGAGGAGAGCACTGGCTCAGGATTGTGATTTCTGTGATCTCTATATTAATGGCAATGTTTTAAAAAATTACATAACATTTCTGAGTTTGCCTTTTCTCATTTGTAAAATGGAAACAATTATAGCTACCAAAGACAACTGTTCTGAAAGCAAAAGAACAAAATATTTTAAGCGTCATACACAGCATAGGGTACGTACAGTACTCAACACATCTTAGTCCCTTTCCTATCCCATACCCGTCCTTCCTTTAAAGGAGATTCCTTTGACATAATCCAAAAGGCATGGTTCCATAACGATCACATGAAAGTTTTAAGGGAAATGTATAGGTTTCCATGATGAATTAACTGCTGTGTCACTACTCTGTGCTGGGTAAGAAAAAGGAAAACAATCGCTGAATCAGTTTCCTAGGGTTTGTAAAAGAAATCCATCAAAGCCACCACCTCATTTCGCTTTATTTCACAGACTTCCCCATCTCATTTTTTATGTTCTATGCTAATTTCTCAAGAAGAACAGGCCCGGCACCACCTCTGCGCACAACCCCGCGGGCCTGGCTCAGGCGGGAGTGCGGGGCCAGCACCATGAGCGCCCCGGGCAGCCCCGACCAGGCCTATGACTTCCTGCTCAAGTTCCTGCTGGTGGGCGACAGGGACGTAGGCAAGAGTGAGATCCTGGAGAGCCTGCAGGATGGTGCAGCTGAGTCCCCGTACAGCCATCTCGGGGGGATCGACTACAAGACGACCACCATCCTGCTGGACGGCCAGCGGGTGAAGCTGAAGCTCTGGGATACGTCGGGGCAGGGAAGATTTTGTACCATATTCCGCTCCTACTCTCGTGGTGCACAAGGAGTGATCCTGGTCTACGACATTGCAAACCGCTGGTCTTTCGAGGGTATGGATCGATGGATTAAGAAGATTGAGGAACATGCCCCTGGTGTCCCTAAAATCCTGGTGGGGAATCGCCTACATCTGGCATTCAAGAGGCAGGTGCCCAGGGAGCAGGCCCAGGCCTACGCCGAGCGCCTGGGTGTGACCTTCTTTGAGGTCAGCCCTCTGTGCAATTTCAACATCATAGAGTCTTTCACGGAGCTGGCCAGGATAGTGCTGCTGCGGCACAGGATGAATTGGCTCGGGAGGCCGAGCAAGGTACTGAGCTTGCAAGACCTCTGCTGCCGCACCATCGTGTCCTGCACACCTGTGCATCTGGTGGACAAGCTCCCGCTCCCCAGTACCTTAAGAAGCCACCTCAAGTCCTTCTCCATGGCTAAGGGCCTGAATGCCAGGATGATGCGAGGCCTCTCCTACTCCCTCACCACCAGCTCCACTCACAAGAGCAGCCTCTGCAAAGTGGAGATCGTCTGCCCACCCCAGAGCCCACCCAAAAACTGCACCAGAAACAGCTGCAAAATTTCTTAAGGAAGGCACCAAAAGGAAACAAGCTGGAATCGCTCCAGGAAAAACTCTGGTTACACCTGGAAGATGGAAGTCGCATTGTAGATTCAAGAAATTAGTTTTCAGTTTCTCACGGGAACCATGCTGCTTGGGAATGTGTGTGATGCCTTCTGTCAATAAAAACACATTACACAGTTTGACTTTGAATTTCTATTTGGATGTGCATGAAGCTCTTGTTTTAAACGTGTGTTTATAAAGGGGAAATTAGTACTTTGCTCAACTCTTGATAACGTGAAATTTTGAATGTTACTTATATCATAATCACGCTGCAACTTTTTCCTTAAAATAACCGCCTTTGTTAGAATGGTGATATGGCAATGATGAGTATAAATTCAAGGAAATTTGAGAAGCAATGATAGTGAGATAATTCAGTCATCGATAGTACAAGAGGGGCCTTTTTGTAAACCTCCTTTTTAATGTCAAAGCACCAATTTATAAAACACTGCAGATGCATATAGAGATTGTATATAACAGATCTGTCCAGCTTGTGCATGAAATGGATTTGATAAAGTTTTTGCTATGTTATTTACTACATTTGGGGATTAATACGTGATTTATATGTATGTTTTTCTGTAAATCTACTTTTTTTGTACGAGATGTTCTACAAGATATGAAGCTAAGGGAGGAAAACACCAAAGATATCTCTAGTTATGTTGAACATAGCCAATATGGTTTCAATGGATCAATAAGAAAAAACCATTTCAGTAAGGAATGAAATACGTACTTATTTGAGAAAATGTTTCTTAACAGTAAAAAAGTATATATTTTTCTCTTTGGTAAAACGAAAAGAGAGGAAAAATATGTATAGTGTAACCCCGCAAGATGAGGCTTTGCAGAAAAACAATGCAATAGAACATGGCGGGGCAGGCCCATTATAAGGCCTTAGGTGAGTCATTTCCCCTGTGCTGGCCAGTTTTGGTTAACACCTCTCAGATCAATATAGAGGTTAATGAGATCACATCTGGGAAAGCACTTCTGAGACCTTAGATGGGAAAGAAGGAGAAGTGGTTTCCACGTAGTTACTTTCCAATTTACACTGTTGATTATTATAATAATTGATATTGGATGAACTGAGTAAATATAAGTCCTTGTACTCTTTTGTAATTGAATGACCATTTATTTGTGCATTGTCATAGGGTGATTGTAACAAAGTCCCGCAGAAGGGCAGTATCTCTGGCCTCACGGAGCTGTGGGGACTCACCCTTCCTGAACGCTGGTACTTTTCTATCTCATGAATTTCCCACAACATTCCTGGGAGGTAGAGGATATAATCTCTACACCATCCTGTAGCTTAAGAAACAGGGATGTTTGCAGGTTAAGCAACCTGGCTGGGGAGCATCCTGCCACTAAGTGGAAAAGCAGAGACTAGCATCCTATATGCCCCCAGGCAGACTGTGATGCTGAGCTGCACATCACAACATAACCAAGCAAATCTTGCTTTCCTGCTGACCTGGGTCACTACTGAAATCTGTATCTTCAGCTCTGAAGCCAGGCTGCCAGTTCTGTCTCTCTTATGAAAGACAGAGAACCTTGTCAGACCTAAATTTCCTACTCTGTAGACAAGGGAGTGTGTCTGGGCCATTGCTTTAGAAACGAGTCCGCAGACAGTTCCTGTATCAGGAAGAATATGCACTCTCAGAGGGACAGGGGCCATGCTGAGGGTGAATACTTGAAGGAGCAGGCCCCAAACACATGCAGATCGGGGATGCATAGAGTCTTTAATAGAAATTACCAAATCAACCTTGAAAGAGGTTGTACTAAATGACATCCCCACCACCAATATGAAACAGGGTAGGCTTCCCCGCATGCCCACCTTACTGGAATCCTGAATGGTTTCTTTTTATACTTTGATGATATGACAGGTGGAAATTCTTTCATTGTCATTATATTTAATTTGATGTTCAGATAACTTAAAAAATTCCCTAGTATACAAAATGCTCTGATAATCATCATTGCATTATATTTTTATTGCAAACTGGTCCATTTTCATATGTAGCCTAAAAACAATGAGCAACAGGCACATTAGCCTGCAAGTTCTCCTAGAGCTACTGGTGGCATTATGGTTCCAGGGTGTGTTTGTGGCCTCTGGGGAATACTGATGGCAGTGTGTTTGTCTAGAAGATTAAGAACATCTCTCTGTGATATTAGTTGAATTCAATATTAGAGAAGAGCTGGAGTCTTTTTAAGTGACACAAGAGCTGGACCACAACATGCTTCTGAGCAGGCTGTAATCCTGTCCCTGTGATGGACAGCAAGCCTTTCTGTGACCTCACCTGCTCAGGTCAGGGTGGATCCCTCCAGAACGTAAGGTATGGCAATTGGCCTAAATCTGCTTCTGAACACTGAAGCTGAGTGCTCCCATCTTCCTGCCGTCAGTTGCAGAGACTGGAGAAGCTGCATCTTCTCAGACACCAAAACCACGGGTTCAGTCACCTGTGTGAGGAGCTCAGTGCTGGAAGATAAAATACCAGCACCTGTTTGACACATCGTGCATCCATCCATCCATCTGTCCATCCATCCATCCATCCATCCATCCATCTATCCATCCCCATAGTTAACAGGCATTAAAGTCAAATGACACCATCCCTCTGGTTAAGTTTTAGACTTCCCCAGAATAGAAACAAGGAAGTAAGGGGGTTGTGGTAAACTCAGTTTCTAGACCTAAGAAGAGATGGCTCCTTCTCCTTAATATTTCCACCCTGAGAGAGCCTCTTATCATTGATAATTTTAAAACATAATTTAAAACCCTAGACCTCTCTCTACAACCCTAGTTACTGTTCTCTTTACATATATTCTCCCATTGCAACCAAAGTTCTATGAAGAATTCTCAATACTCAACTCACATCCCTTTGCACCTCCCTCCACCTCAGTCCTCATTCCTCATCTAATGGTGCTTTGTTCCCGCACCCCTCTGTTGAAATGAACCCCATCAAAACCAACAGCCACCCCTTTGTCCCATTTATAGATCAAGAGTGTTAAAATGAACATCTATATGGAGACAAAGCTTCCCCCGCAATGACAAAATTCAGTTGCTTTTGTATAGACAAAGATTATATTGCAATGCTATATTTACCTAAAAGCTAGCATTGTAAAATAGCTTCCATAAGAGTCAGTCAGATAACGTGAAGGCTGTGCTACAGGAACTGTGCTATCAGTTGAAGTACAACATTTCCCCAACATATCCCATACTATTGCTTCAATAAAAGGAATTTTGCAAATAGATTTACTGCATGTTAGCAATATTTTTATGATCACTTCAATAAATTCTGTTTATTGTTTTATTTCTTTCTGAAGGAATTACTAAGTATGCAATGTAATCGCCTGAAATTAAAATGTTGTTTCAAAATTTGTCGTGGTTAAATATATTGCCTAAAAGCATTGTCTGATTGTTTAATATGCCATAATTTGGTAATATAATGGTGGTGAAATATAATAGTAGATAGAGGGAACTCTTGCAGTCTCCTGATTAGGTCAGAATTCTTCTACTGCACCACACAAATCATAATTCTGGAATTCCTTTTGGAATGTTTCCATTTGGTAAACTATCACAACTATATGATAAGTGTACATGATTCCATACTGATATAAATTAAGTGTTTCCATTGACAAAGAAATGGGTCAGAGAAGACAAATTGTCTCAATCAAATAATTCTAAACAATATATGTGGCTAACCCTCAGTTCATGAGGTGAAGTTTAATTCTGTCCTCTACCTCCTAAGAACAGGGCTGACTTAGTGACTTACTTCTACAGAAAAGAGTATAGGAATGTAAAATAGTTACCACACACTGGAGAAATTTGGCAAACAGTACCTTAACCAAGTGATGAAGGTTAACATCACCATTGATATCATATGGGTAGCATGTAAACCCATATATGGTGTGATAAAAAGGGCAATTCATCTCTGCGGTATTCCTTCTGAAAACCCATAACCTCAGTCTAATAATGAGAAAAACAAGTTATGCCTGTACTTCTCATGAAATCAAGCTTATGAAAATAGTCTGGCCATACCTCAAATGGTTAACAGGGAGTTACCATATGACACAGCAATTCCACCCCTAGGTACATAGCCAAAAGAAATATGCCTACATAAAAACTTGTACCTGAATGTATACAGGATCATCATTCAAAATAGCCAAAGAGTGGAAACAACCCAAATGCTCATCAATTGATACATGGATAAAATGTGGTATATTCAGCAATAAATATGGATGAGGAACTGATATATGCTGCAACACAGATTTTGAAAACATTATGTAAAGTGAAAGAAGCCAGATGCAAAAGACCAAATATTGTTTGATTTCACTTATATAAAATGTCAAAAACAAGCAAATCCACAGAGAAACAAAGCATATCTGTGATTGCCTAGGGCTGGGGGTGGGCACAGGGATTAACTGCATTCAAGCAGGATGGGTAATCTTAGGGTGATGAAAATGTCTAAAACTCAACGATGAAGTCCCAGCTACAGCAATCAGACAAGAGAAAGAAATAAAGGGCATCCAAACTGGAAAAGAAGAAGTCAAATTATCCTTGTTTGCAGATGACATGATCTTATATTTGGAAAAACCTAGACTCCATCAAAAAACGATTAGAACTCATAAACAAATTCAGTATAGTTGCAAGATACAAAATCAACATACAAAAATCAGTAGTGTTTCTATATGCCAGCCAAGAGTGAACAATCTAAAAAATAAATTTAAAAGTAATCCCATTTACAATAGCCATAAATAAAATTAAATACACAGGAATTAACCAAAGAAGTGAAAGGCCTCTATAATGAAAGCTATAAAACACTGATGACAGAAATTGAAGATGACGCCAAAAAATGGAAAAGTATTTCATGTTCATTGATTGGAAGAATCAATATTGTTAAAATGTCCATTCTACTCAAAGCAATCTACAGATTTAATACAATCCCTATCAAAATACCAATGACATTCTCCACAGAAACAGAACAATCCTAAAATTCATATAGAATCACAAAAGACCCAGAATTCCCAAAGCTATCTTGAGCAAAAAGAACAAAACTGGAGGAATCACAATACCTCACTTCAAATTATACTACAGAGCTATATCACCAAAACAGCATGGTACTGGCATAAAAACAGACACATAGACCAGTGGAACAGAATAAAGAACCCAGAAACAAATCCACACACCTACAGTGAACCCATTTTCAACAAAGAACCTATACTGAGGAAAAGACAGTCTCTTCAATAAGTGGTGCTGGGAAATCTGGAAATCCATACGCAGAAGAATGAAAATAGACCCTCTATTTCTTGCCATATACAAAAATTAAATCAATATCAGTTAAAGGCTTAAATCTAAGACTTCAAACTATGAAACTACAAGACTTTGGGGAAACTCTCCAGGACATTGGTCTGGGCAAAGATTTCTAGAGTAATACCCCAACACAGGCAACCAAAGCAAAAACGGACAAATGGAATCACATCAAGTTAAAAAGCTTTTGCACAGCAAAGGAAACAATCAACAAAGTGAAGAGACAACCCACAGAATGGGAGAAAATATTTGCAGACTACCCATTTGACAAGGGATTAATAACCAGAATATATAATGAGCTCAAACAACTCTATAGCAAAAATAACTAAACTGATTAAAAGGTGGGCAAAAGATTTGAATAGACATTTCTCTAAAGAAGACATACAAATGGCAGACAGGCATATGAAAAGGTGCTCAACTTCATTGATCATCAGAGAAATGCCAATCCAAACTACAACAAGATATCATCTCACCCCAGTTAAAATGGCTTATATCCAAAAGACAGGCAATAACAAATGCTGGCAAGGATGTGGAGAAAAGGGAAACCTTGTACACTGTTGGTAGGAATGTAAGTTAGTAAAACCACTATGTAGAACATTTTGAAGGTTCCTCAAAAAAACTAAAAATTGAACTTCCATATGACCCGCAATCCCACTGCTGGGTATATACCCAAAAGAAAGGAAATCAGTATATTAAAGAGACATCTGCACTCCCATGTTTGTTGCAGCACTGTTCACTATAGCTAACATTTGGAAGCAACTTAAGTGTCCATCAAGAGATGAATGGATAAAGAAAATGTGGTACACATACACAACGGAGTACTAGTCAGCCATCAAGAAGAATGTGATTCAGTCATTTGCAAAAACATGGATGGAACTGGAAGTCATTATGTTAAGTAAAATAAGCCAGGCACAGAAAGACAAACATTGCATGTTCTCACTTATTTGTGGGAGATAAAAATGAACGCAATTGAACTCATGGAGGTAGAGACTAGAAGGATGGTTACTAGAGGCTGGGAAGGATGGTGGCAGGCTGGAGGGGAGGTGCATATGGTTAATGAGTATAAAAAAATTAGAAAGAATGAATAAGACCTAGTACTTGGTAGCACAACAGGGGGACAATAGTCAATAATAATTTAAGTGTGCATTTCAAAATAACTAAAAGAGTATAATTGAATTGTTTGTAACACAAAGGATAAATGCTTGAGGGGATGGATACCTAATTTTTAATGATGTGATTATTACACATTCCCTACCTGTACCAAAATCTCATGTATCCCCAAAAATATATATGCCTATTATGTACCCACAAAAATTAAAAATAAAAGATTTTAAAACCCTCAATTATGAAGATCATTGCACAACTCTATACATTTACTAAAAATCACAAAATTCTATCTTCAAAAGCATGCATTTTATTGTCCATAAATTATACTACAAGAAAGCCGTTTAAAAATATGATATTGCCCTGGTCTTCTGTTGTACCACAGTAGTGACCAAACTTTTTCATACAAAGGCTGTGATGTACATCTTTTATATAAATGTGAATGCATGTAAAACGGTAGCTGTATCCCAGCCCTGCTGACTCTTTGTCATATGTTCCTCCAAGGATTTTCCCCTCCTAACACTATCCCACATGTTACTTCGGGTTTTACTCGGGTGTAAAGTTTGATTTTCATCTGATCACTTCCACATGTTCCAACTGTGGCAATGGCTTGAGAGTAGGTCTACAACAAAGTATAGGGCATTTACTGTCTAACAGGATGTCATTACTATTACTTTCTTCACTCCCCTGTGTGTTTTCTTGCATGACTTCACTTAGGGAGTCTAAATAGCACTACCTTGATGAGTGTCAGTGTGGCAATATTTATCAAAAACCTACATATGGACACACTGTTTGCACAAACAATTTCCCTTGAACAAGTTTATCTTCAGAATGTAAGGAAGGATGTGGATAAGGATATGGTAAAAAGAACTGCTATTCTGATAATTCCCTTCCTTTACTTCTGGGCCTTGTGAAGCCTGAAAGAACCAGTCCTTCAAGATAAATCCTGGGTGTTTAACTGGGCCTAAATTCAAATTAGAGCCAAGTGGCCATTTGCTGAGTAGAGGTCACACATGACTTCGAGTTCCCAGAAAACCTGAAAGTCTGCTTAACTTTGGGACTTTCATAGCTGCCTGTTCCTTTTTATGGTGCTTGAACCAACCAATAAGCTTTCACCTATGTCAACCAATCAGAACTAAGCAAGTTGGAATCCTTCATTTGCATAAGTTGACCTGAGTGGGAACCTGGGTGAGAATTTTCTTCATAAAAGACAAACCTTCCCTTTGTCCTCTGGAACACACCTTCATTTTATACTGAAGGCTACATCTCCCCGATTTGCAAACTATTCACTGGAATAAAGTCTCTTTCCTCTAAATTCCTTTTCAGAGAACTTTTGTTCTCAGCCTGAATTTAGGAAGGGAGACCAAATGAGATGCAAAGCCATGAAGGAAAAGAAGGAAGCAGAGGAAAATGTGGTTGTCATCACACACACAATCACGCCAGCACATACACAATCACACACACACACACACACACATTTATACATGGACCAGGCTCTTTTTATCACAATACTAGTATTCTTCTATGACAGTTTGGTGAGTTCCAAGAGGACACATTTGGCTCACCAGTCCAAACAGCCACAGGAACTGTGCCCGGAACTGTGCCCTTCAGCGGAGCACATACTTTGAAAAGATGCCATCGACACAGTGTTGACATTAGGGAGTATCAGAACACTCTGAATAACATGGAGTTCTGAAAATTATGTTACATCCACAGCATGAAATTGTAGGTAAGCAATAAAATGAGTTACAATGAAGACAATGATGAGAGAGAATTTTTTGCCTATCAGATTAGCTACCATGCCCATTATTTCAATGTGTGTAGAAACAGGCACTTTCATACTGTGATGTTAGTGTTACTGAGCAATGGGCTTGGTCACCAATGCACATAGAAGCCAATACTATGGCACTAGCTTTTGAGGAAAGAAAAAGCTTTATTGCAAGGTCGACCAGCAAGGAGACAGGACCAGCAACACTCAAATCTGTTTCCTCGAGCTGGGGTCTGAAGGCAGAGAGTAACTATGGGGGACATAGGGAAATGCAACCAGGCATGATCTGATTGGATCATGCAAAGAAGTGGTGCCAAGTCCTTGGCTTTTAAGTTTGTACTGGGAAAAAAACAGGGAACCACTCACTTCTCATTTTGGTCCTCATTTCTCAATCTGAATACTTAGATTCCACATGTGGTTGACATTTTCTGTTCTGGCCAGTTCCAGGTTCACCAATCAGGCATACTTGGTTCATCTGGGCATGCTCAGGTTATATGACTTGCAACCTGGGGATCCACTGCATCTAAAAAACAACTCATCACTTTGTTACAAAGTCAAAGCATATTGAACGGTTCTGTGGTTACATTAGGAATGTAAATTAGTAGTAGTATTTTGAACCATTATGTTAATATAAAATGTTCTAATTTCCAGGGTTTTGAAAGGACTCTTCAGGAGCTTATAAAGAAATGCTTTAAAAGATATCTGCATATATAAAAGCTGGTGTTAAGTATACTATTGTCTGTAATAGAAACTATATTAAAAGGAATTAAATTTTCACCACTAGAGTACTGGGAAAATAAAGTTTAGGGCATCATATGATGAAACACCAACTCTATACAAAAAATTGAAATTGAATTTGAAAGATGGTCATAGTAAAGGCAAACACAGGTTACAAAAGTCCTAAGTAGTATGGCCGGGTGCAGTGGCTGACATCTGTAATCCCAGCACTTTGGAAGACGGAGGTGAGCGGATCCCTTGAGCTCAGGATTTCGAGACCAGTTTGGGTAACATGGTGAAATCCTGTCTCTACAAAAAATATAAAAATTAGTCAGGGGTGGCCGGGCGCGGTGGCTCACGCCTGTAATTCCAGCACTTTGGGAGGCCGAGGCGGGCAGATCACGAGGTCAGGAGATTGAGACCATCCTGGCGAACACGGTGAAACCCTGTCTCTACTAAAAATACACACACAAAAAATTAGCCGGGCGTGGTGGTAGGCGCCTGTAGTCCCAGCTACTCCGGAGGCTGAGGCAGGAGAATGGCGTGAACCCGGGGGACCGAGCTTGCAGTGAACCGAGATGGCGCCACTGCACTCCAGCCTGGGAGACAGTGAGACTCCGTCTCAAAAAAAAAAAAAAAAAATTCGTTAGGGGTGGTGGCTCACACCTGTAGTCCCAGCTACTTGGGAGGCTGTGGCTGGAGGATCGCTCAAGCCTGGGAGGCAGAGGTTGCAGTGAGCTGTGATTGCACCACTGCACTCCAGCCTGGGTGACGAGAAAAACCCCACAAAAGTCAGAAGTAGTTCTGTATCTATTTTTGCTTGTATAGGTCTATTGCTATATATCCATAGGTCTGAAAGCATAAAAATAAAAATGATTTTTTTTATTCCTCTCAAATATAGCTTTCTATTTAGCATAGTAAGAGGCTGGACTTTCTGTTTGGCCATCAGTATCCCTGAACACTGGATATACTTCTGTTCCACCCAGACTTATAGAAAGCTCTGTGGGGTGGGCTTGGGCCACAACCCCTTCCTCCCACTTTCCTGCTCCCGGATGTTCAAGCTGCAGTTTAGGCTTCTGTCACGAGGGGGCACTAACATATCACCATTATCAGACTGCAAAGCAATATATACAATGAGCAAAAAGGTGGGAATTGAACAGTGAGATCACATGGACACAGGAAGGGGAATATCACACTCTGGGGACTGTTGTGGGGTGGGGGGAGGGGGGAGGGATAGCATTGGGAGATATACCTAATGCTAGATGACGAGTTAGTGGGTGCAGCGCACCAGCATGGCACATGTATACATATGTAACTAACCTGCACATTGTGCACATGTACCCTAAAACTTTAATAAAAAAAAAATTAAAAAAAAAAAAAAGAAATACCATACCTCCCTTAAAACACAGCTTGTGAACCTATTTTCAAAATTTTCTGTCTGAAAAAACTGACAGATGCAAAAGAACACTAAATAAATATACTCTGGGGGCATCCATACTATGAAACACCAGGTAGCTCTAGCACACATTGGGAGCCACCGGCTGGCATAGGACAGCACAGGGGCAGGCGTAAGGTGACTAAGAAATGATGAGGGAGGTGGAACTGAGTCTGGGTGGCTGTGTCCACAGTGTCCCAGAGAGGGGATGACTGAAAGTGGGTGGAGAAGGTCTGGGAAGCCTGTACAGGAGTGGGGTAACGGAGGGCAAACTGCCTGCTCTCTGGGAGGGAGGGACCCCTCTACAGTGTGGACACCTCAACCTACCCTGAGGAAGGAAAAGATAAATCAGTGAATGCGATGAGATTCTTGGAGCACCATAATGCAACTGCTTTAAAATATATATTATATATATATATACAATATATAATATATATCATATATACACAATATATAATATATCACATACATACAATATAATATATTACATACAATATATAATACACCACATACATACAATATATATCACATACATACAATATGTAATATATCACATACATACATTATATATAACATATTATATATAACATATATTATATATGCAATATATAATATATACACGATATATATGTAATATATTACATATGATATATAATATATACAATATATAACATATATAATATATATAATATAATATATAATACACATTACATACACACAATATATTATATATACAATATATAATATATTATATATAATATATACTATATACACAATATATGATATATACACAATATATGATATATTATATATACAATATAATATATTGTATATATGATATATAATATATAGTATATAAATAAATAAAATTCATATAGTTTGTATAAATTCATAAATATATTTATATAAATAAATAAAATATATGAATTTTGCACACAGAATTATGATCATGGTAAACAAACCATTTTAAGTCCTTCGTTACTCTACAAAATATACTCCTTTTTATTAAAAAAAAAAAAATAAAGAGATCGATGCCATCTGGTGCCCAGAGACAGGATTGCATCTCTGTCAGCCAAGGGCCTCGGTAAGAGGGAAAGAGGGATGGAGTTTGGGAATTTGGCTCCCAGAAGGTATCAGCTGGAGTCTTCCGGAATTATTCAGCTCATGGTAGCTGTCTCTCTGTATCCACTATTTTCTGGGATATCTAAAACTGATATTGGTTCCATCCCCTGTCTGAATTAAAGGTAAAGCTGCACGTATGTTTATTTGGGTGATAGAGCAAGAGAAGATACACACACACACACACACACACACTCACACACATAGACATTATCAATTCCATTTTTATCTACTTTGTCTCAATACAAAATTGAATACAATGAATGTACTTTCGAATTAATGAAATACATTACAATTACTGTTGCCAATCTATTCAAAAGTATTTATTGAAATGCTTTTTTCCCTAAATACAAAATTTCAAACAATGTATAAAAGTATATTTATAAATTGAAATGAATCTGCATATCTCACTGGCCTGAAGCCTACCCTCTGACCCAAAAGGGTCTGTTGTCAACAGAATGGTGCATACTCTCCAGATGTGTCCCTGTAGGTGAGGTGCACGCAAACACACAATCTGTTCCAAAAGTGAATCACAGTACTAATTTTTTTTGCAACTTTTTTCTTCCACATAATATTCTCTTGAAGATTTATATTTGCATCTTATTAGTACTTCCAGTTTTGACATATTTTAACATGTTTATTGTTCATGTACATTTTAATGAGAATGTCTGTTGAAAACAGCTGCCAGTCATTTTGTTACAGAATGTGGTTCACAAATCATGGATACTAACCCAGTATCTGAGATGTAGTTTGCAAATGTTTTCTCCCTTAAGTTAAAAAATGTTTAGCCTTATTTTTACTGAGAAAGTGTTTTAAATGTCAATAATGTGACAAAAATATACAGGTCATAATTTAAAAAGAAAAAATGTTGAATAACACCATGAGGAGCAGGCGCTATCAGCCTGCAGGGAGATTAGAACATTCAGAGCCCTGGAGACATCAAGAGAAAATGATACAACTTTGGAGTATTCCAGAGTTAGCTGATGATCACAGGACAACTAGGTTGTTTCCCTGACTTACATAAACTCCCCTAAAGACAGCACACTGATCTGAATAATGGTCAGAATGATGAGTATCTTAAATGGTTGTTAGGATTAAAGGAGATGAGCTGTAAATTGCATTTGCTTACAGTGGTTCAGTGCATGTTACTTTCCTTCTCTCCAGCTCACCTGTCCCAAGGCCAACACTTGAGCTTCTGCCTGAGCCCACTCACCACTTCAAGGATTAGCTAACTCCTGTGGCCCTACACCCAGATCTCATGGCACAAAGCGCAGGATTTCACCTCTTCTGTCTTCCTCATCACCCAGAGGGGTTGTGGAGTGAGGACCTGTGGGGCCACAATATCAGGGGGGAATCTGACCATTTCTCAAGCCCTGGAAACCCATCTTCTAAAACGGAAGCTGCTCAGGGTTCTCTAGGGAGGGTGAGGAATAGAACCTCATTCCAACCCTGCCACTTACCTGGAGGGGTGACTTAGGCTCTGTGAGCCTGAGCTTAGTCATCTGTGAAATGGGACTGACCATACCATCTTTACAGAGCTGTTCTGAAGGGTAAATGAGAAAACCTCTTGAGAGTATATAGCATGGAGTGGGACTTCAATTGCCCTTTAAATGCTGAGACATAGAAGTGGGGGTTGGCTGAGCCTCACGGCTAAGGCAGGCATTGTGAAAAGTCATTTTTCATTGTTTCTCTCCTAATGAGAACACAGACATCCATATAAGGGAAGTAAATCTCTCTCTGATATGTTTTGAATTCAAGGTTTTAAAGACAGAATGTTCTCTACATTCTTGGGTGTTTCATAAAATCTGGTCAACATCATGCCTCTGAGTAGACCCCAATCCAGTTCCCAATGCTGGGAAGACAGGTGTGTCTTTGAACTTACCTGATGAGCTCTGTGATAGGTTTGGCCAGGAATGCAAGGTTTGGTGTTTGCCTAGTGGCTGCTCCTGGCTTACTTGGTATTTTAGTATATTTATAGAAAAATTCTGTACTCATCCTGCAGTCACCTGTGCAGGAGTCCTCAGATCATGCATGATCCAGCCACATCACACCAGGATTTCAGCCACCTGCTGCCTCCCTGAAGGACAAAAATCCAAGAGTTACTAGCATTTCTTTCATACAATGTCCATTCTTTCATTTACTAACAAGTAAATATATATTGAGCTCAAAACCCCTATTAGTCCATTGGAAGGGTCTCATGTTCTCCAAAGTGGAAATAAGAATGTGAGAAGGGAAATCAATATATGGAAAGCTTCGAGGGATAAACCTGAGATAAGACAGCTTCTTCACATTAATTTGAAAACTTGCTCAAGTTTCATGGAATTGAAGATTTTAAAAAGTCTCTCATTGAACCCTTCATTCCTATTCAGCCACAGAATGCTTCTCTCTATAAATATGTCTGTCTGTATCTCTAGGTCTCTCTCTTCCCTTTCAAATTCAAAGTACCAAAAGGATTTTCTGCACTCTGTTAACATTCTTCACTTCCCATGGTCCTTATCCCATTGCACTATGATGTCTGTTTCCAGGATGGCAACAAACATGATCTCACCAAGGTTAAAATCCACCTTTTGGTCACCAGGTTCAGTCTGTGTGTGTGTGTGTGTGTAAATATATTATCATAATGAGTATTACTTTTTAAAAGTAATCTCCTAAAACACGCATGCTTGTGCAGACTGCTTCTTCCACCTATCAACAGAGCCTTCACAGTTTCCCAGGCTCTGGAGCATGATGTACTGGACACAAATATAAGCTGTCTCAATCCCTAACTGTACAGTCTCAGGCAGAGTCCATATTCTCTCTGTCATCAGTTTTTCATCTATAAAACAGAGATTAGCCACAATTTCTACCTTGTAAGGGTGCTGTGAAAATTTAATGACTCAATACATAAATGCATATGGTACATAAGAAATTTTACTCATTTCTCTTTATATATTTTATTGGCATTAGTATCACTATAGTCATAAAAATAGGATATAGACTAAAGTTTATTCACAAGGAATACCGTTTGTGGTATGTTGTTAGTGAGTGTATAAATTTTCTAGGGCTGCCATAACAAATTACATAAATTTATTATTTCAGAGTTCAAAAGTACAAAACCAAGGCCAAAAGTACAAAACCAAGGTCTAGACAGGGCCAACTCTTTCTGAAGACTCAGGGGAGAATCCTTCCTTTCCTCTTATATCTTTTGGTGGTTCCTACTTTATAGTTCCAATCTCTTCCTCCATCTTCACATGGCCTTTCTCCCTATCTGTGTCAAATATCCCTCTTTCTTTTATAATGATACTGGCAATTGGATGATCACATCTTTAGATCTTTAGCTTAATTAGATTTGCAAAGATCCTATTTCCAAATAAGGTATAGTGGGTGTTAGAATTAGTGCATATTTTTGAGGAGACACAATTCAACCCATTACAGTGAGGCAAGCAAGTTACAAAACTAAATGTAAGATGAAGTATCTTTTGTATGTAAATATATAAATGCACGCATACTTACATATGTACCTATACATGTACCTGCAAAAGAAAACTTCTAGAAGAATATAATGTAGGTGAAATCATTACAAGGGCTTATCTTTGGGTGGTAGGATTTGGGGTATTATTTTTTCTTTTCTTTTATTTTTTTTGGGATGGAGTTTCACTCTTGTCACCCAGGCTGGAGTGCAATGGCACGATCTTGGCTCCCTGCAACCTCCCCCTCCCAGGTTCAAGTGATTCTCCTGCCTCAGCCTCCTTAGTAGCTGGGATTACAGGTGCCTGCCACCATACCTGGCTAATTTTTTTGTATTTCTAGTAGAGACGGGTTTTACTAAGGTGGTCAGGCGGGTCTCGAACTCCTGACCTTATGTGATCTGCCCTCGTTGGTCCCCTAAAGTGCTGGGATTACAGGCGTGAGCCACCATGCCCGGCTATTTTTTCTGCTCTGTATCTTCTATTTTTACCTATAATAAGCACTATTCCTCTTTCAATTACACAAATATTAAAATGTCTGAAAAACATAACCATTCTGTGTTCCCAACCACAAGAAAGCTATTTACTTCAGAACAGGAACATCCCTAAGGCAGGAAGGGAGATAAGACATTTCCACAGTATTACTGAACATATTTCTCCCAAATTCAAAACCACACAGAATATTACCAATATTTAATTGTCGGCTGGGCGCGGTGGCTCATGCCTGTAATCCCAGCACTTTGGGAGGCAGAGGCGGGTGGATCACCTAAGGTCAGGAGTTCGAGACCAGCCTGACCAACATGGTGAAACCCCGTCTCTACTAAAAATACAAAATTAGCTGGGCGTGGTGATGCATGCTTGTAATCCCAGCTACTTGGGAGGCTGAGGCAGGAGAATTGCTTGGACCCAGGAGGCAGAGGTTGCAGTGAGCCAAGATTGCACCATTGCAATCCAGCCTGGGCAACAAGTGTAAAACTCCATCTACCAAAAAAAAAAAAAAAAAAAAAAAAAAAAAAAAAATTTAAGGGTCTGCCTGCTTAACCGAGAAAAAACAGGAAACCTTAATTTGTTTTGTTGTGCTGCTGTGCCCTGATCTTATCGGATGAAAAGCAGCTGCTCATACTGGTTAGATGTAGGGGCTTGAGAGCCACACAGCCAATGTTCAAATCTAAGTCTCGACACTTGCTAGCCCTGCCTTCACTGTGCCTCAGTTCCCTTATGTTTAAACGCAGGCAACAATAGCTCCTCCTTACAGATGATGCTGAGGATTAAATAAGTATAGGTTTAGCTCTTAACAACAGTGTCAGGAACTGAGGATGTCAATAATAAATATTAACCTTTTAAAAAATCAGTGTTAACGTATTGCCATTTTTATTATTATGTGAATTTTTATTGATTGGCATAGATTGCCATTCATATTACGATGTCTGTTAAAAAAAAAGCAATTTGCACAGCTCTAAGTAGGATATCATCTCACGGCATTCCTAAATATGCATGGTTATATTTGCATAATAGAATTTATGAAAAAAATATATAGTCACACACTACATAACAACATTTCACTTGATGAAGGACCACATATTCAATAGCAGTCCAAGATTATAATGGAGCTGAAAACTTCTTGTTGCATGTAAATTCTTGTTGTAACATTCGTAGCTCAATGCATTCCTCATGTTTCTGGTGATGCCCATGTAAACAAACCTACTATGCTGCCAGTTGTATAAAAGTATAGCACATACAATTGTGTACAATACATAATACTTGATAATGATAATAAATGACTATGTTGCTGGTTTATGTGTTTATTGTACTATACATTTTATCATTACTTTAGAACATACTCTTCTACATATTAAAAAAGGTTAACTGTAAAACAGTCTCAGGCAGGTCCTTCAGGAGGTATTCAAGAAGGCATTGCTATCAATAGGAGATGACAGCCCCATGCCTGTTACTTTGCCCCCAAAGACCTTCTGGTGAGACAAGATGTGGAGGTGGAAGATAGTGATATTGATGATCCTGACCCCGTGTACCTGACCCCATGTAGGCCTAGGCTCATATGTGTGTTTGTGTCTTAGTTTCTAACAAAAAATGTTTTTAAAAAAATTAATAGCAAAAAGCATATAGAATAAAGATATAAAGAAAGAAAATGGCCAGGCACGGTGGCTCATGCCTGTAATCCCAGAATTTTGGGAGGCCGAGGTGGGAGGATCCATTGAGCCTAGGAATTTGAGACCAGCTTGGGCAATATAATGAGACCTAGTCTCTACATAAATAGATAAATAAACAAACTAGCAGAGTGTGGTGGTGCATGCCTGTAGTTCCAGATACTCAGGAGGCTGAAGCAGGAGGATCACTTGAGCCTGGCAGGTGGAGGCTGTTGTGAGCCAAGATCAGGCCACTGCACTCCGGTCTGGGCGACAGAGCAAGACACTGTCTCAAAAAAAAAAAAAGGAGAGAAAATATTTTTTATAGCTCTACAATGTGTTTGTGTTTTAAGCAAAGTGTTATTACCAAAGAGTCAAAAAGTTAAAAAAATTAAAAAATTATAAAGTAAAAAGGTTACAGTAAACTTAGTATTGAATTTATTATTAAATTTAGTATAGCCTAACTGTACAGTGTTTATAGTCTATAGGAGTGTACGGTAATGTCCTAGACTTTCACTTTCATTCACTACTCACTCACCCAGAGCAACTTCCAGTCCTGCAAGCTCCATTCATGGTAAGTGCCCTATATAGGTGTGCCATTTTGTATCTTTTCTTTCTTTTCTTTTTCTTTTCTTTTTTTTTTTTGAGACAGGGTCTCACTCTTTCGCCCAGGCTGGAGTACAGTAGCACGATCTGGGCTCACTGTAACCTCCATCTCCCTGGCTCAAGTGATTCTCATGCCTCAGCCTCCTAAGTAGCCAGGATTACAGGCACCCGCCACCATGCCCAGCTAGTTTTTGTATTTTTAGTGGAGTCAGCATTTCACCGTGTTGGCCAGGCTGGTCTCGAACTCCTGGCCTCATGTGATCCACCTGCCTCGGCCTCCCAAAGTGCTGGGATTACAGGTGTGAGCCACTGCACCTGGCCCCATTTTGTATATTTTATACCATAATTTTACTGTTTATTATTGCTTAGATATGTTTAGATACACAAATACTGACCATTTTGTTATAATTGTCTACAGTATTCAGTATAGTAACATGCTGTACAGGTTTGTAGCCTGGGAGCAACAGGCTGTACCATCTAGCCTAAGTATGTAGAAGGCTAGGTTTGTATAACTGCACTCCATGATATTACCACACTGAAACAATTTAACAACACATTTCTCAAAATGTATCCCCATCATTAAGTGACACGTGACTGTATATATATTCAACTGTTAACAGTGCTTCTCCATAAGTAGTAGACTTTTACTAGTTTTTAATTTTTTTTTTTTTTTGCTTTCCTCACTTTTCCATTTTTATCTACAACAAAAGTGTCTTGGTTTTGGAGGTGAAAATAATAATCGGAAAAAATAAATATCACCAGCCCTACCCCATAAGACGGTTCAGCTTTGGAATGGGGAACACCTCTAAGCCAAGGGAATTAAGTAGTAGGGTGGTCCCAGAACTAATGTATGAATCTATCCACATGGTAACCCCAATTGGGCAGCTTCAGGGAAATTACAGACACCTAGGAGAAGGGCCAACATGTCTCTCAAATGAAGCTTACATTTAGCAGTCAGTATCCACAGAAATCCACTCTCCAGGATTTCAGTGATGGTCACAAGATGAAAGTAGTTTCACAGCATGCTTCTCTCTGCACTCTCCCAAAGAAAGCCCCTTGAATGGAGAGTAGGCTCCTCTGTTTACCCACCTAGTTAGCCAAGCAGTGACTGCCACAGGGGTGGGAAAGAGGGAGGGACTGCATGAAACCACCCAGGGGTCAGCACCACAGCTTCCAGAGAGGAAGGATCCTAACACAGCTGGGTTTGGGGTAAAAGTTGAGTCACAGTCTCACTCAGCAAAGAACTGCAGGAACAATCAGCACATGTGAATTAAAACACTTGCGAAATACCTTCCCTGTGCAATTAAAAATATTAGAAGAAAAGGAAGGAAAATATACACAAACCCAACAATTCTAACACAAAATCAGATCAAGTTCTAAATAAGATTCACCCCTAAGCCAATAAGGGATTTGGGTGGTAGACTGGCATATCTTTTACCAGCATAGCCCAGATTAGGTTCTGGATTAGGCCTTGAAGGGTTACAGTGAGCATGAAAGACAGATAATTTGGCCCAGACAAATGGGAAGTTGTTTCATATCAGGAAACACTGAGACATTGTTTTAGGCCAGTTAGCTCCAGAGAAACTCTAAGACTTTGAACACGCTGGGAAAAAGCATTTGAAAACAGTATCTACAGGTTGTTTGTGCTCCCTATAGCGTATAAACTGAGAAAATGGATATGTCTGTTTTAGTAAGTCTGCAAGAGTACACATGACAAGGAGGCCATGCAGCTCCCACTGTTGAAATGTGATTGTGTGTTTGTTCTCCTCATGTTTCTTCATTTTTTTTCCTTTTTTTCCATGAGGTAGCCAGGCATCTATAGAAAAAACATGCTACAAAACAATACCATTCTCACTTACAGATATATGCATATGTAATAAAAGTATAGGGAAATGTCTTTAAAATCTAAAACCCGAATTCTGCATAGTGGTTACCTCTGAGAAAGAAGGAGGCTTGCAATCAGAGAAGTCTTCAAAGTGAGTTTCAACTGCATATATAATATTAGGTATGTCAACATGAGAACAGGGATGTCTCTTACATTCTATAATTTTTGTATTTCTGAAATATTTCATAACAACTGTTTCAATGAAGCTTACTTCTGACTTTTAAAAAGAACCATACTAATTTAGAAATTGTGGAAAACATAGTTAAGTCAAGAGATAAAGAATTAAGTACCGACCCACCGCTCATTAATTTTGAAGAATGTATCCTTTTTTGTGCAGTTCCTCCCGTTTTATTCTCTACGCAGTCATATTTAATGTATGAGTTTCATTTATCTGGAGACTCAACATTTCCTAAACATCATAAAACCAGTAATTAAATGTGCCCCAATTTTCTCCTCACTTTACTGATGCCAATGCCCACGTCCTTAACCATTAGGTATACAATCTTTTTCTGTGTAAGGACAGAGACCAACACAGGGGAAGTGACTCCCCATGGTCCTGTACACGAGGACAGATCTGGTATTGGGGGCCAAGGTCTCCTGATTTCAGTCCATTGCACAGCAGACCCATCTTCATGTTCTGTTATTCTGTGCTGTCTCCTTTCTGGCCCACAGTGGGAAGCTGCTATTTCAGCATCCAAATAGAAGTTTAAAAAGAAGAGAAGAACACAACAAATAAAAAGTAATGAGGCTATAATTTGCTTCCTTATTTCCACCATCCTCAGTATCTCATCTTAGAAAGAAATAGCACCAAAGCTTATACGTCATATAAATATGTATGCATTTCTTTTTCTGATGGTTCAAATCCATTGATCTCTTTGAGATGTTGATGTTTAAGTCATCTCTTGTGGGAGGGAGAACATAAGGGAGATTATACATATATTTGTTGAAGTATTAGGTACCATGTGCTTTATTTACGTTTGCTCATTCCTCCTCTTGGCTCTCTGAAGTAAATGTCATTATGCCCATTTTATAGGTTAGCAAGGTCAGGTTCAATAAGGGTAACTCACTGCTAGAGGGTCATATTCAGCTATCAAGAGGCAGGAATGGGGTATTACACAAAATACTCATTTATATATATTATTTCCCAAAGTTATCAGATTATATGTATGTTTCAGCAATTTTTCTTTCTCACTCAGCATGGTAGCCTAGGATATTAGTTTTCAGTCCTTTAGTTATTGTAATCTGGCATAGTTTTGAAAATTTAATGGGTATACAATTGTTTTTTAATGTGAATTATCTGTTAATATTATTTTCTCTATTCATTAGTAAGACTTCATTCCATATCAAGGATGTAGTGTTAAGGATTTAATATAAAAGTAACCACTGAAACAAAACAATAACCATGCTAACTACTAAATAAATAGGAAGAGGAAATCAAACACATGACCTAGTGAAAGGCTATATAATTTCCTTATATTTATAGACAATACTACAGAACTGAACTTAAATGACCAAAGACTTTGATCATATTGTGGCAAGTCAATTCTCCCTGACAATCACATAGGCAGGCCTGCATGACAGTCACACAGACAGGCCTGCATAGCACCCCAGTTACACAGACAAATTTCCACAGCGCTGCCTTAACATTGAGCAAATAGTTAAACCTAGGGAAATTGTTGCCCAGACATCAAAGCTAGAAATGACACATATGGTCAGTAGGAGCCTTGTGTGGGCTTCTCCCTTGCTGGAGCAAGCCAAAATAATAGACACAGTTTTACAATAGGACCCATCTCGGGTCGACAAAATCTGAGAGAAGTCAAGGTAACAGAGGCAGCTGTTTGAACAGATTCATTAGAGAGTCTAAGGCAGCTCTCTGGACCAAGCTGTAAAGGAGACAAGATAGAAACAATCACTCTGGTACGACAGTAGACAGTCCTTGAAGGTACTGGGGCCCTTTTAATCAGACTTAGCAAGGATTTTTTTGCCTCTGACCTTCTAGTTGAAACAAAATTAGTTACCAATAGACTTAGGCGAATGCCGTACTGCACGTAGGGACATAACCCCAACCTATATAAGCCTTAAGAAAATTTAACACCTTGAGTTGGTCTGGTGGAATTATCTCTGGCCTCCTCCCTGTATCCAGTTACAGTAATAAATTCTCTTCTTTCCTAGTTTGTCTGCTTCTTGTTATTGGGCCTCGAGAAAATGCAGCCGGACCTGGCTTGGTTCCAGGAACAACAAGAATAAAGGTAAATGGACTTAATTCACCTATTAAAGTATTTGTAAATTTCCCATTGAAGCAAAATCCAAAATTATGCTTTTTCATGAGATATACCTTAAACAAATGAATTCAGGTAGGTTAACAGTTTAAAAATAAGTAAATATATACCAAGCAATTGACCATATCAAGAAAGCAGGAGTTATAATCTTGATATTTGAGAGAGTAGAATTGAGACCAAAATGGATTTAAAGAGGTAAAAAGGCACAGTTGATAATGCTAAAGGCTACAATTCACAAGGAAAATGTGAGATACTAATACTTATATACCAAAGCACACAATACTTCCCTGAATTCAAAAATGTTCAAGTGGAGAAAAAAATTAATAATTATAGAGAAGACCTAAACAACCAAGTCCCAAGAGTAGAGCTTATAAATAGCCACAGTGAACTATGAAGCCTGATATTAAGCAATACACATGCTTTTCAAATGAGCATGGAACATTCATGAAAATGGATTCTATCTGAGGCTGTTAACAAAATCTTGGGCCCAATGAGAATAGATTAAAATTGCAGAATTTGATGAGGATAATGATGAAAGCAACATATCAAAATCTAGCTAGAGTAGCTGTCAGAAGATATTATAAAGCATTAAATATCTACATGAATAAAAAAGAAAATTAAATATTCAATTTTAAAATCCTGATTTAAAAACCCACAAAGTAAATAAAATAATGCAGATGGAAAAAAATAGTTAAGGGCAAAAGCAGAAATGAATGAGCTAAGCAATAACATCCTTGTTAAAGATCAAAGTGTTGGGATGGGAAAAAAGCAAATACTGGCATTGTGGATGATGCACCAAATACCATGCTTGGACTTGAGGAAGGTCTCCCAACAAACTCCTTATAATGCTTCCTTGAATGTAAGGATTAGGGGTGTGTGTGTGTGTGTGTGTGTGTGTGTGTGTGTGTGTGTGCAGAGAGTGAAAAAATGCAAAACAATACTACATTTTGTTTAGGGAGTTCTCATATGGAGTAAAAGAAAAAAGTAGTATAGGGGAATTATAATTATCTCACTGTGGATATGATTATCTCTAGGGAAGAAAGAAAGGGACACAATCAGGGAGGAGTAAACTTTTTTCCTAACATGGATTATCTTTATAGCTCTCTATACATTTCCTCTAAAATATTTCATAAGTAGCGGAGGTTTAAGGGATTACAGTTTTTAATCATAAATATAATCCATACTCAGCAAATGTTTAATATTGAGCCAAGTACAGAGGTTAAAAATATCAATACCCAGTAACTCTATCATGATTGAAATTAAGATTGTGTTATGTCATTCCAGTGGTTATTTTTTCGTGCATATATACACATGTACTGCAAATTATATATACAATTCATGTAACTACTATAACCATATGTGCAGTTTATTGTCTTTTTTTATATCTTTTGCTTTTATCTTAAATACTAACACAGTGATGAAGTGTTCTGATTAAATGACAAGGTATAAGATCGAACATCTTACTCTTTCCAGTTGACCCAGCCCCAATTCTTGAACAATGCATTGGAATGGAAATGCCATACCTGCAGCATATTAAATAATGTTATATGCCTGGGTGTACTCAAGAGCTTTCTATAGACTTCCTTTAATTTGCATGCTACCCAACAGTTATAAAATTACAGGTTTGAGGAACATTGTAATACCAGACAGTATAATCTCCACTCCTATCATCCAGCCTTTGGATGGATAGCACAAATAGTAATAATAATAAATGACAATATAAGATGACAACAATTATAGGACATATGGTAGATAAGTTACTTGCTCTAAATTACACAAACAGCAGTTAATGGTTCCCAGGGTCAAATCCAAGTTTTTGTAATCCCAAAGCCCACACCCCAGTCCACCGTTTCTTTTAAAAAATATTATTATTAATATTTTATAAGTACATAAACACATACACATACAGGTTTTACATGAAAAGGTTTTTTTCTGGACAAATACACAATAACTCCAAAATAGTGGTGCCACTAGAAGGGCAGTTTGGAGTCTGGAGAGAAATGGAGGTTACTTTGCATATAGAAGACTTTATAGGTAAATAATTCTCAAATATTTGGAGAAATTTCCTCTAGTAAAGGAAAGCATTGGTTAAAAGAACATCCTTTGACATTAGACAGCCTTGTATTTGTGTTTGGTTTTGTCACTTACTACATCTTAAGCAATTACTTACACCCTCTAAGCCTCAGTTTCCTTTCTACAAAAAAGATTAAAATGGTGGACACATACAAAGAAAGTATTAATTAAGATAAAACATGTAACATAACACAGGGCCTGGCACAGAGTAATCACTTAATTAATGCCATATATTATTTTTATTTCTAATAGTAGCAATAGCTCAAGACGGTTGGATGTACAGTATTTTTGGCTTCCAATGAGAGCTGTTGTCAAGACATTCTTGCAATGGCTGCCATTCTACATGAGAGCCTCTTATTCATGGTGCCATGACAAGCTAATGTGTCACAATCATTGTGTGTATTATAAGTAACTTGTTACTTGTAATACTTTACTGAAGCTTGAGGATTGTTTATGTTATAGATGAATCAGTGTTGTACCTATAAAAACTCTCTCACTCTCTTGAATTATGAAATAATTTTCTGAGTGGGAGAGAAAGGGGTGGAGTTATTCATAGCTATACAGCTGAGAATTGTGGACAACACTAGGTGTGCCAGTGGGAGTGTGCCATGTATGTGAAAACCACATCATCACAAGATAATAGTCCTTTGCTCTGGAGGGCAACTAGTTTAAAGTCAGTAAACATGAAGTTTCAGATGATTTAAGGGTTCCCTATCCACTGTTTCTATATTGAGTGTCTTTCTGTGTTAGGACTTAGACCAAGAAAGGGAAAGGACTCACTGAATGACGTATGGTCAGTTGATAGGTCTGGCAAGAGGGATACAGGTTTGATGACTCCCATCTTCTGTCTATCTGACCGATTTTATTATTTGCTCTTATGTAGTGTTTCTTCTTCCTGGGGCTCAATAAGAAATTCCTTTATGCATGTCACACTAGAAAGAAAATAAGAGAGCAGAAAGTATGTGGAATAAAAGAAATGATGAGATAGGACCAACATTCACTTCTTGCTGCTACATTTCCAGATGCTCTCTGTTTAAAATTTATTTCACAGCGCACAGGTATTTTCTCTTTGAACCTACAAGAATGTAACCCCAAGATTCAATTCAAAAAGACAAAAAGGCAGGAGCACAAGGTTCATTCTTGGCAGAACAAATTGTAACAGCAGAAGACTCAAAATGTGACAGATGTCCACCAATAAGGGACTGATCGAGTAACCTAAGATACATCTACTCCTAGAGTATAATGCAGATATAACAAGCAATGAGAACTCCCACTCTATTATGTAGTGATCTCCAAAATACATACTGTTAAGTGAATAAAAAGCAAAGAAAAAAATATGTAGAGCTGCTGCTGCCCAATATGGTAGGCACTAGCCACTGATGGCTATTTCTTCCTGATGTACAAAATACATTCATTCCAGCTCAGTAGCTCCTAAAGTCTTAATTCATTCTAGCATCAACTCAAAAGTCCAAGATCCAGAGTCTCATCTAAATCAGTTATGATTGAGACTCAAAACCCAATTCATCCTAAGGCAAATTCCTTCCAGCTGTGAGCTTGTGAATCAAAACAAGCTGTCTACTCCCAAAATACAATAGTGACACAGGTGTAGAGTAAACATTCCCATTCTAAAAGGGAGACACAGGCAAAAACAAAGGAGTAACAGGCCTCAAGCATAGTCCAAAACCCAACAGGGCCAAAAACATTAAGTCTTTTTTTGTTGTTGTTTTTTTGACAGAGTTTCCCATTTTGTCACCCAGGCTGGAGTGCCACAGCATGATCTTGGCTTACTGCAACCTTTGCCTCTAGGGCTCAAGCAATCCTCCTTCCTTAGCTTCCCGAGTAGCTGAGACCACAGATGTGCATCACCATGCCCAGCTAATTTTTGTATGTTTTGTAGAGACGGGGTTTCACCATATTGCCCAGGCTGGTCTCAAACTCCTGAGCTCAAGCAGTCCGCCCGCCTTGGCCTCCCAAAGTGCTGGGATTACAGATGTGAGCCACTGTGCAAGGCCCATTAAGTCTTAAAGCTAGAGAATCATTCTCTTTTGACTCCATGTCCTGAATACTGGGCTCACTGGGATGGGAACTGGGCCCTCAAAGCCATAGGCAGTCCGGCCTCTATGGGTTTGCTGTACTCAGTCTACTCACCAGCTCTCACAAATTGGAGTCTCATGCCTGCAGCTTTCTGAGGCTGGAGTTGCACACTGGTAACTCTATAGTTTCGGGGTCTCTGAGATGGCCATACTCAACAGCTCACTAGGTATTGCCCTAGTAGGGGCTCTTTGTGGTAGCTCCATCCCTGCAAGTCTCTGCCTGGATCTCCAGGCTGTCTGAGACATCCTTTCAAATCTAGGAGGAGGAAGTCATGCCCTCACAGCTCTTGCACTCTGTATGCCTTTAGAATTAGCAGCATATGGATACCACTAATGTTTACAGCTTGTATCTTCTGAAGCTGCAGATTGAGCCACACCTGCGGTCACTTGGGCCACAGCAACTGGGGTGGCTGAGGAGCACTGTCCTGAAATGTGGGAAGAAGAGACCCAAGTGTCTCTTTGCAGCAAGCCCATGGAAGGCATCCTGGGCTGGTCCCCCTATAGCTCTGGGTCTGTGACAAGAGGGGCAGCCTCAAAGATCTCTGAAATACTTTGGGGGACTTTTTCTCATTGTCTTGATGAATAGCATCTGGCTCCCTTCCATCCATGGTAACCTCTTTAGCAAATAGTTGCTTGGCCACACCCTTAGTATTCTCTCCTGAACACCCTTTTCATTCTACATGGCCAGGCTGTAAATTTTTCTAATTTTTTTTGCTCTGCTTCTCTTTTAATTACAAATCATACTTTAAGTCACTTATTTCTTCTCACATCTCACTGTATGTGGTTAAAAGTAGCTGTGTGGCAGCCTGAATACTTTGATGCTTAGAGATTTCTTCCACCAGATACCCTACTTCATCACTCTTAAGTTCTGCATTCCATAAAGCCCTAGAACATGGACAAAATTCAGCCAAGGTCTTTGCTACTTTATAACAGGATGGCCTTTACACCAGTTTCCTACATTGTTCCTCATTTCTTTTCTTTCTTTCTTTTTTTAATGCAGTTTGTTGCCCAGGCTGGAGTGCAATGGCGCGATCCTGGCTCACTGCAACCTCTGCCTCCTGGGTTCAAGCGATTCTCCTGCCTCAGCCTTCTAAGTAGCTGGGATTACAGGCACCTGCCACCATGCCTGGCTAATTGTTTTTTATTTTTAGTAGACACAGGGTTTCACCATGTTGGCCAGGCTGGTCTCGAACTCCTGACCTCAGGTGATCCAGCCGCCTCAGCCTCCCAAAGTGCTGGGATTACAGGCATCAGCCACTGTGCCCAGGCTGTTCATCATTTCTGTCTGAGACTTTATCAGAATGGCCTTTACTGTCCATATTTCTACCAACATTCTGGTCACCATCCCTTGAAGTACTTTAAGGCTTAAATACTATCTAAGAAGATTCAGACTTTTCCTACAGCTCTGCTCTTCTGAGTCCTCACCAGAATTGCCATTATAGCTCCATTTATGGCAGTCTAGGCTTTTTCTAGCCTGTTCATTCAAATTCTTCCAGTCTCTACCCATCACTACCTAGCTCCAAAGCTGCTTCCACATTTTCAGGTATTTGTTATAGCCACAGCCCATGTCTCGGTACCAATTTTCTGTTAGTCCATTTTCTGCTGTTATAACAGAATAGTACTGACTGGGTAATTTATAAATAAATAAAATTTATTTCTCACAGTTCTGGAGACTGGGAAGTCCAAAAGCATGGCTCCAGCATCTGGCAAGGGCCTTCATGCTACATCATAACTTGGCAGAAGGGCAAGTGAGCACATGAGACAGAAAGAGGAAGTAGGACTGAACTCATTCAGTAGTTTAGGAGCCCACTCTCATGATAACTAGCCCACTCCCACAATAACAGCATTAATCCACTCATAAGGGTGGATCCCTTATGGGCTAATCACTGCTTAAAGTCACCTCTTCTTAATACTGTTACAATGGCTGTTATATTTCAATTGGAGGGGACATTCAAAGTATAGCACCCAACAACCTCTTCTGTATATGATGCCCCACCAAGGGTTAGGGACTGGTCATTGTACAATCCCCATGCCTGTTCACTCAACAACCCCTTTGGTGATGATGATGAGGTTGATGATGGTGGAAGTGAAATCCTCTGCTTGGGGCCAAGAGACCTTGGTATGTGGATCATGTGAATTGACTGGCATTTAAGATGGCAGACAGGCTTATTCAGAATAATAGGTGCTTCCTCTGGGACAAAGATCTGGAGGGTAGGAAACTAATGTTGACAAAACTAATTATAAAGAAGATGTACTCTAAGTTGTATCTCCTTTAATCTTAACATTTATTCAAGTAACCTATTATTAAATGCATAGTTTAGATCAAGTTATAGGAAATTAAGAGAGGTTGTGTAAACCAGAGAAACTGCTTTGGTTATTGTCTCCTCAGGAGTGGAGTCTGGAATTTCACTAAAGCTTTTCATGTGTTCTGAAGCCTCCAGGAATCTGAATGCTCTAATCTCCCTGGACAATAACAATCAATGCTGCCCTGGTCATTGCTTAATTTATTTATATAATGATCTGTATATTAAATTATAATATTGAAAATTTTAAAACACTGTATATGACAAAATAAATCATTAAAGCTTGTCTCAGTAGGTTAGAGTAAATATGTACAAATTATATGGAGCTAATTCTCATGATATATAAAGCATTCCCAGTAGCCAATATGGAAAGAAGGTCTGATGATGTTATGGTAGGCACCCTCTAAAATTGTCCCCTATGATCCCCATTTTCCTTGTGTATTCACTCCCTGTATAATCTGTCCCATAGTGTGGGCTAGAGTTAGTGACTTGCTACTAAAAATTAAAATATGTGAGAAGGGATGGGATGTCACTTCTGAGATCAAGTGACAAAAAGCTGTGTTGTGCATTCTTATAGATGCGCTAAGGAGAGCCAGTTGCCATGATATGAGCTATCCATGTGACAATCGATGTCTCTGCCCAAGAACTATTGAGGCCCTGAGGCCTGCTAACAGCCATATAAATGAGCTTGGAATTGGATCCTCCCTCCGTTGAGCCTTGAGATGGCTGTAGTCCCTACCTAGACCTTGATTGCAGCCTTGTGAGAGACTCTGAGCCAGAACCTAAACTGTGCCATGATTCCTAACCCACAGAAATGATGTGTATTAATATGTTTGTTGCTTTAAGTAGCAAAATTTGGAGGTAATTGGTTATGCAAGATAGCTAATACAGATATAAACAGAGAATTCATGTAAACAGCAATATACATGCCCAAGAAACATTTAAAAACACATTCACTAATGAAATGCAAATAAAAACCTGGATAGATGCTGTTTTTCTGAAAAAAGGCAAGCTGCAGAGCCATATGGGTGATGAGAGCTTAAAAATCCCATAGAAGGCCAGGATGCCTGACCTAAGAGAGTCACGGGGACTCACCTTTCTTGAATGCTGGTGCATTTTTATTTCATGTATTTCCACAACATTATCAGGAGGTAGAGGTAATAACCTCTATGTGATTTTATAGCTAGAGAAGCAATAATGTTTGTAGGTTAAGTAGTCTGGCTGGGGAGTGTTGGGAGAAAGGCTTATGGGGTACCTGTATAAACTGGCCATAAAAATATGGGACAATAAGTTGTGGAAAGCCACAAGAGGCCTCTGAGGAGGAAAGTCTTCTTATCGCCATTATGTTCCCATGCTCTGAGCGAGACTTGCTCTCTTATCTATAAACACTGTGTTCAAGGAGAAAGACACTCCTTTGAAGCACTGGAATATGGCCAGATGTGCAGGCTCCTAGTTAAGCCCGCTCCCACTAGCTACTCTCCCATAAGTTAAAGATACGCTGTTTGAGCACAAAGGAGATTCATTTGCTATAGATTACACCTGCCTCCCTTTCACCGTTTCGCCCTGAACGCCTGCTTCTTAGATCTAAGTGATTGTACTCAACAAATAGTGTGGAGACCAGAGCTTGGCGCCTTTTGCAGCCTCCATTTTGCAATTGGTCCCCTGGCCCCCACTCTTTATGCACTCTTAACCTGTCTCTTCTCATTCCTTCATCGCCACCGGACTTTGGGTACCCTACGGGTGGTGTTGAGGCTGGTCCTCAACAGAGGAGCATTCTACAATAAGTAGAAAAGTAGAGACCAGCACCCCGTAAGGCCCCATGCAGACTGTATGATGCTGAGCTGCATATCACATGATAACCAAGTAAATCTTGCTTTCCTGCTGACCTGGGTCACTACTGACATCTGTATCTTCACCTCTGAAGCCAGGCTGCTAGTTCTGCCTCTCTTTCTGATCAGAGAATCTTGTTGTACATCAATATCCTGCTCTGCAAAGACAAGGGAATGTGTCTGGGTCAGTGCTTTAGAAAGTAGAGTTCCCAGACAACCTACATCATGAGGAATATGCATCCTCTAATAGAGGGGCAGTTGTCACACTGAGGATGAATACTTGAAGGGACAGGCTCCAAATACATACAGAGTGGGGATGCACAGACTATTTAAAAGATATTGCCAAATCAACCTGGAAAGAGGTTGTACGAAGTGATATCCCCTCCCCCAATATGAGACAGAGTAGACCTACCCATATGCACACCTCACTGAAATCCTCGATGGTTTTTTAAAATACTTTGATAACATGACAGGTGGAAATTCTCTCATTTTCATCATATTTAACTGGATACTAAGGTAATTTTTAAATAATTCCCTAATAAACACTCTGTTAATCATCATTATTGCTATTTTTTTAAATGCAAAAGGGTCCAGTTACATATGCAGCCTAACAGACAATAAGCAACAAGCACATGAGCCTGTAGGTTCTCCTAGGGCTACTGCTGGCATTAAGGCTCCAGGGTGTATATGTGTGTGTGTGTGTGTGTGTATTTGTGTGTGTTTGTGTGGTCTCTGGTGGCTCCTAATGACAGTGCATTTGCCTAGAAGATTAAGAATGTCTCTCTGGGATATTGGTTGAGTTCAAGTTTAGAGAGGAGCTGGATCTACACGTTCTGGAGTCTTTCTGAATGACACAAGAGCTGGACCACAACTTACTTCTGAGTAGGCTGTAATCCTGTCCCCATGATAGAAAACAAGCCTGTCTGAGACCTCACCTACTCAGGTCAGTGTGGATCCCTCTAGCATGTAAGGTGTGGTAGTCTGCCTAAATCTACTTCTGAACACTGTAGCTGGGTGCTCCCATCTTGCTGCCATCAGTTGTAGAGACCTGGGAAGCTGCATCCTCTCAGCCACCTAACTCCACGGGTTCAGTCATCTGCATAAAAGCTCTGCGCTGGGAGATAAAAATTTGTGAATTATCAGCATGTTTGACACATTGTGCATCCACCCATTCAGTCATTCCTCAGTTAACAGTTACTAGGCATTAAGGCCAAACTCTACACCATCCCTTTGGTTAAGTTTTAGGCTTCCCCAGAATAGAAACAAGAAAGTGAAGTGTGGAAAGGAGGGTGTGGTAAATTCAGATGGCAGATCTAAGAAGAGATGGCTCCTTCCCACTAACAGATTAATCATAGAGACTCATCACTGATGATTGTAAAACATAGTTCAGTGCCATGGACCCATTTCTACATCTTTAGTTGATATCCTCTTTACATATATTCTCCCATTTACAATCAATATTCTATGAAGAATTCTCAATACTCAACTCACTTCCCTCTGCACTTCCCTACACCTCAGTCTTCATTTCTCATCTACTGGGACTTGGTTCCCCCACCCTTCCACTGAAATGAACTCTCCCAAGTCTACAGCCACCTCTTTGTCACATTTATAGATCAAGAGTGTTGAAATAAATGTTCAAATGGAGATAAACAGGTACTTTCCCAGGGGGAAAAGGTTTCCCTCCCCCAAGACAGAATTCATTTCCTTGTGTCTATAGACAAAGATAGCATGCAATGCTATCAGTTACCTAAAAGGTAGAGTTGTAAAACAGCTTTCAGAGTCAGATAACCAGAAGGCTAAGCTGCAGACGACATGCTTTCAAATGAAGCACACATTTTACCTGACACAGCTTATACTTTTGCTTCATCGACAGGGAGTTCATAAATAGGTTTACTTTATGTTAGCAGTAATTTTTATGGCTACTTCAATAATCTTGCCTTATCTGTTTTTTATTTCTGTCTCAAGGGGTACCAAGTAGGCAATGAAATAAAGTGAAATTATAATGCTGTTCCAAACTTTGCCATGATTAAATATATTATCTAAAAGCACTAATATATCACAATTAGAAAATATAGTGGTGATGAAATATAATTGCGGTGATAGGGAGCTCTTTTGCAGTTTCCTGATAGTTAAGTCAAAATTCTTTTACTGTACCACTGAAATAATGATGCTGGAATTCTTCGGGGATATATCCATTAAGTAAAATATTTCAACTTTAAAATAAGTATGCATAAATCCATACTGATATAAGTAAATGTTTGGTGAATTAATAAAGAAAAGCATGTGAGAAGACAAACAGTCTTTATGGAATGATTGCAAATAGTATTTGTAGCTACTAACCCTCCAAGAGGTGAAGCTTAATCCTGAATGAAGGTCACACTTAGTGACTCACTTCTCAGGAACATAGTACGTGAATTGAAAAAGTTACTGTACATTGGAAAACTTGGCAAACACGACTTTAACTATGTGATGAAGGTTAACATCACCAGTGAGGTCATGTCATCATGTAAACCCAAATATTATGTGATAAGAAGGGCACTTCAACTCTGTGGTATTCTTTCTGAAATTCCATAATGCTGGTCTAATCATGAGAAAAAGACAACAGATTAAGGCTGTACTCCTCAAGACTGTCAAGGTCAATAAAATATTCTGAGAGTTCCTCATATTGTCAAGCAGAGAACTGCCATATAACCCAGCAACTTTACTCCCAGGTACATACTCAAGAGAAACGGAAACCTATGTCTACATAAAAACTTGCACAAAAAATATATGTAGCATCATAATTCATAATGGCCGAAAACTGGAAACAACTCAAGTGTTCACCAATTGATGAGTGGATAAAAAAATGTGGTATATCAATAAAAAGGAATAAAGTACTGATACATGCTACAAAATAGATAAACCTTAAAAACATTATGTGAAGTGAAAGAAGCCAGACACAAAAGATGAATATTGCATGATTCCACTTCTATGAGATGTCCAGAATAGGTAAATCCACAGAAACACAAAGCATACCTGTGATTCCTGGAGCTGGGGGTGAAAGCAGGGATTAACTGCGTTCAAGTATGATGGGACATTTTATAGTGATGGAAACCTCCAAAACTCAACTACGGTGATGGTTGCACAACTTTTGTTTACTGAAAATCATCAAGTTGTATCCTTAAAACTGCGAATTTCATTGTCTGTAATTATATTGCAAGAAAGCCTTCTGTTGTACCTCAGTAATGACCAAACTTTTTCATATGAAGGCCTTGATGCCCATGTTTTCTATACCCATGAATATATATAAAACCGTAGCTGTATCCCAGCCCTGCTGACTGTGTCCTAAGTAACTCCAAGCAATGGCAGTCTCTCCCTGCCCCACCACCACCACCCCTCACGCTGACTCGGGCTTTGCTTGTATGAAAAATTCGAGTTGCACCTGATCACTTCCACATCTTCTAACTGTGGAAGAAACTGGAGAGTGGGTCCACAACAGCATCCAGGGCCTCCACTCTAACATGACATCAGCATTATTATTTTTTACTCCTCTTGGGATTTTCTCCTGTGACTCCACCTGAGGAATCTAAATGGCATTACCTCTCTGGGTGTCAGTATTGCAATACTTATCAAAGGGCTACATAGGTGCACACCCTTTGCACCAACAATTTACCTTTTAGAAGTTTATCTTCAGGACATTGTGAAGGATGCTGATAAGCATCTGGTTATAAGTACTGTCATTCTGAAAATTCCCTTCCTTTATTTCTGGGCCTGAATTTAGGAAGAAAGACCAACCGGTACACCAAATTATGAAGGGGCAGAAGGAAGCAGAGGGAAATGCTGTGCACACACACAAGCAGTGACAAATACACACACATGTACAGCAACCAGGTTCTGTTATTAGTACTGTAATAACCTCCAAGACAGTTAGTAAGGCTCTAAGAGGACCCATTTGGCTCACCAGTGTAAACAGCTACAGGAACTGTGCCCTTCAGCCATGCACAGACTCTGAAAAGATGTCTTCCACACAGTGTAGATAACAGGGAATATCAGAACACTCTGACTAACACAGGTTTGAGAAAACTGATGTCATATCCATAGGATGGAATTCTAGAATTCAGCAAAACAAGTTTTAATGAAGATAACGATGAGAGGTGATTTGTTGCCTGTAAGATTAGCAATGATTCACATTATTTCTAATGTGTGAAGACACAAGGTCCTTACATACTGTTATGTAAGGAATATAAGTTAGAAATAGTATTTGGATTTCACTATGTTAATATAAAATTTTACAGTTCCCAGGGTTTTGAAAGACCACTTCCAGGAACTTTTTTTTTTTTGACAGAAATGCTTACAAATATATTTGCATATATATGAGGAGGATATTAAGTATACTATTGTTTGTAACAGGAAAAAATGTTAAAGCAACTACATTTTTATGACTGGGATACTAATTAAATGAATTTTTGGGGCACCCACATGATGAACCACCTGGTTGATAAAAAAAAGAGACTACAATTATTTTTGGAAGGAAATTTAAAACATTATTATGGAAACGCATGTGTATGCAAAGATGATCACAATGAGGGCAAATGTGGGTCACAAAGATCACTTAGTGGCCAAGATGCATTTTTGCTTATATAGGTCTATAGCTATTTATCCAGAGGTTTGAAAGCATAAACACAGAAATGATCATTTTGTGCTTTCACATAGCACATAAAGAGGCTACACTTTCTGTCTGGTGGCCGTCAGTATCCCTGTACAGTGGGAATGCCCATTTTTCTACTCACACTTCCAGAAAACTCTGTAGGGTGTGCATGGGCCACAGCACCTCCCTCCCACCTTCCTGCTCAGCGATGTTCAAGCTGCTGCAGTTCAGGCTTCTGTCATGAGGGGGCATCACTGTACCACTATTATCAAACTTCTCTACAAAGTGTAAGCAAGGAGCAGAAAAATACGGTATCCTCCCCTAAAACCCAGTCTATGAAAGGAACTGCAGAATGATTCTGTCTGGAAAAAAAAAACAACCCTGACAGGTGTAAAAAAGAGTGTAAAAACATACTGTGGGACATCCATAGGATGAAACACCAGGTAGGTCTGATGTGCCTTGGCTGTTGCTGGGAGGCAGGATTGGGGGAGCCCAGGGCAGCAGGAAGTGACTGAAAGGATGAGGCGCTGGAGTGGGGTCTGGGCAGATGTGTCCACAATGTCTTGGAGAGGGGGGTCAGTGGGAGGGAGTGGGAGAGAGTCTGAGAAGCCTGTACAGGGTTGGAGTGATGGGTGGTGAACACCCTGCTCTCCAGGAGGGACCCCCCCCTACAGCGTGGACACCTCAACCTACGCTAATGAAGGAAAAAATAAATTACTGAATGCGCTGTAGATTTGGAATCAACAGCAAATTGGCCTGCTTTAATATACAAATGGGTATTCCGAACTATTGGTATCACAGTAAAGAAAAGTTTCATAACATTACTTACTCTGCGAAATTTACCCCTTTTCATTAAGAAAGAGCAAGGAACGTGGAGATAGCTGTAATGCCTCTTGGTGGCCAGAGTCAGGATTGCAACTCTGAGTGTAGACCAGGGGACTCAGCAGCGGGCAGGGAGGGATGAAAGTTGGGAGCTTGATTAATGGGATCAGACATGGTTTTCTGGAACTTTTCACTTACATCCAGCTATCCTTCTGTATCCATCATTTTTTCTGGAATATTAACAGAAGCACTTTTTGTGGGATATCTAAATCTGAGATCAGAAGCCAGTCCTGGTCTGAACTGAAGATAATACTGCAACTGTGAGCTGTACTTGAGGTGGTGGAGCTAGACTAGCTAGAAACACACACACACACACACACACACACACACACACACACACACACACTCCATTCATTTTTTAAAATCTGCTTTGTTTCCCCATAAAATTGGCTACAATGAATGCTTTTCCAAAGCAAAAAAAATATATATATATATATGGAATATATGTGCACATTACTTTTGTCAATCTGATGATAAGTATTTTGTTTTCAATTTTTATTAAAATACTTTTTCCCCCCGAATACAAAATTTCAAACACTATGCAAAAGCACTTCAATACATTTAAATCATCCTGCATCTCTCACTGACCCTACTCCTACCCCCTGGCCCCAAGGGGTCTGTTGTCCCTTAGGATAATGCACGCTCTCCAGACGCATCCCTGTAGGTGACGTGCACACGAACATGTTCGACCCCCAACACACATCATAGTCCTCTCCAAAAGTGCAATCACAGTCCTCATCTTCTTTGACAACCTATCTTTTCCACTTAAGATACCCCTCCCTCTCCCTCCTCCTTCTTCCTCTTCCTCTTCTTCTTCCTCTCTCTCTCTCTCTCCTCTTTTCCCTTCAAAGTTAAAGCTCTAAAAATAGTTTTCTGCATTCCTTGTTAACATTCTTTATTCGCCACTAACCCCCTATCCCACTGCACTATGACTTCCATTGCCAGGATTGTAATGAATGTGATCTTACCAAGGTCACCATTCACCTTTTTGTTACTAGGGCCAGTGTTTGTATACATCTATTAACATACTAAGTATTACTTTAAATGCATTCCTAAAACATGCACGCTTGTGCAGACTGTTTCTTTCACCTAAGAAATCTGTGACAGTTTTCAGGCTCTGAAGCATGACATCCTGGACACAAATCCAAGCTGTCCCACTCCCTAACTGTGTAGTCTCAGGCAAAGTCCTTATTCTCTCTGCCACTCAGTTTCTCATCTATAAAGTGGGAATCAGCAAGGATATCTCTTTTTTTGAACATTACTATTACCTTTATTTATTTTTTCAATTGATATATAATATAGGGTTACATATTTTGGGGGGTACATGTGAAAATTTAACACACTCATATATTTGTAAAGATCATATCAGTATAACTGAGATATCCATCACCTTAACTATTTGTTTTCTTTATGCTAGAAACATCTAAATTATTCTCTTAACTATTTTGAAATACACAACCTGCATTCTTAAAATCTCTAATTTTCACTACAACCAACCTTGGATGACCTAAATTTTAATTAACTTAAGAACATCTCAAAAGCACTTGGAATGACTGATCTCACAAAATAGCACTATCGTTTTTCCACATGGCTGTACAAAAAGCTGAGGGGTCATACTTTATTCTGCCTTATCCCCACATACTTCACACACACAGCTACTACAGGTCTTACCCTCCCTACCTCCAAACACATACTGTCAAGGTCCATTTCTCCCTCTACACATGGCTGCAGCATTGATACCATCAGCTTGCTCCTCCCTAGACTTCCGCAATATTTTCTAATGGTTATTCTCACACACTATCTTCTCCCTCTCTAGTCCATTCTTTGCACAGTGACCAGAGTCACTTTCTGAAAACATGAGTCAGATGATATTGTTCCCATTCTCTAACCCTCCACACTCACAATACAATCCAAACTCCTTACAATGGCTTAAACAATATTGCTCCTATCTGCCCCTTCAACCTCATCTCACCAGTCTGTGCATTGTCTGCCAGGCTCTAGGCACTTGAGCTTTTCCCTGCTCTTGGAACACACGGTGCCCATGCACATTGTATACACACTGGCAAAAAGTCAGTCTGTGCCTAGCTTCTTTTTGTTATCCAGGACTCAGCTCAAATGTCACTTCCTGAAAAGGAGCTTCACTTACAACCCCATCTGTAATTATCTTTATCTTGGTCATTTAATACTCTATATGTGTTAAAACACAAATCCCCATATGAAATTACCCTGCTCATTGATCTGTTTACCTACTTATTACCAGTTTTCTCAAACTAGAAATGATATGTCCGGGGACCATGTTTGTCTTGTTCTCTGTGCTGTTTCCCCGGTGCTTAGATCAATGCTCCACACATAAATCACTGAATGAAAATTACTGAATTAAAGGAACTGGTACCTATTTCACAAAACAGAAATGACACAGATATTAAAAGCAAAGTAGTAGGAGCAACCAATGATGAAATTAGACATGAAAGGATTCAAATTTTTCATAGACCTTGTTGCAAATCCACAGCAGTGCTTTTCAAACATGGATGAGTACCACAACCAATTGGAAAAATTTCTCAAAATATAGATACCTGCCACCACATCTCCCTGTTTTTCATTCAGCTGACTTATGGTAGACCCAAATATCTACTATTTTAACAGGCAATCCATGATGATTTTGATGAAGTAGTCCACGAACCATACTTGGCAAAATTCTGATGAAAACACCTCACATTACTGTGCCATTAATTTAATGCCCACCATGGAGAACTCTAGGACATCTGGATTGTCTCTGTTAAGGTAATTACTCAAAAGTGACTGGTCCTTCCCTCCCACCTAAGATCACAGTTTGCTTTCCCATATGAGTTCATTGTTAATCTCCAGAGTATTCTTGAGTGGTCAGGAAGATTGGGAATTATTATCCTGTTGAATAGATGAGGCTGGTGTAAGGGAAGTGACTCACCTAATATGTCCCAATGATGAGACTTTCATCGCTTCACTCTTGCTCCAGTAGCCTGTCTAGCAGACTCCACATCACATTTGGTTTTTCTCTGTTAGCTCCTAGTTCTAGGGCACAGAGTACACCCCTTCTCTGATGTTACACTAGAAGGGAGATAAGAAAGCACATGGAATAGTGAGGAAAGAAAGAGGACAGGTAAGGAGGTTGTACGTGTGATGATGTTTTGCCTATACCCCATTCAGTTAACTGGAAGCTAAGCAATGAGGTTTTTCCTCTCCCTCAGCTTCATCTCACTGTCCCCACCACCACACAGCAGTGATACTCAAGATTGCACATGACAGGCTGGGCACAGTGGCTCACGCCTGTAATCCCAGCCCTTTGGGAGGCCAAGGTGGGCAGATCACAAGGTCAGGAGACTGAGACCGTCCTGGCTAACATGGTGAAACCCTGTCTCTACTAAAAATACAAAAAAATTAGCCAGGCATGGTGGCATGTGCCTATAATAGTCCCAGCTACTTGGAAGGCTGAGGCAGGAGAATCACTTGAACCCAGGAGGCAGAGGTTGCAGTGAGCCGAGATTGCATCATTGCACTCCAGCCTGGGCACCAAAGCAAGACTCCATCTCAAAAAAAAAAAAAAGATTGCACATAATAAGAAATGATAATAGAAATGTAGACTTAAGTCTTAGCCAAGATGGCCGAATAGGAACAGTTCCAGTCTACAGCTCCCAGCGTGAGCGACGCAGCAGATGGGTGATTTCTGCATTTCCAACTGAGGTACCAGGTTCATCTCACTAGGGAGTGCCAGACAGTGGGTGCAGTGCACCGTGCGTGAGCTGAAGCAGAGCAAAGCATTGCCTCACCCAGGAAGCTCAAGGGGTCAGGGAATTCCCTTTCCTAGTCAAAGAAAGGGGTGACAGAAGGCACCTGGAAAATTGGGTCACTCCCACCCTAATACTGCGCTCTTCCAATGGGCTTAACAAACGGCACACCAGGAGATTATATCCCGCACCTAGCTCGAAGGGTCCTATGCCCACGGAGCCTCCCTCATTGCTAGCACAGCAGTCTGAGATCAAACTGCAAGGTGGCAGTGAGGCTGGGGGAGGGGCGCCCGCCATTGCTCAGGCTTGAGTAGGTAAACAAAGCAGCCAGGAAGCTCGAACTGGGTGGAGCCCACCACAGCTCAAGCAGGCCTGCCTGCTTCTGTAGGCTCCACCTCTGGGGGCAGGGCAGACAAACAAAAGACAGCAATAACCTCTGCAGACTTAAATGTCCCTGTCTGACAGCTTTGAAGAGAGTAGTGGTTCTCCCAGCACGCAGCTTGAGATCTGAGAATGGACAGACTGCCTCCTCAAGTGGGTCCCTGACTCCCGAGTAGCCTAACTGGGAGGCAGCCCCCAGTAGGGGCAGACTGACACCTCACACGGCCGGGTACTCCTCTGAGACAAAACTTCCAGAGGAACGATCAGACAGCAACATTTGCTGTTCACCAATATCCACTGTTCTGCAGCCTCCGCTGCTGATACCCAGGCAAACAGGGTCTGGAGTGGACCTCCAGTAAACTCCAACACACCTGCAGCTGAGGGTCCTGACTGTTAGAAGGAAAACTAACAAACAGAAAGGACATCCACACCAAAAACCCATCTGTACATCACCATCATCAAAGACCAAAGGTAGATAAAACCACAAAAATGGGGAAAATACAGAGCAGAAAAACCGGAAACTCTAAAAATCAGAGTGCCTCTCCTCCTCCAAAGGAACACAGCTCCTCACCAGCAACAGAACAAAGCTGGATGGAGAATGACTTTGACGAGTTGAGAGAGGAAGTCTTCAGAAGATCAAACTACTCCAAGCTAAAGGAGGAAGTTTGAACCCATGGCAAAGAAGTTAAAAACCTTGAAAAAAGATTAGATGAATGGCTAACTAGAATAACCAATGCAGAGAAGTCCTTAAAGGACCTGATGGAGCTGAAAACCAGGCACGAGAACTACGTGACAAATGCACAAGCCTCAGTAACGGATGCGATCAACTGGAAGAAAGGGTATCAGCGATGGAAGACGAAATGAATGAAATGAAGCATGAAGAGAAGTTTAGAGAAAAAAGAATAAAAAGAAACGAACAAAGCCTCCAAGAAATATGGGACTATGTGAAAATACCAAATCTACATCTAATTGATGTACCTGAAAGTGACGGGGAGAATGGAACCAAGTTGGAAAACACTCTGCAGGATATTATCCAGGAGAACTTCCCCAATCTAGCAAGGCAGGCCAACATTCAAATTCAGGAAATACAGAGAACACCACAAAGATACTCCTCGAGAAGAGCAATTCCAAGACACATAATTGTCAGATTCATCAAAGTTGAAATGAAGGAAAAAATGTTAAGGGCAACCAGAGAGAAAGGTCGGGTTACCCACAAAGGAAAGCCCATCGGACTAACAGCTGCTCTCTCGGGAGAAACTCTACAAGCCAGAAGAGAGTGGGGCCCAATATTCAACATTCTCAAAGAAAAGAATTTTCAAGCCAGAATTTCATATCCAGCCAAACTAAGCTTCATAAGTGAAGGAGAAATAAAATACTTTACAGACAAGCAAATGCTGAGAGATTTTGTCACCACCAGGCCTGCCCTAAAAGAGCTCCTGAAGGAAGCACTAAACATGGAAAGGAACAACTGGTACCAGCCACTGCAAAAACATACCAAATTGTAAAGACCACTGAGGCTAGGAAGAAACTGCATCAACTAATGAGCAAAATAACCACCTAACATCATAATGACAGGATCAAATTCACACATAACAATACTAACCTTAAATGTAAATGGGCTAAATGCTCCAATTAAAAGGCACAGACTGGCAAATTGGATAAAGAGTCAAGACCCACAGTGTGCTGTACTCAGGAAACCCATCTCACGTGCAGAGACACACATAGGCTCAAAATAAACGGATGGAGGAAGATGTACCAAGCAAACGAAAACAAAAAAAAGCAGGGGTTGCAATCCTAGTCTCTGATAAAACATACTTTAAACCAACAAAGATCAAAAGAGACAAAGAAGGCCATTACATAATGGTAAAGGGATCAATTCAACGAGAAGAACTAACTATCCTAAATATATATGCACCCAATACAGGAGCACCCAGATTCATAAAGCAAGTCCTTAGTGACCTACAAAGAGACTTAGACTCCCACACAATAATAATGGGAGACTTTAACACCTCACTGTCAACATTAGACAGATCAACGAGACAGAAAGTTAACAAGGATATCCAGGAATTGAACTCAGCTCTGCACCAGGCGGACCTAATAGACATCTACAGAACTCTCCACCCCAAATCAACAGAATATACATTCTTCTCAGCACCACACCACACCTATTCCAAAATTGACCACATAGTTGGAAGTAAAGCACTCCTCAGCAAATGGAAAAGAACAGAAATTATAACAGACTGTCTCTCAGACAACAGTGTGATCAAACTAGAACTCAGGATTAAGAAACTCACTCAAAACCACTCAACTACATGGAAACTGAACAACCTGCTCCTGAATGACTACTGGGTACATAACGAAATGAAGGCAGAAATAAAGATGTTCTTTGAAACCAACGAGAACAAAGACACAACATACCAGAATCTCTGGGACACATTCAAAGCAGTGTGTAGAGGGAAATTTATAGCACTAAATGCCCACAAGAGAAAGCAGAAAAGATCTAAAATTGACACCCTAACATCACAATTAAAAGAACTAGAGAAGCAAGAGCAAATACATTCAAAAGCTAGCAGAAGGCAAGAAATAACTAAAATCAGAGCAGAACTGAAGGGGATAGAGACACAAAAAACCCTTCAAAAAATCAATGAATGCAGGAGCTGGTTTTTTGAAAAGATCAACAAAATTGATAGACCGCTAGCAAGACTAATAAACAAGAAAAGAGAGAAGAATCAAATAGATGCAATAAAAAATGATAAAGGGGATATCACCACTGATCCCACAGAAATACAAACTACCATCAGAGAATACTATAAACACCTCTATGCAAATAAACTAGAAAATCTGGAAGAAATGGATAAATTCTTCGACACATACACTCTCCCAAGACTAAACCAGGAAGAAGTTGAATCTCTGAATAGACCAATAACAGGCTCTGAAATTGAGGCAATAATTAATAGCTTACCAACTAAAAAATGTCCAGGACCAGATGGATTCACAGCCGAATTCTACCAGAGGTAAAAGGAGGAGCTGGTACCATTCCTTCCGAAACTATTCCAATCAATAGAAAAAGAGAGAATCCTCCCTAACTCATTTTATGAGGCCAGCGTCATCCTGATACCAAAGCCGGGCAGAGACACAACAAAAAAAGAGAATTTTAGACCAGTATCCCTGATGAACATTGATGCAAAAATCCTCAATAAAATACTGGCAAACCGAATCCAGCAGCACATCAAAATGCTTATCCACCATGATCAAGTGGGCTTCATCCCTGGGATGCAAGGCTGGTTCAACATACGGAAATCAAAAAATGTAATCCACCATATAAACAGAACCAAAGACAAAAACCACATGATTATCTCAACAGATGCAGAAAAGGCCTTTGACAAAATTCAACAATGCTTCATGCTAAAAACTCTCAATAAATTAGGTATTGATGGGATGTATCTCAAGATAATAAGAGCTATTTATGACAAACCCACAGCCAATATCATACTGAATGGCCAAAAACTGGAAGCATTCCCTTTGAAAACTGGCACAAGACAGGGATGCCTTCTCTCACCACTCCTATTCAACATAGTGTTGGAAGTTCTGGCCAGGGCAATCAGGCAGGAGAAAGAAATAAAGGGTATTCGATTAGGAAAAGAGGAAGTCAAATTGTCCCTGTTTGCAGATGACATGATTGTATATCTAGAAAACCCCATTGTCTCAGCCCAAAATCTCCTTAAGCTGATAAGCAACTTCAGCAAAGTCTCAGGATACAAAATCAATGTGCAAAAATCAGAAGCATTCTTATACACCAATAACAGACAAACAGAGAGCCAAATCATGAGTGAACTCCCATTCACAATTGCTTCAAAGAGAATAAAATACCTAGGAATCCAACTTACAAAGGATGTGAAGGACCTCTTCAAGGAGTACGACAAACCACTGCTCAATGAAATAAAAGAGGATATAAACAAATAGAAGAACATTCCATGCTCATGAGTAGGAAGAATCAATATCATGAAAATGGCCATACTGCCCAAGGTAATTTATACATTCAGTGCCATCCCTATCAAGCTACCAATGACTTTCTTCACAGAATTGGAAAAAACTACTTTAAAGTTCATATGGAACCAAAAAAGAGCCTGCATTGCCAAGTCAATCCTAAGCCAAAAGAACAAAGCTGGAGGCATCACGCTACCTGACTTCAAACTATACTACAAGGCTACAGTAACCAAAACAGCATGGTACTGGTACCAAAACAGAGATATAGACCAATGGAACAGAACAGAGCCCTCAGAAATAATGTCACATATCTACAACTATCTGATCTTTGACAAACCCGACAAAAACAAGCAACGGGGAAAGGATTCCCTGTTTAATAAATGGTGCTGGGAAAACTGGCTAGCCATATGTAGAAAGCTGAAACTGGATCCCTTCCTTACACCTTATACAAAAATTAATTCAAGATGGATTAAAGACTTACATGTTAGACCTAAAACCATAAAAACCCTAGAAGAAAACCTAAGCAATACCATTCAGGACATAGGCATGGGCAAGGACTTCATGTCTAAAACACCAAAAGCAATGGCAACAAAAGCCAAAATTGACAAATGGGATCTAATTAAACTAAAGAGCTTCTGCACAGCAAAAGAAACCACCATCACAGTGAACAGGCAACCTACAGAATGGGAGAAAATTTTTGCAAGCTATTCATCTGACAAAGGGCTAATATCCAGAATCTACAATGAACTCAAATGAATTTACACGAAAAAAACAAACAACCCCATCAAAAAGTAGACGAAGGATATGAATAGACACTTCTCAAAAGAAGACATTTATGCAGCCAAAAAACACATGAAAAAATGCTCATCATCACTGGCCATCAGAGAAATGCAAATCAAAACCGCAATGAGATACCATCTCATACCAGTTAGAATGGCGATCATTAAAAAGTCAGGAAACAACAGGTGCTGGAGAGGATGTGGAGAAATAGGAACACTTTTACACTGTTGGTGGGACTGTAAACTAGTTCAACCATTGTGGAAGACGGTGTGGCGATTCCTCAGGGATCTAGAACTAGAAATACCATTTGACCCAGCCATCCCATTACTGGGTATATACCCAAAGGATTATAAATCATGCTGCTATAAAGACACATGCACACGTATGTTTATTGCGGCACTATTCACAATAGCGAAGACTTGGAACCAAGCCAAATGTCCAACAATGATAGACTGGATTAAGAAAATGTGGCACATATACACCATGGAATACTATGCAGCCATAAAAAATGATGAGTTCATGTCCTTTGTAGGGACATGGATGAAGCTGGAAACCATCATTCTCAGCAAACTATCACAAGGACAAAAAACCAAACACCACATGTTCTCACTCATAGGTGGGAATTGAACAATGATAACACATGGACACAGGAAGGGGAACATCACACACCGGAGACTGTTGTGGGGTGGGGGGAGGTGGGAGGGATAGCTTTAGGAGATATACCTAATGCTAAATGACGAGTTAATGGGTGCAGCACACCAACATGGCACATGTATACATATGTAACAAACCTGCACATTGTGCACATGTACCCTAAAACTTAAAGTATAAAAAAAAAAAAAAAAAAAAGAAATGTAGACTTACGCCTGCTTCCTGTCACATTTCCAAGTATTCTCTTTGGTATTCATGATGTGAATTTTAATGTCAGAGGCATCGCACTGACAGAATGAAGGAGGCAAAGTTGGAGTGGGGAACTTACATTTGTTGAAGGCCTACTAGATGCAACACGATATGGGTTGTTATCTTCAGACTTTTTCTCTTCAAATGCTCAAAGCCATGCTCTAAGGTAGACATCATTACTTCCTTTCTACAGATGGGGATATAGTCAGGTTCAGAGAGCAAAGTACATGCTCAAGGAATTTTAGGGAGGTGTTAATTGGACACTGAAGCCAACTTCAAGGTCCTTCCACTGGCCAATTCTGGGACAATTTGAGCATCGAAATTTATAATAATAATAATAGCACAGGGTAATCCTTTCAGAAAAATGAGAATCTCTGAGTCACACTGATATACATACATACATACACAGATAAATAAGAAGAGAAAACTCTGCCCTTTTCTAAATGCCAACTCATAGTTTTGAAAGGAATATCAGAATTTTAAAAACAACACTTCACAACTATCATCGAAATAAGTGACTCAGGCAAAAATCATAAATGGACACTCACTCTACACTAAATCCCATAAGAGTCATGGAGTCACCATGGTAACCAGGCTAGCCAAGGAACACTGGGAAAAAACAAACAACCCCCTATATCTTGTTACCAACATGTGCTAGGAAATGAATAACACTGACGTAATACATAGTAATTTGTCTCAACATCTCATAATACACATTCCTGGCAGCTTCAGCAACACACAAATTGATACATTCACAAATACTCATATAGATGCATTGCCTCTCCCCAGTGCTCTCTCACCATCCAAGATCCCAGGAATTTTTTAAGGTGGGTTTACTGGGGACAAAAAAGTACAACCTCACATTTTAACATATTCAAATATAGCAGAAACATAAAGTTGAAAGCTACTAACCTATATTATTTTAGTCATTGATTTTTCTGGAGATTACCTGTAGAACTGTCAGGGGTACATTTTTATCCCTAGTTTCAGTGTATTGCCAATGATTTCTAAAAGCTGATATAGAAATACATGTACATGCACATTAAGCATCAAATACCTTTTCCATCCTAGAGTAGCCTGTGCTTTTTACCAAGATTCTTCAATAGTCATTATTAATAATCTGGTTGCTGGTGGTTCCATGAAAATGTAATGATTAAGAATTCTATTTAAGAAATAATACCATTGACAGCAGCATCAATAAGTATGAAATATTTATGAATTATCTGTTCGTAGATATGGAACATTTGTACATTGAATACTACAAAACATTGCTGAGAGAAGGAAGACCCAAAGAAGTAAAGGACATACTGTGTTCATGAGTCAGAAGAGTCAGTATTGTTAAGACGTTTATTCCCCACAAACTAATATACAGATTCAGTGCAATCCCAATAAATGTTCTATACATTTTTCAAAGAAATTGGCAAGTGGATATTAAAATCATATACAAATACAGAACACCTAAACTGTGAAAAACAACTGTAAAATGGAACAAAGGTATAGGACAAACACTACCTAATTTCAAAACTCATTATAAACCTACAGTAATCAAGACAGTGTGCTATTGCCATTGAAGGGGAAAAGTAGATCAAAAGGACAGAATAAGGAATCCAGAAGTAAACCTATGCACACACGGACAACTGATTTTTGACAATGATGTAAAGACTATTCAGTGGAAAAGTAAATAGTCTTTTCAACGAATGGTTCTGTAATAAGTAGATATCCATATACATACACAAAAATAAACTGTAATCCATATATCACAACATATACAAAATCAACTCAAACTGAATATGAGACCTAACTATAAAATCCAAATGTATAAACTCCTACAAGAAAAGACAGGAGTAAATCCTTGTGACTGTGAGTAGGTAAACATTTTTTAGATAGGACATCAATAAAAACATCTTAACCCTAAATAAAAAAATTATAAATGGCACTTCCTCAAGGTTAAAAATTTCTGCTCTTCTAAAAGCCACTGTTGAGAGAATGAAAAGATAAGTCAATGACTGGGAAAAAGTATTTGAAGAATCGTATAACTGACAAAGAATTTATATCCAGAATATATAAAATCATTTAAAAGTAAAAAGTAAACAGACACTCCAATAAATAAATGGGAAAATAATAGAAACAGAAACTTTACCAAAGAATATATACAAATGGCAAGTAATCACATGAAAAGATGTTTAACAATAATAGTCATTAAGAAAATGTAGGCCAGGTGCAGTGGCTCATGCCTGTAATCCCAGCACTTTGGGAGGCCGAGGTGGGCAGATCACGAGGTCAGGAGTTTGAGACCAGCCTGGCCAACATGGTGAAACCTTGCCTCTACTAAAAATACAAAAATGAGCCAGGTGCAGTGGTGGGTGCCTGTAATCCCAACTATTCAGGAGGCTGAGGCAGGAGAATTGCTTGAACCCAGGAGGCAGAGGTTGCAGTGAGCTGAGATTATGCCACTGCACTCCAGCCTGGGTGACAGAGCAAGACAATGTCTTGAAAAAAAAAAGTAAATTAAAACTCTAATGAGATATTACTATGCACCCATGAGAATGGCTAAAGTAAAAAAGACTGACCATACCAAGCTTTGGCAAGGTTGTGGAGAATGGAATTCTCATATACTGCTGATGGGAATGAATAAGGAATGGTACTACCACTTTGGAAAACAGTTTGGCAGTTTCTTACAATGTTAATCTCACATCTACCACATGATCCAGCCATTGGACTCCTAGTATTTACCCTAGAGAAAGAAAGCATGTGTACATATAAAGACATTTACACAAATGGTTATGGCAGCTTTATTTAGAAGAACCCCAAACTGAAAACTACCTACTGTCCATGAAAAAGTGAATGGATAAAACAAATTGTGGTATATCCATATACTACTTAGCAATTTTAAAAAGGAATTATTCAATCATGCAACAATAAAGATAAATCAAAAAGTTAATAGGCTGAATGTAAGAAGCCAGACCAAAAAAATACATATTGTATGATGCCATTTACATAAAATTATAGGAAATGTAAATCAATCTACAATGACAGAAGAGCAGTGGTTGCCTGGAAATGGAGAGAGATAGGAGGGACATGGAAGCTGGAGGGAGACAGGTAGGTGGGATGATTACAAAGGGGCAGGAAAATGCTTTTTGGGGTGATGGATATGTTCATTACTTTGACTATGGTGTTGGTTTCATTGGTGCATACATATGCCAAAGCTTACTAAAGTAAAGGCTTTAAATATACTTAGTATATTTCATATCAAACATACCTCAATAAAGCATCTGAAATATACTTGTATTTTTCTGAGATTTGATGATACTGAATTAATCAGGAGAACAATTCCCACTAACATGACCTTGTCACATTAGCAGATGGACACTATGTCTTATCAAGTCGTTCACACTATATATGTCCACAACAGAAATAATCATTTGAAATGAGGTGCATCTAAATATGTAGAGAAAGTTGATGTGCATTTCCTTCTGAAGTTCAAAACTAAAATGTAATAACTTGGTAAAATAAAGTGGTATTTAAGAATACCTGGCTATTTTAGACAACATGGTTATGTATCATTATAATAGGATAAATTCTAGTGTAATTGTCATTTATTAAAATAACAAATTTTTAAATGGGCATTTTAAACTAACACTTCAAAAATTATTGGCTACTACAAAATTTTACCATAGAATGTATAAAAGCCTCACTACCAAGTAAGAGTCTACCTGATAAACCTCTTCTCCAAAGGTGATATCAAAATAGCTTCTCTACTTTTAGATTATTTTGTGAACCTCACAAGTGCTTTTCTACAACATGCTTCCGTTCACATCTGTGAGCTCACCTGAGACAGGCATCACATCCCACCAGGGATGGAAGTGCTAGAGGTTTCCTGAGAACTGCTGACCTTCAAATATGGAGTGGAAGCTTCAGCAGCCATCATGACCCACATCTTCAAAACTTGCCTCCTTCAGACACCTGATATCAGCTCAATTACCCGATGAAGAACTGCAAAGAGAAAGAGAGAATCTAGCAATCACTGTGCTTTACTGGAGCAACTATAAGCCTGGCGCCATGCTGGGTACTAGGTTAGTGACCAGTGGCACTGATACAATTGGGTAGTGATCACAACAACCAGGAAGTATAATGGCTTTCTCACTGGGGCCTTTTCATCTTTCTTTGTCTGTCTCATAACAAATTTAAAAAGAAATAGGAAATTGCTTGAATCCATACAAGCACCCATCATCCAGTAATAACCACAGGGCTATCTATCATCTTGCATGTGTATCACTGCAGGTTCCAGCAATCCTGTAGGTGAGCATTCTTCTCCCCATTCTACAGAGGGGGAAGCTGGGTTCAGCGAGTCTTTACCTCTCTCGTCCTCCTGTGTTCCACCTTTACAAGGAAAGTAGCCCCAGGACACCTCGAGCAGGACACCACACTCACTGGGGCCAGGAGGGTCCCAGCTTTCTCATGAGACTGCTAAGGCAACTTGTTCCAAAGTGGGAACGAGGCAACTTGGATCTGGCATCCCTTTGTCCCCCACACCCTAGGGAGGTTCAGTCCCCAACCACAGAGCACCCACACCCTCAGCTGAGTCCTAAACACCTGAAGGCAGGACCTTGCTTTTCTTGCCAGGCTATGTTGGTCTATATTAAAAAGTTGTCACTCCCCAGCACTTTGGGAGGCCAAGGCGGGCGGATCACTTGAGGTCAGGAATTTGAGACCACCCTGGCCAACATGGTTAAACCCCATCTCTACTAAAAATAGAAAAATTAGCCAGGCGTTGTGGTGGGCACCTGTAATCCCAGCTACTCAGGGAGGCTGAGGCACTAGAATTTCTTGAACCTGGGAGGTGGAGGTTGTAGTGAGCCGAGATCGTACCACTGCACTCCAGCCCAGGCGACAGAGTGAGACTCCATCTCAAAAAAAAAAAAAAAAAGTCATAACTCAAGGATGCCCACTTTCACCACTTCTATTCAACGTAGTACTGGAAATCCTAGCCAGAGCAATCAGACAAGAGAGGGGAGGAAGTCAAACTGTTGCTATTCACCAATGATATGATCATATACCTAAAAAACCCAAAAGACTTACCCAAAAGGCTCCTAGATCTGATACACGAATTCAGTAAAGTCTCAGGTTACAAAATGAATGTAAACAAATCAGTAGCACTGCTATACACCAATGACCAAGCTGGGAATCAATCAAGAACTCAATCCTTTTTACAACAGCTGCAAAAAAAAGAAAACAAAAAAATAAACCTAGGAGTATACTTAACCAAGGAGGTGAAAGATCGCTACGAGGAAAGCTACAAAACACTGCTGAAAGAAATCATACGTGACACAAACAAATGGAAACACATCCCATGCTCACGGATGGGAAGAATTAATATTGTGAAAATGACCATACTGCCCAAAGCAATCTACAGATTCAATGCAATTCCCATCAAAATATCAACATTTTTCACAGAACTAGAAAAAATCCTAAAATTCATATGCAACCGTAAAACAGCCCATATAAGCTGGGTACAGTGGCTCATGCCTGTAATTCCAGCACGTTGGGAGGCCAAGGTGGGTGGATCACCTGAGGTCAGGAGTTCGAGACCAGCCTGGCCAACACGGTGAAACCCATCTCTACTAAAATACAAAAATTAGCTGGGCCTGGTGGTGGGCACCTGTAATCCCAGCTACTTGGGAGGCTGAGGCAAGAGAATTACTTGAACCTGGGAGGTGGAGGTTGTGGTGAGTGGAGATTGTGCCATTGCACTCCAGCCTGGGCAACAGAGTGAGACTCCATCTCAAACAAACAAACAAAAACCTGCCCAGCCCACATAGTCAAAGTAATTCTAAGCAGAAAGAACAAATCTGGAGGCATCACATTACCAGACATCAAATTATATTACAAGGCTATAGTTACCAAAACAGCATGGCACTGGTATAAAAATAGGCACTCAAACTAATGGAAAAGAATGGATAACCCAGAAAATAAAGCCAAATACTTATAGCGAACTGATCTTTGACAAAGCATACTAAAACATAAATTGAGGAAAGGACCCCTATTCAATAAATGGTGCTGGGAAAACTGGCTAGCCACTTGTAGAAGAATGAAACTGGATCCCCATCTCTCACGTTATACAGAAGTCAATTTAAGATGCATCAAACACTTAAATCTAAGACCTGAAACCATACAAATTCTAGAAGATAACATCAGATAAACTCTCGTGGACATTGGCTTAGGCAGAGAATTTGTAACTAAGACCCCAAAAGCAAATGCAACAAAAACAAAAATAAATAAATGGGACCTAATCAAAAAGTTTCTGCACAGCTAAAAAAAAATTCAGCAGAGTAAACAGACAACCCACAGAGTGGGAGAAAATACCCTCAAACTATGCATCCAACAAAGGACTAGTATCCAGAATATACAAGAAACTCAAATCAGCAAGAAAAAACAAATAATCCCATCAAAAAGTAGGCAAAGGACATGAATAGACATTTCTCAAAAGAAGATATACAAACAGCCAACAAATATATGAAAAAATGCTCAATATCACTAATCATCAGGGAAATGCCAATTAAAACCACAATGAGATACCACCTTATGCCTGCAAGAATGGCCATAATTAAAAAGTCAAAAAACAATAGATGTTGGCATGGATGTGGTGAAAATGGAGCACTTTTACACTGCTGCTGGGAATGCAAATTAGTGCAACCACTATTGAAAACAGTATGGAGATTCCTTAAGGAACTAAAAGTAGATCTAGCAATCCCACTACTATCTACCCAAAGGAAAAGAAGTAAGTATATGAAAAAAACACATGCAAATGCATGTCCATAGCAGCACAATTCGCAATTACAAGGATATAGAACCCAACCAAAGTGCCCATCAACCAAAGAGTGGATAAAGAAAATGTGGCATATATATACACCACGGAATACTATTCAGCCATAAAAAGGAATGAAATAATGTCTTTTGCAGCAACTTGGATGGAACTGGAGGCCATTATTCTAAGTGAAATAACTCAGGAATGGAAAACCAAATACCATATGTTCTCACTTATAAGTGAGAGCTAAGCTATGAAGATGCAAAAACATATAGAGTGATATAATGGACTGTGGGGACACGGGGAGGGGGATATTGTGAGAGTAGTGAGGGATAAAAGACAATATATTGGGTACCGTATATACTGCTGAGATGACAGGTACACCAAAATCTCAGAAGCCACCACTAAATAACTCATCCATGTAACCAAAAAAACACCTGTGCCACAAAAACTATTGAAATTTTAAAAAAAAATAAAAAAGAAAAAAACAATAAAAAGTTGTCATGGTTGCCATAATGATTTCAGGTTTCTATGGCAACCACCATGCTCAGGCTAGTCCTGCATACCAGAAATGCCTCCACACAGCCCTCCCTTCTGGCTCTTGCCTTTTCCTGAAAGCAAAACACCTTCAGTCTTCAGGCCACCACCTGAGAAATATTAAGAATTAGAGGAATTAACCCCATACAAGGGTGATTTGTGGAATTCTTCCCAGTTTGGTGAAACAAAGCATCTCCCCATTGTCAGGAGTTTTGCTTGCTTTAAAAGTGACAGTAGGGAAGTACCATCACTACACAGAGACCGAGGGAGGTATCCTAAGGCTCTTTGAGACGAACTAGCCCTCTGAGGGTGATGTGTAAAACACATACCATGAAGCAATTAGCTATCCATGGCAGAAAACTAAGAGACTGTCCATAATCATGTGACTGAATAACCTAGGAAGATTAAAAAAAAAAAAGTCATGTAAGGAATCTTAAAGTTATTTCAGGGAAGCAGGGCTAGAATATTATACTTATTTAGCTGGCAGAAACTCATTCAATTGAGTCATATATTGGGATACCCTGGGAAATTTTTATCCTCTGTTCCTGGTATTTTCTCCTATATGGAGGCACATCCATGACAAAAACAGTTCTAGCTTCTCTATACACTCTCTGTGCACTCACTCCTTCTCTATGGCAAAAATCACTTATGTGATTAGTACTTCAAAGGAGAACCAGGGGTTGCACAGCCCAGGCTCTCTCCCTTCAAAATTCTTGGTAGTAATAAGCAGTTAGCCAGCATATGTTCTGCTATGTCCCTTGGGGGTTGGGGGATAGGTCTAACAGTGGGCCTGCAGCTCTTCTCCCCTTTCCTCTTTTTGCTGGCACCCCAACTATTACTATGTTCTTACTCCAAAATGCTTGGGACTTAAAGGGGTTCCCAAAATATACCCCTTGTACAAGTCTGAGCTCTAAGCCAACTAAAAAATATGCAAAAATGATAAAGAAAGCAATACATTGACTCTATTCTTTATAAAGGTGAAATTGGAAAAAGTACCTCAGATCTGCTGAGAAGACATTTCTTCTTAATGAACCCCAGAGTTGGACAGACTTATCCACTAAGTGGTGCTGTGTGGGGACAGTCAAGAAAGTCAAACACTGCAGTGTACATTGCTATCTGGTAGAGTCCTGTCTATGTGTGCTGAAGGAAAGTAGCTTCCTTGCAAGGTTATCCCTATAGCAGATAAAATAGTTTCAGGACACTTTTTTGAGAAACACTTCTCAAAGTGAATAAATACCCCTTGTTCTGATTAAATACTCACCTAGCAACCTTGTAAGAATATGGTTTTTCATGTGGCTCATGGAGCCATTCGTAGCAGCAGCCTCTCAATTTTTTAACCTGTGTAACTGCAGTGAAGCCTCATTTCATGGAGGGGAATTAGAAGTAGGTTCCACATTCCAAGAGTGGGGTAAAATAATATATCATGAAAATTCCTTTGAAAATCCATTTGAGAAGGAATTGAGGAAATTTTCAGAAACTGATACCCATACATAAACCCACATGCAGACTATGGTGAAAATTATAACAAAGTCCCACCAAGTCTTCATGGATAATAGAATCCCTATATTATCCAATGATAACAGACTGCAGAAAAGGAGGAAGAGTACACCCAAACCACGGATAACCATTTCTGCTTAATAAAGCATCCCAAACATTAGCCATTTATTATCTCTCAAGATTCTGAGTATTGACAGGCTCATTTGGGTGTTATTCTGTTCTATATGGTGTCTGCCACCCAGGGCTGCCTCTCCCTGTGCTGTCACCTTAATCATCTGGAGGCTTCACTCGTTTGGTACATCCAAAAGAGATCACTTGCATGGATGATGACTGGTGCTGGCACCTGCTGAGAGTTCACATGGGGCTGTTGACCAGACCAGAGCACCTTGGTCCTACCCTATATTGCAACACCATGTATAGGATTGCCAGATGAAATACAAAAGACTCATTAACTTTGAAATCCAGAAAAATAACTAGTACTTTTTAGTATATGTGACACATAATATAATTTTGTTTTTTTTTTAATTCAAACTTAAATGGGCATCTTGTGTTTTCATTTGCTAAATCTGACCATCCTATGGGATAAGCCTCTGAATTTGTAAGTTAAAAACCATCTGAGATAATACTTCCAATGGGGCAGAACTGGGGAAAATGGGATGATCAGATGAAAAACTAACACAAAATCTGGGAATAAAACAAACGAAAAACCCTGGAAATAACAATAAAAGCTAGTCAGAAAAGTAAAGAGGAAATGGGCACTCACATACACTGTTGGCATCAAATGGACATATCTGGTTCTATGGCCATATTATTATGATTTAATGACTTCAATGGCCTTTGTACAGAAGTCCTATTACCACCAACAAGAGAGTTTCAGCTGAGGGTTTACAAAAGGCTCATCAATGTGACTCTGATTTGCATCCTGATTAGGGGCCCTGGCTGAGAGGGCAGGTCAAGTTGTCACATGAGTTCCCTGTTCCAGGGAAGAAACACAGCTTCTACTTATGGAGCAGGTTGTTCAGAGGGTCCTAGCTCCAGGTTCTTCATGTTAGCATCTGGATTTAATCTCATGACAGCCCTGCTAGTGAGGTATCAATATCCTCTCTTCATGGATGTATGTGACTACAAAACAGATACTGCTAACCACAGAGCTAGATGGTAAAGAGGTTGGTCACCAGGTCCACTGCCAGAGCCAGGGACAGAACCTACCAGCCTAGGTACCTTGAATTGCTAGTGAGGGATCTTTAGCAAATTTATCAGGATACGTGCTGCTGTGAGGTTTATCTCTGTTCTCCCTGTGTTTACCCTTTCTACAGGAGGAAGCCAGCCTTTGTGCCCCCTCCCCTTGTCTGAAGGGAGGTTTATGGCAGGGCCAGAAGCAGAAGCAAAGGCCCCTCACCTGCCTGTGCCTTTGAGGACACAGAAAGGGGACAGGTGGGAGACTTCTTCAGGCAGGGATGAGATTGGATGTCTACAAGGCCCTCCAGGAGTAGAGACCTGAGCACTGTTCCATATCAATGCTTGAAGTAGCTCCATGGCTGTCTATTGTGGTTAGGAGTACGTGTTTTGTAGCATCTTGTCATGGTAGATTTTCTAGTTTGAACCAAGAGGTAGAAGAACATGAGTACTGCTCTATATCAATGCTTGAGGTGGATCCAGCCATGAGACAGATTTTCTTGCTTGGATGGAAGAATGGATGAAGCAGGGTGGGCGGCAGGGGGCTGAAGGCAACAAGCCAGCTAGAAAAATGGCCAGTCTGAAGTAGCTGGGACATGTAAGTGATGATGGCTATGGCCTCTTCAGGCTGTATCTGGATGATAAGTTGCCATAGGAACATTGCTTTGTCAAAGAGCATGAACATTAAAAGCTAGCCTGATTAAATTTTAAAATCTTTTATACTAATGTCTCCCAACAAAATACAGGATGAAAGTACCTGTTTTACTAGGTCTGTGCAAATAATGTATTTCACAACATTATTACTTTTCACTTTTCCCTATCTTATTTCTTTATGAATGGCATATGCCTTAGTTCGTTTGCACTGCTGTAACAAAATACCTGAGACTAGGTAATTTATAATGAACAGAAATGTATTGGGTCACAGTTCTGGAGGCCGGGGAGTTCAAGATCAAGATGTCAGCATCTTGTGAGGGCTTTCTTGCTGTGTCATCACAAGGTGGAAGGCAAGAGGGCAAATGAGAGAGTGAAAGGGGGCCAAACTTGCCCTTGTATAACAAAACTACTCCTGTGATAAGAAATCCACTCCTGTGATAATGGCATTAATCCATTCATGAAGGCAGAACCCTCATGGCCCAATCACTTCTTTTTTTTTTTTTCTTTTTCTTTCTCTTTTTTTTTTTTGTTTTTTAAAGAGACAGGGCCTCACTCTCTCACCCAGGCTGCAATCATAGTTCACTGTATCCTCAAATTTCAAGTGATTCTCTCTCAGCCTCCCAAGCAGATGGGAACACAGGCACACAGCACCATGCCTAGCTAACTAATCACCTCTTAATTATCTCACATCTTAATACAGATTGAGCATCTCAAATCTGAAAATATGAAATCTGAAATCCTCCAATATCAGAAGCAGTTGAGTGCAAATATAACCTGCAGAAATACTCACTGGAGCATTTCAGATTTTGAATTTTTTGATTTGGGATGCTCAACTGGTAAGTATAATGCAAATATTTAAAAATCTGAAAGCTAAAACACTTCTAATCCCAAGCATTTTGAAAAAGTTATACTCAACCATACTGTAACAATGGCAATCAAATTTCAACACGAGTTTTGGCGGGGACAAACATTTAAACCACAGCATCTCATCAATGGCCCCTCAAAACTTATGTCCTTTTCACATACAAAATACGTTCATTCCATCCCAATAGCCCCACAAGTCTTAACTCGTTCCAACATCAACTAAAAAGGCCTAAGTCCAGAGTCTTATTTAACTCAACGGAAGGCATGATTCATGCTGAGGCAAATTCCTCTCCAGATGTGAGCCTGTGAAATCAAAACAAGTTATGTATTTTAAAATACAGTGGTGGAACAGGCAATGGATAGACACTCCCATTCCAAAAAGGAGAAATAGACAAGAAAAGAGGGTCCCACGTAAGTCCAAAATTCAACAGGGTGAACAACATTAAATTTTAATGCTCTAGAATAAGCTTCCTTGACCTCATGTCCCATCTCCTGGACACACTGAGGTGAAATTGGGCCCCCAAGGCCTTAGGCAGCTCTGCCCCTATGTCTTTTCTGGGCTTAGCCCACACAGCAATTCTCATAGGTTGGAGTCTCATGCCTGCAGCTCTCTTAGGCTGGTGTTGCACAGTAGTAGCCCTACAATTCTGGGGTCTCTCAGGCAGTCCACTCCCAAAATTCTACGAGGCATTGTCCCAGTGGGGACTCTCTGCAGTGGCTCTGACCCCACAGTTCTGACTGGAGAGAGCCCTGACTAAGGAAATGCCCAGCAGAACTTCCACATCAAAGCTGAGTTTCCACTGGGCATTGCCCTAGTGAGGGCTCTCTGCTTTTGCTCCACCTCTGCAACAAGTCTCTGCTTGTCCACCAAGGCTTCTGAAACATCTTTTGAAATCTAGGTAGAGGAAGACGTGCCCATACAGCTCTTGCATACGGCACACCTGCAGAGTTAGCATCATGTGGATTCCACCACAGTTTATGACTTGTACCTTCCAGTGTGGCAGGTCGAGCTGCACCTTGGCCCATTTGAGCCATGACTGGGGTAGTCAAGAAATGCTGCACTGGAATATGGGGAGCAGAAAATTGAAGCAGCCCTGGGACGTGAGTCCAAAGGTTCTAAGGTCGTCCTCAGCCTCTCTTTTTGACATATTTCCTTCACCCAGGTCTTGGCACTCAGAGCCTGTGATGGGAAGGGTGGCACTGGTAATCTCTGAAGTGACTTTGGGTTCATTCTCCCATTGTTCTGATGAATAGCCCCTGGCTTCCTTCTATCCACACCAATCTCCTTATGAAACGGTCACTTGGAAACATCCTTGGTTTCCTCTCCTGAAAGTGCTCTTTGATTCTCTACCACCTGACTAGGCTGAGAATCCTTTAAATCTCTAAGTTTTGTTCCCCACCCCACCGCCACTTTTTTTTTTTTTTTTTTGAGATGAAGTCACTCTATTGCCCACGGTGGTGTGCAGTGGTGTGCTCTTGGCTCACTGCAACCTCCGCCTCCTGGGTTCAAGCGATTCTCCTGCCTCAGCCTCCTGAGTAGCGGGGATTACAGGCATGTGCCACCTCACCTGGCTAATTTTTGTAGTTTTAATAGAGATGGGGTTTCGCCATGTTGGCCAGGCTAGTCTCGAACCCCTAATCTCCAGTGATCCACCTGCCTTGGCCTCCCAAATTGCTGGGATTACAGGCGTGAGCTACCGTGCCTGGCTCCCTTTTAATTATAAATTCCATCTTTAAATCATTTTTTTCTCTAGCATTTTACTGTATGCAGTTGAAGGAAGACACACAACATATGGAACGTTTTTTTGTTTAGATGTTTCTTTCACCGATTTCCTAGCTCACTGCTTTTCAACTATGCCGTCCACAAAGCCCTTGTGTGGGCTTGGAAACAATTCAGCCAAGTTCTTTGCCACTTTATAATGAAGATGGCCTTTCCTCCAGTTTATAATACTTTGTTCCTCATTTATATGTGAGACCTCATCAGAATGGCCTTTACTGTCCATATTTCTATGAACATTCTGATCATTACTAGAGGGTCAAAGATTTTACCAAAATATTTGTCAGGGGGAAAGTCAGGAGAGCAAAATCACCAGGTGGCCATCGAGTAAGCCCTGGAGACACAAACTCCTTATCTGAGGAATTTAGAAGTGTAACGAAGAAAGCCAAAAACACCTGGCAACCATCAAACAGGCCATTCTGAGGCAAAATTCCTTATCTGAGGAATTTAGAAGTAATTAAACTTCCCTAGTGCCTAAAGGTTCCAGGCCTCTTTCAAAAATTTTCTAAGTAACTAGAATTTCTGTACATCTCTGGAATCCATGCATGTCAAAACTCATTGTACAACCCTTGCTGACATTAAGGAACCAAAATGTCTACAAATGTAATCACTTATTATGACCTACATGGCTAATATGGTCCAAATTACACTTAAGCTCCCACTTTAAGGTCCGTAAATGCTGCATTTCTTCTGCAACATACTTTTTTTCTAATAAAACTTTCCTTTTTCAAACCTATACTGTTGTCAGTAAATTCTTACCAACCTGCAAGTCAACCACTTTCTGATGCTGGGGCTCTGACACCTCACCCAGCAATTACCACTTAAGTAATCTCTAAGAAGCTTCAGACTTTCCCTACAGTTCTCTTCTTTGAGCCCTCACCTGAATTGTTCCATTTATGGAAATCTAGGCTTTTTTACCCTGCTCCTCCAAAATTTTCCAGCCTCCACCCATTATCCAGTTCCAAAGTTGCATCTACGTTTTCAGGTATTTTTTATAGCAACAGCCAGGCTTCTTGACACCAATTTCCTGTCTTAGTCTGTTTTTGCTGCTATAAGACAATACCTGGGACTGGGTAATTTCTAATTAACAGAATTTTATTGGCTCACAGTTACGGAGGATGAGAAATCAAAGATTGAGGGACCAGCATCTGGTGAGGGCCTTCTTGGTGTATCATCACAGGGCAGAGGGCAAGAGGCAAAAGAGACCTGAATGTACCCTTTTATAACAGATTCACTCCTGCAATAATGAACCACCTTCTGTAATAATGACAATCCATTCATGAAGGTAGAGCCTTCACAGCCCAAACACTTCTCAAAGGTTCTGTAAACCACAAGTAAAATTCTAAGCCCCCAACAGACTAATAGACCTCCCCTCTTGGCCAAGGGCATTCCAAAGTAAATCTGAAAGTCTAGTTCATGCCATGGCAGGAATGGGTGGTCAGACATGCCTCATTATACTATTCTGTCTTTGGAATTCAGGCACAACTAACCAGCATTAACATTAAAAGAGATCTTAAGACTGACAAAACAAGACTTTGTAGCAATAAAGACACCAAATAAGACACCAAATTCCAGACTGGCTCTAGTATAGCATCACAAGATAGCAGGCCCTGAATGGAATCAAAGTACTTTACCACAAAACATATCTCCTTGACATATTTTGAAATGGCCCTGCAAAGTTGTCCCTTCTGGTGAAAATCTACATTCTGTAGAGAATTCCCTATCCTTTCCAGGTCTTTCCTCTGATCCAGCAGAGAATTAACGAAGAGTCTGGCACCTTTTTAGGTCTGATAAGAGCTCTGAAGCCTCTCCCTGGAGGCTGCATCTGCATGATAAAACCTTGGTCTCCACAACCCCTTGCCCTAACCCAGACATTCCTATTGATTCCAGGTCTTTAGATAATAACTCTTTCAACCAATTGCCAATCAGAAAATCTTTAAAACCGCTTATGACCTGGAAGCCCCCTCCCTGGCTTCCAGTTGTCCTGCCTTTCCTGACCAAACCAATGTACATCTTATATATATTTATTGATAACTTATGTCACCCTAAAATGTATAAAATCAAGCTGTATCGGAGGCCGAGTGGCGGGGGAGTGGATCATCCGAGGTCAGGAATTCGAGACCAGCCCAGCAACATGGCAAAACCCAGTCTCTACTAAAAATACAAAAATTAGCTGGGTGTAGTGCCACACACCTGTAGTCCCAGCTACTCAGGAGGCTGAGACAGAATTGCTTAAACCAGGAGGTGGAGGTTGCAGTGAGCTGAGATCATGCTGCTGCACTCCCACCTGGGCAACAGAGCAAGAGTCTGTCTCAAAAAACAAAACAAAACAAAAACAAGCTGTAGCCTGACCACTTGGGCATATTTTCCCAGAATATCCCTCGGCTGTATCATAAGCCACTGGTCACTCATATTTGGCTCAGAATAAATCTCTTCAAATATTGTACCGAGTTTGACTTTTTTCATTGACAGTCCCACTGAGACACAGTAGGGATGAGACTTGCCTCTTTAAACCAAAAATTATCTGAGACAAGTCTCAATCAATTTAGAAAGTTTATTTTGCCAAAGTTAAGGATGTGCCCATGACACAGCCTCAGGAGGTCGTGATGACATGTGCCCAAAGTGGTCGGGGTACAGCTCGCTTTTGTACATTTTAGGGAGACATAATACATCAATCAATACATGTAAGGTTTACATTGGTTCAATCTGGAAGGGTGGAGCAACTCAAAGTGGGGGGTGGGGGTGGGGGTTGGGGATGTGGGCTTCCAGATCATAGGTAGAGGAAGAATGTCTGGGTTACGATAAGGAGTTGCAGAGACCTAGGTTTTTGTTGTTGTTGTTGTTTGTTTGTTTTTTGGGACCGAGTCTCGCACTGTCCCGGGCTGGAGTGCAATGGCGCAATCTCGGCTCACTGCAACCTCCACCTCCCGGGTTCAAGCGATTCTCCTGCCTCAGCCTCCCAAGTAGCTGGGATTACAGGCGCCCACCACCACGCCCGGCTAGATTTTTGTATTTTTAGTAGAGACGCGTTTTCACTATGTTGGCCAGGCCAGTCTCAAAGTCCTGATCTCATGATCCACCCGCCTCAGCCTCCCAAAGTGCTGGGATTACAGGTGTGAGCCACTAGGTTTTATCATGCAGATGAAGCCTCCAAGTAGCAGGCTTTAGAGAGAATAGACTATAAATGTTTCATATCAGACTTAACGTTTGTGTTGATATTAATGCTGGAGGGGTATAATGAGGCATGTCCAACCACCACTTCCCGTGATGACCTGAACCAGTCCTTCAAGTTAAATTTTAGAGTGCCCTCCCTGGCAGAACAGGAAGTCCATTCGGATGGTTGTGTGGAGGGCATTTGAATTTTATTTTTGGTTTATAGCCCTCACCCTCACAAATGCATTTTTGTTTTCCAGACTTGCTGGGTTCCCACCACACATGTTGTCGTGAGCTCACTACACACCCTGTCCCTGGAGCATTGGGATGCAGCCTGGAGCCAGGAAGATGACAGTGTTGTGCACAGCTCTGCACTGGTAATGCACTATGCATGAGTCGCCCTCAGGACCTTGTGTTACTGCTGCTGGTTGGCTGGCCAGGCACTGCTGGATACAGCAAGGGCACTGGCGATAGCAGGCAGCAGCTTCAGTCCACACCTGCCAACTTCAGCCTAGCCAAGGGCACCCACATCAGCACGTCCACAGCCTGAGGTCCCCTGGGTTCCACCAAGGACCTCTAATGCAAGCTGATATGGGGCCCTGTGGCCAGCAGGGACCCCTACTAGACCATCCAGACTTTGCACTATAAATCTTACTCAAGGCACCATACCTGCTGATAACAGGACCTTAAAGAAGTTAAGATATGCAACACTCCAACCATAAATCTTCCCCAAGGCAGTTGACCCTAACATCCACATGCACAGGAAACCCCAGAATGGCCACTATATGACCTTCCTGGGCCAGCAGTAGTGAGCAACACCACTATCTTGAACCCACTGAGCATGGACCAAGACTTCAACCAGGACCAAGCATGCACAGACACCATAACAGGAAGGAAGAAATCACTCCAGGAGGCAGAGGTTCCTGATGTCAATCTCTGTACCCTACCCAATAAAAAACGCTGAGAAGCTCCCCTTGGGGAGCCAGCTGGAGGACTCTTTTTCCTGTGCCATCTCCCTTATGCCCAGTGTTTCTGGGCATAAGTCTTAATAAACATTGCCTGGGAAAAGTTTGCCTGGCCTCATGTTAATTCCTGTTACCCTGAGAACCAAGAACCTCCCACTGGTAACACCATCTCCTAATAAAGTCACAATGGCAATCAATCAAATTTCAACATGCATTTTGGAGGGGGCAAACATTCTAACCATGGCAGCATATTTCACATGTACATTTCTAAATACAAATATAATGATCCCACTTTATAACTCATATAATATTCTGGAATAATTCTAAAGTTTAAAAATAAAGCTCAATTGGTGATTTTGTGTTTATGCTGAACCCTCTTTATATGGACAATGTGGGGCCATGAAAACTCCATTACTCTTCCAGGAGAGGAGAAATGTGTGCAACTTCTTTGTGGAGATACTTGGCAACATTTTTGAGAAAATCAAGTGAGTTCCCCATCAGGTACTATGCTCTTAGCTCTGAACTGCAGAGAGTCTCCGGCTCTTGTGTAAGAATGGTCACAGCAGCATGGCTAAAAATATCAAAATAGCCTCAAAGTTGTCTTATTTACAGATATCTCAGAAACACTATTTTAAGAGAAAAAAAGTGCAAAAGGGCACATTTTTTTATGACACATATATAGATAAACATGTACAAACAATTACATTTTTGCATAATTTTCTCACAATGACTCTGTGAGGAAGGCATAATTATTCTCAATTTACAGATGACAAAATCAAACTCACTGATGGAAAATCAATTTTTTCAGATTCATCTAATATGGAGCAGAAATGGGATTCTACCGCTTAACCTCCCCAAAGCATACCCAAAAGTCTCATTTACAGATGATGACTTTCTAGGACTTAAAAACTTATAGTTTTACACATTTCTAGTATTGTGCCCTCATGGGTACTAACTCAACAGCCTCTCTCTCTTTGAAGAAGCTGATTGTGCAGATGAAATCTGGGTGCAGGGTCCTGTAGGTGGCAATGTGTCTGTCAAGGGCTTGTGATCCCTGCCTTCTCTTTATTTGCACTCTCTTCATTTTGGGCTCAATAGGAAATGGCTTTTCCAATATCAATCTGGAAGATCAAATAAGGGAACAGAAAATAATGCAAAATTAAAGAAATGGTTTGGCAATATTCTTCCCTCTCCCCATATCCCTCAGCAAAGTCTTCCTGTAACAGAGAAATGGCTCCAAAGCTTCATTCATAATGCAATTGTGAGTACATTCTACTTCCTGCTCCATTTTCTGGTGGTCTCTATGTCAGTCATATTGTTTGGTTTAGGTAGCTGTCATCACTTCTTTGGAAGGGAGGAGAAAGTTGGGCCAGGATGACCATCTGTTGAAGTCCTACTAGGTGCCATCTACTCTATACAAATTTCTAACTTACCCCACAGAACAGTTTCCTAAGGAAGGCACTGTGAGTTCCCTTTTACAGATGACCAAGGGCAGGCTGACAAAGGCTGAAAAAAGATTCCACTATCATACATGAAGTGAGGGGCAGGAATGGGGTTCAAGCTTTTGTCTTTATGATGGTATTTTATGCATTCCTAAGAGGGGTGATATTACCACTAATGGGTTGTCAGGCCTCTGAGCCCAAGCTAAGCCATCATATCCCCTGTGACCTGCACATATACATCCAGATGGCCTGAAGTAACTGAAGAATCACAAAAGAAGTGAAAATGGCCTGTTCCTGCCTTAACTGATGACATTACCTTGTGAAATTCCTTCTCCTGGCTCATCCTGGCTCAAAAGCTCCCCCACTGAGCACCTTGTGACCCCCGCCCCCACCCGCCAGAGAACAACCCCCTTTGACTGTAATTTTCCTTTACCTACCTAAATCCTATAAAATGGCCCCACCCCTATCTCCCTTCACTGACTCTCTTTTCAGACTCAGCCCCCCTGCACCCAGGTGAAATAAAAAGCTTTATTGCTCACACAAAGCCTGTTTGGTGGTCTCTTCACACGGATGCGCATGAAATTTGGTGCCGTGACTCGGATCGGGGGGACCTCCCTTGGGAGATCAATCCCCTGTCCTCCTGCTCTTTGCTCCATGAGAAAGATCCACCTACGACCTCTGGTCCTCAGACCAACCAGCCCAAGGAACTTCTCACCAATTTTAAATCAGGTAAGCAGCCTCTTTTTACTCTCTTCTCCAACCTCTCTCACTATCCCTCAACCTCTTTCTCCTTTCAATCTTGGCACCACACTTCAATCTCTCCCTTCTCTTAATTTCAGTTCCTTTCCTTTTCTGGTAGAGACAAAGGAGACACATTTTATCTGTGGACCCAAAACTCTGGCACCGGTCACGGACTCGGGAAGACGGTCTTCCCTTGGTGTTTAATCACACGGGGATGCCTGCCTGATTATTCACCTACATTTCATTGGTGTCTGATCACCGTGGGGATGCCTGCCTTGGTCATTCACCCACATTCCCTTGGTGGCAAATCAATTGCGGGGATGCCTGCTTTGGCTGCTCACCCACCCCTTCTCTCCATGTCTCTACCCACCTCTTTTCCACTTTCCTGGGGGACAAGCACCTCCCACCCCTTTTCCACTTTCCTGGGGGGGCAAGCACCTCCCACCCCTTTTCCACTTTCCTGGGGGGGCAAGCACCTCCCACCCCTTTTCCACTTTCCTGGGGGGGCAAGCACCTCCCACCCCTTTTCCACTTTCCTGGGGGACAAGCACCTCCCACCCTGTCTCCACTTTCCTGGGGGGCAAGCACCCCCCACCCCTTCTCTCCGTGTCTCTACCCACCCCTTTTCCACTTTCCTGGGGGGCAAGCACCCCCCACCCCTTCTCTCCATGTCCCCACCCCTTCTCCACTTTCCTGGGGGGCAAGCACCCCCCACCTCTTCTCTCCATGTCTCTACCCTCTCTTTTCTTTCCACTTTCCTGGGGAGCAAGCACCCCCCACTCCTTCTCTCCATGTCTCTACCCTCTCTTTTCTCTGGACTTGCCTCCTTCACTATAGGCAACCTTCCACCCTCCATTCCTCCTTCTTCTCCCTTAGCCTGTGTTCTCAAGAACTTAAAACCTCTACAACTCACACCTGACCTAAAACCTAAATGCCTTATTTTCTTCTGCAATGCCACTTGACCCCAATACAAACTCGACAGTGGTTCCAAATAGCCAGAAAACGGCACTTTCGATTTTTCCATCCTAGAAGATCTAAATAATTCTTGTCGTAAACTAGGCAAATGGTCTGAGGTGCCTGACGTCCAGGCATTCTTTTACACATCGGATCCTCCCTAGTCTCTGTTCCCAATGCAACTCGTCCCAAATCTTGCTTCTTTCCCTCCCGCCTGTCCCCTCAGTCCCAACTCCAAGCGTTGCTGAGTCTTTCCAATCTTCCTTTTCTACGGACCCATCTGACCCCTCCTCTCCTCCCCAGGCTGCTCCTCGCCAGGCCAAGCCAGGTCCCAATTCTTCCTCAGCCTCTGCTCCCCGACCCTATAATCCTTTTATCACCTCCCCTCCTCACACCTGGTCGGGCTTACAGTTTCATTCTGCGACTAGCCCTCCTCCACCTGCCCAACAATTTCCTCTTAAAAAGGTGGCTCAAGTTAAAGGCACAGTCAAGGTTAATGCTCCTTTTTCTTTATCCGACCTCTCCCAAATCAGTTAGCATTTAGGCTCTTTTTCATCAAATATAAAAACCCAGCCCAGTTCATGGCTCGTTTGGCAGCAACCCTGAGACGCTTTAGAGCCCTAGACCCTAAAAGGTCAAAAGGCCATCTTATTCTCAATATACATTTTATTACCCAATCTGCTCCCGACATTAAATAAAACTCTAAAAATCAAATTCCGGACCTCAAACCCCACAACAGGACTTAATTAACCTTGCCTTCAAGGTATACAATAATACAATAGAGGCAGCCAAGTAGCAACATATTTCTGAGTTGCAATTCCTTGCCTCCACTGTGGGAGAAACCCCAGCCACATCTCCAGCACACAAGAACTTCCAAACGCCTAAACCACAGCGGCCAGGCATTCCTCCAGGACCACCTCCCCCAGGAACTTGCTTCAAGTGCCAGAAATCTGGCCATTGGGCCAAGGAATGCCCACAGCCCAGGATTCCTCCTAAGCCGTGTCCCATCTGTATGGGACCCCACTGGAAATCAGACTGTCCAACTCACCCAGCAGCCACTCCCAGAGCCCCTGGAACTCTGGCCCAAGGCTCTCTGACTGACTCCTTCCCAGATCTTCTTGACTTAGTGGCTAAAGACTGATGCTGCCCGATCGCCTCAGAAGCCTACAGGAACCATCACAGATGCTTTAGATAACTCTCACAGTGGAGGGTAAGTCCGTACCCTTCTTAATCAATATGGAGGCTACCCACTCCATATTACCTTCTTTTCAAGGGCCTGTTTCCTTTGCCTCCATAACTGTTGTGGGTATTGATGGCCAGGCTTCGAAACCTCTTAAAACTCCCCAACTCTGGTGTCAACTTAGACAATACTCTTTTAAGCACTCCTTTTTATTTATCCCCACCTGCCCAGCTCCCTTATTAGGTCAAAACATTTTAACTAAATTATCTGCTTCCCTGACTATTCCTAGGCTACAGCCACACCTCATTACCACCTTTTCCCCGAGTTCAAAGCCTCCTTCACATCCTCTCCTTGTATCTCCCCACCTTAATCCACAAGTATAGGACACCTCTACTCCCTTAGTGATGGATGATGCACCCCTTACCATCCCATTAAAACCTAATCACCCTTATCCCGCTCAATGCCAATATCCCATCCCACAGCACACTTTAAAAGGATTAAAGCCTGTTATCATTTGCCTGTTACAGCATGGCCTTTTAAAGCCTATAAACTCTCCTTACAATTCCCCCATTTTACCTGTCCTAAAACCAGACAAGCCTCACAGGTTAGTTCAGTATCTGCACCTTATCAACCAAATTGTTTTGCCTATCCACCCCATGGTGCCAAACCCATATAGTCTCCTATCTTCAATACCTCCCTCCACAACCCATTATTCTGTTCTGGATCTCAAACATGCTTTCTTTACGATTCCTTTGCACCCTTCATCCCAGCCACTCTTCGCTTTCACTTGGACTGACCCTGACACCCTTCAGCCTCAGCAACTTACCTGGGTGTACTGCCACAAGGCTTCACAGACGGCCCCCATTACTTCAGTCAAGCCCAAATTTCTTCCTCATCTGTTACCTATCTTGGCATAATTCTCATGAAAACACACATGCTCTCCCTGCTGATCGTGTCTGGCTAATCTCCCAAACCCCAATCCCTTCTACAAAACAACAACTCCTTTCCTTCCTAGGCATGGTTAGGTACTTCCGCCTTTGGATACCTAGTTTTACCACCCTGACTAAACCATTATATAAACTCACAAAAGCACCCCACAGATCCTAAATCCTTTCACCACTCCTTTCAGTTCCTTAAAAACAGCCCTAGAAACTGCCCCCACACTTGCTCTCCCTGACTCATCCCAACCCTTTTCATTACAAACAGCCAAAGTGCAGGGCTGTGCAGTTGGAATTCTTACACACAGACCGGGACCACGCCCTGTAGACTTTTTATATAAACAACTTGACCTTACTGTTTTACCCTAGCCCTCATGTCTGCGTGCGGCGGCTGCCGCTGCCTTAATACTTTTAGAGGCCCTCAAAATCACAAACTATGCTCAACTCACTCTCTACAGTTCTCAAAACTTCCCAAATCTATTTTCTTCCTCACACCTGACGCATATACTTTCTGCCCCCCACCACCTCTCAGCAAGCCAAACTCATTGCCTTAACTCGAGCCCTCGCTCTTGCAAAAGGACTATGCATCAATATTTATACTGACTCTAAATATGCCTTCCATATCCTACACCACCATGCTGTTATATGGGGAAAAAAAATTTCCTCACTATGCAAGAGTCCTCCATCATTAATGCCCTCTTTAATAAAAGCTTTTCTCAAAGCGGCTTTACTTCCAAAGGAAGCTAGACTCATTCACTGCAAGGGCCATCAAAAGGCATCAGATCCCATCGCTCAGGACAACGCTTATGCTGATAAGGTAGCTAAAAAAACAGCCATCAAAAGGCATCAGATCCATTGCTCAGGACAATACTTATGCTGATAAGATAGCTAAAAAAGCAACTAGCGTTCCAACTTCTATCCCTCATGGCAGTTTTTCTCCTTCTCATCTGGCCACTCCTACCTACTCCCCCACTAAAACTTCCACCTATCAATCTCTTCCCACACAAGGCAAATGGTTCTTAGACCAAGGAAAATATCTCCTTCCAGCCTCACAGGCCCATTCTATTCTGTCGTCATTTCATAACCTCTTCCTTGTAGGTTACAAGCTGCTAGCCCGCCTCTTAGAACCTCTCATTTCCTTTCCATCGTGAAAATCTATGCTCAAAGAAATCACTTCTCAGTGTTTCATCTGCTATTCTACTACTCCTCAGGAATTTCTCAGGCCCCCTCCCTTCCCTACACATCAAGCTCGGGGATTTGCCCCTGCCCAGGACTGGCAAATTGACTTTACTCACATGCCTCAAGTCAGGAAACTAAAATACCTCTTGGTCTAGGTAGACACTTTCACTGGATGGGTACAGGCCTTTCCCACAGGGTCTGAGAAGGCCACCACAGTCATTTCTTCCCTTCTATCAGACATAATTCCTCAGTTTAGCCTTCCCACCTCTATACAGTCCGATAATGGACCGGCCTTTATTAGTCAAATCACCCAAGCAGTTTCTCAGGCTCCTGGTATTCAGTAAAACCTTTATATCCCTTACCATCCTCAATCTTCAGGAAAGGTAAAACAGACGAGTAGTCTTTTAAAAACACACCTCACCAAGCTCAGCCACCAACTTAAAAAGGACTGGACAATACTTTTACCACTTTCCCTTCTCAGAATTCGGGCCTGTCCTCAGAATGCTACAGGGTACAGCCCATTTGAGCTCCTGTATGGATGCTCCTTTTTACTAGGCCCCAGTCTCATTCCAGACACCAGCCCAACTTGGACTGTGCCCCAAAAAACTTGTCATCCCTACTATCTTCTGTCTAGTCATAATCCTATTCACCGTTCTCAACTACTCATAAATGCCCTGCTCTTTACACTGCAGGTTTACACTGTTTCTCCAAGCCATCGCAGCTAATATCTCCTGGTGCTATCCCCAAACCGCCACTCTTAACTCTTAAAGTAAATAAATAATCTTTGCTGGCAGTGCTATGCTGAACCTCCTTAGGCACTCTCTAATTAGATGTCCTGGGTCTTCCCAATTCTTAGTCCTTTAATACCTGTTTTTCTCCTTCTCCTATTCCGTTTAGTTTTTCAATTCATACAAAACCGTATCCAGGCCATCACCAATAATTCTATACGACAAATGTTTCTTCTAACAACCCCACAATATCACCCCTTACCACAAAATCTTCCTTCAGCTTAATCTCTCCCACTCTAGGTTCCCACACTGCCCCTAATCCCGCTCGAAGCAGGCCTTAGAAACATCGCCCATTATCTCTCCATACCATCCCCCAAAATTTTCACCACCCCAACACTTTACCACTATTTCGTTTTATTTTTCTTATTAATATAAGAAGACAGGAATGCCAGGCCTCTGAGCCCAAGCTAAGCCATCATATCCCCTGTGACCTGCACATATACATCCAGATGGCCTTAAGTAACTGAAGAATCACAAAAGAAGTGAAAATGGCCTGTTCCTGCCTTAACTGATGACATTACCTTGTGAAATTCCTTCTCCTGGCTCAATCTGGCTCAAAAGCTCCCCCACTGAGCACCTTGTGACCCCCGCCCCCACCCGCCAAAGAACAATCCCCTTTGACTGTAATTTTCCTTTACCTACCTAAATCCCATAAAACGGCCCCAACCCTATCTCCCTTTGCTGACTCTCTTTTCGGACTCAGCCCGCCTGCACCCAGGTGAAATGAAAAGCTTTATTGCTCACACAAAGCCTGTTTGGTGGTCTCTTCACACGGACGCAAGTGAAAGGTTGAAAACTGGTTCTTGAGGGTAGAGGGATGGTAGATATTACAATGGTTTGTGGTATTACAAAGACCATAGTATATAAATAGTTACACTTCATCTGTGGTATTAAAATTTCATGTTCTGGGCAGAAAGGGTATATAAGAAAAAACATGTCCAAAAGGGCCTCCATCAAGAAGATGATTAAAGAAGGTTGAGAAGCACTGCATATACCCAGTGACCTCTTGTGTAGATGATAGGCTATGAGGGCTTAGGGACTGGTCATTTTACAATCTCCCATGGGTACTCACTCAACAAACCTTCTTAGTGATGACGGTTGGAATGAAATACGCAGCCTGGGGTCAAGAATCCTGGGAATGGGGACCACATGAATTGACTGGCTTTTAAGGTGGGAAGCAAAGGGACTCAGTCAGGAAAACAGGTTTTTCCTCTGGAACAGATAACATGAAGGTAGGAAATCAATGTTGACAAAACTAATACAAGCAAGAAGTACCATAAGCTGTATCTCCTTTAATCTTATCATTTATTCAAGTAATCTATTATTAAATATACTTTAGATCAGGCTATAGGAAATTAGGAGAGGTTCAATAAATCAGAGAAACTGCTTTGTTAATGCCTGCTCAGTAATAGATTCTGGAATTTCACTAAAGCTTTTCCTGTTGAGCCCTGAAGCCACCAGGAATCTGAGTTCTCTAATCTCCCTGAGCACTCACATGTAAAGCTGCTCAGGGTACTCCTTAATTTATTTATATAATAAGCTATATTTTAAATTATAATATTGAAAATTTTAAAACATTGTATATGACACAAGAAATCATTAAAGTTGTCTGTGCAGGCTATAGCAAACACTTGCAAATTATATGGGGCTGATGCTCATAATATATGAAGCATTCTTAGTAACCAATATGGAGAGAGGCTCTAATGATGACATTGGTAGATAGCCTCTAAGACTTCCCCCCAGTGATTGTCACCTCCAGATAGTCACTTCCTTGTGCAATCTGTCCCATCTTTGGGCTGGAGTTAGTGACTTGCTACTAGTAGACAGAATATGTGAGAGGAGATGGATGTCATTTTTCACATTAAATGACTAAGGCTGTGTCTTGCTTGTTGGGTACATTCTTATTCTTGCACTAAGGAGAGCCAGCTGCCATGTCGTGGGCTACCCACATGGCAAGTAATCTATGTCCCTGGCTAAGAAGCAATCGGGCTCTGAGGCCTGCCCACAGCCATATGAATGAGCTTGGAATTGAATCGTCCCTCAGTTGAGACTTGAGATGCCTGCAGCCCCTACCTAGACCTTGACTGCAGCCTTGTGAGAGGCCCTGAGCTAGAATCTTATCCATGCCATTATTCCTAACCCAAATAAATGGTGTGAATTAATGTATATTTGTTATAAGCAGTGAAATTGTGGGGAAATTTGTTATGTAAGAATAGATAAATAATACAGATATACACAGATAATTCATGTAAAAAGCAATACACATGCCCAAGAAATATTTGAAAACACATTCACTAATGAAATGCAAATTAAAACTTATACAGAAGCTATTTTTGATGAAAAGGGGCAAGTTGCAAAGCCACATGAATAGTTAGAAGCCCCATAGAAGGGCAGGACTCCTGACCTCAGATCAGAGAGCCATGGGACTCACCTTTCCTGAATGCTGGTACTTTTTCATCTCATGTATTTTCTGGGGGGTAGGGAATACGATTGCTACACTGTTTTGTAGCTGAAGAAACAATGTATGGGGAGGTTAAGTAACCTGGCTGAGGGTCATCCTGCTACTAAGTGGAAAAGTAGAGACTGGTATCCTATATGTCCTTGTGCAGACTGTGTGACTCTCAGCTGCACATCACACCATAACCAAGTAAATCTTGCTTTCCTACTGATCCAAGATGGAAATCCATGAATTACCAGCACATATTTCACACATCATGCTTCCATACATACATACATACATACATACATTCATACAGGTAACAGGCATTAAGGACAAACTGTACACCATTTCTTTGGTTAAGTTTTAGACTTCTCCAGAATGGAAGCTATCTTACAACTTTAACTTTTAGATAATGACAGCATTGCAATATAATCCTTGTCTGTACACAAGCAGATGAATTCTGCCTTGGAAAACAAAAATGTTGTCTCCATTTGAACGTTCATTTCAGTACCCTTGATCTATATAAAGCATCAAAGATGTGGTTGTTGACTTTGACAAGGTTCATTTCAGTAGAAGGGTGGGGGAACAAAGTACCATTAGAGTGGAGTGACAACTGAGTTGGGGGAAGATGTAGAGGGATATGAGTTGAGAATTGATAATTTTTGTAGAACTTTGGTTACAAGGAAGAGAATATATATAAAGAGGGTAGTAACTAGAGATGTAGAGAGAGGTCCAGGGCATTAAATTATGTGTTACAATCATCAATTGTAAGAGACTTTATGAGGCTGAAATATTAATAGGAATGAACCATCTTTTGTTAGATCTGACATCTGAATTTACTGCACCACCCTTTCCACACTTTATTTGCTTGATCCATTCTGGAGACTCTGATGACATGAAGGCTGTGCTATAGAACATTGTGCTTTCAAATGAAGCACACATTTTCCCCTACACCCCATACTTTGGCTTCAGTGAAAGGAATTTTGTGAGTAGGTTTACTGAATGATAACAATAATTTTTCATGATCACTTCAATAACCTCAATCTTATCTGTTTTTATTTCTTTCTGAAGGGATTTCCAAGTATGCAAATCAATAATCTGAAATTATAATGTGTCATATTTGTCTGGTTAAATGTATCACCTACAAACCCTGTCTAATATACTACAATTAGATGATATGATAGTGTTGAAATATTATGATAGTGATAGGGTACTCTTTTGTGGGTTCCTCACTCTTAAGTCAAAATACTTATACTGCATCACAGAAATCATAATGCCAGATTTTCTTTTGGAATGAATCCATTCAGTAAATAACCCAATCTATATAATAAATATACATATATGTATACTTACAGAAGTAAACGTGTAAATTAATAAAGAAATAGGTGTGAGGAGACAAATTGTCTTTATCAAATAATTCCAAATAGTACACATAGATACCCTCCCTCTATGAAGTGAAGCTTAATTCCACCTCCCATCACCTGATGACAGGACAGACTTAGTAACTCACTTATATAGAATAAAAGTAGGCAAATGGAAAACAGTTGCTGTACACTGGAGAAACTTGGCAAATACTGCCTTAACCAAGTGATTAAGGTTAATATCACCAGTGAGGTGAGATGGGTATCATGTACTACCAGAAATGAAGTGACAAGAAGGGCACTTCAATGCTGGTATTTTTTCTCAGAACGCATTACCTCAGTATAATCAGAAAAAAAAAATCTAAGTCTATACCCCTCATCACTGTCAGAATCATGAAAACAGTTTAGCAGTTTTTCAAATGGAAAAACAGGGAGTTACCATATGGCCCAGTAATTCCTTTCCTACCCAAGATGAATCTCTACATAAAAATGTGTACACAAATGTATGTAGAATCATTATTCATAATAGCCAAAAGGTGGAAATAACCAGAGTGTTCATCAATAGGTGAATAAATAAACAAAATGGACCAGGCACGGTGGCTCACGCCTGTAATCCCAACACTTTGGGAGGCCGAGGCAGGTGGATCACAAGGTCAGGAGTTCAAGACCAGCCTGGCCAACATGGTGAAACCCCATCTCTACTAAAAACACACAAAAAAATTAGCTGTGCATGATAGCACACACCTGTGGTCCCAGTTACTTGGGAGGATGAGGCAGAAGAATCACTTGTAACTGGGAGGCAGAGGTTGCAGTGAGCTGAGATTGTACCACTGCACTCCAGCCTGGGCGATGGAGCAATACTCCATCTCAAAATAAATAAATAAATAAATAAATAAATAAATAAACAAATAAACAAAATGTGGTGTATCTATGCAATAGAATATTTTTAAGCTATTAGTTGGAATGGAATTCTGACCCATGGTACATTATGGAGGAACCTTGAACACATTATAATAAGTAAAAGATGCCAGACACAAAATACCAAACATTAATTGATTCAATTTATATAAAATCTCCAGAACTGGCAAATGCATAGACAGAAAATATATCTGTGATTGCATAGGGCTGGGTGTGTGTGCAGGGATTAACTACATTCAAGCATAATGGGATTCTTGGGGATGATGAAAACATATAAAAACCCAATTATGGTGATGGTTGTACAACTCTATACATTTGGTAAAAATAATCTAAATATCCTTAAAATGTGTGATGTTATGATTTGTAAGCTATAGTCTGATGAAGGTGTTTAAAATATGATATTGGGTAGGAGGCAGAGCAATGTGGCTAAACAGAAGCCTCCACCAGTTGTCCTCCCTGCGGGAACACCAAATTTGACAACTATCTACACAAGAAAGCACCTTCATAAGAACCAAAAATCAGGTGAGTGATCATATTACCTGGTTTTAACATCATATCACTGAAAGAGGTATTGAAGAGGGAAAGAAAGACGGTCTTGAATTGCTGATGCCACCCCTCCCCCACTCCCTGGCAGCAGCTGTGAAGCCTGGAGAATCTGTGTGCTTGGGGGAGGGAGAGCACAGTGATTGTGGGACTTTGCATTGGAACCCAGTGCTACACTGTCAGAGCAGAAAGCAGCATTGGGCAGAACTCAACCAATGCTCACGGAGGGAGCATTTAGACCAGCCCTAGCTAGAAGGGAATTACCCATCCCATCAGTCAGAGCATGAATTTCGGCCAAGCCTTGCCACTGTGGGCTAAAGTGCTTGGGGGTCCAAAAGAAACTTAAAAGGCAATCTAGACCTGGAGGACTTGGGGGACATGTGACCCAGTGAGACACCAGCCAGGTGTGCTTGTGCCACCCCTCCTCCAACCCCAGGCAGTGTAGCTCTCAGCTCTGAAAGAGAATCCTTTCTGCTTGAGGAAAGGAGAGAAAAGAGTACAGGGGACTTTGTCTTGAAACTTGGATACCAGCTCAGCCACAGGAAAGGACACTGGGCAGAGTACTGTGGCACCCATTCCAGGCCCTAGCTCCTGAACATTTCTAGACACACCCTGGGCCAGAAGGGAACTTTCTGCCTTGAATGGATGCACTCAGTCCAGGAAGCATTCATCACCTGCTGACTAAAGAGTCCTTGGGCCCTGAATAATCAGCAACAGTAGCCTAGTACACACTGGGGGCTTTGGGTGAGACTCTTGAGATGTGCTGACATCAGGTGTGACCCAGCACTTCCCTGCTGTAGTGGCCATGAGGAGAGACTCCTTCTGTTTGAGAAAAGCAGAGGGAAAAGTAAAGGGGACTTTGCCTTGCAGCTTAGGTACCAGCTCTGCCACAGCAGGGCAGAGCACCAGGTAGGCTCTTGAGGTCCCAGATTCCTGGCCTTGGCTTTGATGGCATTTCTGGTCCTGCCCTGAACCAAAGGGGAGCTCACTGACCTGAACGGTAAGTCCCAAGCCTGGCAGCATGCAGCACAAGCTGACAGACGAGCCCTTGGGCCTTAACTGAACAATGTCGGTAGCCTGGCAATATCACCTGTGGGTCTGCAGTGGTGGTGGCCACAGGGAGAGAGTCCTCTGCCTGTGGAAAGGGGAGTGAAGAATGGGATGAATTTTGTCTTGTTGCTTGCGTGCCAGTTCAGCCACAATAGAATGGAGCATCACATAGATTTCTAAGGTTTCTGACTCCAGGCTCTGGCTCCTGGATGGCATTTCTGGACCTGCTCGGGATCAGGGGAACTCCCTGCTATGAAGGGAAGGACATACACCTAGCTGGCTTCACTGTCTGCTGACTGTAGTGCCTTAGGAAATTGAGTGAACATAGGCAGTAGCCAGGTAGTGGTTTGGGTGAGACCCAGTGCTATGCTGGCTTCATATCTGACTCAGCACAGTCCCAGTGGTGTAGGCCACCAGAATGCTTGTGTTACTTCTCCACCAGCTCCATGGACTCAGCACAGAGAGAGAGAGAGACTCTATTTGTTTAGGAGAAAGTAAGGGAAGGAAACAAGAGTCTCTGCCTGGTAATCTAGAGAATTCTTCTGGATCTTATTCAAGAACACCAAAGCAGTACCTCTAAGAGTCTGCAAGAACCACAGTATTACTTGGCTTGGGGTGAGTCCCAATGCAGATATGGCTGCAGTGACCAAAAACTTAGATCACAACATTCAAGGCTCTTCAAATACCTGGAAAGCCTTCCCAAGAAAGATGGGCACAAACAAGCATATACTGCAAACATAAGAATAAAATAATAGGTTTCAAGATTTTATTTGAAAGTCTCATGGTAACCTTAAACCAAAAGTCATACAATGGATACACAAAAAAATAAAAGATAAGAAATTAAAACATAACACCAAGGAAAATAACCTTCACTAAAAGGAAGACAGGAAGGAAGGAAAGAAGGAAGAAAAGACCACAAAATAACCAGAAAACAAATAAGAAAAAGGCAGAAGTAAGTCCTTACTTATCAATAATAACATTGAATGTAAATGGACTAAACTCTTCAATCAAAGACATAGAATGGCTGAATAGATTTAAAAACAAGACCCAAGGATCGTTGTCTGCAAGAAATACACTTCACCTATAAAGACACACACAGGCTGAAAATAAAGGGATGGAAAAAGATATTCTATGCCAACAGAAACCAAAAAAGAGCAAGAATAGCAATACTTACATCTAACAAAATAGATTTCAAGATGAAAATTACAAAAAGAGACAAAGATGGTCATTATATAATTATACATAATTCAATTCAGCAAGAGGATATAACAACCATAAATATATATGCACTCAACACTGAAGTACCTAGATATATAAAGCAAATATTACTAGAGCTAAAGGAAGTGATAGACCCCAATACAACAATAGCTGGAGACTTCAACTCTCCTCTTTCAGCATTGAACAGATCACCCAGACAGAAAATCAACAAAGAAACACTGGACTTAATCTGCACTACAGACTAAATTAACCTAATTGATATTTACAGAACACTTCATCCAATGACTTTAGAATGTACAATTTTCTCCTTAGCGCATGAATCATTCTCAAGCAAAGACGATACATTAGGCCACAAAACAAGTCTTAAACATTCAAAAAAATCCAAATAATATCAAGTATATTCTCTGATCACAATGGAATAAAACTAGAAATCAATGGCAAGAGGAATTTTGGAGACTACGAATACATGGAAATTAAACAATATGTTCCCAAATGAACAGTATGTCAAGAAAGAAATTAAGAAGGACATTGAAAAATTTCTTGAAACAGATGATAATGGAAACACAGAATGTCAAAACATATGGAATACAGCAAAAGCAGTACTAAGAGGAAAGCTTACAGTTAAAAAGTGCCTACATCAAAAAAGAAGAAAAACATCAAATAAACAACCTAATGATGCATCTTAAAGAACAAGAAAGTCAAGAGCAAACCAAATCTAAAATTAGTAGAAAAAAGAAATAACAGGCCAGGTGTAGTGGCTCACGCGTGTAATCTCAGAACTGTGGGAGGCTGAGGTGGGCGGATCACCTGAGCTCAGGAGTTTGAGACCAACCTGGGCAACATGGCAAAACCCTGTCCCTACAAAAAAATACAAAATTAGCTGGGCATGGTGGCACATGCCTGTAGTCCCAGCTAGTCAGGCGGCTGAGGCAGGAGGATCACTTGAGCCTGGGAGACGGAGGTTGGAGTGAGCTGAGATCGTGCCACTGCACTCCAGCCTGGGTGACAGAGAGACACCCTGTCTCAAAAAAAAAAAAAAAAGCAAGCAAGCAAGCAAGCAATAATAAAGATCACATCAGAAACAAATGAAATTGAAATGAAGAAAACTACAAAATGTCAATGAACAAAAGGTTGTTTTTTAAAAAAGATAAAACAAAATGGACAAACCTTGAGCCAGATTAAGAAAAAAGAGAGAAGACCCAAATAAATAAAATAAGAAACGAAAAATGAGACACTACAAATGATAGGGCAAAAATTCAAAGGATCACTAGAGGCTACTATGAGCAACTATATGCTAATAAATTGGAAAACCTAGAAAAATAGATAAATACCTAGACACATACAACCTACCAAGAGTGAACCATGAAGAAATCCAAAACCTGAAATGACCAATAAGAAGTAACAAGCCATTTTGGAGAGTGCAAGCCACCATAAGCCTTGGCAGCTTCCACATGGTGTTAAGTCTGTGGGCACATGGAATACAAGAGTTAAGGAGGCTTGGAAGCTTCCCCCTAGATTTCAGAAAATGTATTAGAAAGCCTGAGTGCCTAGGCAGAAGCCTGCCACAGGGGCAGAGCCCCCAGTATAGAAACTCTACTAGGACAGTGTGGAGGAGAAATATGGGGTTGGAGACCCAACACAGAGTCCCCAATGGGGCACTGCCTAGTGGAGCTGTGAAAAGGGGGCCACTGCCCTGCAGACCCCAGAACGGTAGAGCCATGGACAGCTCATATCCTGAGCCTGGAGAAGTCACAGGCAGTCAAGTCCAACCCATGAGATCAGCCACGGGGCTACAACCTGCAAAGCCTAATACACCAAGCATCTAAACAGAAAGTGATATGGTTGAGTGGAAAGAGACTGCTACCTTGGGAAACTGAGGCACTTTGTAACCCATGCCTCTGCCTGCTTGCATACTGCTAAAGGGCTACTACCTGCTCCTGACCTACCTCACTCATGAGGGCAAATCCCTCATGAATGTCTTGGTGCTGTCCTTGCAATAGTGAGTGAGTTCTCATGAGATTTGTTTGTTTAAAAGTGTGTGGTACCTCCCTCATCTCTTTCTTGCTCCAACTACTGCCGTGTGACATGCCTCCTCCCACTCTGCCTTTCACCATGACTGTAAGCTTCCTGAGGCCCTCACCAGAAGCCAAGCAGATGTTGATGCCATGCTTGTACAGCCTGCAGAACTGTGAGCACCTTTTCTTTATAAATTACCCAGCCTTGGCCAGGCGCAGTGACTCACGCCTGTAATCCCAGCACTTTGGGAGGCTGAGGCGGGCGGATCACGAGATCAGGAGATCGAGACCATCCTGGCTAACACGGTGAAAGCCCGTCTCTACTAAAAATACAAAAAATTAGCCGGGCATGGTGGCGGGCGCCTGTAGTCCCAGCTACTCCGGAGGCTGAGGCAGGAGAATGGCGTGAACCCGGGAGGCGGAGCTTGCAGTGAGCCGAGATCGCGCCACTGCACTCCAGCCTGGGCGACAGAGCGAGACTCCGTCTCAAAATAAATAAATAAATAAAATAAAATAAAACAAAAAATAAAAATAAATTACTCAGCCTCAGGTATGTCTTTATAGCAACACAAGTATGGTCTAATACACCCAGCATCTAAATAGAAAATGATATGGTTGAGTGGAAAGAGACTGCTACCTTGGGAAACTGAGGCACCTTGTAACCCGTGCCTCTGTCTGCTTGCCTAGGGCTAAAGGGCTACTACTACCTGCTCCTGACCTACCTCACTCATAGAGAGGAAAGGGCAAGGCAACACTTGTGTGCTTACAGTCTTAGTTCTTCTCACAAGTAGAAAGTAGAAGTTTTACTTTCTCCGTTTCTCTTCACTGTGTCAGAGTGGTATGTTTCTGAACTTGTTTTGAGTCTGCCTGATCCCTAAGGGAGTGATTTTTTCCATTTAGTCATTTGAGGTGTCCATCTGAGGTGACATGGAGTTTCTGCTTCATGTAAGAACTCCTCTCCTTCGCTGAGGGACTGGACCCAGAGCCACAGGAGATAGGAGTAAAGACCAAGTTCTCAAAGACAAGCACAGGATTAGGACCCCAGTCTGAACATCAAACTCTCCTGACTTAGCAAAATGGTTTTCACAGATTTCTCACATGATGTTTACTCCCTGCAGAGTTCCTCTTAGAGAGACTGTGAGGAAACAGGCATTGTCATGCATTGCTAGAAGTAATTTCAAATGGTACATCCCCTGTGGAAGGAATTTGATGCTATTTAATAGAATGACATAGGCATTAATTCTTGGAACCAGCAATCTCTTTCCTAAGAATCTATTCCAAAGATATAATGCAAATAGACAAACAGGCATAAACACAAGGCCATTCCTGGCAGAACAATTCATAACAGCAGAAGATTAGATATAAGACAGATGTCCACCAATAGAAGGCTGATTGAGTAATCTAAGGTACTTCCTAGAGTACCATGCATGTATAAAAGGCAACAAAGATCCCTTCTCTACACTGCTATGGATTGACCTCCAGGACATATTATAAATGAAAAATGCAGTGCAAAAAAATGGAGAGAGCTGTTGTTGTTCAATATGGTGGTCACTAGCTACATGTAGCCATTTAATTTTAATAAATAAATTCAAATAAAATTATAAACTCATACCTCACTCATACTCACCATGTTTCAGGTGCTCAACAGCCTCAGGTAAACTAGTGGCTACTGTGTTGGACAGTGCAGATACAGACAATTTTCATCAATGCAGAAATTTCCATTGGATAGTGGTGGTGTAGAATATGCCACCTTCTACTTGTGTCAGGGAGGAAATAAATACACACATCACATTTGCTTATATTTTTAAAAACTGGAAGATTAAAACAAAAACTGGTAAAAATGATTTATCTATAAGGGCATAGAGGAGCAATTCAGGATGGAAGCCAAGATGTGTATCATCTTCAAAATATAATGCATAATTACTGGCTATGTACACTAAAAAAGCAACAAACTACAAGCAGTTGATTAGTACCCAGATTGAGTCCTCTAAAAATATTCCCCATGAAAAGAAATCAGGCTCTCTCAGAGAGACAGATGATTCCAGGTCTGGGGTCAGGATTGTATCAGATAAGCCTGGACCAAATTATCCTACCAGAAAGCATGTCAAAAAGATTCAGAAACCAAACTGAGGAGGCTCTCACTGGACAAAAATGAAACAATTTGAACATCAAAGAGATTAGTGACTGCAATGGTTTAAAACATATTAAATACAGGAACATCTCTGAGTCACAAGAAAAGAAAAACAAAACACGAAAAATACCAACTCTCTACTCATCTTTGGAAGCTCCTATGGAAACAGCTATTCGTTCTAAAAAGTGAAAATACTGCAAAAGAATTAAACATTCATCCTTCACTTCTTGTGTGCTCCATACCTCAGTGAATCCTAATAGTTGACGGCATGGGGCAAGTTATGTTATAGGAAACACCCAGCTAATAAATGCAGAATAAATTGTAAAATTACAACATCACCATTTTGCAACTTCTAATGAAATATAGCTCTAGACAACAATCTTCAGAAAGTGGAAAAAACCCTGAGGAGAAAAACACATGGAAAGTGTTATAATGGATGGATTGGGCTGACAAAATCTGAGCCCAGTGATCAACCTGAACTTCACAGTAGAGGAGATAAACAGACACAATGAGGCTCCTGCTGCGCTATTACCTAAATGTTTGTGTCCCACCACCACCCCCAGTTTATATGTTAAAAGCCTAATCTCCAATGTGATGGTGTTTGGGGATGGGGCCTTTGAAAGGAATTGGGTCATGAGGACACAGCCCTCATGATGAGATTAGTGCCCTTGTAATAAAAGACATGAGAGCTTGTTTCCTTTCCACATGCACACACCAAGGAAAGGCCATGTGAGGACTAGGCAGGGGGCCCTTAACCTGAATCCAACCATGCTGGCACCCTGATCTCAGACTTGCAGCCTCCAGACCCATGAGAAATACATACTTGTTGTTTGATACGGTTTGGATTTGTGTCCTCACCCAAATCTCATGTTGAATTGTAATCCCCAATGTTGGAAGAGGGGCCTGGTGGGAGGTGATTGGATCTTGGGGGCATACTTCCCCCTTGTTGTTCTCATGATAGGGAATGAGTTCTCACAAGATCTGGTTGAATAAAAGTATGTGGCACTTCCCCCTTCACTCTCTTCCTCCTTCTTTGACCATGTAAAATGTGCCTGCTTCCCCTTCGCCTTCTGCCAGGATTATAAGTTTCCTGAGTTTCCCAGCCATGCCTCCTGTATAGCCTGCAGGACTGTGAGTCAATTAAACCTCTTTTCTTTATAAATTATCTAGTCTCAGGTAGTTTTTTATAGCAATGTGAGTATGGACTAATAAACTATTTAACCCACCACTGTATGGTAACTTGTTACAGCAGCCTGAAGTGACTAAGATACCTGTGAGGCTATAAGAAGGACAGTCATGTGCTGCATAACAATGTTTTGGTCAACTCCAGAACACATATGTAACAGCAGTCCCATAAGATATAATGGAGCCAAAAAATTCCTATCACCTACTCACGTTGCTGTCCTAACTGTCATATCACAATATATTCTTCACATGTTTGTGAAGAATATATTGATGCTGGTGTAAGCAAACCTACTGCACTGCCAGTTGTATAAAAGTATAGCACATGCAATTATGTACAGTACATAATACTTATTAATGATAATAAATGACTGTTACTGGTTTATGTATTTACTACACTTTTTATTGTTATTTTAGAATGTATTCCTTCTACCTATTAAAAAAAGTAAACTATAAAACAGCCTCATGCAGGTCCTTCAAAAGGTATTCCAGAAGAAGGTATTGTTATCTTAGGAGATGACAGCTTTATGTGTGCTATTGTCCCTTAAGACCTCCCAGTGGGACAAGACTGGTGGTGGAAGACAGTGATAGTGATGATCCTGACCCTGTATAGGCCTAGACTAATGTGTGTGTTTGTGTCTTAGTTTTTAACCCAAAAGTTTAAAAAGTAAATATAAATAAATAAGTAAATATAAATATAAATAAATAAGTAAAAGAAAGGTAACAGAATAAGGATATAAAGAAATAAAATATTTTTGCATATCTGTACAATGTATGTTTTTAGTTAAGTGTTATTACAAAATAAAAAAGTTTAAAAACGTTAAAAGTTTATAAAGTTAAAAAGTTACGGTAAGCTGAGGTTAATTTATTATTGAAGAAAAAAATACTATTTTATAAATGTAATGTAGCCTAATTGTACAGTGTTTGTAAAATCTACAGTAGTGCACAGTAATGTCCTAAGCCTTCATATTCACTCACCACTCACTCACAGACTCACGTAGAGCACCTTCAAGTCCTGCAAGTGACCAATACACATGTATAGATATATACATTTTTAATCTTTTATATCATATTTTTACTGTACTTTTTCTATGTTTAGATATGCTTAGATACATAAATACTGACCTTTGTGCTACAGTTCCCTAGATTATTCAATACAGTAACATGCTGTATAGCCTAAGTAGGTAGTAGGTTACACCATCTAGGTTTGTGTAAGTGCACTCTATGATGTTCACACAATGACAAAATCTCCTAATGATGTATTTCTCAGAATGTATCTCTGTGGTTAAGTGACACATGACTGTACATAATGCCACATCTAAGACACCCTTGTCAAAAAAATTTGAATAGGATTAAGTTTTTAACTCTAATTACCTTTTACTTTAACTCTAATTACCAATTTAAAGGAAACTGAGTAACATGAACAACTCAATAGGGATACAATCAGCAAAACTGAGAATGTAAACTCCAGCACCTTAAGCAAATAAATTGGAAAGTTAAAAAGAGAGAGAAAGGATCTTGTCTATATTAAAAGAAACTTAAAACTTGAGAGAAAATTAAATCAAACAGAAATTAAAACAGAAAAATGAGATACTATATACTATCACACATCCATCAGAACAACAAAAGCTACCAAGGTATACCAAGTGTCAGCGAGGATGTAGAGCAGTGAAACTATGACACTGCTGATACAAATATAAATTAGAATAACCACTTTGAAAACTGCTTAGCTGTATATGCTGAGCTGAACATACACATACCCTATGACTCAGAAATTCTATTCTTAGGCCGAGGACCGGTACATGCATATGAAAAATGAAAATAAATGTCCAATCAAAGATACGCAGAGAAATAAAAAAGGGCGCAAGATGGCCGACTAGATACAGCCAGGGGGAATGTCTCCCACAAAGGGACAGGGCATCAGGAAGACTAGCACACTCCTAGCAGATCTTGAGGGAAGGCATTGAGAGCAGACAGAAGGGAGATACAGATACTGGGTGGAAGCAGGAGGAAGCTGGGAACGCTGCTCAGGGCTACCATACACCAGGTCATTCCTGGTCCCCAGTGACTCCTGGGGAAGGGGTTGAACAGGCAAGGAGCAACCCACTCTCGCCACGGGCCTCTGGAATCCCTGCAGGAGAAGACCCCTTGACCACCATGGACACTTGAATTGGCAGTGAGAGCTACTCAGAGAACTGGCAGGGGCAGAACTCCAGCTGGAGTGGAGCCCAGAGAGTTTGGTACAGGAGCATCTGTAGTGGAGCATGGCCATGGTTGCCCATCTCCCTAGGCTTGACTCACTCCTATAGAAGACTTTAGCCTTAGGGGAACTGTCGGACCTGAACGCTGCAGGGCAATCGTGCCCATAAGACACGGCTGGTCTGACCTGAACACCCCTCAGTCTGTTGGCCTCTCCTGGGGCCCCAGCCTGGTCATGCCTGCTTGCAGTGCAGCCCCCAGGTATCTCCTGTGGGCCCATGTCATAGCCCCTGCGCTAGCAGACTGCTCCTGACTGGCAGAGTGCTCCAGCAGAGAAAAGCAGCCCCAGTGGACTCGCTCCAGCCCACCTGCATCCTCCCCCGACTGCAGCCTCCCCAATGCAGCTTTGCCTGCACACTCGCCCATGGCCACCCTCTACATTGCTTTGCTGTTGTGTGTGTGCATCAGCAGATGCAGCCTTCCCTCCCTCACCAGCACATGTGTGCATGTGCAGTCTGCAATGCAACTGCTGCTGACTGAGTACACCCTACCCCTCCCCCTGCCTCCCTCCTCCTGCCACATCGCCATTGTTGTCGGAGCATTGGCAGGCACGGAGCCCGCCAGCCTCCTCCCTGCCAGCACCAAAATTGCTGTTAGCATAAAACTAGGCATGGAGAAAAGCAGACCCACACCTGCCCTGAGTGGCCACTGCCACCCACGGGAACTTGTACAGAGAGTGCAAACACCACCACCAGCATGAAGGTGTGCACAGTCACTGGCTGGGGCCCCATCCCCCTGAGCCATGCTGTCAATGCCAGCTGCTGCTGCAAATGCATGCATGAAGGCTGACACCCTGGCATCCATTAGCACCCTGTTGCAGCCAAGCAGTGTGCATCTTACCACAGTGCAGCTGCAGCTGCTACTGGCATGTGTGAACAAGGACGGATTCCACTGCCACCATGCTACAAAGTGTTTGCAGATGACATGATCCTATATCTAGAAAACCCCATAGTCTTGGCCCAAAAGCTCCTTAAGCTGATAAACAATGTCGGCAAAGTCTCAATATCCAAAATCAACATATAAAAATTGAAGGCTGGGTGCAGTGGCTCATGCCTGTAATCCCAGTACTTTGGGAGGCAGAGGCGGGCAGATGACTTGAGGTCAGGAGTTCAAGACCAGCCTAGCCAACATGGTAAAACCCCATCTCTACTAAAAATACAAAAATTAGCCAGGCATGGTGGCGTGTGCCTGTGAACCCAGCTACTCAGAAGGCTGAGGAAGAAGAATCACTTGAACCTGGGAGGTGGAGGTTGCAGTGAGCCGAGATCATGCCACCGCACTCCAGGCTGGGTGACAGAGCGAGACTCTGTCTCAAAAAAAAAAAAAAAAATCGCTAGCATTCCTATACACCAACAACAACCAAGCCTAGAGCCAAATGAGGACACAATCCCATTCCCAATTGCCACAAAAAGAATAAAATACCTAGGAATATGGCTAACCAGGGAGGTTAAAAAAAAAAATCTCTACAGTGGGAATTACGAAACATTGCTCAAAGAAACCAGAGATGACAAACAAATGGAAAAACATTCCATGCTCATGGACAGGAAAAATTAATATCATGAAAATGGTCACACTGCCCAAAGCAATTGACAAGTTCAATGCTATTCCTATCAAACTACCAATGACATTCTTCACAGAACTAGAAAAAACTACTTTAAAATCCATATGGAACCCCAAAGAGCCCAAATAGCCAAGGAAATCCTAAGCAAAAAGAATAAAGTAGGAGGCATCACACTCCCCAACTTCAAACTATACTACAGGGCTACAGCAACCAAAACAGCATATTAGTGGTACAAAAACAGACATATAGACTAATGGAACAGAATAGAGAGCTCAGAAATAAGGTTGCACACCTACAACCATATGATCTTTTGAGAAAGTTGACAAAAACAAGCAAAGGGACTCCCTATGCAATAAGTGGTGCTGGGATACCCTTATGCAGAAGATTGAAACTGGATTCCTTCCTTACACTATATACAAAAATCAACTCAAGATGGATTAAAGACTTAAATGTAAAACCCAACACTATAGAAATCCTAGAAGACAACCTAGGCAATACTATTCTGGACATAGGAATGGGCAAACATTTCATGACGAAGACATCAAAACAACTGCAATAAAAGCAAAAGTTGACAGATGGAATCTAGTTAAACTAAAGAGCTTCTGCACAGCAAAAGAGACTATCAACAGAGTAAACAGACAACCTACAGAATGGGAGAAAATATCTGCCAACTATGCATCTGACATAAGTCTAATATCCAGCATCTATAAAGAACTTAAACAAATTTACAAGAAAAAAACAACTCCATTAAAAAGTGGGCAAAGGACATGAACAGTTTTCGAAAGAAGACATATATGTGGCCAACAAGCATATGAATAAAAGCTCAATATTACTGATCATTAGAGAAATGCAATCAAAACCACAATGAGATACCATCTCCAACAGTCAGATGGCTATTATTAAAAATTACAAAATAACAGATGCTGGCAAGGTTGCAGAGAAACGAGAATGCTTATACACTGTTGGCGGGAGGGTAAATTCGTTCAACCATTGTGGAAAGCAGTGTGATGATTCCTCAAAGAGTAGAAAACAGAACTACCATTCAACCCAGCAATTCCATTACTGGGTATACACCCAAAGGAATATAAATTGTTCTGTCATAAAGACACATGCTACTTGCAGCAGTATTCACAATAGCCAAGACATGGAATCAACAGAAATGCCCATCAATGGTAGACTGGATAAGGAAAATGTGGTACATATACACCATAGAATACTATGCAGCCAGAAAAAAGAACGAAATAATGTCCTTTGAAGCAACATGGATGGAGCTGGAGGCCATTATCCTTAGCAAACTACGCAGGAACAGAAAACCAAATACCACATATTCTCACTTATATGTAGGAGCTAAATGGTGAGAACACATGGGCACAAAGAGGGGTACAACAGACATTGAGGCCTACCTGAGGGTGGAGGGTGGGAGAAGGGAGATGATCAGAAAAAATAACTAATGGGTACTAGGCTTATTACGTGGGTCACAAAATAATCTGTACAACAATCCCCTGTGACACGAGTTTACTTATATAACAAACCTGCACATGTGCCCCTGAACCTAAAATAACAGTTAAAAAAAGATATGTAGAAGACATTCATAGCACTATCATTCATAATAAGTCAAACACTGAAAAATAGCCATATCCCCATAATAGATACATTTAATTGCAAAATATCCACACAACATAATACTACACATTAATGAGAATGAATGATCTACAACTATAGACAACAATAAATGTAAAATTCATGGTAAGATGCTGAAGGAGCCAGACAGAAAAAAAGCACATCTTGTATGATTTAGGAAATTTTCCCCTGTTCTTTCAGTATAGTTTGGGGCTGATAAGAAAATCAACACGCCATTTCTTTTCATTTGAAGGTACTTAGTGTACTCTTATGTTACCTGCAGGTTAACCTCAGGAAAACATCCATCCTAAGCCCTTGAAAAGTGATTCACTATACGTAGTAACAAGGCTAATGCCAAGTCTAATGAACAGCGAGCTGGGAGCAAGACAGGACACATACTTGGGGCACAGTGACAGATCTAAACCATTAACTCTAGATGGTGACCTTGGGTAATCACCATACCTCACAAATGCTTTTTCTTCTTCCTAGGTGTATTGGTCAGGAGTGTGAGCTCTGGAGACAGAATAGAGACAAGCCCTAGTTCTGCCATGTAAAGACTGAGTGACTTTAAATACTTTCACTTCACCTTATAGTCACTCATTTGTTACATCCATAAAACTGGCATTACACAGTACATAATGTAGAAGACAAAACATTAAAAATATATTTATTAACTTGTGTTTTGAGTTTTTAAAAAGATAAATGGTGAGTAATCACATTATTTAAAAAATTCTCCTACAGAGATGCTGGGGAAAAAAAGCTTAATAGTCTTACAGCTGAATCATCTTCATCAACCAACATATTTTTTAAATCACTTATTGTTATTATAACTAATATTAGTTATAGTAAAACTAAATAACTTGAGAACATCTCAAAGCACTTGGAAGGTCTGATCTCAGAAAACAGCACCACCATTTCTCTGCATGGCCAAACAAAAAGCCCAGGGGTTCTCCTTAACTCTCCCTTATCTTCACACACCCCAGGCACACAGCCACTGCAGGTCCTACCTGCCCGACGTGCAAACACGCCCTGTCCAGGTCCATCCCTCCCTTTGTACATAGCTGCAGCCCTGGCCTCATCCACACACATCCCTCTCCTGGACTTCTGCAATATTTTCCTAATGGTTATCCCCACTCCCTATCTTGTCCCTCTCCAGCCCATTCTCCACACAGCAGCCAGAGTCAGCTTCCACATAAAGAATCAGATCACATCACTCCCATACTCTAACCCACCACACTGAGAATAAAACTCAAACTCCTGTCAGGCGCGGTGGCTCACGCCTGTAGTCCCAGCACTTTGGGAGGCCGAGGCGGGCAGATCATGAGGTCAGGAGATCGAGACCATCCTGGCTAACATGGCGAAACCCCATCTCTACTAAAAATACAAAAAATTAGCTGGGCTTGGTGGCGGGAGGCTGAGGCAGGAGAATGGCGTGAACCCGGGAGGCGGAGCTTGCAGTGAGCCGAGATTGCGCCACTGCACTCTATCTAGCCTGGGTGACAGAGCAAGACTCCGTCTCAAAACAAACAAACAAAAACCTCAAACCCCTTACAGGACTGAAACCATGTGGCTCCTGTCTACCCTTTCAATCTCATCTCCCACCTGTCTGCACTTATGTGCCAGGCTCCAGCCACTCCAGCTTGTCCTCTGCTCCTGGATCAATGGTGCCCACACACGGCACAGGGACACTAACAAAATGGCCTCTCCATGCCTGGCTTCTTCTTATCGTTCAGGACTCAGCTCAAGTGTCACTTCCTGAGAAGGAGCCTCATTGACAACCCCATCTATAATAATCCCTGTCTCAGTCATTTTCTACTCCACCTGTTTATTTTCTTCAAAACACATATCCTCATATGAAATCACATGGCTTATTGACTTGTTTACCTGCTTACTGCCACTTTTCCCAAACTAGAATGATAGCTCCAGGGACCCTGCCTATCTTATTCTCTGTGCTGTTTCCTCAGTGCCTACTTTAGTACTTCACATATAATCACTGAAATAATATTACTTAATTGAAGGAATTGCTGCCTATTTAACAGACCAAAGAAGACAGATATTTAAGCTGAGTAGCAGGAGCAACTATCAATGAAATTAGATATTAAATGATTTAAAACTGTAAGAAGATCCTGTACATCCATAGCAGCGCTTTTCAAACATGGATGATGTTATAGTCTGAATATCTGTGACCCCCCCCGCCTCAAATTCATATTAAAACCTAATACCAAGGTGATGGTATTAGAAGGTGAGGCTATGAGAGGTTTTTAGGTCATTAGGGCTCTATCCTCATAACTGAGATTAATGCTGTTATCAAAGAGACTCCAGAGAGCTAGCTAGCCCCTTCCACCAGGGGAGGTTATAGTGAGAAGTCATCCATCTATGAAGGAAGTGGGCCCTCAGCAAAACACTGAAGCTGTCAATGCCTTAATTTTGGATTTCTCAGCCTCCAGAACTGTGAGAAATAAATTTCTGTTGTTTATCAGCTACCGAGTTATGATATTTTGTTATAGTAGCTCAGAATGCACTAAGATGAGTACCAGACCAACTGAAGATATTACTTTAAATGGAGACACCTCCCATCCCACCTCCTTGGTTTTGATTCAGCAGATCTAGGGTAGGTCCAAGTATCTGCTATTTTAACGAGCACCTCCTGATGAATTTGATGAAGTGATCCATAGACCACACTTGGAAAAATTCTGACCTCAACATTTCACATTTGGCCAGGTGCAGTGGCTCACGTCTGTAATCCCAGCACTTTGGGAGGCCAAGGTGGGCAGATCACTTGAGGTCAGGAGTTCAAGACCAGCCTGGCCAACATGGTGAAACCCTGTCTCTACCAAAAATTCAAAAATTAGCTGGGTGTGGTGGTAGGCACCTGTAAGCCCAGCTACTCAGGATACTAAGGCAGGAGAATCGCTTGAACCAGGAGGCAGAGGTTGCAGTGAGCCAAGATCATGCCTCTGCACTCCAGCCTGGGTGACAGAGCGAGACTCCATCTCAAAAAAAAAAAAAAAAAGTTCACACTTGAGCACCATTAATTTAATGCCTACCATGCAGATTCTGGGACATCTGGAATATCCCTATTAATGTAATTACTCAAATGTACACTACTTTTCTAAGGAGGGGGGAAGATTGCTTTCCCACATGAGATCATACTTAAACTCCAGAGTATTCCTGGTGGTCAGGAATATTGGGTATTTTTATCCTGTTGTATAGACTAATCTAAAGGAAGGGTAGTGACTTACCTAAAGTGTCCCCATGATGGAATCTGGATCTCTTGACTTTTGCTTCAGTAGCCTGTCTAGCAGATTCAACACCACACCTCCATTCTTCTCCACAAACTACTGGTTCTGTGCTGCAGAGTCAACACCCTTGTCTGATGTTACACTAGATGGGAGAGTAAGAGGACAAGAAAGCACAAGGAATGAGTAGGAAGGTAAGAGGATGAAAAAGCACATGAAAAACAGGGGATGGGGTGATGATGCCTGTCCTGTCCCCATTCAGTTACTTGGAAGCTGTGCAATGATGCTTTTCGTCTTCCTCAGCTCCATCCCACAACCCTCTCCCCCACACAGAATGACAGTGAAGCTGTCACCTAGTGGAAATGTGGGCTTATCCCTGCTTGCTATTACAATTGCAAGTATTCTCTCTGTAGTCATGCTATTACATTAATATATGACATGAAAACCACAATCCGTAAGTGAACAAATCAATAAATTGGACTTCCTCAAAGTCAAAAACTTTTGCTTTTCCAAATATATGGATAAGAAAATGAAAATACAAGTCCCTGACTAGGAGAAAGTGTTTAAAATAATATATCTGATGAAGGACTTGTATCCAGAATATAGAAAATATCACAAAAGTCAGAGGAAAACAGACACTTAAGTAAATAAATGGGCAAAATATTTGAATAGACATTCCACTAAAGAAGATATATATATACAAATGTCAAGTAAACACATGAAAAGATACTCAACAACATTAATCGTTAGGGAAATGTAAATGAAAACTGCAATGAGATACTACTATATTCTTGTAAGAATGGCCAAAATTAAAGAAACTGACCATATCAAGCACTGGCAAGGTTGGGGAGGATAAAACTCTCACACACTGCTGGTGACAGCAGTGGTACAACCACTTTGGAAACAGCTTGGCAGTTTCTTACAATGTTAATCTTATATCTACCATATATCCAGCAATTGCACTCCTAAATATTTACCCCAAAGAAAGAACGCGTATGTCTATGAAAAGACTTATTCACATATGTTCATATCAGCTTTATTTATAAGTGTCCCAAATTAGAAACAACCCAAATATCCACCAACAGGTGAATGGATAAAGCAAATAGTGGTATAGCCATACACTGGAATGCTATTAAGCAATAACAAAGAATAAACTATTGATATATGCAACGAAATGGATAAATCTAAAATTAAATAGGGTGAATGAAAAAAGCCAGATTCCTCTTAAAAAAACCTCTCTATGATTCCACTTAAATACATTTCTAGGACATAAAACCAAATCTACAGTGACAGAAATGTGTTTGCCTGGAGACAGGGCGGTAGGAGGGGTAGGGACCCCAGGTACTATAGAACTGAAAATGTTATTTCCTACGAAATAATAATAATAATACTTAGGCTTATCTGGTTATTTTAGGAGATGTGACTAGGTATCATTATAATTGGGCAAACTATCAAGTAATTGTTATTTTCAAAAATACTAAATTCTTGTACCTGACATTTAACTAACACTTAATAAATTCCTGGCCTCTTAAAAAATTACATTGCAGAATGGATGAAAACACGCTAACCATGAAAGCATGCATATTACAATCTCAAATTGCTATGAAGACCTTCTAACCACCTGCATATTTCAACTTCCATCCGAGATACATGGGAATAATGAATTATTATTTATACAGTCAGAAAACTATGTGTAAATTTATTACAAATGCATGTTAAATATCAAGTTTCTTCCCCAACTGAACAATTCATTGCTTTAAGAAAGGTAGCTCCAAATGGGCCTCAAGGGATACTACAAAGCATGTAGCTGCTGATGCACGCAATGAAATCCACCTGTTGAGCCTCTTTTCCAGTGATAAGATCAAAGTGGCTGCTCTACTTTTAGACTACTTTGTGAACTACACAGCTACTATTCTGCAACATACTTCTGCTCAGATCTATGAACTCACTTGAGCCAGGCATCATATCCCACCAAGGATGGAAGTGCTAGAGATCTCCTGAGGACTGCTGTCCTGCAAATCTGAAGTAGAAGCTTCAGCAGTCATCATGACCTAGATCATCAGAACCCACCTCCTTCAGACACCTGATATAAGTTTAGTTGCCCCCGTGAAGTGCTTCCTGGGGAGAGACAGACTCCAGCAATCACTATGCTTTATTGAAGTGACTCTGTGCCTGCAACCATGCTGGGCACTGAATTAGTGACCAATGACACTGACACAATCAGGTAGTGATCATAACAACAGAAGGAACAATGAGTTTCTCACCAGGGCCTTTTCTTCTCCTTTCCATCTATCACCTAATAACAACTTTAAAAAAGAATGAGGAAACTGCCTGAGCCCTTGGTAGAGGAACACAACCACTACCAACCTGTAGCCCAACACCAAGGAATCTGGCACTGGGGACACATACCCCATCTTTCCCTCACTCACTTGCTAGTATCTCCCATTGGCCAAACCCAACTGGAAGCCTAAGGAGAAGGGATCTGAGTTGATGTAATCTATAAGGATCAGACCTGTGAAGCACAGAGTAGGGTGGTGAGGGGTGGAAGCTTTGAAGAGACAAATTGAGGCTATCCAGCACAGTATCTAATATACAACTGTGCTGTAGGCTGAATAACACTCCTCTGCCCCAAAGAAATCCATGTCCTAATCTCTGGAACAAGTGAATATGTTACATTACATGGTAAAATGGACTTTACAGATGTGATTAAGTTAATGATCTTAAAATGGTGAGGTTATTCTGGATCATATGGGTGGGCCTGATATAATTACAAGGGTCTTTATGAGGGAAATAGGGAGGCAATAAAATCGGAGAAGTAGATGTGACCACAATATGGAGGTTAGAGTAATGTGAGGGCATGAGCCAAGGAATGCCAGCAGCTTCTAGAAGCTGGAAAAAAACGAAAATTCATTCTACACTAGAACTTCCAGAAGGAACATAGCCCTGCTGACACCTTGATTTTAGCCCAGTGAGACCTACTTTGGACTTTTGAACTCCAAAACTGTAAAATAATAAATTTCTGTTGTTTTCAAAAAATAAAAGAAAAGAAATAGCCTGAATCCATAAAGCACCCATCGTCCCATAACAACCACAGGGCTATCTATCATCTTGCACCTGTGTTATCACTGCAGGTTGCAGCAATCCTGTGGGTGTGCATTCTTATCCTCATTTTACAGAACGGGACGCTGGGCTCAGAGAGTCCTTACCTGTCTGATCCTCCCACGTCCCGCCTGTATAGAAAGTTGCCCCAGGACACCCGGAGCAAGACATCACACTCACTGGGGCGAGGAGGGTCCCAGCTCTTTCTCTCTCTCATGAGACCGCCAGGGCAACTTATGCCAAAGCGGGAACGAGGGAACTTGGATCTGGGCTCCTTTCGTCTCTCCACACCCCAGGAAGGTTCAGCCCCCACCGCGGGGCACCCACACCCTCAGCTGAGTCCCAAACACCTGAAGGCGGGACCCTGCTCTTCCTGCCCGGCCACGTTGGTCTCTATTTTAAAAGTCTTCACGGTCGCCGTTATGACGTCAGGTTTCTATGGCAACCGTGATACGCAGGCTGGTCCAGCACACCGGAAATGCCATAGAGTGGCCTTTTGACTCCTTGGCTTTCACAAAGAGAAAATGGCTTCACTCTTCAGGCGGCTTCCTGGGTAGCTATAATAATTAGAGGAACTAGGCTGGGACGGAGCCAATTGATAGAATTCTGCCAGGTTTGATGGAACAATGTCCCGGTTGTCAGTAGTTTTGTTTAAAAGTGACAGTAGAGGAATATCACCAGTGCACAGAGACCTGGAGCTCTTGGAGATAAGCTAGCTCACTGAGGAGGAGCATGTACAGTTCACACACCACACTAATCAGTTATCCATCTGTGGCAGAAAACTAAGACTGTCTATAATCATGTGACTAAAAGATCTAGGAACAACAAAATAAGTCATTTAAGATATCTCAGAGTTATTTCAGTAATGCAAGCCTAGAAACCTAATCAATTCAACCATGCAATGGTTTGTCTTGAGAAAATTCTTATCCTTCATTCCTACATGTGGAGGGACATTCATGACCACAACATTTCTAGACTCTCTATACACTCAATCCTTTTCTGTCACAGGAGGAACTTCTCTAATTGGTGAGTTGGGAAGAAGAAAAAGGGGTTGCATTGCCCAGGCTGCCTCCCTTCAAAATTCTTGGTAGTAAGCTGCTCTTCAGGAGCACTTGTTCTTCCCTGCCCTCAGAGGTGGATCTTTTTTTTTTTTTTTTTTTGAGATGGGGTTTCACTGTTTCACTCTTGTTGCCCAGGCTGGAGTGCAATGGCACAATCTTGGCTCACTGCAACCTCCGCCTCCCGGGTTCAAGCAATTCTCCTGTCTCAGCCTCCTGAGTAGCTGGGATTACACGCATGCACCACCACACCCAGCTAATTTTTATTTTTAGTAGAGACAGGGTTTCTCCCTGTTGGTTAGGCTGGTCTTGAACTCCTGACCTCAGGTGATCCGCCTGCCTCGGCCTCCCAAAGTGCTGGGATTACAAGCATGAGCCACCGAGCCCAGCCCAGAGGTAGATCTTACAATAGGCCCACAGTGCTACTCCTCTTTCTGTGCCTCACTGGCTCAACTATTTCTATTGTCTTTCTCCAAATTGCTTGGATTTTTTAAGCAATTTACCTCCATGCTTCAAGTCTAAGCTTGAAATCAAGTAATAAATAGATGAAAGAAGAAAAATACATGGACTTTATTCCTCATAAAGAAGATACTGGAGAAGATGACTTAGATTTGCTGGCATGTGGGCTTCCTATGAAGGATCCACAGAATTGAAAAAGATTTATCCACCAAGTAGTGCCATGACAGGAAAATCATAAAGGCCAAGGACTGCAATGCATATCAAGCTGCTGTCTGGTGCAGGAGTCCTATGTGTTCCCATGGAAAGTAGCTTCCTTGCAAGGCTATCCCCTGTAGCAGGAGAAAGAGTTTCAAGATCTCTTCTTTCAGAAACACTTCTTAAAGTACGTAAATAACCCTTGTTCAGAACGAATACTCACCAAGCCAAAGCCAATCTCTGAGGCTTTCCCCGTGGAGTCATTTGTGACAACACTTTGTCAGTACCTTAATTCATGTGATTTCAATAGAGGCTCATCTCATGGAATTAGGTTCTAAATTCAGAGTAGGTTGAAAATCATATATTGTGATAGCTTCCATTGAAAATTCCTTCAAGAAGGAATTGACTAAATATTCAGAAATTTATACACACACACAAACAAACACAGAGACTATACTCAAAATTATTAGTATAACAATGTCCCACCAAGCCTTCAAGGATAAGAGAATCCCTTTGATATCCAATGATAACAAAGTACAGAAAAAGGGGAAAAGTTCACCCAAACCATGTTTTAGATAACCATTTCTACCTAACGAATACCCCAAAACAAACCATTTATTATCTCTCAGAAATCTGAGTGTTGACTGAGCTCAGCAATGTGTTTTCTGCTGCATGTGGTGTATGTTTCGCGGGGCTGTGGGGCTACACTCCACTGGGACATCCAAGAGAGTTTACTCACATGAAAGACAATTGGTGCTGATGCCACCTGCAGCTCAGTTGGGGTTGCTTCCTGGAGCACCTTGGTTCAGCACAGAGTCCCCATGTTTAGGGCAACCAGATAAAATAGAGGATATCCAGTTAAATCTAAATTCCAGATAAAAATGAATAATTTTTTAGTGTAAGTATGATGGTTAATTTTATGCATCAACTTGACTGGGCCATGGTACCCATATATCTCATCATCATTATTCTGAGTGTTTCTGTAAGGACGGTTTTGGATGAGATTAACATTTAAATTAGTGGACGCTGAATAAAGCAGACTGCCCTCTATAATGTGGGTGGTCCTCATCCAATCATCTGGAGACCTGAATAGAGCGAAAATCTGACATCCCTGAGCAAAAGGGAATACTGCTAACAGATAGCCTTCAGAATTGAATTGCAACATTGGATCTGCCTTATTCTCCAGTCTGCAAGCCCACCCTACAGAGATTGGACTTTCAGCCTCCAATAATCATGTGAAACAGTTCCTTAAAATGAATCTCTCTCTATCTCATACACACACACACACACACACGCCCTACTGGTTCTGTTTCTCTGGGTGTGGCATGCAACATTATTTCATTTATCTGAATGCAACTGGGAATTCTGTATTTTTATTTGCTAAATCTTGCAACCCTAGAAGAGGAATCTCTGGATATGTAAGTTTACCAACAGTCTGAAATGACACTTCCAATGGGGCAGGTGTGGAGAAAACGAGCAGTTCAGATTGGCAAGAAAAGACAAAAGCTGTTAACAACTAGTGTTGGTGAAATGAAGAAGAAACGGACTCATATACACGATTAGTGCCACACCGATGTATCCGTTTTCTGAGGCCAGTATTATTACATCTTAATAACTTGAATGGACTTTGTGCAGAAGTCCTATTTCCACCAACAAGGGAGTTTCAGCTGAGGGTTTAAAAAAAGCTCATCAAAGTGACTCTGATGTGTATGCTGGTTAAGGGGTCTTGGCTGAAAAGGCAGGTAAATTTGTCACATGAGTTCCTGCTCGAGGGAAGAAAGACAGCTACCATTTATGGAGCAGATTGTTTAGAGGTGCCCAGCTCCAGGTTCTTCACCTTGGTAGTTGGATTTAATCTCGACAGCCCTGCTAGTGAGGTATTGCTATCCTTTCTTCATGAATGTAAGTGACTACAAAGCAAGTACTCCTAACCATAGAGCTGGATGGCAAAGAGGTTTCTCACCACACCCACTGCCAGAGCCAGGGATAGAACCTGCCAGCTTGGGTACCTTGAGTTGCTGGTGAAAGCACTTCAGCAAATGTATCAGGACATGTACCGCTGTGAGGTTAATTTCTGTTTTCCCATGTTTACCCTCCCTACAGAAGGGAGCCAGGCTTTGTCCCCCTTCCCCTTGCCTGAGGGGAGGTTTATGGCAGGGATGGAAGCAGAAGCTGTCTGAAGCCATTATTTCTTCCATCCTCTGTGAAAATCTAAGCTTAAAGAAAGGGTTGGCCTACCTGCATCTGGTAGGGAGGGAAGGGCCTTTGAGGACACAGAAAGGGGATAGGAAGGGAGTTTTCTTCCAGACAAGGATGAGGTCAGAGGTCTACAAATCCCTCCAGGAGTAAGGACATGAGCACTGGTGCATATCAACACTTGAGGTGGATCCATGGATGATTCATTGAGGCTGTGCATCCAGCCTTGAAAGAGATTTTCTTGTTTGGATGGCAGGATGGATGAAGCAGGGTCAGGGGTCCTGAAGGCACCAAGGGAAATGGTCAGCTTCGCCCTGAGCAGTAGGGAAACATGATTGATGATGGCAGGGTTCTCTCAGGATGTATCTAAAGGATACATTACTACAAATGATCATCTTTATCAAAGAGTATGACCATTTAACATATTAAGTATTTGCTGTCTAGTTGAAAGTTAAAATCTCCTTACTAATGAATATCCCAACCAACTCCAAGATGAGAGCACTCATTTTTTTAGATTTGTGCAATAACGGCTTTTCCAACTTTATTAATATTTGCTGATGAAATATTCTATGCTGTAATGTTAGAATATGTTTCATTTTCTCCGTCTATTTCCACGTAAATGGCATATTTCACATGTGCATTTTTAAATGCAAACATAATGGTTCCACTTTATGCCTCAAGATATGTCCTGGAATAATTGTAGAGTTTGGCAAGAAAACCAGATCAGTAAGTTTGTGTTTTTGCTGTGCCCTGTTTAAATTGAAATTATGGAGTCAGGAGAACTCCACACACTGCCAGGAGAGGAGAAATTGGTACAAGCTCTTTGTGGAGACACTGCACAGCATCTGTGAGAGAAGCAAGCAAGGCCCTGTCAGCCGCAGCCCTCTCAGGTCTGCACTTCAGAGAGTTTTGCATGTATGCAAACCTGGTCACAGCAGCGTGGCTAAAATATAGTTCCAAAGTTGCCTGATTAAAGAAACTTCAGAAACGCTATTTTCAGTGTAAAAATCTCCATAAGTGGTACCTAAATATACTACTTCTATAGTTAGAGCTTAAAATATGTGAAGAAATTATGTGTTCTGTTCAGGAGCGTATAGTCATATGCCCTATAACGACGTTTCAGTCAATGATGAGCCGCATATATGACGGTGGTACCATTAGATTATAATATTGTATTTTTACTGTAACTTTTCTATGTTTAGATTATTTACCATTGTGTTACAATTGCCTACAGTATACAGTACAGTAACTTCCTATAGGTTTGTAGCCTAGGAGCAATAGGCTATACCATCTAGCTTAGATATGTAGTAGGTTATACCATCTAGGTTTGTGTAAGTACACTTTATGATGTTTGCACAATGACACATTTGTCAGAACGTATCCCTGTTGTGCAATGCATAACTATGTTCATGAATAATAAATATGGAACAAAACTTTAGAATGGTAAAAAAAATTTGATTTGGATAATGGTTCCCTCAGGGGTAAGACAATCAGAGAAGATACATAGAAGCATTTACTCTGCAATATTTGACTTGGTTGTACACATGTTTGCCTATTATGGTATTTATTATAAGTTTTTAAATGCCTGAAATCTAACATATTTGACATGAATAAGTCTTTAATGGGCCTTATCTCTGATTAACAAGTAACCCATTGTGCACTTAGAAAATACGGAAAATGCACTCATATACCAATATGAACATATTGATAACATTTAACCCCACCATGGACTAGTGAAAACTGTAATCATGGTGGTATGTTTCCTCCAGTTGTCATCTACACACGTGTGTACATGTGCACACACACACTGTATATGCATTGAATATGGATTTGATTTAACTGGAATGTATCAATTTTCTTTAAGTGTGTAACTACAAAGTTAGTGGCTGAAAGCTACATCTAAGGTCATGGGTCTGTAGGTCAGAAGTCTGGCACTGTATGACCTTGCTCTCAATTTAGGGTCTCACAAAGCTGAAATCAAGGTATCTATGTAGACTTGACTGAGATCTTTTGTCTGGAGGCTCTGGGTAAAAATTTGCTTCCAAGATCATCCTTGTTTCTGGGAGAAGTCATTTTCTCAAGACTATTGCACTGCAGCACAACCCACCTCCCAGTTTCCTTGACGGCTATCGTCTTAGAGTCTTCTCAGCTCCTAGGGGCTACTCCAGTTCCCTGATACGTGATCTCCTTCTTCCAGCCAGCAATGGTGTGTTGAATGCTCCCTGGGTTCTGATTCTCTGATTTCCCCTCCTCTGAACAGCCAGAAAAAAATACTCTGCTTTTAAAAAGCTCATTTGATTAGGTCAGCCCCCAGCCAAATTATCACCCTTTTACCATATAACAGAACATAATCATGTAAGTGATATCACGTTATATTAACTGGTTCCACCCACATTCAGAGAAGAGGAGATTATACAAGATTGAAAGGGTCATTGAAGCTCATTTTAAAATTCTGCCTACCACAAGGAGATTCATACAAAAAAATCATGCAAAGTTCAACCAATGGTGTTCAGCTTTAAACTGTTTTTTTTTTCTGACCCAACCCCCAGGCCACTGCAATAGGGCAATTATTGCACTAGGCTGAGGCCAGCACAAGGGAAATGACTCATCCAAAGTTTTGTAGTCAGGGACGTGTCTGGTCTCCTGACTCCAGTCTTTTGTTCAGCATCTATGTATCTTGTTCTGTAGTGTCCCTTCTACTTCAGAATCAATGGGAAACTTCTCCTCCAGTGTCAGACTAGATGGCAAAGAAAGGGGACAGGAAGGCAAATGCAGTCATAGGAAATGATGTGGGGATTTTTTTCTGTTTCCCCATTCCCACATGGAACTCATCCCACAACTCAGAACTGGCCCAAAGCTCATAGGTTATGGGGACATATTTCAGTTCTTGCTGCTACCTTTCCACAAACTCTCTATGGCAGTAATGCCCTTTGGTTTAGATAAATGTCATCTCCTCTCTGGGAGGGAGGAGGTAAATAGCCGTGAGTGTTATGTGTTGAAGTCCTACTATGTCCCGTAGGTACTTGACAGGTTTTCTGAAAAAGATATGTGGTGAGCCTTATTTCACAGATGATCAAGCTCGTTCTCACAGGGACTAAACCCTCTTCAGAGAAGTGGCAGAACTGGAATGTGATTCTATCTCTTGCCTTCCCCACAATATCACCAGCAGCTTCCCATTTGGAAGATGATGGCTTTGCACTCCCCCAGTATTGTGCCCTATGGGCCTCACTCAACAGCCCTTCACATCAAGGAAGAGGACGGTGGAGATGAAATCCTGCCCTTTGACCTATGAAGCTTATGTTAGGTCACATGGATTGGCTGGTGCCCATGGCCCCTCCTAGGCCCGCTGACCCCACTCCACTGACATCAAGCTTGCATGTGTGACTAGATGTGGCCAATGATTGATGAGAGGAAATGGAGCGTGCCCCTCCCAAGCAGAAGTGATAAGAGCCATGTAGGTGTCCCACCAGTACACTTTGTCCCTCTGCCTCAGCAATGACGCAGATTTCCTATGAGATAGCTTAGTTCATTGAATCCTCCAGCAGCATTAGAATATGAGAATTTAAATGAGGACAGGAATGCTTCAGAAGAGGCAAGCTAAATGATTTATACCCAAAATTGGCCTGCTAGAAGATCATCCCAACTCACATGCCCTAACATTGAGTCTGTACCCAGCAGAAGGTACACGTTTTACCCATATCACATAGAGAGCAGTTTGTCAGGCTCTGGAAACAACATCTTCTGCCTTTCACTCCATTGCTCTCTCCAGAAGACCTCTCCTCATGCTTAGCTCTTCCCTGGGCATGTGTCTTTATAGAGCCACAAGAACAACCCAGATACCCAGTTAATGACCACTTCTGATGCTCACTCTCCAAGAGAGTCCCAAAGAGGTCAGGAAACATACACTGATTCTACAGAAATGGGGTGACAACATTTCCCCATTCTACCTACACTGCGCGATGCCACAACACAGAAGAGGCACCAACTCTTATACATGATGTAAGTCTGTGTAGGTTTATTTTTCTTTCTGTTGCCATGTTTTCAGAAGCTCTTTAGGACACAATTATGCTTCTTAGCACTATATAGTTTAGGTTAAAGTCATCTCAGAAGCAGAAGCTGCAAAGGGCTGTGGAAAGGAAACTAATACTTCAAGGGCCTACAACGGGCCAGATACTAGGCACTTTACATACCGTTTCTCTAAGTCCTTACAACTGCTCTGTAAGTTAGGTATCAGTATTCCCTGCTTAAACTCATTCCTCCCCAGAGGCAGGCTCTCCTAAGGCTCATGGAGGTTAAATATATTTTACGAGGACACAGACCCAGTAAGAGGCAGCATGGTTATTCTAATCCAGGGTGGTCAGAGCCCAAAGTTGAGTTCTATCATGACCTTTTGCAGGTAAGTGTGGGTAGTAACATTTGCCTTGTTCTAGAGCAGGTTTTCTCAACCTCAGCACTGTTGACATTTTGGGCTGGAGAGCTCTTTGCTGTGGGGGCTGTTCTAGGCAATGGGGGGTGTTCAGCAGCCTTCCTGGCTCCCAGGGAGGCTAGTAAGGGAAGTGACTTATCCCTGAAACAGGAATATCCCAAGTTACTGGTTTGGGTCCGACACTAGGATGAAGAGAGACATCCTGTCTCTCTTGCTCCAGTGTTCTGTCCAGCAGACATAGTATGAGGCTTTCATCAGGCCCCTCAGAAGTGCAAAGGAAACACAGTTCTCTCAGGCAAAGAGGAGGGCAAGATAAGGGGATAGGAAAACCCAGGAAACAGGAAGAAATGGGGTGAGTGGTGACTTCATTCCCTTACCCCAATCTCTACTCATGGGGTCCATGACTCAGTTAGATGGAGATGGCGGAAAAACTTTCTACCATTCCCCCGGCCCCAGCAGGGCACTCATTCCACCGCATAGAAATGGCACTGACTCACGGTGCAATTAGAAACGTGGGAGTGTTTTTTTTTCTTCTCTCCACATGCCCTTTAGATCATGCCACCCCCTCAAATGTATTCACATTTGTAGTTCACCCTTTCCTGCCTCCTCCACTACTAGCCAGGAAAAGCTCCAGCAGACTCCTGACTCTCAGCAGGTTCATCCTCAAAAAGTGTGATTCTTGGCCAGGAGCGGTGGCTCACGCCTGTAATCCCAGCACTTTGGAAGGCCGAGGAGGGTGGATCACGAGGTCAGGAGATCCAGACTATCCTGGTTAACACGGAGAAACCACATCTCTACTAAAAATACAAAAAATTAGCCGGGCACCGAGGCGGGCGCCTGTAGTCCCAGCTACTCTGGAGGCTGAGGCAGGAGAATGGCGTAAACCCGGGAGGCGGAGGTTGCAGTGAGCCGAGATCACGCCACTGCACTCCAGCCTGGGCGACAGGGCGAGACTCCGTCTCAAAAAAAAAAAAAAAAAAGTGATTCTCTTTTTTTCCCCTTCAGATGTACTGATCCGCCTGTGTCTTCTCAGGCCCATTGAGACTCCAGACCCCTTTGTGAGACAATGGCTGTATGATCCTTGCATTCCCAGAGAACTGGATGGCTCCTGCTGACCAACTTTCTGAGTCCAGTGGATTCGTTCAAGGGAGCAGGAAGGTAGTCAGATCCTCCTTCGGGAGAGGGCTGTGTCTGGGCAGGAGCTGGAACTAACAGGTTTTCTTCAGATCCAGCAGTGATAGACAAGGAGATATTTAGTTGTAGAATAATGTGGTTCACAGAGTAGTTTCTTTTAAAAGAATTAATGGGCCGGCCCGGTGGCTCACGCCTGTAATCCCAGCACTTCGAGAGGCCGAGGCAGGTAGATAACCTGGTCAAGAGTTTGAGACAAGCCTGGCCAACATGGTGAAACCCCGTCTCTACTAAAAATACAAAAATTAGCTGGGTGTGGTGGCGCACGCCTGTAATCCCAGCTACTTGGGAGGCTGAGGCAGGAGAATCACTTGAACCCAGGTGGTGGAGGTTGCAGTGAGCCGAGATCATGCCACTGCACTCCAGCCTGGGCAACAGAGCGAGACTCCATCTCAAAAAAAAAAAATTAATGTAGCCCCCCTGGCAAACTGAGAAAAGCTGTCTCTATTGAGGCCCAGGAAAGGGGCTTCTGAGAAATCACTGCAGCTACACAGGAGTGATTGGGGGAGGTGGACGAAAGGAGGGCCCTTGAATGAGGTCTGTTCTTGAGGGCTGTAAGGGAAGAGGAACCCCATGTCCAGCATAATCTGCCCAAAACAAGTGTAATGATTCATGGTCGTGGCAAAGCCTGGGTGATCATTTCATGCAGCAAAGCAGTGGTTAGAACTTTTGATGAATGCTGCAGCATTTGTCTTCTTTCCTGATGTGCTGGCAAAAACTAATCACAAGCAATTTTTCAGTGTGAAATAGGAAATACCAAATAAATCAGCCAGTGAATAAGGATCCTAGGAAAACTAGCAGTAGCCCCTCCACCCAAGGCTGAACTGGAAGCCGAGAGTCTAAAAGGCAGTTCCAAATGCTAGGGTAATAATGCAGATTTTAAAGAGAACATGAGATGTGGGTAATAATGAAGTCACTCCGTTGCCAAGTCAACAGACAGTGAGCTTCTCTGTTCTGACTCCCTTTCAAGTTTAGGCTCAAATCAACCATCACTGTGAACTTTGAGTGAAAGAGGAGACGACAACAAGGAGAATTTGCGGCTGTGGGAAGCCTCCTCTTAGAACGCTTACAATTGATGAAACCCCTGCTCTTGGCAGAGTGAAGAGAGGGCCTTCTTTGAGTGGAAAAACCTATCCATCATGATGGTTGGTTGGTCAGACATGATTCCCTATTACTGTTTCATGTTGCAGCTAATCTTCTGTCTTCTGCTCCTCATCACATTAGTGTTACGCATGGTCTTCCAAATTTGGAAACAACATTGAACAACTTAACTTCAGGAGATGAAAGATTTTCAAACTTAGTGGATATCTGCAACTTTCAGAAGAAGAGAACAAAGAATGCACTCAAAGGGAAAAGGACATGTACTTCATTACCATTGTCTTTTGGAACATAATAACTGACTGGTTTCATTCACAGAACCATGGATCTCCATGTCATTTGGGATACAAGCAGAAAACATAAAGATACAGCAAATTTCCTGGTCTCTGCCTCTGCATATTTTTTGTACTTACCTAAAAGGTTCCCATTTTATACAGATTTTGTAAAAACTCCTTACAGTAAATACCATTTATAATGTGGCAGAGATTATGTTAGGTGCTCTACTTGTTTCTTAACCCTCACTAGAAGCCTATGAGTTAGGTACCACGATTATTTTACCAAAGAGGAAATGGAGGCTGAAGGGGCATGTTTGTGGCATCAGCTTATTATTTATAAGTGGCAAGGCTGGGACTCAAACCCAGACCGTAAGACACCCAGACGTGCTCTCAAGCCCAAGGATGTTCCCTGGTGGGCAAAGAATGTCTGTCTTCTATCGTCCTGAATGCACAACTTGGTAAGATGGATTGATTTCTCCTTGTTACCTCAGTTTTCCCTTAGCTTAATATCAAACTTCTTTGAGGCTGCAGTCTGGGGCCAGAGTAAAGACAACCAAGCCTCTTAACATTTCATAAATAGCCCAATGACACACTTGTATAGAGTAGAAGAATTCTTTACATGTCAGCAAATAACGCTTAGTTTATTTTTAAGAGATTCTTCTTGGAAACACATTGCCTCATAAGTTCATGTGGAGATGATTTAAAAGACAAACGTACATTCCTTGGGATTTTGTACATAGGTAGTCATGTCATCTGAAAATGGGGATACTTTTATTTCTTATTTTCCAATCTATGTGCCTTTCATTTTATTTTCCTACCTTATCACAATAACTAGAATTTCCAGCAGTATGTTGAATAAGAGTGCTTAGAGCAGACATTCTTGTCTTGCTCCCTATCTTAGGAGGAAATCATTCAGTTTTTTCACCATTAAGTACAGTCTTAGCTGTAGACCATTTGTAGATGTTCTGTATCAAGTTGAGTAAGTTTCCTTCTATTCCTAACTTACTGAGAGTTTTTATCATTTTTATTATGAATAAGTGTTGCATTTTGTCAAATGCTTTTACTGCATCAATTGATACAGTATTATTTTTCGACTGGGTGGATAACATTGGTTTATTTTTGAATGTTGAAATGGCCTTCCATCTCTGGAATAAACTCTGCTTGGTCATGGTGTATAATTCTTATTTTATTTTATGTAACATTTATTTTAAGTTCAGGGGTACATGTGCAGGTTTGTTACATAGGTACACTTGTGTCATGGGGATTTGTTGTACAGATTATTTCATCACCCAGGTGATTAAGCCTAGTACCCATTAGTTATTTTTTCCTGATCCTCTCCCTCTTCCCCAACTCCACCCTCCGAATGGCCCCAGTGTGTGTCGTTCCTTTCTATGTGTCCATATGTTCTCATCAGTTAGCTCCCACTTATAAGTGAGAATATACAGTATTTGGTTTTCTGTTCCTGCATTAGTTTGCTAAGTATAATGACCTCCAGCTCCATCCATGTTCCTGGAAAGGACATGATCTCATTCGTTTTTATGGCTGCATCGTATTCCATGGTGTATATGTACCACATTTTCTTTATCCAGTCTATCATTGATGGGCATTTAGGTTGATTCCATGTCCTTGCTATTGTGAATAGTGCTGTCATGAACATACGCATGCATGTGTCTTTATTTATTTATTTATTTTGAGAGGGCATCTCGCTCTGTCATCCAGCCTGGAGTGCAGTGGCACAATCTTGGCTCACTGCAACCGCTGCCTACTGGGTTTAATCCATTCTCCCGCCTCAGCTTACCGAGTAGCTGGGATTATAGGCATGCACCACCATGCCCGGCTAATTTTTGAAGTTTTAGTAGAAACGGGGTTTCATCATGTTGGCCAGGCTGGTCTCGAACTCCTGACCTCAAGTGATCTGCCTCCCTCGGCCTCCCAAAATGCTGGAATTACAGGCGTGAGCCACCATGCCCAGCCATGTGTCTTTTTAATAGAATAATTTATATTCCTTTGGGTACATGTCCAGTAATCAGATTGCTGGGTTGAATGGTATTTCAGTTTTTAGGTCTTTGAGGCAGTCTTTTTATATATTACTAAATTCTATTTGCTAAGGATTTTTGTGCCTATGTTCATGGAGAATATTGCTATGTAGTTTTCTTTTCTGTACTGTGTTTGTATAGGTTTTGATATCAGGGAAATACTAACTTCATAAAATGAAAGTGTTCCCTTCTCTTCAATTTTGTGGAAGATTTTGAAGAAGACTGGTGTAAATTCTTTAAATATTTTGTATCGTTCTCCAGTGAAGCCATCTGATCCTGGGCTTTTCTTCATTTGAATGTTTTTGATACTTATGCAATATGTTTGCCAGTTATAAGTATATTCAGATTTTAAATTTCTTAATGATTCAGTCTTGGTAGGTTGTATGATTTGAGGAATTTTGCCATTTCTTCTAGGGTATCCAATTTGTTAGAGTATAATTTTTCACAGTATTCTTTTATAATCACACTTATTTTTGTTTTTAAATGATAAATAACAATTGTGCATATTTATGGGGTACAATGTAATGTTTTAATCTATGTATACACTGCAGAAAGATCCCACCAAGCTAATTAACATATCCATCACCTCACCAACTTATCATTTTTTTTTGCAGTGAGAACATTAAAAACCTATTCTTGTATCAATTTTGAAATATACAATACATTATTATTAACTGTGGTCACCATGCAGTGCAATAGATAAATAAAACTTATTCCTGCAGTCTAACTGAAACGTCGTATCCTTTGATCAACATCTCCCTGTTGCCCATCCCTCCCCATCACCACCAGACTCTTATAATCCTTTTTATTTCTGTGGCTTCAGTTGCAATGTCTCCTCTTTCATTTCTTTTTTTTCTTTTTTTTTTTGGAGACAGAGTCTCACTCTGTCACCCAGGCTGGAGTGCAGTGGCAAGATCTCAGCTCACTGCAACCTTGGCCTCCTGGGCTCAAGTGATTCTCCCACCTCAGCCTCCTGAGTAGCTGGGACTACAGGCACATGCCACCATGCCTGGCTAGTTTTTGTATTTTTTGGTAGAGACAGGGTTTCACCATGTTGGCCAGGCTGGTCTTGAACTCCTGACCTCAAGTGAGGTACCCACCCCAGCCTCCCAAAGTGTTGGGATTACAGGCGTGAGCCACCACACCCGGTTCCTTTTCCATTTCCGGTTTTAGTTGAGTCTCCTTTCTGTTGTTTGTAGTAAATCTAGCTAAGAGCTTGTCAATTTTATTGATCTTTTCAAAAAGTCAACTGTTTCATTGATCTTCTATTTTTAAAATTATCCATTTCATTTATCTCTGCTCTGATTTTTGTCATTTCATTCCTTCTGCTAATTTTGGATTTTGTTTGTTCTTTTTCTAGTTCCTAAATGTGTAAGTTAAGTTGTTGATTTGAGATCTTTGTTTTTTTCTAATGTAAGTATTTACTGCTACAGACTTCCTTTCCTCTTGGTACTACTTTCACTATACCCATAAGTTTAGAATGTTGAGTTTTCATTTGTCTCAAAACATATTCTAATTTCTCTTGTGATTCCTTCTTTTGTCTATTGACTAGCAGTGTTGATTAATTTCCATGTATTTGTGGATTTTTCAGTTTTCCTTCTGCTATTGATTTCTAGTTTCTTTCCAGTGTGGTCAGAAAATATACTTTGAATGATTTCTCAGTCTTCTTAAATTTGTTAAGACTTGTTTTGTGGTGGAAAACATTTTCTATCCTGGATAATGTTCTGTGTGCACTTGAGAAAAATGTGTATTCCCCTGTTGTTGGGTGGAGAATTTTGTGTATGTTTGTTAGGTCCAATTAGTCTACAGTGTTGTTCAAGTCCTCTGTTTCCTTATTGATCTTCTGTCTGGCTGTTCTATCCATTATTGAAAGTGAAATATTGAAGTCCTCTACTATTATTGTATTGCTGACTATTTTTCCCTTCAATTCTGTTTATGTTGGCTTCATATATTTGGGAACTCTGATGTTAGGTGTATATATATTTGTAATTGTTGTATATTCCTGATGAATTGACTCTTTTATCATTATATGTTTTTCTTTGTCTCTTGTAACAGTTTTTATTTAAAATCTATTTCATCTGATATAAATATGGCAACCCCTGCCCTCTGTTTACCATTTGTATGGAATATCTTTTCCCATCTTTTCACTTTCAGACTATATGTGTCCTTAGATCTCAAGTGAATCCCTTTTAGACACAATATAGTTAGATCTTGTTTTTTTAAACCCATTCAGTCAATCTATGTCTTTTGATTGGTAGGTTTAATCTGTTTGCCTGTAAAGATACTACTGATAGGAAAAGATTTACTATTGCTGTTTTGTTGTATTCTGTTTCTCTTATAGGTATTTTGTCTCTCTTTTTCTCTCCTACCCTATTCCTTTGTATTTCATTGAGTTTTTGTAGTGACGTGCTTTGATTCTCTTCTCTCTTTTTTTTTTCCTCTAAAGATATTTTCTTGATGGTTATCATTGGGATTATATAAAACACCTTTAAGTTATAACAATCTATTTTAAACCAATGCCTATTCAATCACGTACAAAACCTCTACTCCTTAAATATCCACCCCCCAACTTATCGATGTCACAAATTATATCTGTTTATATTGTGTGTGATTAACACAGACTTTGGGTTACTTCTTATGCTTTTGTCTCTTAAATTCTGTATCAGCACTAAAAGTGATTCATACAATAACATTACAACACTATAGGATCCTATATTTGTGTACATATTAACCTTTATCAGAGAGCTTTATGTTTTCATATGGTTTCATGTTGCTAGTCTAGCATCCTTTTATTTCGACTTGAAGGACTCCTTTTAGCATTTTCCTGAAGGGCAGATCTAGCAATGAGGAACTCCCTCAGCTTTTGTTTATGTTGAAAAGTCATAAGGCTTTTAAGAACATAGGTGGATGTCTCCAGCTGTTCCAATCATGGTTTTAATGTATTTTTTATTTACTTTATTGAGAGGCTGAGAGCACTGATTCTGGAGCCAGTTTTGCCTATATCCTGGTTTTGCAACTTATTAGCTGAACAACCACAGGTAATGTGCTTAACCTGTGTGTGCCTCAGTTTCCTCCCTTGTAAAGTGGGGTCATTGATAGTATAGCCTTGTAAACCCCGAATATTCGAGGCAGGTCTCAGTCAATTTAGAAAGTTTATTTTGCCAAGGTTGAGGATGCGCGCCCATGACACAGCCTCAGGAGGTTCAGACGACATGTGCCCAAGGAGGTCAGAGTACAATTTAGTTTTATACATTTTTAGGAGACATGAGACAGCAATCATCATATGTAAGATGAACATTGGTTCTGTCCAGAAAGGCGGGACAACTCGAAGTGGGGAGGGGGCTTCTAGGTCATAGGTAGATAAGAGACAAATTGTTGCATTCCTTTGAGTTTCTGATTAGCCTCTCCAAAGGAGGCAATCAGATATGCATTTATCTCAGTGAGCAGAGGGGTGACTTTGAATAGAATGGGAGGCAGGTTTGCCCTGAGCAGTTGCCAGCTTGACTTTTCCCTTTAGCTTGGTGACTTGGGGGCCCCAAGATTTTTTTCCTTTCACAGCCTTCACAGGTCTCTTCTGAGGAACAAATGGATTAATACTTGCAAATCACTTAGAACACTCTCTGGAACGTGGTTCACACTAAAAGTATGTTATGAGTATTGTTATTATAACTATTATTTTCTGCATATTCCAAATTAACATAACATATATTCAGAATTTTTAATGGAAATAAGTTTGTAACTATACAAAAATTTAAAAATAAAAATCTGGCATTGAAGAAAATAGAACAGAAAAATCACTTTTAATCACATATCCATTCCCAAATGTTATCAGTGGTGAATTCTTTTACATCTTTTTCTATTTAAATGTGCACATGCCCACATATATTTATGTACTTTACTTTCTTAATTATTATATTACAGTTTCTGTAACATACACCATGGATTCAGAAACACTTTTCCCCCAGTTTTGAACATCTATTAAATTGTTCTTATTTATCACCTACAGCTTTTTTGCATTTTTTATTTTTATGGATACATAATAGTTGTACACATTTATGGGGTACATGTGATATTTTGATACAAGCATATAATGTGTAATGATCAAATCAGAAATTGGGATAACCATCACTTCAAACATTTATCATTTGTTTGTGTTGGGAACATTCCAAGTTGAAATATACAAGAAATTATTGGTAACTATAATCATTCCTACCGTGCTATAGAACACTAGATCTTATTCCTTCTAATTGTATTTTTGTACCTGCTAACCAACCTGTTTTTATCCCCTCTCCCTACTACCCTTCCCAACCTCTGGTAATCACCAAATGCAAATCAAAACCACAGTGAGATATCATCTCACCCTAGTTATAATAGCTGTTATCCAAAACACAGAAAATAACAAATGCTGGGGAAGGCCTGGCTTGGTGGCTCACGCCTGTAATCCCAGCATTTTGGGAGGACCACGTGGGCGGATCACAAGGTCAGAAGATCAAGACCATCCTGGCCAACATGGTGAAACCCCATCTCTACAAAAATCCAAAAAATATATATACATATTAGCTCGGTGTGGTGGCACACCTGTAGTCCCAGCTACTCAGGAGGCTGAGCAAGGGGAATCGCTTAAATCCAGGAGGCGGAGGTTGCAGTGGGCAGAGATCACACCACTGCCCTCCGGCCTGGAGACAGCGAAACTCTGTCTCAAAAAAAAAAAAAGAAAGAAAGAAAGAAAAAAAAGAAAAATGCTGGGGAAGAAACAAAGAAAGGGGAATGCTTGTACACTATTGGTAGGATATAAATTAGTAGAGCCTTTATGGAAAACAGTGGGGAGGGTTCTCAAAAAACTAAAAATAATGCTACCATATATCCAGCAATATCAAAAGGAAAGGAAATCGGTATATTGGAGAGATATCTGCACTCCCATGTTTATTGCACCACCATTCACAATAGCCAAGTTATGGAATCAACCCAAGTGTCTATCCAAGGATAAATTGATAAAGAAAATGTGGTACATATACATAGTGGAATATTATTCCACCATAAAAAGAATGAAATCCAATGATTTGTGACAACATGGATGGAACTAGAAGACGTTATGTTAAGTGAAATAAGGCACACATGAAAAGACAAATGTCATATATTCTCACTTTTATGAGAGAGCTAACAAAATTAATCTCATGGAGATAGTGAACAGAAACACTTTTCTGAGAAAGAGAAAACTATCACATCTAGTATATGATGTATCCCAAGGTGAGAAATGTTGAAAATTTTTCAAAAATAAATCCTAACATAGAATAGGATAATTTAGATCCCATGATATATGCATTACTAGGTTCTCTAGCATTTTGACACATTTTCTTACAGTCTTTCTCTAGGCATATTTGTACTCAATATAATTGTGCTTCCATTGTACCACCAGTGGTTCTCCAGTATTAGTGTGCATTAGAATCTCTCAGGGGAGCATGATAATAATGTATGTTTTGGGACCCAGTTAGAAGTATATTTGAATCATGTAATATTGGGGAAGGGTGACAAATTCTATGTTGTTAACAACAAAGACAGGAGATTGTGAAGCAGGCAGTCTGTGTGAAATGCTTCAAAAATCACCAATACATACTGACATGGACTCCTTCCTCCTAGACCAAAACTTTAGTCAGTCTTCGAGCCTTATTTTTTTCAACTGGGCCTCTATTTCGCCAACTGAGCCCAGTTTTAGCAAAAATCCTGCTGAGTCAGTTTATCAAGAATCCTCCCACCTTTGCCATCCAATCAAGCTCTTCTTCTGCCACTTTTGATGTCTAATCAAGTTCCTCCCCTTCCCCTGATAACTAACCAAATTTCTTACTAGTTTTCCACCCTTTCCCTCACCTTTCCCAGTGGCCATAAAATCCCAGCTGTCTCAGTAGTATTTGGAACTGAGTTCAATCTCTCTCCTCTCTTGCAAGAGTCTTGAATAAAGTCTTCCTTGCTGTTTTTTAAAAACAAGAATCCAATGCAATGTTTATTTTATAATACAATGCTAATTTTTTTTCATTTTTAATTTGCTGTGTCAAATTAAATTTGCTGTAGGAAATGCAAGTCTTTGCTTCTAGAGAAATGAAGTGACTTGCCTGCTGTTCTTTCGTGAAGGGCAGAACTGGGCTAAGGATTTGAGGATCCCCACAGACTTACAATGACCACATTAAACATTTATTCAAGGTTGGCATGGGGGCTTATGCCTGTGATCCCAGCACTTTGGGAGGCCAAAGTGATAGGACTGCTTGAGCTCAGGAGTTCAAGACAGCCTGTGTAACATAGCAATACCTCGTCTCTATTAAAAATAAAAAAAAAAAATTAGCTGAGTGTGGTGGTGCACATCTGTGTTCCCAGCTACTTGCAAGGCTGAGGGTGCAGGATTGCTTGAGCTGGGGAGACTGAGGATGTAGTGAGCTATGATCATGCCACTGCACTCCAGGCTGGGCGACAGAGCAAGACCCCATCTCAAAAACAAACAAACAAAAACAGAATTTACCTAAGGCATACCAGAATTTCTGCTCCTAGATAGATGAAATTTTTCTCCCACATGAAACAACTAAAAAGTTGGATGAAATACAAGAACAAGCTGTTCTCAAGACCTTAGACAACAGGCAACAATGTTTAGTGATCCCTGAGAAACTGGGAACAAATGAGGTTATTCTTATGATTGTGTAATGCCCAACCTGGTTTTTACTAACTCTGTTTTTAGACTTTCCCTTTTCCTTTAATCACCTAGCCTTGTTTCCAACTGAATTGACTCTCCCTTAGCTAAGAGAGCCAGACAGACTCCATCTTGGCTCTTTCACTGGCAGCCCCTTCCTCAAGGACTTAACTTGTGCAAGCTGACTCCCAGCACATCCAAGAATGCAATTAACTGATAAAATACTGTGGCAAGCTATATCTGCAGTCCCCAAGAATTCGTCCGATTGATAACACCCAAAGCCCCGCGTCTATCACCTTGTAATAGTCTTAAAGCCCCTGCACCTGGGACTGTTTACTTTCCTGTAACCATTTATCCTTTTAACTTTTTGACTACTTAACTTCTGTAAAATTGTTCTAACTGGACACCCCCCCTTCCTAAACCAAGGTATAAAAATTAATCAAGCCCCTTCCTCGGGGCCGAGAGAATTTTGAACGTTAGCCGTCTCTTGGTCGCCGGCTAAAAAAGGACTCATAATTCGTCTCAAAGTGTGGCATTTTTCTGACTCGCTCGGGTACAACAATTGCCCCAGCTTACTTCCTGAAGAAAGTTTTCAGGCCACAGTGCAAGAAGTAGGAATCCAGGCAAAGCCCTGTGGTATCCCAGAGCTTAGAATAAGAAGTTGGGAGTCCAAGGAGGGCAAGGAAGCTGGAGTTCACAGGGCTGTGTCCCAGAAAGGAAAGAGCTGCACAGAGAAGGAATTCCAGAGATCCATGGAGAGCCACTCTTGAATATTTACCTGAGTACTCTTAAATAATAAACAGGCACATTAAAATTTTGAAGAGTTTATTTGAGCAGAGTTTATTCATGAACAGAACAATGCCAAACTGCAAGTGGTTCAGTGTTCCACCAAGGGGGCATGTGAGGGAAATCTTTTATAAAATGTTTTCTAAAGCAAAGCAAAGAAAAGATTTGATTTGTAAAAGTGAAAGGTTTCTAGTTAGTGGTTAATAGGCAGCTTTTGATTGGTAAAGTCTCTAGTTAGAGGTTAGTTGGCAGTTTTTAATTGGTGATGCTTAAATTTTATTTTCCTAGGCTATGACCATTCACTATGAGTTGGGTTTCAGTTTGCTTCCATAGAAACTCTAGTTTGCTAGAGTCACCTCAGTCTAATGGCCTGCCAAGTATTTTAACTAGTACTGATCATTCTGATCATCACATGTCTGTAGGGAAACTACCCTAGATCAGGAAATGATCTACCGAAAAGGATTAAAGGAAATAATTCCTTAAGTTCACACATGTTTGGGAACAGTGCATGTTCCCACTAGCCAGACTTGGAAACCTCATAATTCATAGGACATCAGATAGAGTACTCAGAAAGAATTTTCCTCATTAGTGGAGAACGATTCACTCTAAACTAAACACAACACTGATCCTTTCTTACAAAGTTTTAAAGCAAGAATCTAAAATACCAAACTTTACAAATAACTGTTTTCCAGAATAAAAATCAATATAATTCCAGGGATACGAAAATATCCAGCACTCAATAGGTGAAACTTACAATGTCTGACATCCAATCAAGAGCCTACAAAGAAACAGGAAAATAAAACCCATCATGAGAGAAAAAGCAACCAATCAAAACTGACCCAGAAGTGACAACAATGGTAGAATTAGATAAGGACATAAAAGCAGATAATTAGAACTTCATTGCATATGGTCAAGAAGCTAGAGGAAAGAGTGAATAAGTTAAGTAGAGACATGGAATATAAAAAATATTTAAAAGGCTCAAATTAAACATCTAGAGATAAAAACTACAATGTCTGAAATGAAAAAATATACTAAATGAAGTTAATGGCAGATTACACATTGTAGACGAATAGTATACCTGAAGACATAGCAAAAGAAACCATTTGAAATGAAACACAGAGAGAAAAGACTGAAAAATTAACAGAGCATTAATTGTGGTTGTGTGACAACCATATTGATAGTCACTTGAAGTGGAAATTGTCTTAGCCCTCTAATTACATGACAGAGATTGTCAGAGTGGATAAAAAAAAACAAGACTCGGCCCCTAATATCCTATAACCACAAATATAAGCTGAGCAAAAGGCCTCTTTTGCTAAAAATATAAAACATACCATGGTCCAAGCATCACTAAGACAGTACCCAACAAAGCTAGTACAACTGTAATTCAAGTAGGTCTTTATGCACACCTCTGTAGGATATAAACTGGGACATTAGCACATTGAGGTGTCTAGAGAAATCTGTAGTGATCAAGGCCAGTGGAGAGTGCAGAACTGGGAGAAGTGGGTGGGTCATCATAGCTGAGGGATGGAGTGGGACTGTGACATAGTTTGGCTACTACTCCCAGCAGCTGAAGGGGATCTGAGGTACTTGGATTCTGAATGTGCAGGTGAAAACATGAAGTCATCCAACACCATTCACTCACATGCTCTTTATCTCCTTTGGGTCCCACAGCAGCCCTGGAAATTATCATCTCCATTTTACCAATGTATGGTAAACACTAATGCATTACCATGGCAATAACTACTAAGTTTACATAATCAGCGAAAGGATCCAGAACTAGTTTGAAATTCATTATTCTTTTTCAACAAATTTTCCACCCTTTTAATGACTGACACATTAGTTTGCTTCCTCTTTTAAAAATCAAATTTTAATTACAAACTAAGTAATATGTATTAATTTAGGGAAAAAATAGACAACAACTTAAAATTAATTGATACTCATGTGATCTTAGGAAAAGAAACAAGATGTTGAAGAAAATATTTTAAAACTTTCTTAATACAGTTTGTCTTCTGCTCAAAGCAACAACAAAAACCACTTTAGAATGCATTACTTTACAATCAGAAACACAAAGTTCATTTGTGTGAAAACAAATTTTTTTTTTTTTGAGACGGAGTCTTGCTCTGTTGCCCAGGCTGGAGTGCAGTGGCACCATCTCGGCTCACTGCAAGCTCCGCCTCCCAGGTTCATGCCATTCTCCTGCCTGAGCCTCCCGAATAGCTGGGACTACAGGCGCCCGCCACCACACCCGGCTAATTTTTTGTATTTTTAGTAGAGACGGGGTTTCACCGTGTTAGCCAGGATGGTCTCGATCTCCTGACCTCGTGATCCGCCTGCCTCAGCCTCCCAAAGTGCTGGGATTACAGGCGTGAGCCACCACACCTGGCCAAAAATGATTTTTTTAAATGGGCATACATCTGAAGATTTCTCTCTTCATATGAAACTCAGCAAAGTTTATTTTTATTAAATTGGAAATATTTTCCAACAGAGTAAATTTCTAAACATGCTAATTGTGACTTTTCAAATGTCTGGCAAAAATTTTTTAAAAATTAGATTTTCAAGTTTATAGGGATGCCTTATTTATTGGGTTATGTATAGTTATATCACTTAGAAAGCATTCCAGCTGGTTACACATGAAATATTGACTACATAACATGCTATCTTTCTGAAATTTAAAAACTGGACTTTTCCAAACAAAATCAGTATATTTACTACATAATACATGTGATGTCAGGAAAGGAGACAGAGTAGACGTGGAATTTTGTCCATTTCATTTATAAAACTCAAAACTTTTTCTACTTCTAAGACAATTTTTAAGTTTCGTAAATAAATAGTTCTGTTCTAGTAAATAAATATATTTACTTTATATTTCTAAATTTGCCAAAATACATTTCAAAATTGAACTAGTTTCAGTCCCACCAACAGTGTAAAAGTGTTCCTATTTCTCCACATCCTCTCCAGCACCTGTTGTTTCCTGACTTTTTAATGATCGCCATTCTAACTGGTGTGAGATGGTATCTCATTGTGGTTTTGATTTGCATTTCTCTGATGGCCAGTGATGGTGAGCATTTTTTCATGTGTTGTTTGGCTGCATAAATGTCTTCTTTTGAGAAGTGCCTGTTCATGTCCTTCGCCCACTTTTTGATGGGGTTGTTTGTTTTTTTCTTGTAAATTTGTTTGAGTTCATTGTAGATTCTGGATATTAGCCCTTTGTCAGATGAGTAGGTTGTGAAAATTTTCTCCCATTTTGTAGGTTGCCTGTTCACTCAGGGATCTAGAACTAGAAATACCATTTGACCCAGCCATCCCATTACTGGGTATATACCCAAAGGACTATAAATCATGCAGCTATAAAGACACATGCACACGTATGTTTATTGCGGCACTATTCACAATAGCAAAGACTTGGAACCAACCCAAATGTCCAACAATGATAGACTGGATTAAGAAAATGTGGCACATATACACCATGGAATACCATGCAGCCATCAAAAATGATAAGTTCATGTCCTTTGTAGGGACATGGATGAAATTGGAAATCATCATTCTCAGTAAACTATCGCAAGAACAAAAAACCAAACACCGCATATTCTCACTCATAGGTGGGAACTGAACAATGAGAACACATGGACACAGGAAGGGGAACATCACACTCTGGGGACTGTTGTGGGGTGGGGGGAGAGGGGAGGGATAGCATTGGGAGATATACCTAATGCTAGATGACGAGTTAGTGGGTGCAGCGCACCAGCATGGCACATGTATACATATGTAACTAACCTGCACATTGTGCACATGTACCCTAAAACTTAAAGTATAATAATAATAAAATAAAATAAATAAAATAAAATAAAAAAAGAAAGTAATCACTAAGGATTTAAAGGAAAAGGAATTGATTTTTTTTAATGCAGACATGATGAGAACTTTATAAGACAAACATTGTTGTAGTTTTTCAAGATAGAAAAAAATACATTTCAAAATTGGACATTAGATCACTGTGAGTGGACTTCTGAAATGTGATGGCTTGAGTTTTGAAAATCAGGAGCTAACTGAAAGCTGATCAAATGAGTCAATCAGCTTTGATAAGTGGAGAGGAGAGATTAGAAAAATAGTAACAAACATGGCAAGCTAAACATATTTCTTTGGCAGGGGCTTTGAAAGAGGCAGTGTTCCTCATAAGAGGCTCTAAGCCTAGCTTTGTCATGATAAAATATAAGATGAAGATTTAAAAACTTACAAATGGTATCTTTGGATGACTGGATTACGGTTTTGTTTATATTCTCCCTATATTCATGATCCAAATATGTATGATGACATTATATAAATAATTATAAGAAGTACTAACATTTTAAAATGTTCTTTATAGAAATTTCAAAATACGAAAGCATTAAAAAAAACTCCACAGGCTCAAAAATGTTGTTATATATTGTTTTAGATAAACTACAATCCTGAAATAATTTAATAATTAATTAGTAAATGAATTATTATGTTATGAAACATCTACTATATTAGGCACTGTGCTAGAAACTGAGCTCCAGGGAGACTAAAACAAAATCATTGTTGTGAAAGGGCACAGGTTGGCACAGAAATGATAATGCATAATTTATTTAATAATTTCATAATTATTACATTTATTATTAATAATAAATTCATGATAAAGCATTAGTTTAATAGGATATTTGAAAAGAAGATAAAACAGTACTGGTTTAAGTATAAACATACATTGATGGCCTAATGTCTAATTTTGGAATGCTGTACTTTGGAAACGTATATGCATTGTGGAATCAAGTAAGTAAGGTAATTTGGATCACGAAATTTGTAAAATGGTGTAATTACTGTCAGTGTTTCTCTATGCCTATGTTGTCAAAACTCAGATGCATGAGAATCACTTGGGAAACTGTCAAAATAGTAATTCCTGATTCTGGTGATTCAGGTGGTCACAGTGGCTGGTTGGGGGTGGGACGAGCACCCAACTGTCAACATTTTTAACACTTTCCCTAGGTAATTATGATGCACGTAAGGCGTCTATGTTTCCCTAAACACTAACATATACAAGGTTTAAAAAAAAGTTTACAGAATTTGAGTTAGAAACTTTCCTTGCTATGTTCCTTTGGAAATAATATAATGCTTTCCACATAACTAGTTACTTGCCTTTGGCCCCTTAGTTAAGGATAGTGAGTTAGGGACAGTTTTGAGCTGGATTTCTAACTCTTAGTTAATTAATCAATCAAAATAATTAATAATTTAATATCTACTATGTCGGGCACTATACCAGAAACTGTCTGGAGAAAAGGGCACACACTCACAAAGAAATAACAATGCCAAATACTTAATATAGTTTTTAAGAACTTACAGAGTAGTTTCATGGTTCAGGTATGGACAAGAAGGGAGTGTGTTTCCGCTTTAAAGAAAATTTGTTCTCCCAATGTAATTTACATGTCTAGGTAAGTCTGTTAAACTGGGTGGGCAGGCCTGCCAAGAGTCTCCTTTGAGAAAATCCGTATCAAGGATAGAAACACAGGCACAAATAAAGCCTTCAGCCTGTTTGTATTGTGGAGGTTTGCAGTAATGCAATTCAGGGCACACTCAGATGCATTTTCTCAGTTAGGCCGCAGTGCACTCTTGTCTGAGTTATTTGAAGGAGTTATGAAAGAAAACCAGAAAGGGCTATTTTTCTAAGAACCAATGTAATCCCAAGAACCACAAGAGTTGTACTCACCAGGATAAATATAACTCTCAAGTTATAAAGACATTCTCCACAATTCTATAGAGGTCAAAGGGGGATTTGGCTCACCAGAGACTCCAGAGAAATCAGTGGGGCTTGTTACCTTGAAGACCCTAGCACCTCATCAACAGCAACAGAAATAGGATCCAGCAGAAGGGAAAGTGTGGCCAATCAAGAAGGCAGTAATCAGGGGAGCAGGAGGATTGCAAATAACAAGAATGATATGGGGGAACCCACCTATTTTCACTGTCTGGACTTGTAAACATGAGTGATAATTCCTCCAGTCCTAAGTACCTGATGGGGGTCCCGGTCCTGTTAAATGTTGGGGAGTTGGGGACAGAAGCCAGCCCAACACAGTTCCACATTTCATCAGTTCCACTCAGCAGCCCTGTAAGACAAGCATTGTTCCCCATTTCACAGAGCAGAAAACGGGCTCTTTAAAGGAATGCATCTGTAATAAAGGGAAGGTTTATTATTCCAGTTAAGACTGAAGGATAGTTAGAGTTTACTCTTCAAATTTGTTGAGCCAGTATTGTTACGTATCTGCACTACATTCATAATCTCATTGAAAAATAATTTTCATTGCTTCTCAAACTCCAGATAATAAAAGGAAAAAAATGTCACATATTACTTTTTTTTTTTTGAGACTGTCTGGCTCTGTCGTCCAGGCTGGAGTGCAGTGGCGTGATCTCGGCTCACTGCAACCTCCGCCTTCCGGGTTCAAGCCATTCTCCTGCCTCAGCCTCCCGAGTAGCTGGGATTACAGGCGTGTGCCATCACGACCGGCTAATTTTTTGTATTTTTTTTTCAGTAGAGACAGGGTTTCACCGTGTTAGCCAGGATGGTCTCGATCTCCTGACCTCGTGATCTGCCTACCTTAGCCTCCCAAAGTGCTGGGATTAGTTAACACACAGAAATGTTCACCAATTAACACTCTAGTGTATTTAATCTCAGATTTTTTTTTAGTTCATCTGTTATATGTAAGTATACATTTTTAATGAGACAATAAATGTATAGATTGCTTTTTAAATTGCTTTATTAGCTTTAAATTTTTCCATGCAAATGGGTGAAACTACTGCTGACAGAAACTTACACTGAGTGCAAAGGCAATCTTCAAATAGAAGCTGGCAACACAAGACCCACTTGACACATGGAAATAACATAGGGTTCACAGCAAACGGATCAGTAAAGGCATATTAGGAAAATGCAAGGAAAAAGAAAACAGCGGGAATCACAGTATTAATCTCATGATAAATGGCAGGAGTCAAGGCATAAGGCAAAATTCATCATGATGGTCATGGTGATTAGAGAGCTCCCCCATAAGGATACGCAGACAATTCCTCAACTGCAGCTCCCTAAGTTTTCTTCTGATTTCTCTCATCTCCTCCATGAATATTTCCATATCATCTCCATCTCCACCCATCCCATCATTGATCTGCCTATTGGGTATGGCCCATCGAAAATTAGGGGCAAGTCGGCGAGCCTGTCCCCGTCGATTTCCTGCAGGCTGGTGGCCTTCACCTCCTCCCAAAGGGCGGTCTTCCTCTCCATTCTGCATAGGCTGCTCCATCTCTTCGTTTTCCTGGTGAATATTTGCCATGATGAGATTTTTTTTTTCTGGTTGTTTTTCTTTGAACACAAGTAAGACAAAGGCAAGGAGAGAGACTGAATGCTTGGTGCTCTGACCAGCAGGATTCAGAGCCCTGATATCAAAGGATTTTTTAATTTCGTTTTTTCCCACCTTAGAAGTTCCGCGCGTCCTCTACGGGGCCTCCAATTAAAGCCCCTCCCTCCAGCTTTCTCCCCTTACCTCCCTTCCCCCAAACCCACCATTTTTCGTTTCCCGGGATTCTTTCCCAGAGCTTTGCAGGCACCAAAATGGAGGACCGGTATAGGAGTGGGGGATGGGGTGGAGGGGGTTGGGGTCTCAGACTGGGCTTTCCTTACGTTCCGACCCCCGCCCCACCACCGTCCCTCGCACCGACCTGGGCCTATCCTTGCAGTCTCCTTCTCCTCCGGATTCTCGCCGCGAGGTGCGCCGCGGAGACACTTAGCCTCGCAGACCTGCAGTCGAGCCGGGGTGGGGGTTGTGGGGGGTGGGGGCTGCTGCAGCGGAACGCTAGCGAAGACCCGCCGCCGCCCGGCCCTTTCCGTGCTCCGAGCCCGGGCTCCCCTCGCTGCCAGCGCCCCGCGTCTCCCGCCCCCCACCCCCACCCCACCCTCGAACGCCCAGCCCCCCGCGGTGTTCGCTGTTTTCCTGCAGGGACTCGGGGGTGGGTTTCCATCGCTCTTGGTGGCTCTGCCGCCCCTGGAAACCCAGCCGCCCCTGCTTCCCCATCCCTGGGGGCCTCTGTGTTCCCAAGCATGTTGGGGTGTGGAGAAAGCTGGCGGGGACCCCCTGCGCTGTTCTGCGCCTGTCGCCGAGGTCGGTCAGCCGCTGCTGGCATGGCCGGGGCTCACGGGCCCCGGAGCCCTTACCTGCTCCGCTTTTCCCCGGGCCGAATGCCAGCCCGCCGAGCTCAGGGCAGCGGGGAGCTGGTAGCCAGACGCGAGTGACGACTGCACCGAAGGCTGCGTCGCTCTGCAGCTCTGGGTCACGTGAGGGCCGCGCGTCACCACCGAGCTCGCCCCCCAACTTGGGCGGCCAGTGCAGCAGGATCTCCCCCTTCCCCCCACCCGCCACCGCCATATGCACGCGCAAAAAACAGCCTCCCTACTCCCGTCTGCATGAGGTGCCCCAGAGCGCACAGCCCTGTCACTCTTCTCGGTCCTCTCCAATCTGAGGGCCCACAAGTGGCATCACTGCTCTGCGGTTGGAGTTTGCCCTCCTCTGGTTACCAGGGAGGGTCTGCATCATCCTCCACCACTGCCCCCTCTCACTTCAGGCCTTGGCTTTGGCCTTTTCTGCTTTCTCTCCTTTTCTACCTGGCAACATGCTTTGCGCTGCACTCCCACTTCTACCCCTTGCGTGTGCACAGCCATCAATGCCCACGTAGCCCCTGAATTCCTACCCTTCTAGAAAATTTAGAGTGAGGGCTAAGGTGGGGAGGCAGGAGGGCATTTGTCAGAAAGCGGGGCAAGGAAGTGGAGTGGACTGTATATATTTCTTTTTATTTCCTTAAAAAATCTGCATGCTTCAGAAAATTATAAATTATAAGTTTTTAATTTTGAAAGAAATGCTGGTTGGGCGCGGTGGCGTACCTGTAATCCCAGCACTTTGGGAGGCCGAGGCGGGTGGATCACTTGAGGCCAGTAGTGTGAGACCAGCCTGGCCAACATGGTGAGACCCCATCTCTACTAAAAATACAAAAATTAGCTGGGCGTGGTGGCGTGCGCCTGTAATCCCAGCTACTCGGGGGGCTGAGGCAGGAGAATCGCTTGAACCTGGGAGGCGGAGGTTGCAGTGAGCCGGGATCGCACCACTGCACTCCAGCCTGGGCGACAGAGCAAGACCCTGTCAAAAAAAAAAAAAAAAAAAAAAAAAAAAAAGGAAATGCTTTATCCTGCACAATGAAATCTCTCATTGTTTATGTTGACCTGTACCACACAAAATATTTTTTCTGGGCTCCACACAACATCAAGCCATTACTTTTGATACATACTAGCTCGTTTAAAATTTTATTTTTGGCCGGGCATGGTGGCTCACGCCTGTAATCCCAGCACTTTGGGAGGCCGAGGCGGGCGGATCACGAGGTCAGGAGATCGAGACCATCCTGGCTAATACGGTGAAACTCCGTCTCTACTAAAAATACAAAAAAATTAGCCAGGCGTGGTGGCACGTGCCTGTAGTCCCAGCTACTCGGGAGGCTGAGGCAGGAGAATCGTTGAACCCGGGAGGCAGAGGTTGCAGTGAGCCGCGTCGCACCACTGCACTTCAGTCTAGGCGGCAGAGCGAGACTCCGTCTCCAAAAAAAAAAAAAAGAAAAGAAAAAAATATATAAAAAGGCGGGACTCTTTCTTTTTCTTTTTTTTTTTTCCCCCGAGACGGAGTCTCGCTCTGTCGCCCAGGCTGGAGTCAGTGGCGCGATCTCGGCTCACTGCAAGCTCCGCCTCCAGGGTTCATGCCATTCTCCTGCTTCAGCCTCCGGAGTAGCTGGGACTACAGGCGCCTGAAAGGCGGGACTCTTTCTGAACACAGTTGGTGTTTTCGAAATGATCTGTAAAGTGAATCTTCAGGGAGCAGTCTGGTCGTCAGATCTTCACCATTTTATGTAACTTTGATGTTTTTGATATCACAGTCATCAGAGAAAGGGAGTCTTTTATTCCCTGCTTTCCTTTCCAAACCTTTCAAACCATCCCTACAAATATCTTCTTAGTATGAGCTCAGAAGTTAAGTACATATTATGCAGAAAGTAGTTTCAAAACCATCTACCCTTTGGTGCGAATGTTTCAAAATATATTAGAAATAAGCAGGGGGTGTGTGAAACAACTTAACTTGAGACTGAACCTTATCCTGAGTGCAAATGTTCCTTTCTCCAACTTGAAATCATTTTTAAAAAAATTATCACAGCTAGAAAATAGAGATGTCTTTAGAAAAGTGGCATTGTTATAAAAAATATTTGATATCTGTTGTTTATGATAAGGAACCAAAAGCATTAAATGCAGCACTGAGGCAAGACAAGCCAGACAAATGCTTACTAACTCTAGTTTTGGCCCCAAACTCCTGTAGAATTTCCTACCCTGCTAAACCAGATGACACAGTGAATAAAGGAAGAGTATATGCCCAGTGTGTATGTAGTTAGACGTTTTGGAGATATGTATTCCATATAAAATTACATATATATTCTTCTAGAGGTATATGGATATATTAGTACATAGCTCCAAAACATCAAATTATAAAATCACACTCAATATTTGTCTTTTAAAGAAATGTTAGTGATTCCTGGATTCTGTCTCACAGTTAAGAACTTTTTATACAGATTGCTATATTAATGATATCAGCTGGAATGATGCAGTTTCAAAGCATGAACAGTAGTATCAGACAAGTCTGGCTTCAAATTCAGTCAGCTGTTTACTTGATGTTCAACTTTGGATCAATTACTTATCAAGGTCTGTGTGCTTCCTCTGTGAAACAAGGATTGTTAGAATTACACATAACAATAATTTACTACATAGCCTAGTAAATCATCAATTTTTGTTGACATTATTTTTATTGTTATTCGATGGTTTCTAACATGATTTAAAGAGTAGCAGAGTATGATTCTTTCCTTAGCTAGACCCACTTGTTCTTAAAATCCATGAGGGCCCAAAACATGCTTGCTGTGTTCTATTTTGTGTACCCAGTGACTAATAGTGTTCCTTGCACCAAGTAGGTGATTACTGAATACTTGTTGAATGAATGTATCCAGTACTGAGGCGAATAGGTTGTTTTTCATTCTGGGGACTGTATTTAGAGCAATACGGAAAAGCTTTTATGAAAATTAAGAATTACCTAGAAAAAAATCTCCTGAAAGCTGAGAAGCCACTGTGATGTGACTATTGGATATGAAGTTTAGCAAGTGGATTTTTATTTCTTTTGGTGGCTAAATGCTTTGCTGTTTTCCTTTTCACCCATCTTGGATAAATCCTGTGTTCAAAACCATCAAATTTCCTTGGATGAAAACAGACATTTGTTTGTAACATCCAGATTGGATATTATGCTATATTGATTAGTTGTAATAAAGTAATGTTTTAAAGATAGGTGAAAATTATCCGGGAAATGCTGTTATCTTTACTAAAATGTTGTGAATAGGAGTTGATTGAGATGTTTTCTTGACCCTGAAGTTTTCTGAGGAGTTGGAAATAGACAGCACACTGTTGAGAACAAAAACAAATTTTTTCAAGGCCAAGTTAGAAGGACACTATATTCTGCATTTGGGATTCATGTGTCCCAAAAGGCAGAGAGAAGGTGAACTGATTAGATGGTTCTTATCCCCACACACACGTTTTACACATGTTTCAAGCCCAGGAGCCTCAATTCTAATCTGCCCTGGAGGCACCAGGAGGACTCAGAATGAAAAGTGAGATTGGCATTTGAAAATGAATAGAACCAAATCTTTAGTCTGACTGAAACTATTTTAATAAGCAGTAGTGACTGAAAAGTTGGAGAACTGGACAGAAATGTAGTTAAAGAAGCCCATTGCCCCATGCGAAGTGGGGGAGGGAGTGATAGAAAGAACACTGCTGATACAGCTATTGGAAAAATAAAACTGTTTCATGATTTGACCTCAACTAGTGAAGATCCCTCTATTGTATTAGTATCCCATCAGTGGAAGCTCGTTTTTGCTGAAATCTTTATGTGTATTGCCATGACATGGCTCACATGTACTTGTCTGAAATGCACCTGGTTGGACTGTGGTTATTGTCCTGTTTTCCTCTCATTATCTCTCCTGTGTAAATGCTAGGCTTGGGAGAAGGTAGTCTGAGCCCTAGTGGGCCCTGTGGGTATGAGTATCTCTGTTCCTGCCTAGAATAGGTTCTCTATGTACCTCTCTGATGCTTTACTGATACTTTTTTATTGTGATTCTCTCTTTCTCTCTAAATTTAAGCACCGATTACAGACTGAAACTAGGTGTTAAGAATATAGGAAATTATGCCTACTCCAGCTTTCCTCTAAGCTATGGCCATTATAACTTTGATGCCAAGATTTCCAAAATGTGGAATGAATCTGATGAAATTTTAAGGGTGTCACTGTAAGAGTTTCAATGATTTGGGAGATAATATATTTAATTCAAGAGATCTAGTCTGAAAAAATAAAAGGGCTATGAGACTAAGATGTCTGAACGTGAAAGCAGCAAATATTCAGCACCTCATTATCTATTGGGGAACTGAGGGGTATTCTTTTCTTTATTTCATGGATTGCAGATAATATCTTGAGACACCGGAGACCCGTGGCCACTCTTTCCTGTTGTTTAGGACTCTGGTGGAAAAGGAGCTCTGCCCTATGCAGTCTCCTAAACTGATGACATTAGCTGGACTATGTGTAGGCCAAGAGAACTCCTTTGGCCCTTCTAGCTTTAGGCTGAGGTGAGCACCTTTCTTACTTTTCCCAGGACTTAGGGATGAACTTTGAGGAGTAACAAAACTCATGCATAAACGTTCATGAAGTCACTTTATCTTATTTCACTGTTACTACTCCCATGTAAGTTCCATTGCTAGTATACAGTGCAACAAGGGGAACCTGATTTTTTTTTTTTTTTTGAGACGGAGTCTCGCTCTGTCGCCCAGGCTGGAGTGCAGTGGCACAATCTCAGCTCACTGCCACCTCCGCCTCCTGGGTTCACACCATTCTCCTGCCTCAGCCTCCCGAGTAGCTAGGACTACAGGCGCCTGCCACCATGCCCGGCTAATTTTTTATATTTTTTAGTAGAGACGGGGTTTCACCGTGTTAGCCAGGATGGTCTCGATCTCCTGATCTTGTGATCCACCCGCCTTGGCCTCCCAGAGTGCTGGGATTACAGGCGTGAGCCACCGCGCCTGGCCAGGGAACCTGATTTTTCACACAAATTTAAAAGACAGAGAAGAAACAGGAGAAATATATTTATACCATATGTGCTATGGGTTGAATTGTATCCCCCCAAGATATATATTGAAGTCCTAAGCCTTATAACCTCTGATTGTGACCTTGTTTGGAAACAGAGCCTTTGAAAATATATTCAAATTAAGGTGATGTCATTAAGCTGGGCCCTAATACAATATGACTGGTGTCCTTATAAGAAGAGGAAAACCAATCCAAGGACAGAGGCAGAGATTACAGTGATGCAGCTTCAAGCCAAAGAATGCCAAGGGTTGACAACCATGACTAAAAGCTAGGAAGAGGCAAGAAAAGAATCTACCCAGAGTCTCTGAGGAAACATGGCTCTGCTGACTCCTTGATTTTGAAATTCTAGCTTCCAGAGCCATGAAAGGACACATTTTTGTTGTTTTAAGCCACCCAGTTTGTGATACTTTGTTACAGCCATCCTAGGAAACCAACAATATGTGAAAGAAAAAGAAAGTTAACATCCATTATATTTAAAGAGCTCTTACAAATTAATAAGAAAAAAATGAACATACCAATGGGAAAATGAGCAATGGATATGAATAAGTAGTTTACAAAAGAAACAAACATGGCCAATAAAAAAATTTATTATTTTAACAAATAATAGTTGAGCATTTATCATGTGCAAATTGCTGTTTTAGGTACTAAGGATGCAGGAGGAAACAGCGTAGACAAGGGCCCTGTTGTCAAAGACCTTCCATTATATTGGATAATGTTGGGGCTTAGAAACTGATACCCCAAGATATGGTGCTTTGACATGCTGAACTGAAGAGGAACCTCAAGGTCCGTCTGACCTTTCCCACACACTTCTTCACTCTCAATCCTGTCTCTCACAAAGCACAGGATGAAGTTGTTTTCTGAAGTTCCCTTATTTATCTAAAGTCCAGACTCATTAAAGAAGAAAACAATTATCTCTAGTCCCTTCCCTGAGCTTTCATTAACTACACTCATATCTCAGGAAGAAAGACTGAAGTCTGTCAACATGCCTAGACAGACTTTTGTCACAAGCCATTGTCTGCTTTGGATACCCAACAGACTATGTCCCAGGTCATTGTATGTTCTTCAAGCCCATTGAAATAGGATAATAAAATAAACTGTGAGGCCAGAAAAATGGATTAGTAGGCTTATAGAACAGTGGATTTTATAGCTGTGTTTTCTATGCCTTTGCCTAATTTTGGATTTATAGGGTAGGTTTTATGATCTCAAGTACTAGGCCTTCACAGATTGTGTACTATGAAAACCAAAACAACCTTAGAAATATTTTAGTACAAGGGTCCTATTATTCAAATTGAGAAACTGAGACCCAGAAAAATTAAGGGGCTTGCTCAGGTTTCCAAGAGGGTAGTAGTAGAACTAGATGTAGAGATAGCTTTGTTAGATCTACTAACTCCCAGGAAAGAAATCTTTTTCTTTTTCACTTGTTTTCTTAGTGTCTTAGTCAGTTTGGGCTGCTATAACAAAATAGCAGCTGAGTGGTTTAAACAACAAACATTTACTTCTCACAGTTCTGGTGCAAGATCAAGATGTCAGTAGATCCGATGTCTGATGAGGACCCACTTTCTGGTTTGCAGATGGTGATTTTCTCTGTAACATCACATAGTGGAAAGCAGAAAGAGGGGAAGCAAACTCTCTCATGTCTCTTCTTATAGGAGCACTAATCCCATTCATGAGGGCTCCACTCTCATGATCTAATTCCACAGACTCCACCTCCAAATACCATCACACTGGGTATTAAGCTTCAACATATGAAGTTTGGGGGGACACAAACATTCAGTCCATAGAACTTGGCCTATTTTATTTATTTATTTACCTTCTAGGATTATACATATTGTGCATAAACATCTAAGGAAATATTTGAATATTTTATCTATGATTGCCACCTGTCAATCTTAGTCTTCTGTCCCTCCTCTTATATCTTAGAAGAGGGCTTATGACAGTTTCAATCAATAGGGTAGAAGAGAGTAGAACTGATACTATGTGAGTTACAAGGCCAAATCATAAAAGACCATACAGCTTCACCCCTATTTACAGGAAACATTTGTTTTTGAAGCCCTGAGATGGCCATGTTGGATATGCTACATGTGAACCCTCTAGTTGACAGACCCAGATAAGCCTGTCCTTTAGTGTTCTCAGTCTCTGCTATCTCAACACCCAAAGTTTTGGCTCTTTTGGTGATGGGTGATACGTACAAATCATAAATCTTCCAATTTATGACTTTCCACATTTTTCAAGTATTCTACAGTAAATTAGGTGGACATGAGGATAAGCAACACATTATTTTAGAATACTACTAAAACTGATATTTTAGGTATTGGTATACAGATGATTTTAATCTATCTTTAATTAAAGTGCCAAAGATAAATATTCATTTTTTTCTCTTTATCTCTGTCTCTCACACACACCTTTTTTTTCCTACCTCTCTTCCTCCTCCCTCACTACACTCCTGCCCCAGCTGCTGAGTTAGGGGCTATATTTCCTGTCATGACTCTCAGAGACCCAGGCAGTAGTAGCATAAACGTATCTTGTGCTTACATTTTACACTTAGAAACCTTGCCTGGTGACTTGGTGCCCCTGCCCCTCTCTCATCCTCTTCCATTTGGTTGTTTTCATCTTTGAGATTAAAGATGCATTTCTGATATTGGCCATCATTACTTCTATCTTCTAAATCGTCTCCGAGGAAAAGGTTTCCTTTTGGCAAGGAGAAGGAAAAAAAAGCATTAAGTATTTTGAAAATTTGAGTTATAAAATAACACATACAGAATTATCCCAGTTTTCTTACACATACATAGTGATGAAAATAAAATAACACATATAAATGCTGATATATGCAAGGCATTGTTGTATATGTATATTCATTATTTCATTTATCATTTCAAAGATCCTATGAGGTAGGTGCTAGTAGTATTCTCTGTTTTACAAATAAAAGAATTGCAGGACAGTGAAGTTAAACAACAGACAGGAAGTGACAGAGCAAGAATTCAAACTCATATAGTCTAGTTCCTAAGTTTATGTTCTTAACCACTACTCAGTTTTATTTATTAGTAAGTCCCCAATCTAAATCTCATTCATTCTTTTCTTCATTCACCATTTCTTATTTAATATTGTTTGAACACTTTTCTGTGCTAGGCACAGCTTGCCCATATCCACTTCTGAATCTCAGGGCCATATTTAGGAGTTCTGATGCCCAAGACATAGCTCTTTCCATTTGATAAAAATATAAAAATAAAAATTTAATTCAATAAATATTTATTATCTATCATGTGCTAGGCAAGGCCCTGGAGATATAAAAGAGAACAAAGTAAATATAACATTCATATTCATGGAGTTCATGAATTAATGGGAGGAAACCATAAATTTAGTGCTGTAAATGCTGAAGGGGCACTTGGAGCACAGAGTAAGAGGACCTAATGCAGTTGCCGGTGAAGTCTTCAAAAACAAAATGATGTCTAGGAGATTGATTTCTGGTATGACAGCAGGAAGAGCTCTGCAGACATGTTCTCCAGTGAAACTGGTAAAAATTATAAAACAAAAGAAAACAACCATTTAAAGCCTCTGGAAATGCTCCTAAGGGCCATATAAAATGTGGCACAGGATACTGTCAAATCAATGGAGAAACATCTATTCAAGAAAATCCATAAAAACTCCATAAGAAAGATGAGAATCTGTGGCATTTGAACTTAGACATCTGCTCCCTCCCCACTTCCAGCTCAGAGAAACATAAACTGCATTCCTAACTGGTGGCCAAGAACACAAGGCATCCTCTCCCTCCAGCTGCCGGTCAGGGACTTTCTTCCTAGGAAGAGTAGGATGTCAGCATTTCTCATCCTGCCCCCAACTACCTGTTGCTGAGGCTAAGTCCTGGGTAAGTGCAATCAAGAGGTTGAGACTCCCATCTTCCATCCAGTCCCCACTAATGGAATGGAAGCTATCCCCTGGGTGTGGCACTGCTGAGAATGCTGAGGCCCTAATCATCCTTGCCCTGGCTTGCTGGGCATGGTTTCACAACATGAGAAGTAAGCTGAGAGGACCTTCAGGCTGTTGTTCCCTCCTGTACCTGAATGTCAGCTCCTAAAGCAGGAGTGTCAGAGAGAAGAATGCTATTGTTCCCACCCCCAGATCCAGAGCCCTGGCTCAAATATTTTTGCCTGAGAAGAGAAACAAGCCATAAAGCATTTATCTTGTAATATTTTCCCAGTAGAACTTACTTCATTTACAACAGAGCATGGAGAAGTTCAAGCCAATGTTGCTCCAAAAATAGTGGAAGTTGTGGTGGGGACACTTGGAAAGTAATTCATGGGTTTGGTGAAGCTAGCAGTTAACTATTGTCTGGCTGGATTGTTGGAGAGCACCAGAGAGGGAGCTGGCTGGGAGGAGCCCTCTTGGGGTCAGAACAAATGTCAAACACTGATGAAGAGAACCGTTCTTTCACTAGAACCCACATTTGATTAAATTAGTCTGCAGAGCAATTAATGGCCAAGAATATTGTTGGAAATAATAGACCAATCAGTTAGCAATTAGAGGAGCCTAACAGCTGACTATGGTCATGGAAAGACACTAGGAAAGCTCTATCGAAACCATTGTCATCTTAGGGTGTCTGTGGGCATATCAAAAGATGAGCATCCCTGAGGGGTAACATTAGAAGATTAATGCTGGAGGAAGAGAAATAAACTTTACTAAAATAAGCCAGCCAATCACTAAACAAACAGGCAAATAATAACAAGCCCTAGAAGGGGAGGACACAATAACCAGAGTGGCAACAACATATTATCTAAAATGTCTAGTTTCCAACAAAAAATTACAAGACATGCAATAAACAGGAAAGAATGACCCATACCTACACTGGGGGCGTGGGGGTGGTGGGGGAACAGGCAACAGAAACTGTCTGTGACAGTGGCCAGATGCAGGATATCACAGATGTAGGATATTCAAAGTAGCCATTATAAATATATTCTGATAATTAAAGGAAACTATGATTGAATAAGTAAAGGAAGATATGATCTCAATGTTGCATGAAATAGAAATGTCAATAAAGACATACAAATTATTTTAAAAAAAGAACTACATGGAAATTGTGGAGTTCAAAAGTCCAACAACCTAAATAAAAATTTCACTAGAGGAGCTCAAAAGTAGGTTTGAATTTACAGAAAAAAGAATTAGTGAACTTGAAGATAGATTGAATGTATGCAATTTGAGGGATAGACAGAAAAAAAGATGTTGAAAAATGATGAGATAGCCTTAAAGAAATGTGGGTCACCATGAAGTGCACCAACATATATGTAAAAGGAGTAGCAAAATGACAGGAGAGAAAGGCAAATGAAAAATACTTAAATAAATAATGGCAGAAGACTTTCCAAATTTATTGAAAAACTCCAATGCACACATTGAGGAAGGTTAGAAAAAACAAAACTCCTAACTAGATAAACACAAAGATATTCACAAGTAGATTCATCATAGTGAAAATGCGGAAAGTCAAAAACGAGGAGAAAATTTTGAAAGCAGCAAGAGAAAAACGACTCTTCACATTTAAGGGAACTTCAATAAGATTAACAGCTGGCTCCTCAGCAAAAAAACAAAACAAAAAAAAATTGATGAAGGTAAGAAGACTGTGGAACAACACAGTGAAAGTGCTCAAAAGAAAGAAAACCGTCTCTTAGTGACCAGCAGTTACAGGAAATAGAAAAGAAAAAGAAAACAGTGAACCAGGAATCTTATATCAAACAAATCTATCTTTCAAAATTAAAGGTGAAATTTAGACATTCCCAGATAGACAAAACCTGAGCAAAGTTGTACCTAGCTGACCTGGCTTACAAGAAATACTAAAGGGAGATCTTTAGGCTGAAAAAAAAAAAAAAACAAACAAACTCCAGATGGTGATTAAAATTCTACCAAAAAACAAAAAGCAATAGCGTAGATAAGATGTAATTATAAAAGAGAGTATATTGTATGCCTAAGTATAAAATAAAGTTTTCTCCCTTCTTAACTAGCTTAAAAAGCAATTGTATAAAATAATGTGTACCTAATGTATTGTTAGGCCTATACCACATACAAATGTCGTATAATTGTAATATTTTTGCCAATAACAGAACAAAAAAGGTGGGTTGGAATAAAGCAGTATTGGTCTAAGGAAATGACTGCAGAGGGTAAAGTAATAAATATAACAATGCATTATTGGATTTGTAACATTAATAGATGTAACATGTGTAACAATAATGCCACAAAAAGAGGGGGAAGGAATAGAAGTAACATTTCTATATATGACTAGAATTAAGTTAGCAAGAATCTGAAATTGATTCTGATAAGTGAAGGTTATATAGATAGTAAGCTTTAGCACAACCACAACAAAGCTTAAACATAGTGAAAAAAGCAATAACGAAATATAAATGCTGGGCCGGGCGTGATGGCTCACGCCTGTAATCCCAGCACTTTGGGAGGCCAAGGTGGGCAGATCATAAGGTCAGGAGTTCGAGACCAGCCTAGCCAATATGGTGAAACCCCGTCTCTACTAAAAATACAAAAATTAGCCGGGCGTGGTGGCAGGCGCCTGTAGTCCCAGCTACTCGAGAGACTGAGGCAAGAGAATCGCTTGAACCTGAGAGGCGGAGGTTGCAGTGAGCCGAGATCATGCCATTGCACTCCAGCCTGGGCGACAGAGCGAGACTCCGTCTCACAAAAAAAAAAAAAAAAAAAAAAAAAAAAATATATATATATATATATATAAATGCTTCACGAGAAAACATACAGTAATAAAAATGAAAGTAGAACAGGAGGAATAGAACAAAAGAAGGCATGGGACACATAGGACACATAGGGAACAAAATGAAAAATGGAAGACTTAAACACAATTATATTCATAGTAACATTAATTGTTACTATGGGTTGATAGCTCATTTCTTTTTTAATTGTGACTAGATTAACAATCTAATCAAAGGGCAGAGATTGTCACACTAGATAAAAAACAACATTGGATTGTATGCTGTCTATAGGATACATACTTTAGTTTCAAAGATTCTAATACTGTAGATTGAAAGTAAGAGATGGGAAAAATATATCATGCAAAAAGCAACCACAGGGAAACTTGAGTGAGTATACTAATATTGGGCAAAATAGACTATAAAACAAAAAAAGTGTTATTGAAGATACACAGGGATTTTTTTTAAAAAAATAGGCTTTAATTTTAGAGCAGTTTTAAATTTACAACAAAATTGAGTAGAAATTACAGAGTTCTCATATACCTTTGATACTACACACACACACAGGCTCCCCCACTATCAAAATCCTGAACTAGAGTAGCACATTTGTTAAAAGTGATGAACCTACACTGACACATCATTATCACCCAAAATCCATAGTTTACAATAGGGTTTACTCTTGGTGTTGTACATCCTATGGGTTTTGACAAGTGTGTAATGACGTGTACCCACCATAATAGTATCATATTATGTAGAGTTTCACACATAGAGGATTTTAAAAATCTTCTATGCTCCACTTTTTCATTCCACTCTCCCTCTAACCCTTGGCAACCACTGACCCTTTTGCCATGCCCATAGTTTGCCTTTTCCGGAATGTCATATAGATGGAAGCAAAAAAATGTGTAGCCTTTCCATATTGGCTCTTTTCACTTAGTAATATGCATTTAAGATTCTTCTTTGTCTTTTCATGGGTTGATAGCTCATTTCTCTTTAGTGCTGAATAATATTCCATTGTTTTGACGTACCTAAGTTTATCCATTTACCCACTGAAAGACATCTTTGTTGCTTCCGAGTTTTGCCAATTATGAATAAAACTGCTATAAAAATATGTGTGGAGGCCAGGTGCGGTGGCTCATGCCTATAATCCCAGCACTTTGGGAGGCAGAGGCAGGTGGATCACTTGAGATCAGGAGTTCGATACCAGCCTGGCCAACATGGTGAAACTTCGTCTCTACTAAAAATACAAAAATTAGCCAGGTGTGGTGGCGCGTGCCAGTAGTCCCAGCTATTCGGGAGGCTGAGGCAGGAGAATCGCTTGAACCCAGGAGGCAGAGGTTGCAGTGAGCGGAAATCACGCCACTGCACTCCAGCCTGGGCAACAGAGCAAGACTCCGTCTCAAAATAAATGAATAAATAAATAAATAAATAAATAAAATGTGGGCAGGTTTTTGTGTAGACATAAGTTTTCAATTCATTTGGGTAAATAGCAAAAAGCACGATTGCTTGATTGTATAGCAAGAGTATGTTTAGTTTTGTAAGAAACTGCCAAAATGCCTTTCGAAGTGGCTATACCATTTTGCATTCTCACCAGCAATGAATGAGGGATCCTATTGCTTCATATCCTTGCCAGTATCCATCTCTAAAATGTGAATTAGCCATCCAACAGAATCATATTTGGCAATAAAAAGGAATGAAGTACTGATATATATTACAACATGGATGAACCTTGAAAATATTATGTTAAGTGAAAGAAACCAGTCACAAGAGACTATATTTTACATGTCCAGGACAGGGAAAACTATAGATGCAGAAGATAGGTTAGTGTTTGCTTAGGGATAGGGAGATAACGGCATAGGAGAGTCATAACTAAGGGGTGCGGTGTTTCTTTTTGACTTGACAAAAAGGTACTAAAATTGATTGTGGTAATGGTTGCACACATGTGTGAATATACTAAAAACCATTGAATTGTATAATTTAGGTTGGTGAATTGTTTGGTATGCAAATTATATCTCAATAAAGCTGTTATTAAAAAGAAATAATATCTATTCTGGGATGGATGAATAGGAGTTATCCAGGCTAAGTGTGTGAGGGGTAATTGAGGCAGTGTTTCAGGCAGGGATAAATGTGAAACCAGGACTGGGACTTGAAAGGGCATGGAGCCTTGAGGAACCAATAGGAATTCACTCAGCACAGTGGTATTGTTACTATTTGTTAAATACCAATCATTCCAGAGCAGTGATTAGGAAAAAGGACATTGACCTTAGGCAAGTATTCCATTTAATAGCTGGGCAACCTCGGCCAGGCCTCACTTTCCTTTTCTATAAAATAATAGGTTAATGATATAACATCTAGAAAAGGACTCAGAGTTCATGGAAGGGAAGAAAGACTCTGTGTAAGTCCAATAATTATTTGGGCAATTATAATGCAAGGATAATATAATTACCGATTGGGAATTTTTTTAAAAAAATAATTATTTCTTAACCAGATGGCAGGAGGCCTGATAAGAGATACCAAAATGCCACTTAAAAAGAAATAATCCTTCTCTTTAGCAAACTGAAGGGCTTCATCTTGATATATGTGAATATTTGTGGATATGGGTATGTATGTGTATGTGTGTATATATTATACTGTGCCTTCTGTTTTTCATTTTTCTTTTAACAATACATGATGAACATGTAGTACATATGGATCTACTTCATTCCTTTAAATAGTTCCCTACCTACATTACACTGTGGACAAAAGATTTGAATAGACATTTCTCAAAGTGTGAAATACAAATCACCAATAAGCACATGAAAAGATGCTCCATGCCCAACTAAATTATTCAAGTGATGCAGCTGTTTTTGCTAAGGGTCTTGCAAAAGGCTGACGTCAGAATATCAAATAACTGCTTTTGGATACTGTTATGTGTGTTAGCCTCCTCCTTCTTACCTTACCTTGAACTTTCTTTGCAGAGAGAACAAACCAGCTTTTCTGTTAGCTTTTGCTTTTTACAGAGACTGAGGTGATTATGTGTGGATGGGATCTGGGGCTGATTTTCAAACACACACTCTCCTGTCAGTTTCCTAGTAAAAAGTTTTATATGAGATTACTCTTGTTATTAGCGTCCTGAAGAATCCATTGGCTTTGCATTCCTACCTCTTTTATTTTGTGGTATCATGATAGCTGTGTCTTACTGTAATTTTGAAGTTCCTCAAAGATTGTTTATCTTTAGTTTCTTACTTGATGCTCTTTTTTAATCTTAGGATTTATTTAAAATCCCCTGTACTTAACTAAAAACTAGAAATAGTTACAGATACCATGTTTATATTCTACAATATACATTGTGTGCTGTATTTAATTTGGAATCATAAACCAGAGCTTTTGGTGTTAGGAAATGCTTATTATTCACATTCAGATTTATTGTACAGAGAAAACTGTTATTGGGAGAGGCAATCTGCCATGAACCCTGAGCATCCCTGCATATTCTTATTGGGTATGCCAAGAATTTAAGACCCTGAGTGTTCTTTACCCAGGCAGACCATTTTTCATAGTTGTGTTTGCAACAAGCAACCTTGAGCGATAAGATAACCTCTTCCCCTGAACAAAGAGCAGGCTTGTTTCTGCTGTGAAAGCATTGAAGACCCCAAACTCAGGGTTTCCTTCCTATAATGCAATGCCCTGCATGTTTAGGTATCAATCACGGGTCCTATGCCACCCCATGAAACTTGGAAATAATAAGGAACTAATACAAACCAACATGAAGCTCTGGCTACTGCTTCTGCTGTGATGATGTCATTTGATTTTGACCCAGGAGTCTAGAGTCTTCTGCCAGCATCCATTAAATGAGAGTAGGCTAAGTTGTTAGCTTATACGTAGGGTAAAATCTCAAATCCCTCACAGTTCTTGATAGGTGTTTCCAGTTATTATCCCTAAAGTTATTATGCCCATGCTGGGGCAATGTTTCCCACCAGGATGTTTTTTTGCCTTAAGTATGTGCCACCTACACTATTAATACTGTGTTCTAACTTAATGTTCTTCTTCACATTGACTCACTTATTTGAATACTTTTTTGAAAAACAAACTTTATAATGCCACCCTAAATCTAAACTATCATCATTTGCTTTAAACAGAAAGTATTCATTCATACATGTTCAAATAAATACACGGACACCACAATTTAAAAGATTTGTGTACTATCTAAAATCATTTCCTCCTACCACCAGACTCTTTTACTTTAACCATAAGTTATCTGATTACATGCAGAGCAGTCATGTCTGGGACAAAGTTTCTATTAGTGAATTTTGAGATCTTATCTTCTTCCTTATAAAAAAGTCCTATCAAACCTCCTTGTGAAGGAAAAAAAGGGAGAAAGGAAGTCTAGTGCTCTGATCTGCAAAAAGGATAGTTGTTTTTCTCCAGGTATGTCTGTTCAGGACAGGCAAGCTATCAGCTGAGGAGGGCCTTGTGCCTAGCAGAGAAGCCAAAGTCAGGCCTATCCTAGACAGGAGTGTGGCTTGAGTGAGCCCTTCCACATCCTTCCTGAGTGCCACCCCTCTGAGGGCCAAGGGGATGGATTTATCCTGTTTTGTAAAACTGGCAGTGAGCCTGGAACCTTATCTCACTCCAACATGAATTGCAGCCCTACCAGCAACCATTAGGCTGCCATCACCTTGAAGAATGGTCTGGAGACATGAAGAGTTCCCAAAATGGCATCACAGAGGAAAATGACACATGACAGGCACAATAGTGGGCCTTTTGTAAAGAAAGAAAGATAGGGCTGGGCACGGTGGCTCACGCCTGTAATCCCAGCACTTTGGGAGGCAGAGGTGGGTGGATCACTTGAGGTCAGGAGTTTGAGACCAGCCTGGACAACATGGCGAAATCCCGTCTCTACTAAAAATACAAAAAAAAAAAAAAATTAGCTGGGTGTGGTGGTGCAAACCTGTAATTCCAGCTACTCGGGAGGTAAGACACAAGAGTCACTTGAACCAAGGAGGCGGAGGTTGCAGTGAGCTGAGATCATGCTGCTGCACTCCAGCCCGGGAGACAGAGTGAGACTCCACCTTAAAATAAAGAAAGAAAGATTAGATAGATAGATAGATAGATAGATAGATAGATAGATAGATAGATAGATAGATAGATAGACAGACAGACAGACAGACAGACAGACAGAGATATGTAGATATAGACATACAATAAGGCCTACACAGCACTTTCATATATTTCCAGCCAGGGATGGGATTATTCCAAAATCTGACTTGAATTTTCCTTCAAAATTTATACAAGTCTAGGGATATCTGTTGAACAGATGAGGAGGGCCTGCCACCAGTCTTCTGGGAGAAATCATTCGTCCTAAGGAAATAGGAGTCAGGAAGATAAAATGGTAGTCTTCAGATCCAGGGCAGCAATTCTGACTAAAACATAATGTCTGTTACTCAGATTTGTCTTCTGGTCCAACTCCCAGATGGACCTATCATGTCTGAGCCTTATGGGGAGAAAGTTAAAATCCCAAAGTTGCCAAGATATCTATAAGACATCATGACTCATGTGGCACTGCATAAGTGTCTATCTAAATTGAAGAGATGGGCAATCTCCTAACTTCTCTAAAGGTCAGTCTGGGAACTAAGCTTACTGGGGGTGCCAAAGAAATATGCTGGGCTTCACTACTTGAGAATTCTAGCACATTCACAGTGGTAGGGGCCTGAAGGTGCAGGACCCAGCAGAAGGGGCAGAAAACGCAGTATATATGGTAGTATGAAGGGCAGGGGCATGAGAAGCTGGGTAGGCATATCAGGAAATGAACATAAAGGTGGCACCCACCTCACAGTTCCTTTTTTTTTTTTTTTTGAGACGGAGTCTTGCTCTGTCACCCAGGCTGGAGTGCAGTGGTGCGATCTCGGCTCACTGCAAGCTCTGCCTCCTGGGTTCACACCATTCTCCTGCCTCAGCCTCCCGAGTAGCTGGGACTACAGGCGCCTGCCACCATGCCCGGCTAATTTTTTGTATTTTTAGTAGAGACGGGCTTTCACCATGTTAGCCAGGATGGTCTTGATCTCCTGACCTCGTCATCTGCCCGCCTTGGCCTCCCAATGTTGGGATTAGAGGTGTGACCCACCGCGCCCGGCCTTGGGTTTGTTCTTAATCACAGATAAGAACTACTTTCTCCACCCTTCCAAATCGCTGAAATTAATCTCTTACGGAGTTGGGATGGGAACAAAACTCTGTCAAACATAGCTCACAGTCATTACTCTATTTGGCCCTCACCAGATCCTTGTGAGATTATTTTCTTTATTTTAAAGATGAGAAAATATGTAAAATTTATTATTCTAGCTAAGTGGTCTGGAGTTACTTTCAAGTTCACATTTCTTCTAAAATTCTGTCAACAAATATTAAATGCCCCAATACTTTTAGAAATAAACTAATACGTGCTGCTTGTTGCTTCTTTTTTATAAAACTTTTATTATTCTAGCAATAATAATGTGTGTTAATTTTAGGAATATAGAAAATACAAACAAGCAAAAGGAGAAAAATCATTCATAATCCCACCACCGAGAGGCTGTACTTTCTTTCATCCTTCACAAGTTATGTCCATATATGTAATATACAAATGTACTTTTTACCTTTCAAAAATATGATATTCACATATTACTTAGCCTTTTTCCATTTTATATCTTACCAAGAACCTCTTTTTTACAAATGTGTAAAGTTCTTTTATTAAAAGACAGAGACTTGTAGATTGGTTCAAAATACAATAAACAATGAGATGCAGATAACAAGAGATACATCTAAAACCATTAATAGCAACAGGTTATAAGTAGAAATATGGACAAAGGAATATCAGGAAATGCTAATAAAAAGCAAGCTATATGGTATTGTTAATATCAGATAAAAATCAAGGTAAACTACATTAAATAGGGGTAAGGATGGTTTCGATTAACCTTCCAACGCATCACTATAAGTTTGTTTCTGACTCTCCTTATCTCATCTATTTCATCCACTTCTCTAAACATATCTTCATTGCTTAAATGCCTGTTGTGTATATCTTCTTTAAACTCCTGGAGAGATTGAATCAGCCTTTCTCTAAAAGTTCCTTTTGCTTTGGCCTCCTCCTCTAGCTTCTCCTCCTCTTCTGGCTTTTCCTCAGGCTTTGGCTCTTCCTCATGCTTTGGTTCACTCTCATTTTCTGGTTTTCCTTCCATTTTTTGACAGGATTTCATCTTGTATCTGTCTACCTCTCTTCCTTCCTTCTTTTCTTTCTTGCTTATTCTTCTTTGAATACAATGACTTCTAGAAAGCAAAAAGAAGACAGTAAGTTAAAGACTTGGTGAGTGGACAGGTGCTGTGGACAGAGGCCTTAGCATTTAATTTTTTTTATTCAGAGCTGTTATAAAATATCTTCCACCTAAGAAGCCCAGTCAGCAATCAGAGCTTCACTATCCCCACTCCTTTTACCTCCACTTTCCACCTCCTCACTTCTCTCTTGTCCTTCCCTCTAACCTTTTCCAAGGCCCTCCTTTCCGCCGTCCAGCCCTCCCCAGACCTTTTTCCCCCATAGGGCCTAACACAGGGACCAGGCCAGAAAAGAGAAAGGTGGCTGGCAGGCAGAGGAAGAGGGGAAAGGAGAAGGGGGAGAGAAAAGAAGAGGGGAAAGGGGTGGGGTGGAAGGGAGCCGGCAGGAACGGTGGCGCTTACAACCTTTGTCTCCACCCCAGGAGACTTTATAATATTCCTCTCACCTACCTGGCACTGATCGGGTCAGTTTCTTCCTCCTCCTTTTCTAGCTTTGGGTCTTGCTGGAAACAACAGCCCTGCAGATAAACTGGAAACGGGAGGGGACGGTGGGGGTGGGGCGAGCGCTTGGTGGGCCGACCAGCGCCAGAGACTGACACACGTAGCTTTCCTCCTTTAGGGTTTCGGATATGGAAAGTTTCCCACCTTTTGTTTCCCCTAGTTCACCCCCTCTCCACAGTGCATGCAAGTCAGTTCGTTTTTCCCATCAGACAAAGAGTGAGAAAGCAGATTATTTCCAAACTATCTTTAAGACTGAGGCGGGGTTCGGGAGGAGGGTGGGGGTCCGGAAAGCAGTCTTAGATAGCAGAGGATGATTATTTTTAAACTACCACAGGTCTCCCTGTTCTTCTCCTAGGACCCCTAGTCCCTTTCCCAAGGGTCATCAGTTCCCGTAGACCTGGAGGTGGAGGGTGGAGGGACGGACCTGACCGGCACTCCCACAAGTCTCTGCCTTAAACCCCCCCACACTAGAAATCCCCAGTCAACACCTACAGTGACACCAACCTGCAAAATTCCCGCAAGTTTGACTCCTTCCACGGGCCTCAGGGACCACCGCCTGCGCTGCTGAAGGAAGCTGGTATCCAGACGGGAACAAGGACCAGATTACCAGGACTTCTGCACACGTCGACTCCTGGTCACATGAGATCTACGTCACCAGTGAGCTCGGGTCCCTAATTTCCACTCCCACCAAAAGCGCGGCAGAAGTGGGCCCACCCTCTCTCCCTCCCCGCCCCCCACTTATACATTTGGCCCTGTCAGTCTTTTCTGTTGTTTCCTATCCCAGCGGGAAAAATGTTATTTGCTTGACTCTGATTACTAGGGAGGGGCTACCTCTTTTTCTGGAGCTACTGAACTTTTCTACTTCTTTCGAGAATTGTCTCTTCCATTCTTCCACTCCCAGGATAACTCCTCCATCAGTCGTCCCTCCTCTAGCCTCCATTTCCTCTGCAATCTGGTTCTTAGCTGTTGTAGAGCAGGGTGGCCTTGGCAGCAGTTGTGAAACAACAACAAAAAAAGACCCTGGAACAAGAGTGAGATTTCTGAATGCAATTTTTACTTTTTATTTTTCGTACTTCTATATCCTTTTTAAAAAGGTAACTTTAATCTCTCTCTCTCTCTCTCTCTCTCTTCTTTTTTCTGTCTTTCTTTCTCTTTTTTTTTTTTGAGACAGGGTCTCACTCTGTTGCCCAGGCTGGGTTGCAGTGGTGCGATCACAGCTCACTGCAGCCTCAAACTCCTCGAAACGAGTGATCCTCTTGCCTCAGACTCCCAAGTATCTGGGACTACAGGTGTGTGCCACCATGTCCAGCTAGTCTTTTAATTTTTTTGTAGAGACAGGGTCTATGTTCCCCAAGCTGGTCTCGAACTCCTGGGCTCAAGTGATCCTCCTGCCTCAACCTCCCAAAGGGCTGGAATTACAGGCCTGAGCCACTGCACTGGGCAACTTTTATCTTTTTATAGTCAGAAAAGACAAAGAAAAAATTACTTTAATGACATGAGTTAATACATGTACAGTGCTTATTGTACATGTGGCATATAGTAAGTGCTTTTAAAGTGAAAGCTGTTGTGATATTAGAAGTTTTGTGAGGAAAATGATACAGAATTTTTTAAAAAAGAGTAATGTTTCATTCCAGAGTCCTCATGGTGGTGTTACCAGGAAGCTGTGCTGCCTGAAGAATCATCAATTAATCGTCAGGTACACATTGTGAACCTGAGTTTCCTCATCTGAAAGAAGGGAATAATAGCATATGCTCATAGAATTGAGATCTATTGAAAATAAAAATAAGAGTTAATTTTTCATCTGTACAATTAGAAAAGACAAATATTGATTATATTCAGAGTTGATGAGCATATGGTAAAACAAATATTCACATGTACTGTGAGACTATTAAGTAGTACAACATTTTTGGAAGTCATTTTGGCAATATCAAACTTTAGAAGATATGTGCTTTTGGACACATCAATTCCTCTTCTAGAGATTTATCATACATTAATACTCCTATGCCAAATATGGTCATTGTAGTAGTTGTGGCAATAGTGTTTTTTTTAAAGAGCCAAAAACTTATATGTTTCTAAAAGGAAATTGGTTTAAGAAAAGTTTGATCATTCATATAGAGCCACATTATACAGTGATGAAAAAATGATGTGGAGTTACATTTACTCACATGAAAAAAATTGTTCAATGTATATTGTTAAACAAAAAAAGGCAAATTGAAAGTTAATTTTATATGTGGTATTACATTTTTGTAACAGTATACATATTTGTGTATTTAAAATATGAGTATACAATTAAATTACATGATAACATGATAAGTGAAGTCCAGAAATTCATTCTATAAAATTCCAGGTTATGTTACTGAGAGATGGATGGATGGAATGACTGATGTGAGTCTATTTGGCTAGCTGGCTACACAACCCAAATTCATCAAGGACTCAGCTGTGATTTGTTGCCACAAACAATTCTTCACTGAGCACTTGGACTTAAATATCATCCATCCATTTTACTCTCTCCCCACCTGCTATCACCAATCATGTTATATCCAAACTCAAGTTGTTTCAGGGTCTTACTGTATTTTTATATCATTAGAAATGCAGATGAATATATCCTGAACATCATAGGATATACTTGAGAATGTGTATTTCATATAAAGAGAACTTTTATTTTCTAAGTGTTGTATTTATATATTTAAATTACTAATAAGTTACACAAATTAATTCAAGATGGATTAAAGACTTAAATGTTAGACCTAAAACCATAAAAACCCTAGAAGAAAACCTAGGCAATACCATTCAGGACATAGGCATGGACAGGGACTTCATGACTAAAACACCAAAAGCAATGGCAACAAAAGCCAAAATAGACAAATGGGATCTAATTAAACTAAAGAGTTTCTGCACAGCAAAAGAAACTTCCATCAGAGTAAACAGGTAACCTACAGAATGGGAGAAAATTTTTGCAGTCTACCCATCTGACAAAGGGCTAATATCCAGAATCTACAAAGAACTTAAACAAATTTACAAGAAAAAAACCACCCCATCAAAAAGTGGGCAAAGGATATGAACAGACGCTTCTCAAAAGAAGACATTTATGCAGCCAACAGACACATGAAAAAATGCTCATCATCACTGGTCATCAGAGAAATGCAAATCAAAACCACAATGAGATACCATCTCACGCCAGTTAGAATGGTGATCAATAAAAAGTCAGGAAACAACATGCTGGAGAGGATGTGGAGAAACAGGAATGCTTTTATACTGTTGGTGGGAGTGTAAATTAGTTCAACTATTGTGGAAGACAGTGTGGCGATTCCTCAAGTATCTAGAACTAGAAATACCATTTGACCCAGTGATTCCATTACTGGGTATATAACCAAAGGATTAGAAATCATGCTGCTATAAAGACATATGCACACGTATGTTTATTGTGGCACTATTCACAATAGCAAAGACTTGGAACCAACCAAAATGTCCATCAATGATAGACTGGATTTAGAAAATGTGGCACATATACACCACGGAATACTATGCAGCCATAAAAAAAGGATGAGTTCATGTCCTTTGCAGGGACATGGATGAAGCTGGAAACCATCATTCTCAGCAAACTATCACAAGGACAGAAAACCAAACACCGCATGTTCTCACTCATAGGTGGGAATTGAACAATGAGAACAGTTGGACACAGGGTGGGGAACATCACACACGGGGGCCTGTCGGGGGCTGGGGGCCTGGAGGAGGGATAGCATTAGGAGAAATACCTAATGTAAATGACAATTGATGGGTGCAGCAAACCAACATGGCACATGTATACCTATGTAACAAACCTGCATATTGTGCACATGTACCCTAGAACTTAAAATATAATAATAAATAAATAAATAATAAGTAATATATTAATTACTAATATTCAGAAAAATGTTTGAGACAAAAGTGAAAAATGAAGAAGAAATAAAATATCTGACAAATATTAGACAGCCATGTATCTATTGAAATGAAAATTTTTATAGTATATTGCTATGTAAGGAAAAAGCAGGTTATTAACAGTAACAGTATTAGAATTAGGTATGATTGGGTGGTTGGTGGGCTTATGGATGATTTATATGTATTTTTTTACTTCATTGTAGACTCTTCTACATTTTCTCAGGGGGCATATGTAACTTCTACAGTAAGGAAATGTCTGCAAATAGTATGATTTTATTTTATGGCACATATTTCATATACATACTTCTCTGTAGCTGAACAGGGTCTGAATTAAGGGACTCCACTACCTGTTTGAGACTTCAGATCCTTACGATGGTTGAATCCCTCACATTTCCTTCCCTTGCTCCGCTGACCTCCTCAAAGGACTACATGTTTGTAACTAGTATGCATTAGAAATGAGGGTCTCTTCCCCTTCCTCTGACTATCCCTCCCTTCAATCAAGTTTGAGATGGTCAAAGTGTACTACTACATTTTTAACATGGGGAAGGAGGCATCTCTTTCTTAAATTTGACCTGATGAAAATATTTTCTAGGGAAATATTTTTGCTAGAGAAAGTAATACTTATGGCAATAATATAATAGTTTAAGCAGATTATAAAATAGTATTCTTAGTTGCCAATTCAATTCTTTAAAAAATATGTATGAATAGAAACAGAAAGGATCTGGCTCTGCTTGACATGTGGCATGTATCTATAGTTACCTTACTTTTTTCCAGTAAAAATGTTTTATTTTTTGCAAATAAAGAAAATAACTATTATTTAAAAGCAGGTTATAAATAATGTATATAAAACTATCCTAATTATACTTAAAAATACATATAGGAGGAAGGAAACCCTCAATAATATACACTCAATTTCATTTATTTGGTGGCTCTCAAATATACACTTCATCCACTTATTGGTTTCACAAATATTAATTAGGCGATCACTAGATGTTGTCAGTCTAAACCCTTATGTCCTTTCTGTAGATTTCCTCTCAATTATCACTGAATGTGTTAGTGCAGTGGAGTTGCATCTTAAGCCAAGGATGGATTCTAAAGTCAGCATATAAGGTAAAATCCTACCTAGTCAAACTTACCTACTTCATAGCATATTACTATAAGTTATAATGTTAGTGGGGAAAAAATGAAAATATTTAAACTTAAAATTAAACTCCCATTTAATTTTATGGGAATATAGATTTCTAAAAACTTTCATGTCTATAATTCTTGTGTATTTTCCAAATTTTCCACAGTTTACTTGAATTACATACATAGAACAATGAAATACATAGTTTTGAGATAACCTAGACTTTATTCACTCTTCACTGTATATATGGGCATTCAATTTTTATGTAAATAATACATATAAAACACACACACACATATATATATACAATTTTAAAATTGAAATGTATATATTCCAGAATAAGGAAGAAGGGAGAGAGGAGGGGAGGCCAGTTTTCACTGCTTTGCTTGTGAATGGGATGGAGATATTGTGTGTGTGTGTGTGTGTGTGTGTGTGTGTGTGTGTGTAGAGATAAATAAATTACATATTATATATAGTATACTATATAGCTATTAGTAATATTATATTACACATTATTATTTAGATATAATATATAGAGATAAATAGATACATAGATATAAAATTTATTTACACCAGGACACTATTTTATACATATTTTCTAGCTAACAATGCAATGTAAATATTTCTATGCCAATAAATACTGTACTTCATCATGTTAAAATTAATGGTAACTTATCTACCGCTTGTTTAATATTTAGGCTGCCTCTATGTTTTTGCTATTTAACTCAAGCCTTAACCAAAATCTTTGCACACAACCAAAATTATTTCCTAAGGAAAAATTTCTAAAAATGAAATTGCTGGGTCTAAATCTGAAACATCTTATTTATTTTTATGTGTATTATCAAGAAGGCCTGGAAGATAATTTAACCAATTTACACGTGTACTTGACAGTCCATGTGAATGAACTCATGTAAAATGGATGGCATGATTTTTTAAAAAATATTCACCAAATTCATAGGTGAACGAGTGCCTTGAAGTTTCAATTTGTCCATTTCGACTCCTAGTGAGGCTGAATAATTTATACTTATTCCCCATGTATGTGTCTTCTTTGTCTCTATTGAAGCCCTTTCACAAGTTTTCATGCTGTTTGTAACTATGTGTACTAGTAGTTTGTTCACTTTTAGGAACATTTTATTACAGGTAACCAATCTTTTAGATAGTCTCACTAGTTGTAAGGAACACAGATTTAGACTAGTTTAGTTGAGGCAGGATTTATGGTGAAAATTTATGAGGCAGTAGAGAAGATTATGATCTCAAGGGAATCTGAGAATAGACAGTAAATTCCTAATGGATGTCTAAGAGCAGGACCTGAGCACTGTAGTGCTCTGTCACTACCTTGGCTCAGTTGTTCTCAGTCTCTCCTCTTATCCTCATTCATCCTTCTCCTCCTATGTCACCGAGGAGACCTCATGGCTTCAGCTTCCTCATAATTTCACCTTGCTCATGTATCAGGCTTTCCCAGCTTCCTAAGGTACGAACCCTCTTTCCACAAAAGTGCGTGTACCCCACCAACCCTAAACATGCACAAACCTGCATAGAATTTCAAATGGTCCACAGACTTTCCTAGTTGAGAACTCCTGGTCTAGGCTAAGTAATATGGTCAGAAAGTGAGAGTTCCTGGGACATTGTCTTAAACCTGGCTGAGGGGCTACTTGGGTGGGGATAGATTGGCAGGCAGTGACCCTACCGCAAGGCCAGCCTCCTCCTGAGTTTCCTGGAGGGGAGGAGGCCAGAGGTGAGAGGCCTAGCAGGCTGCATTCCTTTAGCAGAAGAAAACAATACTAGTTAGTTGTGAAAATTAAACACTTCCATAAGTGGAAAAGATAGGAGATCATTTTTCTATAATCGGATAAAAACAAGACACTTGTTAGGCTTGTGAAATTAAATAATTTAAACTTAAAGCTGCTGGAACTTCAAATTATTCTGAGCCTTGAGAGGAATGTGGCTATGCAGCTTGAATCACAGGGCATGAAGCTGCAACTTCTGCCTTTTTTTCCCCCTGTAAATAATTAAGACAAAATGCCACCAGAGATAAGACTCCCTCAGATCATTACCCCTCCTCATGGAATAATAAATAGCTGTGGCATTTGCATAGGTCTTGTATGGAAAATGCAACCCTGCTAAAATTTCTCTGTCTCTGCCTATATAAGTAAAACCTTAATTTTTCCACTTTGGAACACTGATTCCATTTGTTTGGAGCTGGTGTTTCAGGGCGGCTATCCTCAAGCTTTGCGCTTGAATAAACTCTATACTTAATCATGTTTTCTGAATTTCATTATTTAAGGTTGACAGGCTCTCCAGGGATTAATTTATCAAACACATAAAATGTTGATTAATTTTAGAAAAATGTAGGTTTTAAATTTCAAACTCTCTATCTTGTTTTTTTTAAGCTATTTGGGAAGTATCAGACACATTTTCTAACTGATAAAAATAAACACAACCAAATTATGAAGAATTTTTTATTTAGTAGAAAATCTTATTTATTATTGTAAATTACTTTTCTCCCTAAAGAGTATATTTTAAAGGTTGTGAACAATTGGCATGTTTTAAAAATTTGTGATTCCTTTTGTAGCTGATTAAAAACACTTTAATCTGATATATGACAATTTAGCCAAATAACAAGGCACCCCAATGAAAAGAGAGCTCTTGGGATAAATGCCCATTTCCCCCATCTTCAAAATGTGTTAAATATTGTATTCTTCAACGTAAAAAGAAAGCATTTTAAATTAAACACTGGAACAGAAGGATACACAGAAGAAAATGTTCCACTTCCACTCCGAGCCTCCTTTCTTTATACCCAGCTTCTTGGCCATTTATGTGCAGGTAAGAGGCTCAAAGGAAAAATAATGACTACTGGGAGAGAAGGTGGGGTGAAAGGGCCATTTTGGGGAAGGTTAGAACAGGGGAAAGAGATAAGTCCATAATAATTGTAAATTGACAATAACCCCAAGAAAAACGCTGCCTCTTCCTGATGATTAGAGAAACCAAATACTATTCCTGGCCAACTGAAATGCCAAGGTGGAAAAACAGACATCCCAGGCCCAGGGTGAAGGAAGAGTGGAGGGATGCTGGTTCCTGCTGTTCTGCTTGTGAGTGGGAGGGAAAATTGGTAGTCTCAACTCACCTGTGACGTTGCTGTCACATAACGGGAGTCTACTCAAGTCCTTTTTGTCCTGCCTTTTGTATCTTCTGGTTAATTATTCCTATTATGGAGAAGAAGAAAATTCTGGTCAACGTATAAGGAAAACAACTGTCCCAGACGCTGTAGGTTTGTGTTCTGGCGTGAACTCTGGGGGAACCCCGGGGCTGTGATGGATGACTGTTGAGGGCAGAATCCTCAAGTGGGTCCCGATCTGCGTTTTTGATACTCCTTCCTTACCCAAGGTCCATTTTGGGTGGTTCTTGGGGCAAGCGGAATATGCATACGGGTATATGGGTATATGCTATACCCATATAGCCTTCCCCACAGGGGGTGGGGATACGAACCCCACTCCCTGTGTCCTACACCCATTTTGGTGCAAAAGATTTTGTTAATAGAGGTGTGGAAATGAATCACAGGAGAGGGAAACAGACACACGGAAGGTGAAAGTTCTATTTCAAACAGTCCCCATTATCGCCTTCCACCATCGTGGATGTTTAAATAGCAAGTAGGGCCAGGGGCTGAGTATGGCTTCGGAGAAAGGATGGATAAAAAGGGACAAAGTTGGGAAATATGGAGCTGGAAGACGCTGGAAGGGGAAGGGGCCGGGTGGTGGCGGGTCTGCGCCAGCGCTCTGCGGCAGCAGCCTCCACTCGCCCCACCCTGGCCGTCTGCAGGTCTGCGGGCTAAGTGTCGCTGCGGTGCACCTCAAGGCGAGAATCGGGAGGAGAAAACTTGCAAGGATAGGTTCAGATCGATGCTAGGGACAGTGGTGGGGGCGGAGTGTGTGTACGGGCGGAGACAGAGCCCAGTTAGTGGCCCCACTCCAGATCCTCCCTTTTGGTGTCTGCATAGGCCTAGGGAAGGATCTACAAGAAAAATGCTAGGCTTTGAAGGAGGGAGGAGAGAAGAGATAGCGGGAGGGAGGTGCTCCAGCAGGAGGCCTCCTGGAGAGCGCATAAGTCCTCTCTGGTGGGAAAAATAAAAATTTAAAAACCGTCGATATCCAGGGCTCTGAATTTTGAAAGGTGCGTAGTAGGGCCACTGTCCTCGGTGCTGATATGTCCACCAAGCACTGCCCTTTTCGCTCGTTTTTTATCTCCTAGGAGTGACGGAGTGCCAAGTAGAATAAGCTGGAGAGAAATCTCAACACGGAAAACCTCCTCCAGGAAAAATGAAAAAGGAAACAGAAGGAGGGGAGCAGGCCCCTGTGCAAAATGGAGAGGAAATTCGCCCTTTGTGAGGGAGTGAAGGTCAGGAGTCTGAAGGAAATAATAGACAGTGTCCAGGATTTTAGGGGAGGTGTAGTCTTATCAATAACATTCACATGATAAATGCGGATAAAGATGATATGGAATGGTTCATGGAGGAGATGAGAGAGTTAAGGCAAAAACTCAGGGGATTTAAGTTAAGGTATAGTCCATGGCCTTAATGGGGACCACCTCATTCATTATCACCATTATGATGCCTTATACCTTGAAAATAGAAGTTTTCTCTGAGGTTAATACTTCTCAACTCTGCTTTCTGGGTTTTTTTTTTTTTTTGCCTTTTTTGGTGTACTTTTGTTGATTCAGTTGCTTCAAAACTTTTAGTATTGCCAGCTTCTACTTGAATATTACATTCTGATCAAATCAACAAATCCTTTGTCAGCAGAAGTGTTTAATATATTTGAATAGAAATATTCTCATTATGTATTTTAAAGTGAAAAAACAAGTTATAATGCAGTGTGCAAAATTATTGTTGCTTCATTTTAAGTCAAGTATAGTTATGTATTACACATATTAAGAGTCTGAAAGTATATATACTAAAATGAAGCTGTTATATTGCAGAATTACAAATGGTTTTACTTTTTCTCCTTAGTAACTGTATTTTTCCAAAATTAGTATGTATTACTTGTATCCCTAAGTAACCAATGTGCCAATCAGCTTTAAAAACTGTTACCTTTCAATAAAAACTTGTTAGAAAAACAAAAAATTAATTTCAAGTTAATTTTTAGAATTTCTTATTCAGCAACATAACCCAAGTATATATTACCATGATATTACTTTAATGGGTCACCCTTACTATCTGTGAAAAAGGAATACTATTTGCCCCCCATGGGCTGCTGAGTGGATTAGGTGAGGAACTGAATGTGTGGGTTGTGTTGGTTCAGATCCTACCCTATATCCTACTCTTTCAGAACCCCAGACCCCTGAAAACGCTCAAGGAAAGCTAACCCATGTCTAACCCATGCCCAGGAACAAGTTCAGGCAGTCAAGACATAAGTGTCACCCTTTTCTGGATACTTTCATGTCTTCTGGACATTACTGCTATTTCTCCTTTGTCTTTTTCATTCTGCTGACAGCTGTTGGTGTGTTGAAGTCCTCAAGATTTCAAAGCCCCAGTGATTTCCCTGGGATTATAGTTACCCTTATGAAGATGAGTACCACACAAATGTGGCTCAGTAATTGGTATCTTAACAACGTTCTTCATAAAATGGGTCTTTCTTATTTTACTTTTAGGTCCTCTGCTCTCCAGAGGACTCAGACATGATTCCATTTGGTTGGAGGATACTGAATCAATACAAGCATATGAGACTTCATTAAAAAAGTAAATGATGGATAAAATAAAACGAAGACTTGAACAGCTGAAGCTAGCTACCTATCACCTTAATTATAATAAAAAGATGTTGTTTATATATTCACTACTTTTGGAAGTTGCCACCTATGTTAGTAGTGGCAATTTCCAAAAGTAGTGAGACAACATTGGCTTTTTATGTCTACCATGCTCTTGCAAGAGGTGACTTCTCTCTCAGGATATTCATAGCTTTTCATACAAAAAATTCTGGGCACATCTACCCAGTAGGGCAACAGATGTACCCCAAAGCATATAAATTACAGAAATATTCACCTTAGATCAAAACTGAGTAACACCCCAAGACTGATCTCCTCCCTACATAAAAGCATTTAAAATAATCGGTAAGATAAAAAATTCATTAAAAATATTAGAAATTACTCTTCTACAAAACTGTGTCTTTCTCATAGCAAGTATAGTCTTTATCACCTGTACACTCGTAGTATCTATTATAGTGTCTAACATATTGTGGATGTTTAATACATGTTAAATATGGGCAATATTACTCTGTGGGGACTCTCAAGTCCTTTGCCAAGATCTACTCTTGACTAAAGAACAGGAAATAAGTCTCCTCATTTCCCTAGAGGCAAAGACTTGTATTTCTTTCATTTATTTATTTTTAATTTTTATTTATTTATTATATATATTTTTTGAGATGGAGTCTCGCTCTGTCGCCCAGGCTGGAGTGCAGTGGTGCGATCTTGGCTCAATGCAACCTTTACCTCCTGGATTCAAGCGATTTTCCTGCCTCAGCCTCCTGAGTAGCTGGGATTACAGGTGTGTGCCACCACACCCAGCTAATTTTTGTATTGTTAGTAGAGACGGGGTTTCACCATGTTGGTCAGGCTGGTCTCGAACTCCTGACCTCGTGATCTGCCTGCCTCGGTCTTCCAAAGTGCTGGGATTACAGGCGTGAGCCACCCTGCCTGGCAAGACTTGTATTTCTAAGGAGCCTATTAGGGGAAGGATGACATGCCAGATTAAAAGATGAATATAATTTAGCATGATTTTAAAAGAATGTCACACAGACTGCCTGTTTCAGAATCCCTGTCATCTTTCTTGCTAACAGGACAGACTTTGGCATCCCCCAAAAGTTCCATGACTCAACTTCTAACTGGGTGCCAAAACAATTATCATGCTCCCCTGAAAGATTCTAATGCACACTAACACTGGAGAACCACTGGTAGTACAGAGGAAGCACAATAATATTGAGTACAAATATGCATAGAAAAAGATTGCAAGGAAATACGTCAAAATGCCTAAGAGCCTAGCAATACATATATCACAAGATGTAAATTATCCTATTTTATGTTAGGATCCTATATGGTTTGGATCTGTGTCCCCACCAAATCTCATGTCGAACTGTAATCCCCAGTGTTGGAGGAGGGGCCTGGTGGGAAGCAATTGGATCATGGGGTCAGTTTCTCATGAATAGTTTAGTACCATATCCCTTGGTGTTGTCATCCTGATAGTGAGTTCTCATGAGATCTGATTGTTTAAAAGTGTGTGGCACCTCCCCCACTTCCTTCTGCTCTGGCCATTTGAGATGTCTCACTCCCCCTTTGCCTTCGCCATGATTGTAATACAGTTTCCTGAGGCCTCTCCAGAAGCAGAAAGGTGCTATGCTTCCTGTACAGCCTGAAGAACTGTGAGCCAATTAAACCTCTTTATTTATAAATTACCCAGTGTCAGGTATTTATTTATAGCAATGTGAGAACAGACTAATATGGGTTCTATTTTAAAAATCTTTCAATATTTCTCACATTGGGATACATCATACAATAGATGTGAAGATATTATGTGATGGTTTACTTTTTCTCAAAAAAGTGTTCCTGAATCCATGATGTATGTTATAGATGCTGTAATTTAATAATTAAGAAAGTAAGGTGTATACATGCATGTGTGCATATTCAATAGAAAAAGTGTAACATAAGTCACCATATCAGAATGAATATTTGATTAAGGGTGATTTTTCCGTTCTTTTTTTTTTCAAAGTCAGTTTTTTTATTTTTAAAGTTTTTGTACAGTTTCAATCACATTGCCATTAAAAATTCTGAATACCTCTGTATTCATGTTAATTTGAAATATGCAGAATATAATGGTAATAATGGTAATAATAACAATACTCATAACATACTTTTAGTGTGAGCCAGTGTTCTAAGTGATTTACAGGTATTAATCAATTAATTCCTCAAAAGAAACCAGTGAGGGCTATACTATCAATGACTCCACTTTACGTAGGAGGAAACTAATGGATGCAGAGTTTACCTGAAGTTGTTCAGCTAATAGGTTTTAAAACCAGGATATAAGCAAAACTGTTTGGCTCCAGAATTAGTGCTCTCAGTCTCTCAATAAAGTAAATAATAAATACATTAAAACCATGACTAGAACAGATGGAGACAGCCACTTGTTTTCCTAAATATAATTTTTAAATTATGTATATTTTTAAAATTTTAGCAGTGTCAAATCCCAATCCCAATCCCATTGTTTTTTCTAAGGGGAATGATGTTTTCCCTCACATTGGATAAAACTGGGCATAATGGAGATAATCGGGTGATTGATGCTGGGAACTGAAAAAGAAAAGCAAAGGCAAATTCTCTAGCATAAGGACTTGAGAGGTCACAATAAATCCAGGTTATGAGAAATATGAAATTAAGGAGGAGTTGAAACTATGAAGATATGGTTTGAAACTATGAAGCTAGAAATGGTCGAAACTATGAAGCTAGGACACAGAGAAAAGCTATCCAATATAAAATTAAGACACTTCTCAGCAGTGGAAACAGAAGGTAGATACTTACTGCCTGAATGCAGAATTCATGAGGGAGAAATGTGCCAATAGATTCCTTCAAAATTTTTGACCCATAAACATTTTCAAAAATAAATAGGTATTGTACAGTAAAGAATATCTCCTAACTTGTTTACGATATAATAGTGGATTTTTCTCTTTTAACACAACTGGGATAAACTTAAAAAGTAAAGTAAAGGGCCACCTTGTGACCAGAAACAGCACTGCAGTTTGTGCATCACCGATCAGGAAGTCTGAGGCAGAGAAATAGTGTTCATCTTGACTAACAGGGCAACTAATTTTGGACCTGTTGAGACTGACATACTCTTAGAACATCCAGGAAGAGAGTTCCACTGGAGAAATGGATAAAAGTCTGTAGGGCCAGAAAGGGGTATGGGCTAGAGGTGTAAAATTCAATGTCATTATCCCTAGGACTGTAGCAACAACTACAGAAATGGATGAGATCAGCCAAGGAGAACATAGAGACTGATAAGAAATGGGACTTTCAACATTTAGGGCAGGAATATGGCTCAGTTGCTAAGAGTCCAGGCATTAAAACCAAATCCAAACTCTGTTCTTTTCTAGCAGTTAAAAAACGTTATAAACTCCTTTTAGAAACTAATGAGAGCCATGTGCTCTCTCCTCAGCACATGCATACACCTTGAACAAATGTATATAACCGTCCTTGAACAAATGGGTATACTCACCCACATACATATACGGGCGCACATTTTTTTTTTGAGACAGGGTCTCACTCTGTCACCCAGGCTGGAGTGCGGTGGCACAATCATGGCTCACTGCAGTCTCTACCTCCCAGGCTCAAGAGATCCTCCCACCTCAGCCTTCTGAGTAGCTGGGACTACAGGCCTGCAGCATCATGCCCCGCTAATTTTTTTTTTTCTGTTTTTGGAGAGACCGGGTCTCGCCATGTTGCTCAGGCTGGTCTTGAACTCCTGGGCTCAAGCAATCCTCCTGCCTCAGCTTCCCAAAGTGCTGGGATTACACGTATGATCCACCACATCTGATGGGCACACAATTTTGAACGCAAGTTTAGGAAGTCCGTAGTTTTACTCTGTTAAGATTTTATGGCCTAATTTAATCAATAGAAATGTAAAACAGGAGAGTCAAATAGAAAACAAATAGTAAGATGAGAGACATAAACACAAATATACCAATAATTAGAATTAATGTAAATGAATTGAACACTCCAAATAAGATTGGATAAAATTATGAATTATATGCTGTTTATAAGAGGCACACTTAGATGTAAGAACAGAGAATGGCTGAAAGTCAAAATAAATACATGCATGCAGTAATCAAAGGAAAGCTGGTGTAGCTATGAAAAAAATCAACAACGTAGACTTAAAGACAAGAAATATTTCTAGAGAAAAAGAGATATATTTGATAGTAATAAAATATTTAATCTAACAGAAAGATATGAAAATTCTGAACCAGTATGTTTCTACTAACATTACTTCAAAAATACAAGACAAAAGCTATTAGAAATAAACGGAGAAATAGAGAAATGTAAAGTCTTTGTGGGACATGTAAACATACCTCCTTAAGTAACTGATAGAATCATAAAAATTATCAGTTGAAGTATTGAAGATTTAAGCAATAAGAGTAACAAATGTGACATTATGTTACATAGAACATAACCTACAAGTGCTGAATATAAATATTTTTCAGGAGCAAATGTAGTGTTTACTAAAATTGACCTTATACTAGGCCATTAACCAAGTCTCAACACATTTCAAAGTATTGAAACAATTCAGAATATGTTCTCTGATGACAGAAAAATAAAGCTAAGAATTAATAACAAATAGATAAACAAATCTCAAAGTGTTTGGAAATTAAACAATACACTTCTTAATGATTTGTAAATAAAAGAAGAAATGACAATCAAATGTGCCATTCTCTTTAAATGAATGAAAATGAGAATGCAACACATGAAAATTTGTGGGAATATAGCTATATCTGTGCTTAGTAAAAAATTCTATGCCCTCAAATGCATATATTGGAAAAGAAGAAAGGCTGAAAAAATACCACTGATCTAAGTTTATCTGTAAATAAGTTTTGGAGAGTACAGAGCTAATGCCCAAAGACTAGGAGAGGTGTTCTAATTTTTTGTTAGTTAGTTCATTTTTGGTTTTGTTTTTTCAGCTCCTGGCATTCAAGGAAATATATGTCAAAACACTGGCTGAAGACAAGCTAAAGGAACAGAGACTTCTGCAAACAATAAGGAATACAGTATTTGCAAAAATAGTTTAGAAAAGTCACTAAATAAACAACTACAGCCTTCAACAATCAAACACACACACACACGCACACAACCTTGGAGGAAGAAAGATCATCTAATTTCCAGAATTAAAACATTATATTATTCAAAGGTTCACTTTTCAACAAAAAATTACCATGCATATAAAAAAGAAAAGTATAGCTCACTCAAAGAAAGAAAATAAACTGATAGAAATGTCCCAGATATGAGCCTTACCACAAAATACTTTAAAGCAAGTGTTCTAAATATGCTCAAAAGCTAAATATGGTCAAAGAATAAAGAAAATCAGGAATACAATCTGTGAACAAAATTAGAAAGAGAAATTATAAAAACAAACCACACAAAAATTCTTCAGAAGAAACGTACAATAAATAAATGTACTACAACTGAAAGATGTGAGTATTTCTAGAAGTTTGATAAACTCAGAGTAGGAGAAACTAACATGTGGGAATTCAAGATGAGATTTGGGTGAGGACACAGCCAAACCATATCAGGCTATGTGGTCTCTAGACACCAATTTCTACTCACACCATCTCTACCTTCTCATTTCATTCTTCCCCATCATATTACACATTTTTACCTTGGGCAGTCTGAGAGGTCAGAAGTGGCACCTTCACCCCGGGACATTCATTTCCCTTTCTTTGGTTACCAAAGAGAGGCTACAGTTTTTCTTTGGGTTAGCAGCCATTCACACATCTTCTCTGACAAATTTTCTTTTTGTTGCTTATGCTCCCCAAACATCTACCTCCTAAGTCCACTTCTTTTTTCCATAGTCACTGATATTCATTTCATCTGTGCTTTGAACATGCATGAAATTAATACAGAGCAGGATGTAGAGATGGGATGAGTGTAATTGAAGTAAGGTTTTTTGTCTTAGTATTTTCTTGCCAGCTTCTCTTATTCTGATAATAAAAGAATTAATAAAGCTTTTTTTATTTAGTGAAAGCAAGCATTCAAGGTAAGAAAAAAATACATGTTTTCTAAAGAAAATCATTTGTTTCAGTAGAGATATGACATTACCTTAATTGTCCAAGTTTGTACTAAGTACAAAATGTGTTTGGCTACATACATAATAAAAGTTTTCAGGTTTTTAAAATAAAATGAATGCACCTGGCCTGGAACATGTATCATACTATCCCCTCACATATAACCTACCCTAGTTCACTGGGCTTTTTAACCATCTTTAAATCCAAGGGGCCACAAGTGGTATCACCACTCTATGACTGGTGTTTGCCTTTTCTTTGATTACCAGGGAAGGTCTTCTGCACTCTCTGCCCCAACTCCCCACAGCCAACACACAAACCCTAGGCACACTTGTTCTCTGCCCTTATTTACAGTGCTCAAGTGGAAGCTGTCTTGGACCCTGTCTACTTTATCCCACCTGACTTGCGGAGCACAGTCTGCTGAGCCTTTCACCCCTGAATTCCACATCTCTAGAGCCCTAGGAGGTGCCTATCCTTGCTGCAGTGTTCCTGCCTGCCAGTCCATCTCCCTGGGGGCCCCTCAGCCAGGCTTAGGTCAGTGTTTAAGAAGCTCTCACCTGCTGACCACATTGATTAACCTAGATCAGGCGTTCTCAACTGGAGATGTTTGTGGACCACTTGAGATTGCATCAAAGTTACCTGTGAGTGTGTGTGTGTGTGTGTGTGTGTGTGTGCGCGCGCACATGTCTATTAAAATCCTTTGCCAATTTTGGGGCCAGGTGCGATGACTCACGCCTGTAATTCTAGCACTTTCGGAGGCCGAGGTGGGTGGATCACTTGAGCTAAGGAGTTCAAGACTAGCCTGGGCAACATGGCGAAACCCCATCTCTAAAAAAAATAAAAATAGAAAAAAAAATCCTTTGCCAATTTTTAAATTGCATTATTTATATTTAAATTGTATTCTGCTGTTGAGTTGTAGAAGTTGTTTATGTATACCGGATACTAGAATATATAAATTTATAAATTAAATAAATATATAAATATACCTATCTTATCAGATACATGATTTGTAAATGTTTTCTTCCAACCTGTAGGTTGGCTATTCACTTTCTTGATGGTTTCCTGTGGTGCACTAAAGTTTTAAATTCTGATAAAGTTCAACTTATCTATTTTTCACTTTATCATGGTTTTGGTATCATTTCTAAGAATTCGTTAAAAAATACAAGGTTATGAAGATTTATCAATATGTTTTCACTGGAAAATCTAATTGTTTTGACTCACTATATTGGTGTCTGAGCATTAGACAAAGCAGGCACCTCTCCCAGTCTTCACAGACTGATCTCATGAAGGAGAAGACCTTCACCAATCTGCCTAGCCAGAGATTTTGGAGACTTCTAACTCTTTCCCTCCCCATGAGGAAACAGACAACGGTAGTTTTTGTTCTCTCACTCTGTGCTGAGCCGTGGGATTGGGGGAGGATCAATGGTGTCTCTCAGTCCAAGCTGCTGTTTCATTCTCCTTTGGGCATCTGGACTGTGCTGGACCTGTCAGAGCTCCAGGCCTAGCAATACAATGCTATTTCTTTGGTCAGCTTCAGAGAAATTGGGGGTGCTGGATGTGCTGGTCGCCTGTTTCCCTCCCTAGGGGAAAGCTGAAAACTGGAAGTTTTCATCTGCTAGTTTTGTGCTTAGCAGGGGTGAGAATCAATGGAATCACCAGCCCAAACCACCACCTCTGTTCTTTCCTGGGTGTCTAGACTATGCTGAAGCAATCAGAGCTCCAAGACTGGCAAGACAGGAGCCAGTCCTCTGGAGAACCCCTTGGTAAAGTAGGGGTACTAGACATGTGAACCAACCCTTTTTATCCCCTGGATGAAGCTGGAAGTTAGGGGGTTTCCTTCTGACTGTATGACACTGAGCTGGGGGCAGGGTATCTAAAAGAGGGTGTCCCAAATCTCCCTATCAACTTATGTGAGTCTGGTTTTGCATTCTCTCAGAGTGCAGGAGCATTTCAATTAGCTTCTGATTTATCACAAAGGAAATTTGTGAATTGTTGCTGAAACAGTGTATTTGTTGGCAAGTTAGGAGAGCTTTCTATAATGCCATCTTGCTGATGACACTCCCTCTATTTTATTTATCTTTGTTCTAATTTCTACTATTTCTTTCCTTCTGATAGCTGTATATGTAGCTTCCCCCTTTTTGTAGTTCGTTTAGATGTAAAGTTAGGTTGCTGACTTGGAATCTTTATGCTTTTTAAATGTAAGTGTTTAAAGCTATAAATTTCCCTCTGAGCATTGCCTTTGCTACATCCTATAAGTTTTGATAAGTTGTGTTTCAATTTTACGTCATCTCAGAGTATTTTCTACTCTTACAATTTCTTCTTTGAGCCATTCACATATGTGGAATTCCAGTTTTCTGTCTGTTATTGACTTCATGTTTCATTCCATTTTGGTTGGAGAAAATGCCTTGTGTGATTTTATTGTGTTTAAATTTATTGAATTTTGTTTTGTGGCTTCAATATGGTCCATATCCTAGATAATGTTCCATCTGCCCTTAAGAAGAATGTGTATTTTTCTGTCATTAGGTGGGACGTTTTACATATGCCTGTTAGGACTAGTTGGTTTATAGTGTTGTTCAAGTCCTCTATTTCCTTATTGAATGTCTATCTAGTTGTTCTGTTGTTGAGAATAGGATATTAATCTAACCCCACTTGAAGCAAGAAAAAAAGCATAAAAAAGAGAATAAGATATTGAAATTTCCGACTATTATTGTATAACCATCCATTTCTCCTTTCAATTTGTCAGTTTTTGTTTCGTGTAATTTGGGGCTCTGTTATTAGGCGCATATATGCTTAAAATTATAATATCCTCTTGATGGATTGACACTTTATCAATGTATAATGTTCTTCTTTATCTCTATAACAATTTTTATTTAAAGTCCATTTTGCCTGGTATTAGCATAGCCACTTCAGCTCTCTTTTGGTTTTTATTTACATGGAATATCTTTTCTCATTCTTTCACTGTCAAACAATTTGGTCTTTGAATCTAAAAAGAGTCGGTTTTAGACAGTGTAGAGTTGGATCATGCTTTTTCAAATTCTGTTCTGCCTATCTGCCTTCTAATTGGAGAGTTTAGTTCTAATAACCACGTTTTCTAGTTTCTGTATTTGATAACTGTGATATCTGGGACTTGTTGACCCTAAAGGGACTGCTCCTCCCAGGGTTAGCTAATTCCTAGCTATAGCAAACAACTCAGCTGTGAGCACCCCTTTCATTTGCAAACCAACCAATCCAGAACCCATACCACCAAATATCTCCTTTATCAGGCTCTCACTAATATCACACTAATTATCAGCACTAATCACAATAGGGCCAGGTAACAGACAGCTAGAAACAGCCTTTTATCCCTGAGCCATTGAAATGGTTCGAATTAGCCAATTCCAAACCTACCTATGCTGCCACACTTGTTTCTTCACACACACACACACACACACACACACACACACAAAAGCAAAACAAAACAAAAAAACAATAAAGCCTCTTGCCCTCATTTTTTTTTTTCTTCACTTGCTCTGCCCATGACTGACTCTGGTGCTTCCTCATGTGGCCCTGTGTGTTATGGTATACTTTCTGTTTCTAGGTATCTGTGATTATAAAAAGTCTTTCTTCATGACAGTCATTTTTGTGTCAGTATATCTTACCATATTTGATTAAAACAAATCCTGGGTACTTTTAAAACATTAATTCATTTACACTTAAAGTAATTATTGACAGGGAAGGATTTACTTCTGCCTTTTTGCTATTTGTTTTCTATGTATCTGCACCTTTTTGGTTCAATTCCCCATTACTGCACTTTTCTGTGGTTAATTGAATTTTTTTCTTGTGTACTTGTTTGATTCTGTTATTTCTTTTTTGCATATTTTTAAGTTTTTTTCTTTATTGGTTCCTCTGGGGAACACAATTAACATCTTCGTAGCACATTTTTCTTTTATATAACAATACCAATTTATTTTCAACACAAGAACTCTATTTTTTATAGCTCCATCCCCCCTTTATGTTGTTATTGTTACAAATAATATATTTTTACCAAGTGTGCATATTAACATAGTTTTATAATTATTGTTTTATGCATTTGTCTTTTAAATCATATAGGAAAAAAAGAGGAGTTATAAGCCATATATGCCATACTACTTGCTTTTATATTTTCCTGTGTAGCTACCTTACTGTTGTTCTTTATTTTCTCATATGACTTTGGCTTACATATCTTGTATCCCTTTATTTCAGCTTGGAAGTCTTGTAAGACTTGGCAGAGGTCAGTAAATACATATGCAAATGAATCTACCTTCTATGATATAAATGTACCTTAAATTATTCAATCAATTCCCCATTAATTAACATGAAATTATTTGTATGTTTTGCCACTAAAAGCAATGCTGCCTGCAATGAACATGCTTGTACACATACTTTTCTTTTTATAGATGAGATGCCTGAAAGTAAGGTTGCTTGGTCAAAAAGTATGTGTTCTTTTACATTTCCTAGCCTCCCTTGCACATATGTTGCAGCTATAGAATGTAACATAAGACACTTCTAAGGCTTATAAACAACCCCAGGTGATCCTTCTGCTATCCTTCTGGTAACTTTGGAAACCATGTATGCCATCTGGAATACCAGACTACAGGACAAATGCAGGTTAGATACCCAAAAAAGCAATAGAGCAGAGCCATGCATGAGAGACAATAACCCTCACTGAAATTATGACATGAAAGAATAATCAACTGTTTTTAAAATACAGATTGCATTTTTAAAAAATTAACTAAGCATAGTCTAGTCCATCCTAATATACTGATTTAAACACACTTCCAGTTTGGATCTCTTCTTTACAATTAAATACTTAACCAGTTTGATGGATATCCATTCAGAAATTTATATATCTCTGTTTTGCATTTTCACTAAAGGCTATCATAGAGAATCAACTGTCTTATTGCCTTTATTCAGCAATATTCCTGGAGATGCTTCAATATACGAATGTCATTCTTTTTAACTATTGTGTAGTTTTTCTTGGTATGGATGAACCACAGTTTGACTATTTTCCGATTGATACCTTAGTCTGTTTTTAATATTTTGGCTCTTACAAACAATGCCACAGTAAACATCATTTTTGCTTTCCCGTGCATATCTGTAAATATATCTCTACAGTAATTCAATGTAATGGAAGTGCTAGGTTGTATAGTTTGCACATATTTTACTGGTTTATCTTTTTCTTTTCCATTTCTAAAAGCTATTGGGATATTAGGGATATTTTCCCATTATCTGTCGTGGTATTACAAATATTTCTTCTCAGCCTATTTCTTCTCCTTGTACCTTTTATATTTTTTCCTTTATAACCTTCGGGTTTCTTTTTGCTTAAGAAGATAATCACTATCACGAGATTATAAAAATTGTTTTCTTGATTTTTATTGTGCTATTTCATTTTTGTTTCTCAGACTTTTTTATTTAATCCACTTTGGATACATTTTTGTGTATGCGGGGAGTAGGAATCTATGTTCATTTTTCTTTTGATTGAATAGTCCATAACGCTCAATTCTTAGGTTAATTTTTTTTGCAAATACACAAAAGCCTTAAGCAAATATGCATATAGCTATACATTTGCTCATAACTATGATTACTTTCTTAGGACAAATTCAAAGCAATAGAAGTTAGGTCCTAGAATATGAAAAATAGACAGCATTTCAACTTATTGTGAATAGAAGCACAAAAATGGATGCCATTATTTACTCTCTCATTCAGTATGAAAATGCCTACATCTGCAATAAAATTATCATAAGTAAACATTTGTTTGCCTATTTGGTAGTAATATCTTGTCATTTTTATTGTTTCTTTTTAGAATTGTCTTATTGCCTCCTAGGAAAGCTAAATAATGTTTATTCTCCAAATAGATTTATTTGGGTATCCTATTTATATGGGTACCCTACTTATGTCCTCTGCAGAATTTTTATGGTATGATACCCCCATTTTACTTTTTAGGAGCCCCTAATTATCAACTATTAACCAGTACGGTCTTTGATTATAAGAAGACTCCCTCTGTACAGCCCAGATGAAACAAAGTCTATGATGTTTATCAGGAAGTAGTGGAGACCATGATTTCATGGGAATCCCAAAATGAAGATTCCAGGGCCAAATGCACAGAGATTTTATCTCAGTGTGTTTGCACGTGTATGTGTGTATATGGAGAGATATGTGTTAGAATTTTACATTTTTGTTTAAAAGATGAGGTGTTGCTATGTTGCCCAGGCTGACATGCAGTGGCTATTCACAGGCATGATCATCGCACACTACAGCCTCAAACTCCTGGGCTCAAGTGATCCTTCTGCCTCAGCCTCCCCAGTAGCTGGGACTACAGGTGTGCACCAGCATGCCTGGCTAGAAATTTGCATTTTAGAAGCACTCCAGATGATTATAATGTAAGGAGATGACTTTTTGAGAGGGGCCAGCTATTTAACATTTGAATAATTTTATAGGCTGAATTTGGGGAATAATCCCTTTCTTACTGGGCTCCTTTTAAAAATATAGTTTCTAGAGGAGTTATTACCAACTTAATGTAATCAGAAGTAAAACTGGGCACTATAATTCTAAGTACACATTTATTAAATACCCACTGTATGTTAATTTATTAAATGCCCACTGTATGTTAATAAGATTAATAGATTAATAGAAGTATAATAAAAGATATGATGTCGTCTTTACTTTGAGATGCAAAATGTAAAAAATCCTGTTTAGAAATAATGCTTACATTTCTATACATTTACATATATATGCTTTGTAAGACTAATATATATATACTAATGTATATTAAGACTACATATTAATATATATACTTATATATGTAATGTAGACATTTATATATTATATATACTTACATATAATATGTAATATAGACATTTATATATTATATATACTAATATATATTAAGACTATATATATGCTTATATATTAGTCTTACAAAGCATATATATTAAGCTTAATATATATGTATTAGTATACATGTCTTACATAGCATATATATTTATATATGTATATGCACATATATATTTATATATGTATATGCACATACACATTTATGTGCATGTATACACACACACACACACACACACACACACACACATCTTAGTCTTATGAAGCATTTTTGCATGTTTCCAGGGAGAAAAAATGAAAAGCAGGGATTTGGTTTTAGATTTGTTTCCTATATCACATTGTGCAATTTACACATCTCCCAAGACTATTCTGAACACACTAAGTCAGGCCTGCCAGGAGCCTTCAGGAAGAGATTATCTCACAAGAGGACAAAGCCTCATTCCTTAGACTTAGAGCAGCAACTCTGAATACAGCATGATGCCTTTGACTTAAATTTATACCCTAGTCCAAATCCCAAGTGGACTCATCACATCTGACTCCTATGGAGAGGAAGGGTCTTGTGATTGAAAACAGATGGGGCTGTTTTACTAAGGGCTCTGAAAGACATTGTGGCCCAAGCAACCCTAGAGAAGTCCCACCTGTGTTAAATGTCACTATAAAGCACAGGAAGCTTTAGACGACAAGAGTCAGAGTTCAACCCACTGACGACTCCAGGGAATTCGGTTGGGTTTTGGCCCTGAATGACTGCAGTGCATCAGCAGCAGTGGGGCCAGCAGAGAGCACAGGGCCCAGCAGAAGAGGCAGCAGTGTTGGGCAGGTGTGGCAGGACCCAGGGGAGGAGACAGGGCTCAATAACAGAGGACTGATAGGGAAGCCCCCACCTCTGCCTACTGGACTTGTTCCGGAGTACAAGTTGAATCATGCCAGGCCCTCTCTGAAGTTATTGGTGTATTCTATAGTGGGTTGGGATTCTGTATGCACAGTGGGGAACAAGATCCCACTGAGCACAGCTGGTTACTGCCTCATTTCCTTCCCACAGCAGCCCTGTGAGGCAAATATTTTCCCTATGAAAAGACTGAGTCTTAAACGTGTGTATCTGTAATAATTACCAGTTTATTACTCTGGCTAAGAGATCCAGAGGTAATTGGAGGTTTACATTTCATTTTTACGCTTCTGTTATTGAGAGTTTATTAAGTGTTTCATTGCCTTCCAAAGGCGATTGACAAGTTCTTTTACTGTCTACTTTAGGGTTTTTTGTGACACAAGTAATATACACACATAAACATATATTCATTTTTTGGCAAGTGAGAAGATGCAGATAGGCAAAAAGAAAAAAAAAGAGATCACACAGAGATTCACTGTTAACCTTTGGTGTATAATAAAATCAGACACTTTCCTTTGCATTATGTCACATAGAAATGTACAAATAAAGTGTACATATATACACACATATATGTATACACTGTTTTGCAACTCGTTATTTTCACTTTGCAATATACAATGAGCATTTTTCCATGCAAATGAATGAGACCTCTTATTAAATGAATAAGATTGGGTCAAAAGATGAGATGTTGACAAGAGTCATATGTAAATCTCAGCAACATCGAATGACTGGAGTAAAACGATAGCAAATATTTATCAAGAAAGTGCAGACAAACAGAAAGCAGTGGCAACATTAATAACAGAAAATAATTGAATTGTCAGAGAAATTAATTAAATGGGATAAGGACGGTCCCGAGAATGCCTATGGTTAGAATGCAGAGCCCTAAATTTCTTTCTCAGACCCCTTATCTCTTCCAAACACCTTTCCATCTCATCTCCCTCCCTTGTCATTTCTTCATCTTTAAAATGCCTATAGTCTATGTCCTCTTTAAATTCTTCGAGAGACTGAAGCAGCCTCTGTCTAAAATTCCCTTCTGTTTGCTGGCGTTCAAATTCTCCATACGGGCGTTTTTCCTCCCTCTTTGGCACGCTGCACTTTGGCTTTCCTTCGTTTTCTTTGCAGGGTTTTTGCATGATGTTGTTGTTGTTTCCTGCTTAACTCTAGGGAGAAAATGTAAAGACAAATTGCTTCATTACTTTTGAATCACGATTGTCAGTTTCTCTCTGAGGCAAGATACTTTCCCATCTCTGCCCCACAGGTCCAGACCTCATAAGTCTGCGGCAGTTCCCTCCACCCTCTCATCTCCCCCTTTTCTCCCCTCCCACCTCAGGAACCCACCGTTTCCCCAGCAGACAAAGCTAATGGCCTCTCCAATAGGCAGGAGAGGCGGAGCAGAAAAGGAGATGGACTGCGAAGCCGCAAATTTCGCCTAGCTTTTGCCCCTTCCCGACTCCTATCCTCAGAGATCTCAGTCTAAGTGCCTCTCTCATACTGACCTGTGCGGGGTAGTTTCCTGCTCCTTTTCTTCCCCCAGATGTCTGTGAACACAGATCCTGGGACCTCCAAACAAAAAGGAAGGGGCGGGGAGGAAGGAGCTATCTGTGGATCAACCAGCTCCAGAGACAAGACAGACGTTATTATTTTGAACCTGGGATTCTCATCATCACCGTCATCGCCCCCCGGATTTCTACCTCCTGGCCCCTCCTTCCTGTCTGTATCCTTTCCTTCAGGATTTCCGTTTCCACTCCCCACTCCTCACCCTCAGGCCTGGGCCTTGCAAGGCCCGCGTCTCCCTCCTTCGCCCCGTCCCGCGCCCCACCCCACCACCACAGGCCGGCATTGAGTGAGGTGAACTATTTTCAAATGATCTCTAAATTTCTGTTGTCTCCATCCCGGGATTTCAGCCTTTCTCCACACACCAACACATACCCCAGGCCTAAAATTTTCTCTTAACAAAATTGGAGAAAGATGAGGAGAAGGATAAAAAGAAAGCATGCCAGGGTGAGAGAAGCCGATTATTTCAAAGCTGTCACTAAATCTCTAGGTGTCTCTCAAAAGATTTCGACCTACCCCCTTGCTTCCCCCTGCAAAAGATACAATTATCTCCGACGATTTTGCAGCGGTTTTGGGAAAGCAAGTCTGGACCTATTCCAGTCATTAGATTCACCCACTACTGACCCCGGGGGTCCAGTGGTTCCTTCACTCCAACCTGCTGGGATTTAAGGAATTTACCTCTTCCTTCCCTTGGCCACAAGCACGCACGGCACGCTTGTCTGCAGGGCAGTAAGGAGCTGGTACCCAGAGGAGAAAGAAGCCCGGGAATATAAGGACTTCGGTTCACGTCAGCTCCTGATCACGTGAGGATTATGTCATCCCCCATCTCTGGTCCCCACTTTCCCCTCCCACCAGCAGCGCTGCAGAAGTGGACCGGCTTACCAACCTCCCACCCCACACCACACCAGGCCCTGTCACTCATTTTTGTCTTTGCTAATTCCAGAGGTCAAAAGTGGCGCCTTCTCCCTGTGGTCAGAATTTGCCTTTCTCTGATTACCAGGGAGGGGCTGCATTTTCCCAAAGTTATATTAACCATTGTTACTTTTTTTGTGGTTGTGCTGAGAGGGAGGATTACTTATCCTTTTCTAAGCTACAAGAAAAGAAAAGTGGCAGTCTCCTCCATCCAATCGCCTCTCAGCCACTAATAGCCATCATTTCCCTTGGAGTCCAATCCTTGAAACCAGATTGGAGGGAATGGGGTGAATTAGGAAAGGAGGTAATGATTTGGATTGTGCTTCTTACTTTTGTTTTGATAATTTCTTATTCTTTTCCAATTTTTCCATAAACTTATTATATACTTTTAATAATCAGAAATATGATAAAGATATGTACATTTGGAAAAAGATTCCAGATAGGAGGATAAAAAGGCCAGCCACCTGTTTCTGCTGCTGAAGTCATAATATAAATATAGACCCTTTAGGCAGACATATTTTTTGAAGTTTAAGATGTACAGGTCAGTTGGAACCTACTCTTTTGAGGGGCTCCCGGGCATGTGAGGTCCTTCCATTAGGTGAGTCACTGAGACCATAATCCTACAGCACCTTGCCCTTAGATTTCCAGATCGCAACTGTAAGTCACAAATTTTAACTAGTTTGAGCTCAGTATCATGCCCTCTTTCTTCCAGTTTATACCATACACATAACCCTTTTTTCTTCAATACTGTACCCCTAATATCCCAACTTTTTTCAACACTCTCATTCAGAAAAGAATAGTTTTTCATTTTCCCTAGACATCTCCATCCTATTTATGTTTTCCATGACCTTATTTAGCCATACTGATGTATTGAAAGCTACTTGTAGTACTAACAAAAATTAGTCACATTTAGCCACCCAACACACTAAACTTTTTGTTGCTAAGGATTTGGGTACTTGTCTAAGTAGATTTGCTCTTGATTTGTTAGCTTGAAATATATGCAATAGAAAGGGAGATGTGTAAACTTCTCATAAGTTGTTTTTAGGAAGATTGCAGCTCATTATGAATATAAAGTTACCACTAATCAGTTTGATATAAATGACTCCAGAAAAAAGTTCAGTGGTCAGAAAAAAGTCTTAAAAACAGTAGAGCATCATTGTCACAGTTATTAAGGAATGACTAGTTGTGATAGAGGCAAAAAATTCGTTTGTGGGGAGAAAAATTCCTGAATCCTCTGTGAACAGCTTTTCATGCAGATGGTTAGACTCAGAGTTATAAAATGGCTGAAGGATTCGGGTGTTGAAGACTTTGCATATTAGTAAGAAGAATGGCATTGGACAAATCCTAGTTTGAATTAATTGTACTTACTTAGCTTTTGTATAAACTTGAATGTAAAACTTGGATACTGCAACTTCTCTGTGCTTCATCTATAAAATGAGGCTAATAGTTTGAAGTATCTCACAGAGTTTTCAGGACTAAATTACATATTTAATATGTGTAAAACATTTAATACATGACTGACAAGTACCAAGGCAGCCTGAAGCCTAAATATGTGGGGGCAGGTCTGGCACCAGGGATGGGGGAGGTGGGTGAAGCTGAAGCCTGCAGCCCAGGGGGTCAGTTTGGCAGTGGGGCAGGCCTAGACACTGAGTTTTTAGAGCAGGCCTGGAGCCTGGGGCTGTGGGATCCAGACTAGTGCTAAAGCAGGCCTGGAGGCTCAGTCTGCAGGTACTGGCCTAGAGTCTGGGACCATGGGGGCGGGTCCAGTGCTGGGTATTACTGGGATGGGCCTAGTGTTGGGATCCAAGAAAAAGTCTGGTGTTCACTTCCTTCTCCTTCCCCCAAGTGGATGGTACCTCCAAGCTGTGCAGCCTGGGGTTCAGGAAGGGGTGATGTGGGTAATGTAAAACTTTCCTTCCTATCCTTTTCAATGTGTTTTTTTCTTATTTCTGTTCTATACCCAGGTGCTGTAATCTGCCAACTGGTTTCCTTAGCTCTTGCGAAATTATTTTTGTGCCCAGATAGTTGTTCAGATTATGTTTCTGTGGGAGGATGAGTGCAGGAAAGTCCTGTTCTGCCATTTTGCTGACATCTAGCTCCTCACATCTCAATTAATTTTTAATAAGGCATGAAAAAAGGGTAAAAAGGAACAATAATAAGATGGGACATCTGCAAGCAAATAGCAAAATACTAGTTTTAAATCCAATTGTATTAATCATTACATCAAACATTAATTGCCTAAGCATGCCCGCTAAAAAAGAAGAGTGTAGTGGTTGACTTTGGGTGTCAGCTTGACTAGATTAAGGGTTACTCAGATAGCTGTTAAAGCATTATTTATTCTCAGTGCTTCAGTGGGCACTGAGCCAGTCTCTCTTCTGCTCAAAGGGAAACCTAGGTGATTTTGCTTTCGATTAAAATGATTGGGCTTCCTCAGGTGTGTCTGTGAGGGTATTTCCAGAGGAGATTTACATGTGAATTGGTGGATTGAGTGGGGGAAGAGGGCAGCCTCAATGTGAGTGGGCACCATCTAACCGGCTGAAGGACCAATGGAACAAAAAGGTGGAGGAAAGGTGAATTTTCACCATTTCTCTACTGGAGTTAGGAAAATCTTCTTCTGCTGCCCATGGACATCATAACTCCAGGTTCTCTGGCCTTTGAACTCCAGGAACTACACCAGCAGCCACCCCCCACAACCCTCACCATACACCCAACCTGGGGCTCTCAGACCTTTGGCCTCAGACTGATAATTACACCATTGGATTCCATGGTTCTGAGGTCTTTGGAATTGGATTGAGCCACACTATCAGCCTTCCTCACTCTCCGGCTTGCAGACAGACTATTGTAGGACTTCTCAGCCTCCATAATTAAGTGAGCCAATTCCCCTAATAAATCCCTTTTCATATATTTCTTTATGTATTCTACCAGTTCTGTCTTTCTGAGGAACACTGACTAAAACAGAGAGATTGACAGATTGGGTAAAAATGCCAAACCACTTGTTTGCTTTTTATAAGAAACAGGCTTTTCTTTTCTTTTCTTTTTTTAACTTTTATTTTAGGTTCATGAGTATACATACAGGTTTTTTTTTTTTGTTTGTTTTTTGTTTTTTGTTTTGAGACGGAGTCTCGCTCTGTTGCCCAGGCTGGAGTGCAGTGGCACGATCTCAGCTCACTGCAAGCTCCGCCTCCCGGGTTCACGCCATTCTCCTGCCTCAGCCCCTCGAGTAGCTGGGACTACAGGCTCCCGCCACCACGCCCAGCTAATTTTTTGTATTTTTAGTAGAGACGGGGCTTCACCGTGTTAGCCAGGATGGTCTCTATCTCTTGACCTCATGATCCGCCTGCCTCGGCCTCCCAAAGTGCTGGGATTACAGGCGTGAGCCACCGCACCCAGCCACATACAGGCTTTTTATATAGGTAAATTGCATGTCATGGGGGTTTGGTGTATAGATTGTTTTGTCACCCAGGTTAATAAGCATAGTACCCAATAGGTAGTTTTTTCTATCCTCACTCTCCTGCCACCCTCCACCCTCAAGTAGGCCCTGGTGTCTGTTGTTCCTTTCTTTGTGTTCATATGTATTCAATGTTTAGCTCCTACTTATAAGCAAGAATGTGTGGTATTTGGTTTTATGCAGAAACACATTTACAGACACACATTGGTTAATAGTAAAAGAATGAAAAAAGAAATAGTATGGAAACACAAATCATAAGAAAGATGGAATGGTTAGATTAATATCAGCACAGTAGATTTCAGAGCAAGAAATGTCCATGGACAGATGAATGAATAAATAAAGCATGGTATATACATACAATGGGATATTATACAGCCTTAAAAAGAAAGTAAATTCTGATACATGCTACAACATCGACAAACCTTGAAGACATTATGTTAAGTGAAATAAGCCAGGCAGAAAAGGATTGATATTTTACGTTTCCACTTATATGAGGTACCTAGAGTAGTCAAATTCATAGAGACAGAAAGTAGAACAGCAGTTGCCAGAGGCTAGGGGAAGCAAAAAAATGGGGAGTTACTATTTAACGGGCACAAAGTTTCAGTTTGGGAAGATGAAAAAGTTCTGGAGATGAACAGTAGTGATGGTTGCACAACAATTTGAGTGTACTTAATGCCATTGAACCATACACTTAAACATGGTTAAAATGGTAAATTTTAAGTTGTGTATATTTTACCACAATAAAAGCATATTTTATAAAAATGAATGGGAAACCTTTGGATTAAAAGAGAATTAAGAGACATATCAAGCAAGGGTAATGTGTGTTAGATCCTAACTGAAACAAATGTAACAAAAGAAACCATGATAATTTATGGAACAAGTGAAAATTTGAACACTGAATAGATATTTGATATTAAGGAGTTATTTTTAGGTGTAATAATGATATTGTGGCTAAATTTAAAAAGGGCTTATCTTTTAGATATACATACTGATACATCAACAGATGAAAATATATGCTATTTGGAATTTGCTTTGAAATAATATGGTAGGAAAGAAGTGGGTGGGAATAAAAACAGGTTGACCATAAATTGAAAATTGTTACAGCATAAAGGTGGATACAGTCAGGTTTTGTTTTATTTTTCTAAACTACTTTTGAATATATTTCAGATATAACTGACAAAAAACTAGTATCCAGAAAAAAATGTTCTGTTGAGAGTATAAATGATGCAATCACTTTGGAAAGCATTTTGGCATTATCTATTAAAAGTGAAGATACGGATACCTATAACCCAGCAATCCAACTTCTAATAAATACCCATTAGAGATGTATATGAATGTTAATGGAAACATTATTTGTAAATAACCAAAAATTTGAAAATAATATCCATAAAGATGAGAATGAATAAATATGTTATATTCATGAAATGATACAGTAAATGGCAATGAGAATGAACTAGATCTATACATAAAAACATGGATGGGCATAACTCACATAATTTGAGTACTATAAAGACTAAATAAATAAAAACAGTATGATTAAATTTACTTAAAGTTAAACTGCAGGCAAAAATAAATGGTTGGAAGGGCATTTATAGGTGGTAAAACTCTAAAGAACAACAAGGAAATAATGACTGTAAAAGTTAGGATAACGGTTACCTCTGGGAAGAAGGTAGTATTTTGTAATTAGTAAAAAAAATCACCTGATGGGTTACAGGTGCTTGCAAAGTTCTATTTCTTGACCTGAGTTTGGTTATATGTTACCTGGATGTTTGTTTTATAATTATTTATTTATGATTACTGCATTTTTTAATAGATGTGTTACAGCTCACAATTTAGCAGTAAAGACATGCTGTCGAGATAATTGGTTAATACTTTAGGATAATATAAATTTTCCCGATCCTAAAAAGACATCTGAATGAATTAAACATTTAGATGTTAAAAATTTGAAACAATAATAAGCTAAGAATAAATAATAAAAGAAAGATTAACTTACTGATAAGGCAAGAAAATGTATTGAAAAATTAGAATGTATGAATATGAAAATACAAGTTTTATGTGGGTGTGGATGAATAGGAAGTTCTCTATACTGTTATTGGGGGTAGAAAATGATGTTATAATTCTGAAAGCAAATCTAGCACATCTAAGGATTTACCTAAGGAACTAATAGGGAAGATCCTAAAATACAGTGGTATAAGGTGGCAAAAATATATTGAGTACCTGATCTTTGCACGAGCTTTGTTGGTGAAAAGCAAGCTTACTTTAAAAAAGGAAAAAGAAAAACTAAAAACAACCAAAATGTTCATCTATAGCCAATAAAATGTAGTTAACCATATAATAGAATATTATGTAGCCATTTAAAAAGATCAGGTATATCTAACATGTCTAATGTAAAATATTGCCAAGATACATTGTTCATGGTAAAAAGAATATAAAATAATATGAAAATAATACCAGATACATAAAAATATGTACTACCCTGTCAAACATGTTTATCCCTGGGTAATGAAATTTGACAAATGATAGGTCCTTACACCTATGGAACTCAATGAAAGGCGATCACAATAATTGATTGTATGTCCACTGATCTGTGTCAGTTTTGAGTGGATGGGTAGGTGGGAAGGATACCCATGAGGACATGGTATTTGCCATCTAGAGACCTCTGAAAAACCTCAGCTTTGGTGGTTTTCTGCTATGTGCCAAGCATAGGCTAGGTGCGTAAGCCAGTGCACTATCCCATGTAACCCCTCATCAGCCTATAAGGTAAAGATTCTTTTCTACATTTAACACATGAGAAATCTGATGCTTGTCTATGGTTACACAACAGATCATCTGCCTGTGTTGTCTCCTCCATGCCCATTTGGCTCAGTTATTAACCAGTTCCTGTGGGATTTATACCTGGGCTTCTTAGCAGCTCCTGGTGATTATCAACTATGTAAGAAAATAGATGCTGAGTGAGTTAGTACCCATGGGTAACTCAAAGTGTGCAGGATACTGACACAATTTGAAATGCAATGTTTACAATTTTTAAAATATGAATATTTAAAACAAATATTTTTAAAAGGTGGCCACTGAAGCCATTTGGAGTATTAGGGGAAGGGGGCAGAGGGGCTCTCTTGTCTATGGTTTTCACAACTAGATGTCTGAATTAGTCAAGGTTCTGCAGAGAAATAAAACCAATAGGGTGTGTGTGTGTGCATAGGCTCATGGAATAGATTCATGCAATTATGGAGACTGACAAGCCCAAAATCTGCAGGGTAGGCAGGCAGCCTGCAGACCCAAGGAGTGTTGATGTTGCAGTGCCAGTCTGAAGGCTGTTTGCCAGCAGAATCCCCTCTTGCTCAGGAGAGGTCAGTCTTTAGTTCTATTAAGGCCTTCAGCTGATTGGATGAGGCCTGCGCACATTATACAGAGCAATCTGCTTTACTCAAAGTCCACAAATTTAAATGTTAATCTCATCCAGAAAACACCCTCACAGAAACATCCAGAATAATGTTTCAGCCAATAGTAGGGCTTACCACTTCAAAGGAACAAATAGGAAAAGATAACTTATTTTGTTAGCTTAACGTTTTAAATTCAAGTTAATCATGAAAGCTTTTTTCCTCTGTAACCAGAGTGCGCTTTCATGCTATCTGGACTCACTTGAATAGGACTTACAGAGTATGTTCTCTGAATACCAAAAATGTACTTAATTAAAAAACAGAAACATTAAATATCTAGAAAAAGCCACAAATATTGTAAATAACCCATAGGTTAAATAAATAAATTACAGACAAAATAGAAATATTTCAAACTCAACGATAGCATATCAAATTTTGGAGATGCTGTTAAAATGGTGTTTAGGGAGAAATTTGTAATTTTAAATGCTTATATTAGAAAAAAAGAGAGGTCTAACATCGATTATCTAAATTTTTATGTACAAAAGCTAGAGAATAAAAGGATATTAAACCCAAAGTAAATAGAATAAAACAAATGAATATAGAAATATGTCATTATTTATGGATATTTTTGAGGAGACTTAATACCATATTGTTAAGATGTCAGTTCTCCTTTCCCAAGTGATCTTCAGATTAAATGCAATCACAATCAAAATCCAAGCAGGAGGGCCGGGCGTGGTTGCTCATGCCTGTAATCCCAGCACTTTGGGAGGCTGAGGCAGGCAGATCACTTGAGGTCAGGAGTTCAAGACCAGCCTGGCCAATAATGGTGAAACCTCATCATACAAATCCTACGGAAACTATTCCAAAAGTAGAGGGGGGACTACTTCCAAACTCATTCTACAAAGTCAGTGTTACCTTGGTATCAAAACCAGACAAAAGACACATCAGAAAAAAAAAAAAAGAAAACTACAAGCCAATATCTTTGATGAATATTGATACAAATAAACTTTAACAAAATACTAGCAAACCATATTCAACGATACATTAAAAAGATCCATTCATCATGTCCAAGTGGGATTTATCCCAGGGGTGCAAAAATGGTTCGACATACACAAATCAATCATTATGAAACATCATATTAATAGAATGAAACACAAAACCATGTGATCATTTCAATTGATGTTGAAAAAGCATTTAATAAAATTAAACATCCCTTCATGTTAAAAGCCCTACAAAAAACTGGGTATAGAAGGAGCACACCTCAACATAATAAAAGCCATATACAACAGACCTACAGCTAGTATCCTACTGAATGGGGAAAAAACTGAAAGCCTTTCCTGTAAGAACTGGAACAAGACAAGGATGCCATGTCCACTTTCACCACTGTTATTCAACATAGTACTGGAAGTTCTAGCTACAGCGATTGGACAAGAGAAACAAATAAAGGACATCCAAATTGCAAAGGAAGAAGTCAGGTTATCCTTGTTTGCAGATGATATGATCTTATATTTGGAAAAACCTGAAGACTCCACAAGAAAACTATTAGAGCTGATAAACAAACTCAGTAAAGTTGCAGGATAAAAAATCAACACACAAAAATCTGTAGCATTTCTGTATGCCAACAGGAAACAATCTGAAAAAAATACAAAAAAATCCCATTTACAAGAGCCACACATAAAATAAAATGCCTAGGAATAAACTTAACCAAAGGAGTAAAACATCTCTATAATGAAAACTATAAAACACTGATGAAAGAAATTGAAGAGGACACCAAAAATTCAATATTGTTAAAAAGTCCGTATTACCCAAAGCAATCTACAGATTCAATGCAATCCTTACCAAAATACCAGTGACATTCTTCACATAAATAGAAATAACAATCCTAAAATTTATATGGAACCACATCCTGAGCAAAAAGAACAAAACACGAGGAATCACACTACCTGACTTCAAACTTCACTACAGAGCTATACTAGCCAAAACAGCGTGGTACTGGCATAAAAACTGACACATAGATGAATGAAATAGAAGAGAGAACCCAAAAACAAATCCACAGACCTACAGTGAACTCATTTTTGACAAAGGTCCCAAGAGCTTACACTGGGGCAAAGATGATCTGTTCAATAAATGGTTCTAGGAAAACTGGATATCCATCTGTAGAAGAATTAAACTAGACTCCTATCTCTCACCATATATAAAAATCAAATAAAAATGGATTAAAAACTTAAATCTAAGACCTCAAATTATGAAACTTCGTTGTGAAAACCTCTGGAAAACTCTCCAGGACATTGGTCTGGGCAAAGATTTCTTGAGTAATACCCCACAAGCACAGACAGCCAAAGGAAAAATGGACAAATGGGATCATATCAAATTAAAAAGCTTCTGCACAGCAAAGGAAACAATCAACAAAGTGAAGAGACAACCCACTGAATGGGAGAAAATATTTGCAAATTACCCATATGACAAGGGATTAATAACCAGACTACATAAGGAGCTCAAAGAACTCTAAAGGAAAAAAATCTAATAATCTGATTTAAAAATGGGCAAAAGATTTAAATAGACATTTCTCAAAAGAAGACATACAAATAGCAAACAGGTGTATTGAAAGGTGCTCAACATCATTGATCATCAGAGAAATGCAAATCGAAAGTACAATGAGATACAATCTTACCCCAGCTAAAATGGCTTTCATCCAAAAGACAGGCAATACCAAATGGTAGCAAGGATGTGGAGAAAAGGGAACCCTCATTCACCATTGATAGGAATGTAAATTAGTACAACCACTATGGAGAACACTTTGGAGTTTCCTCAAAAAAACTAAAAATTGAGCTACCATACAATGCAACAATTCCTCTGCTGGGTATGTACCCAAAAGAAAGGAAATCAGTATATCAAAGAGATGTCTGTACTCCCATGTTTGTTGCAGCACTGTTCACCAATAGTCAAGATTTGGAAATAACCTAAGTGTCAATCAACAGATGAGTGGATAAAGAAAGTGTACGTATACACAATGGAGTACTATTCAGCCATAAAAAGAATAAAATCCTCTGATTTGCAACAACATGGATGGAACTGGAGGTCATTATGTTAAGTGAAATAAGCCAAGCACAGAAAGTCAAATATTGCATGTTCTCTCTCTTTTGTGGGAGCTAAAAATTAAAACAATTGAACTCATAGAGATAGAGAGTAGAAGGATGATTACCAGAGGCTGGGAAGGGTATTTGGGGGTGGGGGGTGGGAAAGGAGGATAGTTAAAGGGTACAGACAAATAGAAAGAATAAAACTATAGTAAAAAATGATTTGATTGTTCATTTTAAAATAACTAAAAGAATATAATTGGGTTGTTTGAAACACAAAGGATAAGTGATTGAGGTGATGGATACCCTATTTTCCCTGATGTGATTATTTCATTTTGCATGCCTTCATCGAAATATCTCATATAACTCATAAATATATACACCCACTATGTACCCACAAAATTAAAAAATAAAAAATAAGGAAGTAATTGTGTTAAAAAGTGTGTAGGTTAGTGAAATAGTATAAGGTGAACACTCTTGTTACCATCACTCAGATAAAAAGATGAAAATTTCCCAGCCACCTTAGAAGCCCCTCCATGTACCTCTTCCCTTTTCCAAAAAAGCAACTACTATTTTGACGTTTATAGTAATCACTTTCTTTGGTTTCTTTGTGGTTTTATCTCCCAAGTGTGCATTGCATAGCTGGACACTACAGTTTAGAGTTTAGTCTTGCTCATTTTAAATTTTTTATGGTTATTTAAAGTATTAATCTACAGATTTTCTGTCCTTCTCTTGCTTTTCCTTACAAATTATTTGTGGAATAACCTGAGCTATTTGACTTGTACAGTTTCCCACAATACTGGATTTTGCTGTCTACTAATGGTATAGTCCAACCTGATCCTCTTTCCTAAAAATTGGCAATCATATTCAGGGGTTTTATTAGACTTGGATATGATCTCTTTGGATTAATAAGCTGTATTGTTTTCTTTCACGAAGAAATAAATGCTCTTTTTAGTATTTATCAGCCATTGATGTTTAATGCTATCGAAGGAAAGCCTGTAGTTGTAATGTGCTTAAGAAAATGTAGTGTGGTGGCCTCCAGCAAGCAGCTAATGAGTTCCCCCCTCACACTTCTTGCAATGCAGTTTCTATAAACACCAAAGACTTAATTTTAAAACTATATATGTACACACATATACATATGTATACATACATACATGAATACATAGGTACATATATAGATTTTTAATTAAGACACACACACTCACAGAGATATCAAGGTACAGAGCTTTAAATATTGACTACAACAAAGAGTTTGCCTTTGTCTGGATGATACAATTTGGTAACTACAAGTGTATGGGTGCTAACTTTACTTTTCAGTCCCTTGTTGCTAATTCACAGTCATCTTTGAGTGAGAGAATAGAAGGATATTAAACCCAAAATAATGTAAAACCCAAAATGCTCTTAATATAAATTAATCCTACCAGTCATATTAATTTTTCTGGTCACTCTGTCTTGAAATCTCAGAGCCTTGTTTGATTTTTACCCCTTCCCTAAGCAACAAGTCCGTCTTTCTTCACTCTGATGGCTGAATCTGTCACTCTCCTGGTTTAGGCCCTTATCATCTTACATATGAACTATTAGGGCAGCCCATTCTCTGGTGTTTCTCCCTCCATTGTCACCCCCTCTCCTTCAGAGAGTTTTAGGTAAGATATCCAAGCCTCTCCTTCAGAGAGGTTTAAGTAAAATATCCAAGGTTACATAGCTGGTTAGTGCCAAGCCTGGGAATTAATCCAGTTTTAGAATGAGGACTGTCTCAATACATCCCTATGTTTTCTCCCATCTTCTTCATTCAACCTCCTTCCCTTTGTTCACTGATGAGTCAATAGTTATTTTGGAGGCTCCCCAGATGCCCAGAACTGCCCTGTGTACTTTGGATGAAAAGGGCTGGGTCTCAGAGCAAGGGTCTACACTGGTGAGAAATCTACTCTCTCTGGGTGGGCTGAATAACCCTTCATATGGGGCCATATGGAGAAAGGACTAAAGGGAGGGGTTGACTGTCAGGCCAATAGGTTCTAGGGGAAGGCAATGCCAGATTGGCCCCAAATAGAAAAAGCCTCAAGGAGGAAAAGTACTTGACCTGAGTCTCAGAGGATGGGCAGGGTGTAGAATTAGGATGGGAAGAAGGAAGGAGACCTGACTGAAGGGACCCAGGCGCAAGTTGCCTTGGCCTGTTTCATGCTGCTTGTGGATTGAAGTCCACTTTCTCCTTCTTTGGAAGTGTCTATGGATGATGTCTATTGTCTGAAAGTGGTTCACTGCAAGCAGTTTATGACATGAAGTCAGAAAATCTGTGTTCTGCACTTTCGTAAGGCCTTTCTTGCTTATTTTCAAGTCATGAAATCTGAATTTTTCAATCTTTCTGTATAGAACTTAGACAAATGCATTAAAAATATACATCTACCTTGAGCCCACAAATCCATTCCTAGATATCCATAATCAATGATACTTATAAAATTTAACTACAACAAAGTTATAGTGAATATGGTTGATCAGGGTGGCTTTATACTATACTGATTCTTAGATAAAAATAGAGAAAAACCTTATGTTTTACACTATATTGAGTTTTGTGTGGATGTATTCCAGATTATCAACTTTGCCAAAGTTTGGTTGCTGATTGTAACCTTATTGCATCGCTCATTTTAGCCAAGAGCACTAGTTGTCCCCAGAGACAATGTATTCCACCTTCCTTTAGGTAATAGGACTTTGCTCCCCAAAGTTTTAGAAGAGCTCTTGGCTTTGTTTGTTTCTGTTTGAGAGAGGATATCCCTCTGTCGCCCAGGCTGGAGTGCAGTGGCATGCTCATGGGTCACTGCAGCCTCGACCACCTAGGCTCAGGCGATTCTCCCACCCCAGTCGCCCTAGTAGCTGGGTCAACAGGCGCGCGCCACTACACCTGGCTAATTTTTTGTAGAGACAACGTCCCGTTATGTTGCCTAGGCTAGTCTCAAACTCCTGGCCTCAGCCTCCCAAAGTACTGGGATTACAGGCTTGAGCCACCTCGCCTAGAAAAACTCTTGATGACTCAACTAGAAACTAACATTTCCCAGCATCCTTTGAAACCAAGTATGTCTACTTGTCCAAATTCTTTGCAATGGAATGTGAGTAGATGTGGAGTGTACAACTTCTGTGTCATTTCTACAAAAGAGAATTGTTTGCTTTCTACTTCCTCTTTCCTCCGTCCTGCATTCTAAAACTCAGAAGAAATACAAAATCAACACTCTAGGAGATGGTAGAGCAACAAAACAGAAGGCACCTAACCTCATATAGTCATATAGTAGACAAATCCACTTGCCCCAAACTCCCTTTCTTTTTTTTTTTTTTTTTTTTTTGGAGTCTCGCTCTGTCGCCCAGGCTGGAGTGCAGTGGTGCGATCTCGGCTCACTACAAGCTCTGCCTCCCGGGTTCACGCCATTCTCCTGCCTCAGACTCCCGAGTAGCTGGAACTATAGGCGCCCACCACCACGCCCGGCTAATTTTTTGTATTTTTAGTAGAGACGGCATTTCACCATGTTAGCTGGTCTCGATCTCCTGACCTCGTGATCTGCCCGCCTCGGCCTGCCAAAGTGCTGGGATTACAGGCGTGAGCCACCGCGCCCGGCCCCAAACTCCCTTTCTATCTCTGGACTATTTTGTGTGAGAAAACTACACTTTTGTTTGAGAGAAGAAATTCTCTCTTGTTTGAACCATCGTATGTTTGGGGCCTCTACATTATAGTAGCTTATCCTGTATCGTAAGCACACTTGTGAAAGAAGTGATAGAAATTGATCATCACGTTTTTCTGACATGGAAAAATGAGGTTAAAATGAATTTATGATATATGTTCTGCACATTTTTCCTAGTTTGTATTTACTTATATTTTTGTTTCTGGTGGTTTTATGTGTAGAAATTGTTTTAATATCCTATTATGTAAGTATGTTCAGAAATAAGAAATGATTATATTTTATCTACTACATTCCATGTTTATACATATGTATGTATAAATATTAGAATCCCATTGATCATGCTGTTTCTAATCTAATTTGCTATTATTTAAAGTATAAATAATGAAAAGTTTTCTTTATCATTAAATATCCCTTTATAGCATATTTTTATCTTTTTATGGAACTCGATATGAATATGTAATAACTTATTTAAGCCAAATAATCAATATTGGCATATTTTGTTTTTCCCATTGTTTTACTGTTATATGTTTTACTACCATGAATATCTTTAAGCATAAACCTTTTCACACATTTAGATATTTGTTGTAGAATAGAATGTAAATAGTGAAATAACTATGTCAAATAGTACGAATATTTCTAAAATTTTGAATAATTACTGTCAAATTGCCTTCTATAAAGAATGTACCAAATTACCTTCCCAGCTATAGTGTGAAAATTGTTTTAGATTTAACAATTTACTATGACAAGAATATCTATTTGTTTTGCATTTAGTCAATAAAGTATAAATACATATGTAAATGTGCCCAAATTAGAAATTTATAGCTCAATGAAGTTTCACAAAGTAAAACCATTGAACCAGCATTTAAAACAAAACAACAAAGAAAAATAGAACATTACCAACACTGTAAAATCCTCATTCCAGTACTAAAGACTGCTACTACCGAGAATTCTAACATCACAGATTAGTTTTGCCTGTGTTTAAACTCATATAAATGGAGTTACACATTAAATACTCTTTTCTTCTCTCTGACTTCTTTATATTAACATTATGCTTGTGAGGCCTATCTATATTGCTTGTAGTTGCAATCTGTACATTTTCATTGTTGAATAATATTCCACTGTAAATACATAATTTATTTATACATTTTCCTGATAAAAATATTTGGGTATTTGATAATTGTTGGCAATTTTTAAAATGCTATTACAGATATATGTGTAAATGCTGTTTGGTAGACCAGTGAACACATTATTAGCATAGGGATATCTAGAGCGAAATTGTTCAGTCTTAGAGTATACATATGTTGATTTTGACTATATTCTGCCAGTTTTCCAAATCAGTAGTACCAGTTCTAGTTGTACCACATTCTTGTAAAATACTTGGTGCTTTCTGTCTTTATTATTTTAGACAGTCTGGGTGGTGTTCAGTGACATCACATTTTGGCTGTAATTTGCATTTCTCTTAAAAAGTAATGAAGTTGAACAACTTTTCAAAAATTATTGAACATTTATTGTATTAAATGTTCTGTTTTGTGAAGTGTTGTTTTTAAAGATATTTTCCCATTTTTCCATTGTATTATCTTTCCTTTTCTTACTTATTTTTAAGAGTTCTTTATATAATACATTATGGACATGAGTCATTTGTTAGATATATTTGTTGCAAATATCTTCTCCCAGTTTGCAGGTTGCTTTCTCATTCTTTTAATGGTGTTGTATGATAAACAATTTTTTTTTCTTTTTTGAGACAGAGTCTCGCTCTGTCGCCCAGGCTGGGGTTCAGTGGCACAAGCTCGGCTCATTGCAACCTCCACTTTCTGGGTTCAAGCGATTATCCTGCCTCAGCCTTCCGGGTAGCTGGGATTACAGGCATCCGCCATCATGCCTGTCTAATTTTTTTGTATTTTTGTAGACAGGGTTTCACCATGTTGGCCAGGCTGGTGTTGAACTCTTGACCTCAGGTGATCTGCCCGCCTCGGCCTCCCAAAATGCTGGGATTACAGGCATGAGACACTGCGCCAGGCCTAGAAGTTTTTTGTTTGTTTGTTTGTTTTAATATGAATAAAGTGCAATCCATAATCTTTTTCCTTCATGCTTAGTGCTTTTTGTGTCCTGTTTAAGAAAACTGCTTACTCCAGAGTCATGAAGGTGATCCCCTGAGTTTTTTTACATTAGGATTACATTTTTACCTTTCCCATTTGGGTCTGCAATCCACTGAGGTTTTTTTTTTTTTTTTTTTTTTTTCGTTTTTGTTTTTAATGTATTATGTAAGGTGGAATCAATATACATCTTTTCCCCATATGGATATCCAACTAATCTTTTCAAAACCACTTTTGAAAAGAAAAATGCTTTCCCCCACTTCATTGAACTGTCATCTTTATCATAAATTAGGTGACTGTATAGGTAGGTATGTTTCACAGGTCCATATAAGATAGACACACACACACAAACACAGACACATTTTAATCTTTGAGACAATATCATACTCATAAAATTGTATTAAATTTTGATATCTAATAGTGGACGTTTTGGAGCTTTCTCCATCTAAAAGGCTGTCTTAGCTATATTTGACTCTTTGTATTTTCTTTTTCTTTTTATTTTAAACAGAGTCTCACTCTGTCGCCCAGGCTGGAGTGCAGTGGCGCAATCTCCGCTCACTGCAACCTCTGCTGCCCGGGTTCAAGCGATTCTCCTGCCTCAGCCTGCCAAATAACTGGGATTATAGAAGCCTGCCATCGCGCCCAGCTAATTTTTGTATTTTTAGTAGAGCCAGGTTTCACCGTGTTAGCCAGGATGGTCTGGATCTCCTGACCTCGTGATCCGCCCACCTCACTCTCCCAAAGTGCTGGGATTACAGGCGTGAGCCACCGCACCAGGCCCGGCTCTTTGTATTTTCATACACATATTTGGAGTCTGCTTATCAACAAAAAGTGACCTGTTGAGATTTTCATATGGATTGCACTGAATTTACAGATGAATTTGGGTATAATTGACATCCTTAAAATATTGAGTGTTTTCATCTATGATCATGGTAATCCCTATACTTAGTTATTCTTTAATGTTCTTGAAACTATTTTATAATTTTCAGTGTAGAGGTCTTGAAAGTATTTAATTAGATTTATTTCTATATATTTGATTTTTAGCAAAACTTATTGGGCTGTATTTTACCTACAATAAGATACACACCTTTTAACTGTATAGTTCAATGATTTCAACAAATGTATTTGTCAATGGAGTCACTACCCCATTAAGATACAGAATGTTTTCCTCAGCTGAGAGAGTTCCATTATGCCTCTTTGCAATCACAAAAACCTCAACTTTCAAGCCAGGCAAAAACTGATTTGATTCAACTTATATCAGTACAGATTAGTTTTGCCTGTTTTAGAACTTATATAAATGCAATCATGCAGAAAACACTCAATTGTGGCTGGTATCTTTATAGATACAAATTTTTTTCATTTTTTTGAGATTCATCCATGTTATTGTTTGTATCAGTAGCTTGTCACTTTTTTATTGCTTAGCAGCGTTAAAATGTATGAATACATCACAATTTGTTTATCACTTCACTTGTTGGACATTTAGTTTTTATCAACTTTGGGACTATCATAAAGGAAATTTCTATGAACATTCCTATGCAAATATTTTTGAGAAAATATGTTTTAAATTCTGTTGGGAAAATTCCGAAAAGTGGAATTTCTAGGACATATGGTAAGTCTAACTTTTCAAGAAACTGCCACCAAGTCTCAGAGTGGTTGAACTTCTCACCAACAATCAGTGAGAGTTTCTGCTGTTTAGTATTTTCAAAAGTGCTTGGGACTGTCAGACTTTAAGTTCAGCAATTATAATGGGTGTGCAGTGATTTTTCATCCTGGCTTTATTTTACATTTCCCTGATAGTTAATGAGGTTGAACATCTTTTCATGAGCTCATTGGTAATTTGTGTGTGTAGTTTTGTGAAATGTTTATTCAGATCTTTTGATCATTTTTACTGCATTATTTGCCTTCTTATTTTATGTTTTCGAAGTTCTTTATATATGCTCTGAATTCAAAACCATTGTCAGATACAAATACTGTGAATATTTACTCCCAGCTTCTCACTTCATTTTCTTAACCATGTGTTTTAAATGGTAGAAGTTTTTAATTTGGATAAATCCAATTTCTTATTTTTTTCTTTTGTGATCTGTTCTTTTTGTGTCCTAAGGAATTGTTTTCTCAAAGATTGTAAAGTTTTTCTGTATGTTTTATTCTAGAAGTTTTCTAATTTGAGCTTTTACATTTAGGCCTAGGATCCATTTTGAATTAATTTGTGTATAGTATAAATAAAAGGCAAGGCTCCTTTTTTTCCTTTAAGAATTCTGTTATTTCAGCACCATTAGTTTAAAAGACTATACTTTCCATATAGAATTACTTTGATATCTTTGTCAAAAACTAATTAACAACATACGTATGGGTCTATTTCTGGAGTCTATTCTGTTCTATTGATCTACAGGTCTATGTTTACTACTACACTAACTTTATTATTACACCTTAAGTCTTGAAATAATATAATGTAACTCTCAAGATTTGTAGGATATTTTAAAAAAATTATTTGTCTATTCTAGGTCCTTTGCATTTTCAAATAAATTTATGAGTACGTTTGTAATATTTATCTTGTAGCTGCAACCTTCTTAAAATCAATTCTTACTCCTATAGTAGGTTTACCGTAGATGTCTCTGGATTTCCTAAATACATGATTACTTGATCTTTAAATAAAGACATACTTATCGTTTGAACCAGAAATTTGTGAAAAAGGCCTTTTTTTTCCTTTTAGTTATGAAAACCCAACAAGGTTCTGTAGCACTACAACTCACTAGCTCATTTCATAGAAGGGCCTCATGTGTCCAGGGGCCCCTCAAAAGGGGAGCCATCAGCTGCCCTGTCCTTTTCCAAGTTCTAAAAAAGCAGCTGCGTGTAGAGTCTATATTTATATAATGACTTAACAGGACAGGTGGTTGGGACATTTTGCCCAACTTTAATCCCGTCTTTCAAGTAAAAATAACTTTTTTTCCTTTTTAAAGAAGTATATTAATTTTTTGTGTTTTACAAAAGAAATAATACAGAAAAGGTATTAAGAATGAGAAAAGCCTACTCTCTTGTGCTCCTTTCCTGATACACCTCTTCCACTCATTTTAGTGGAGAGAAAACGGAGAATATTGGTAGGAGGACAGAAGGAGGTAGACAGGCAGAAGGAGGTGAATCCTGGGAGCCAAGGGCAGAGAGAGGCAAGTCCCCAGAGAAGTGGGAATGGCCAACAGCTCCCTGAGAAGATACCTTCCGTCCTTCCTGGGCAAGCAGGGGAAGTCTCAAGAATATACAGAGAAGGAAGAGTGGCAGAGCCCAGGCTGGGGATGTTAAAAGGGACTCCCGGTGAGGATGGGGGCGGGCCCGAAAGCACCACCTGACTCCGGGCTGCAGGAGGGGGCGTGGGACGGGGGCGGAGCCTCTGGCGATGACAACAGCCACACGTGATCGGCCAACACTGAGTCTTACCTCGTTGTGGCGTCAGAACCGCCGTCGCTCGCTCCCTTCTCGGCAGTGGTACCTGTTCCCGGTGTCCCTGAGGACGTGCGGGCCAGGTACGGCCCCGAAAGTAGGAAGCGGAGGGGGAGCAGGTAAGGGACCCGGAGGGGGTCCCTGGGGTTGGTGTGGGGGAGCAGCCCCGGCCTGCGGATGCCCCATCCCCGGGCAGCAGCGCGGAGACGCAGCCGGTCCACGATGCAGCCCCGGGGCCCCGCCGCGGGACCGCGAGCCTTGTGTGAGCGGAGGGGTGCCCGGCCCCGCGGGAGCCGGCGATCCTGAGGCTACGACCTTTCGGAAGCACCTGCCTCCGTCACCAGCGCAAGCTTTTCCAACACCCCTGCTCCGCCCTTCTTGATGCAGAAAATGGTGGTCAGCTTGGGGGGCTGGGCGGCTGAGGCGGGGGGCGAGAGCGGCTAGGAGGGCCCGGGCCCGGCGTGGGGAAGGGGCCGGGTGGCGGCGGGTCCTCTCTAGCGTTCCGCTGCAGCAGCCCCCACTCTTCCCACCCCGGCCGTCTGCAGGTTTGCGGGGCCAAGTGTTGCGGCGACGCACCTCACGTCGAGAATCGGGAGGAGGAGACTGCAAGGATAGGCCCAGGTCAGTGCGAGGGACGGTGGTGGGGAGGGGGTCAGAACATGAGGAAAGCCCAGTCTGAGACCCCAATCCGTGCCTTCACCCCCACACTTAGCAATCCCCCACCCCCACCCCTTCTTCGTCCTCCATTTTGGTGCCTGCAGAGGCCTGGAGATGGATCTGCAGAGAAGATGGTGGGCTTTGCGGGAGAGAAGGGCACAGACTGGCTCCCCTCGCCCCCCCGAGGGTACATGGGGCCTCTCTGGTGGAAAAAAAATGAAATTTAAAAAAGGCCTTTGAAATCCAGGGCTCTGAATTTTGAAAGGTGGGTAGTCGGGCCTCTGTCCTCGGTGCTGATCAGTTCACCAAGAATTGAGTCCATTTTCTCTCTGTCTCCTAGGAGTAATGGAGTCCAAAGAGGAACGAGCGTTAAACAATCTCATCGTGGAAAATGTCAACCAGGAAAATGATGAAAAAGATGAAAAGGAGCAAGTTGCTAATAAAGGGGAGCCCTTGGCCCTACCTTTGAATGTTAGTGAATACTGTGTGCCTAGAGGAAACCGTAGGCGGTTCCGCGTTAGGCAGCCCATCCTGCAGTATAGATGGGACATAATGCATAGGCTTGGAGAGCCACAGGCAAGGATGAGAGAGGAGAATATGGAAAGGATTGGGGAGGAGGTGAGACAGCTGATGGAAAAGCTGAGGGAAAAGCAGTTGAGTCATAGTTTGCGGGCAGTCAGCACTGATCCCCCTCACCATGACCATCACGATGAGTTTTGCCTTATGCCCTGAATCCTGATGGTTTCCCTGAAGTTAATAGGGAGACCCCTGCTTCCTAAACTTACACATTTGTGGTGTACCTTTGTCGTAAACGTTTTGATGTTACCTATTTCTTGTGGGTCTCCTATTACCAGCTTCTAAATGAATGTTGTTTTTGACCCAGTTTGTAAGTTTCTGTCAGCAGGAGAGTTTTACCTATTGCATGGAAAGATGCTCATTATATATTGTGAAGTTAATAAAACAGTTTTAAAAAGCATTCTCTGCATTCTTTTTTACTTTAAATCTTAAACATGCACCTAAACAGTCATATATATATATATATATATATATATATATATATATATATATACACACACACACATATATATAGTAAATAGTGTTTATCTCTGTGGTAGAATTAAGAGGGAGTTTATTCTTGCTTACCCATAATTTCTTATTTTTCAAAATGGAACACGTATTACTGATAAAAAGCAATGTGACCACCTTATAAAAGCGATGTGAGCACTTACTAAACACTTGTGACAGAATCTCAATTTTAGCTTGCCTCTGGGTTCTCTTTTTAGAAATGTAAGAGACACATCTCTTTGAAGATAATAATATTTATCAGTAAGATGAAGACAATCACCTCCCAGGCTTGTTGTATGGACCAGATAAGGTAATGAGGTTGTGAGCTTTCTCCCAAGTTCTTGTTCTTACTGACATGCATGACCCAACACTTTAGATATTCCCTTCTGTTATTAGAGGAAATTTCCAAGGTGAGGTCTTCCCTATATTCACAAGTCCAGTGGACTAAGGAGTAGGTACTTTCATTCCTCTGCTGCTGTGCTCTATTCTCATCATCTCCCCTGGGTATTACTCTGCTAGGTTTTGCTCCCTACACTGGCTCCTACCAATGCAGATGTTCAGAAATCCTGAAAGTGAGAAAGTCCCACCAATTTCTCTGGAATTTCCAGTGGATTGAATCCTTGCTCTACTCTACAAAAGAGTGGACAAATCCCCTCTCCCTGCTTTGTTTCATGGAAAAACATTGTCTGTCTAGATCTTTCCTTACAGGTAGTTCTCTCCCAGGAAACCTCCTCCTCAGTATAGCAGACTATAAGATGTGTGAGGAAACACAGCCCACTTTCAATCTGAGATAGTCCCACCTCATACCAGCTCACATTTACCTGAAATCCATGAATGTACAGAATTTTGTTATCTATACAGAGTTGGACATCAGGAAATCACTTAGTGAATAAATGGATACACAAATGAGATCTTTATGAGAAGTCTACGGGAAGACAATTGGGGTTAAGTGTCCCAGCAGAACTAGGGAAATAAAATCCCCCTCAGTTTGTGCTAATTAGATGAAATACACACATTTTATGTATGAAGACAGTCTTATAAACTTAAAGTTAGGATTCCAGAACAGGGGTTGGCAAACAACCCATGGGCCAAATCTGGCCCACTGCCTATTATTTGGCCTATAAGAATGATTTTTACATTTTTTAAAGGTTGAAAAACTTGAGAATATTACACCAAAACTATGAAATTCAAGTTTTGGTGTCCATAAATTTTTACTGGAACAATGGTCTGCTTATTGATTTACATGTTATCTATGGCTGTTTTTGTACTACAGTGTCAGAGTTGAGTAGTTGTGAAAGAGATAGTATAGCTTGCTTACAATGACTACATATTTTTTTTCTGGTCCTAACAGAAAAAGTTTGCCACTCCTGTTCTAGAATATAACATTGCAATAGAACTTGTGAAACCAAAGGGGAAAAGTGGACAGGCAGGTGAAAATGTCACATAACATCACAAATCCCAGACTTCATGAATCAGATGCTTTAGTAATTTCAAAGCTCTTTCTCCTCCTGCAGGCACTTAAGACACAAGACAGAAGATTATAGAGAGGCTAGAGTTGAAAGGTCAGGAAAATTGATGAACAGAGAGGCTTATGTCCTACCAGACTTCTTACTCTTGATTGTCAGTGTTAGCACCAGCTTCAATGGAAAAAAAAGTGTTCATGAGGAGAAATTAAGTTCATGTGTGAACTGATATCATACCCATGATAGAAGATGAGACACACATATGCCCATAAAAATGCATATCTCTTCTATGTCTAGGCAGATTGAAGTTGCCCTGTCAGTTTCTCAGAGAAAGTTGGGTTTAAGATTCTACTCTATGAAGAGAGTCTTCTGCTAACCAGTTTCTCTTGGCTCTTAACACAGTGTTTGTGTCTGAAGGCGCAGCTGAGGCTGTAGCATGTGAGTGGTCAGGCTCCATATAAAATGCTCAAGCAACTACCAGTAACCAGCAGACAGTGAGCAAAAGGCAATAGAGAGCAGAGCATAACATTCCCTCAAGGGGAGCAGCTATAGCTAAGATTCTGAAGGCATTTGCCTATATATCATTTCTATAGGTTATATGGTGAGCCTCCTTTTCTCCTTTACTGTGGCCATTCTTCACAAAATGTGTAAATTCTTCCCATAAAAGCCTACAAATTCTGGCAAAGAGCAGACAGGGAGCTTAGAGAGTGTGCCTTGGTTCTCAAAGAAAAACGATGTTCAAAATGGATGTTTGAGATGTAGATATGGATTAGACCATTTGGGTTTAGCACATCATGTACATCTAGTAAATACTTGTTGAATGAATGAATGAAAAACTGGACAAGAGAAATATTCATTTAGTGCTATTCAGCAAATAGTAACAATTAATACATTTTTGGATCCTTACGTATTTCTAACAAAATTGAGATAATGTAGATAATATCTCATAACTTTCTAACAAAACAGTTACTCGTTTTTTTTCCTTAAAACATTCAAGTCCATTGAAGGAAATGTAGAAAGTAAACTTAAAGGCTATTGTATGACCAAAGAAAGCACGGCAGTTTGAACATTCTAGTTCAGTGTAGGGCAAGGACACAGACACTGGACTCTTCCAGGAATTCCAGATAGCATAGGAAGTACACTTTGGTTAGAAGTAAAATAAAGCCTTCATGATTAACTGTCATTTAAAACACTAATCCACATTTATGCTTTCAGTGAAAATGGAGTAACAGGGACTGGATTTACCTCCCTAACTGAAACAACTAAAACCTGGACAGAACATATGAAAACAACACTTTTCAGTCACTTACCATCTATCAGAGAGTGGAGGGCAAAGTTATCTGAAAGAGGGTAAATAAGTAACATGAGTCTTATGATTGTCTCTGACTTACTGGATATTAAAATTAAAATGTATGTTTTAGCACAAAAGCCAGAAGAGGGGGAAATAATAGCACAAAGGCCAGAAGAAGGGAAATGAAAGTACACAATTTTAAGGTTCTTATTCTATATATTAATGTCACTTGAAGGTAGATTCTGATACATTACAGATGTGTACTATAAACCTTAAATCAACCAGTAAAAAAGTTATAGCTAATAAGCCAACATATGAGGTAAAATGGAATCCTCAAAATAGTCGAAAGAAATTCAAAAAAAGAGAACAAAGAACAGACAGGACAAATGAAAACAAATAACAAGATGGTTGACTTAAACTCAAATATCAATAGTCACATTAATGTAAGTGGTTTAAACACCTCAGTCATAAAGCAGAGATGGTCAGATTGAATAGAAAAGAAACTCACCTCCATGTGTCCATGTGGTTTTCTGTTCTTGTGATAGTTTGCTGAGAATGATGGTTTCCAGCTTCATCCATGTCCCTGCAAAGGACATGAACTCATCCTTTTTTATGGCTGCATAGTATTCCATGGTGTATATGTGCCACATTTTCTTAATCCAGTCTATCATTGATGGACATTTTGATTGGCTCCAAGTCTTTGCTATTGTGAATAGTGCCACAATAAACATACGTGTGCATGTGTCTTTATAGGGCTAGAGGAGGGATAGCATTAGGAGAAATACCTAATGTAGGTGACGGGTTGATGGGTGTAGCAAACCACGATAGCTCGTGTATACCTATGTCACAAAACTGCACATTCTGCACATGTACCCCAGAACTTAAAGTATAACAATAATTTAAAAAATAGTATGTGAAAAAAAAGAAACTCACAAATATATGCTGCCTATAGGAACCTTATTTTAAATTTAAAGATACAAATTGTTTACAAGTAAAAGGATGGAAAAGATGAATAATTTTATTACAAATCAAAATGATGCTTGAATGACTGTATTGATATCAGATACAATAAATTTCAGACCCAAGAATAATACAAGAAATAAAGGAGGTCATTATATAATTTTAAGTGGCATATATATCAAGAGGACACAACAATTCTAAGCATTCTTATATTACAGTGCTTCAAAATACATGAAACAAAAACATAGAACTGCAAGGAGAAATAGACAAATTCACAGTTACAAGGATTTCAAAACCTTCTCTCAAAATTTGACAAAATGGAAAATCAGCAAGTATCTATAAGACTTGAACAACAGCATAGAACTTGCCACCAATAACAGTAGTTTATACATTTGTTTCACATGCACGTGGAACATTTACCAAGGTAGTCTACATTCAGAGCCATAAAATTAATCTCAATAATGTTAACAGGATTCAAATAGTAAAACTTATGTTTTCTAAGCACAATGGAATTAAATGAGAAGCCAGTAACAGAAAGATCTCTGAAAAATCCTCAGATATTTAAATTAACACAAAATAACACATGTCTAAGGAACCCATGGCCCAAAGAAGAGATCAAAAGGGAAATTAGAAGGTACTCTGAACTGAGTGAAAGTGAAAACTCAACATATGATAATTTGCAGGATGTGGTAAAAGAAGTACATAGGGGGAAATTTATAGCACTAAATTCATATATTAGAATAAAAGAAATCCCTACAATTATCAAATAATGAAAGTTTTATTTAAAATCATCCTTCTAAAAAAACCTCTAGGTTGAGGTGGCTTTACTGGCAATTCTTTCAAACATCTAAGGATGACATAACACAAATTCTATGCAAAATCTTCCAGAAAATTGAAGATGAGGAAATACTTTCCAAGTCACCCCATGAGGTTATAATTGACCAGACAACTAAACCAGATAATTATATTACAAAGAAATATAACTATAAGCCAATATCCCTCATGAACATATATGCAAAAATTCTCAACAAAATGTTAGTAAAATTGAATCCAATGATATATAAAAAACACAATACACCATGACCAAAAGTAGGTTTTATGCTAGGGAATCAAGGTAGGGTTGATATTAGAAAAAAATGATAATTTACCACATTAACGTAGTAAAAAAAATATTATGATCATGTCAATGGATAATGAAAAAAACAGTTGCCAGAATTCCAATATTCATTACTGATTAAAATACTCAGTAGCCAGGTATAGATAAAATACCTCAACCCAATAAAATGCATCTACAAAAGCATACATAATGATGTGTACATAAAGACTAAATGCTTTCCCCCCAAGATGGGAAACAAGGGAAAAATGGACACTCTCACAAAATTGACTCAACATTGTATTAGAAGTTCTAGCCAGGGCAGTTAAGACAAGAAAAAGAAATAAAAGTATTACCGATTGCAAAGGATGAAGTAAAACAATCTTTATTCATCGAAAACATAATTGCCTATGAAGAAACTCCTAAATAGTATACAAAAAGCTACTAGAGCTAATAATGTGAATTTAGAGAAGTTGCAGGATACAATCCACAATATACAAATTTAGTTGTACCTCTATATACTAGCAATGTATTAAGTTTTCTGAGACTTCCTCAACAAATTACCACAAACTTGGTGGCTTCAGAAAAACCTAGAAATTTATCATCTCATAGTTTTGCAGGCCAGAACTCCAAAGTCAAGGTGTCACCAGGGCCATGTTCTCTCTGATGGCTCTCAGAAAGAATTCTTCCTTACCCCTTCCAGCTTCTAGTGGCCCCAGGCATTTCTTTGTGGCAGCAAGACTCTCATCTCTGCTTCTCCTCTCTGTGTCTCTCTGTGTATTCTTTCTGTCTCTTATAAGGATCTACCCATTGGATTTAGGACCCACACTAATCTAGTATAATCTCATTTCAACCCTTAATTAATTACATCTGCAAATACCCTATTTCAAAATAAGGTCACATTCTCAGGTTCTGGGTGGATATGGATTTTGGGGGAAAATATTCAAAACATTACAAACAGTGAATAACCAGACTAAAATTTTTAAAAATATAATTTACAATAGCACTAAAAATATAAAATACTTTGGGATAAATTTGACAAAAGATGTACAAGGCCTGCACACTGAAAAGTACCAAACATTGATGACATAAATTAAATCCTAGCAGTTTTTTATAAAAATTGACAACTTGATTCTAATGTTTATATTAAAAAGTCTAAAAGACTAAGAACAGTCAAAACAACTTTGAAAAGACAAACATTTTGGAGGACTTTCACTATTTTATTGTAAGATTATTATAAAAGTACAGTAATCAAAACACTTTGCATAGAGCATTGCAATCCTACAGTATTTATCAGCATAAATATAAACAACTTGATCAGTGGAATGGGATAGTGAGTGAAGAAATAGACCCACACATATATGCCAGTTGATTTTTTAAAAAAATAGAAACAGAGTCTCACTCTGTTGCCCAGGCTGGAGTGCAGTGATGCAATCATAGCTCACTGTAACCTTGAACTCCTGGGCTGAAGTTATACTCCAGCCTCATCCTCCAAAGTAGCTAGGATTACACATACATGCCATCACAGCTGACTGATTTTTTTATTTTTGAAGAGATGGGGTTGCCCAGGCTGGTCTCAAACTCCCAGCCTCAAGTGATCCTCCTGGGTCAGCCTCCCAAAGTTCTGGAATTATAATCGTGTGCCATTTTGCTTGGCCCTCCAATTGATTTTTGACAAAGATTCCAAGGTAATTCCATGAGGAACAGACAATCTTTTCAACAATTGGTGTTGGAACAATTGGATAGCCATTTCCAATAACAGCAATACTTACAAGAACTTTATCTCACATCATATGGAAAAGTTGGGTCAAACTGTATAATAGACCTAAATTTAAGAAGTAAAACATAAAGCTTCTAGAAGAAAACAGGAGAAACTCTCAGTGATCTTTAGTTCATAGAAATTTTAAATTAGAACTCAAAAACACAGGCTCTAACAACAACAGATCAGATCAATATGTCAGATTTTATCAAACCTTAATTTTTTTTTCTTTTCAAAAGATACTGTTGATTCTCTGAGAAGGATAGAGACAAATTGGTAGGAATCCCAAGGCCCCTCCCTACAACAATAAATAAAGACACACGGCCTGGTGTGGTGGCTCACGCCTGTAATCCCAGCACTTTGGGAGGCTGAGGCGAGTGGATTATGAGGTCAGGGGTTCGAGACCAGCCTGACCAACATGGTGAAACTCCGTCTCTACTAAAAAATACAAAAAATTAGCTGGGTGTGGTGGCAGGTGCCTGTAATCCCAGCTACTCAGGAGGCTGAGGCAGGAGAATTGCTTGAACTCAGAAGGCAGAGGTTGCAGTGAGCCGAGATCGTGCCACTGCACTCTAGCCTGGGCAACAGAGCGAGACGCCTTCTCAAAAAAAAAAAAAAAAAAAAAAAAAGACACACACACAACCAGAGTACAAGAGACTTGCTTGAAAGCCACACAGCTGAGAAGCTGCTGGTCCACAGTGAGACCTGAGCTGGACTAGAACTTATCGTACAGCAAAAACCTGACCTTCATGCTTCTAGTTCTGGACAAGATGGAGCAGCCCCATCCCTCCAAGGCCCTCCCTATTACAACTAAAAAAACCGTAGTCATAGCACAACAAACATGCATAGGAAGACTCTGAAAGGTAGGACGACTGAAAGGTAGGAAGAGGTAGACGGACTGCCTAAGGACCTTGGAACTTAAGGAACAACACAGCAGCAAGTTCCCTTGATTTCCTTATTGTCTCATATAATGAACAGGACTCTGGGAAAGCCTCCTATCAGGAGCATCCAACAGTCATGAACATGAAAAGCTTCAAGAAAAACCTGTTTCCTCTAGCCAAGTACAGAGAAAAAGGTTATTTAACAAAAAACATTTTTGGATATGTTTATGCTGTCAAGAAAAATCCCAAATGGTACAGTATAATTTCATTTATATAACATTCTTGAAATGACACCATTATAGAGATGGAGAGCAGTTTTGTGGTTGGCAAAAGTTAGCAGGAGAGAAGGAAGGGAAGGTGACTTTGGTTATAAAAGGGTAGGACCAGGAATGTCTGTGATGTATCTTGCCTGTAGTGGTGGTCATACAAATCAATACATGACAAAATTGCATAAAACTAAATATATACATACACATGCAAATGAATGCATGTAAAAGTGGTGAAATCCGAATAAGGTCAATGGATTGTAGCTATGTGAATTTTCTGGTTGTGATATTGCACTATAGCTATGCAAAAGTTACATCTGAGGGAAACTGGACAAATGGTACAGTGGCTATCTCTATATTATTCCTTTTTGTTTAGTAATAGCTTTATTAAGATATAATGCATATATTATAATATTTACCCATATAAGGTGTATAATTTAATACTTTTTGTATATTCACAGATATGTACAACCAACATCACAATAAGTTTTGAGACAGAGTCTTGCTCTGTTGCCCAGGCTGGAGTGCAGTGGGACAATTTCGGCTCACTGCAACCTCCGCCTCCTGGGTTCAAATGATTGCCCTGCCTCAGCCTCTCAAGTAGCTGGGACTACAGGCATGCGGCACCATGCCTGGCTAATTTTTTGTATTTTAGTAGAGACGGGGTTTAACCATGTTGGCCAGGATGGTCTGCGATCTCCTGACCTCATGATCCACCCGCCTCGGCCTCCCAAAGTGCTGGGATTACAGAGGTGAGCCACCGCGCCCGGTGATAAGTTTTAAAATATTTTCATCACATCAAAAATAAACCCCATGCTCTGTAGGTATGATCCCTACCTTTTCCAACCCTAAAGCCCTAACTGACCACTAATCTACTTTCTTTCTCTATGGATTTGTCAATTCTAGACATTATATATGCATGGAATCATACAATAAGTCAGTTTTTCATGGACTTATTCATCATTGGTATGTCTTTTTTCTTAGAGCTGAATATTCAGATCCTTTGCAACATATTTTGTTGGGTATTTTTAGTTTAGTTTTGCTTTTATATTGGTAAAATATACATAACATAACTTTTACCATTTTAGCAAGTTTTAAGTATATAGTTCAGTGGCATTAAGTACATTCATATTGTTGTGCAACTAAGTAGGAGGTGGGACTCAACTCTGCAGGCATGGCTCAGACACTGGACCAAATTGAAGATCAGTTAAAACAAAGACAGGGTGGAAGCAGCTTTCAATAAGACATGCTCACCAGTGTGCCATGTCAGTTTACCATTCTTATCACAACACCCAGAAGTTATCACCCTTTTCTACGGCAGTGACCCAATGACCCAGAAGTTACTACCCTTTCTCTATAAATTTCTGCATAATCCAGTCCTTAATTTGTATATATGTAAAAGTGGGTATAAATATGACTACAGAAACTGCTTTTGGGCTGCTACTCTGGGCACACTGCCTACGGGGTAGCCCTGCTCCACAAGGAGCAGTTCCTCTGCTGCTGCTGTACACTGCTGCTTCAATAAAAGTTGCTGTCTGTATTAGTCAGGGTTCTCTAGAGGGACAGAACTAATGGGATATATATAGGACATCTGTAGGCCTTTGGAAGACCTTCACTAGTAATTTAACAGAATCAACACTCAGCCAGAAGTGGTAACATGATGCTGTGGATGGGAACAGGAGCATTAATTTTTCTCTCCTTTACCATAACATTTCTTTTCTATGGCTTTAGCCAGCCGCCTTCTCCTGAGAACCATCTCTTTTGTCCTTATTGGGTTTAGAGGCCACTCTAAGGTCCAACCGGACACCAAGCTGTCATTGTTAATCTTGTTTGCTCTTCCAATTACCCTGATCCAGTGTGGGTGGGAACAAAACTCTATAGTAAATATTTCAAAAAGTATAGCATCAGAGAATCATCTTCATGGTTGCTAGATTTGTCATCAATATCCCCAGGATAGAGAGTTCCATCTTCTGGCCTATCCAGAAAATCTCACAGCCATGTCCCCAGACCTCCTAACTAACCATAGTGATCCCAAAGTGCCCAAATCCCTACTTGTTAAATAGAACTCTCCCCCCACTTAATGGGTTCCACCTGAATTACCCCCACCACTATTACCTGGACCTGGGAAGTTGATTATCTATATCTCCAGTGCAGTAATGATTCTATCTTTTGCACTCACTGTTGTGTTAATGACAAAAAAGCAGAAGTCTCCCTACAATGATCTGATCCAACTCTAGTTGCCATGTTCTTAAGGCTGCAGCAAGGTAATGGGATTCCACTTGCGAACAAGGAAACCATATATGGTGCCTTCTCCTGATCAGAACATACAGGGGGAAAAAAACAAAACAAAACAAAACACAACCGCCTAATCTGGGAAGGCGGGAGTACTGCCCCCTTTTGGAAAACAAAGATTGTTCAACCATCCCCATTAGAACAGGGGAAAAATACCTCTATAGACCTAACTTGGCAGCAAGAATAAACATCACACCCCATAGAGCCTCTGTGTCCCAACTGGGCTTATTGTTTGTGGTCATAAATGGGGAAAAGTCACACTTCATAACTAGTACTGACTCTCCAGGGAGTCATCTGTTCTTTTAGGAATAGCTTGCCCTTATATATAAACAACTTAAAACAGAGGTAAATGTACTTTGGCCCCCCTTGCCCCTCCAGGGGTCACAGTCTATAACCCCATAACACCCAAGAACACCAGAAGTAAATGAGCAATTGGATTAAGTCTGGTGGGAATTGGGGCAGCAGTAGGACTAGCAGCACTGTGGGGCAGATTTGCTTACCACAAGTCAATTCTAAAGAACTTGACTCAAGCCCTAGAATCCTCAGCCACCAACAGAGATCGGACACTAAAGAGAATTGAAGAGTCCCTAGACTCTTTGGCAAATGTAATTCTCAATAACAGACTAGCATTAGATTATTTACTAGTTGAACAAGATGGTGTCTGTACAGTTATTAATAACCTGCTGCACGTATTAACAACTCTGGACAAGTCGACATTAACATTCAAAAGATATACAAGCAAGCCACTTGGTTACATAGATATAACCAGGGCACTGACCCCAAATATATTTGGTAGACTATCAAAAATGCCTTCCCAAGTTTCACCTGGTTTTACCTCTCCTAAGACCTTTGATAGCTATCATGTTGTTACTAATTTTTGGCTGTTGCTTGTTCAATCTCTGTGTAAAGTTTGTGTCTTCTAGATTACAACAGTTCCAGATAGAAACAATGCTGGCACGAGGCTTCCAATTCATTCCATCTACTGACCTAGAGAATAAAAGTGTCCTGCCTCTGTGCTCCTTGGATCAGGGATCCAGAAATTTTTACTCCTCCAGCGCTAGGCAAGGTATATGCCCATAAACTCAGCAGGAAGCAGTTACAGAAGATAGGCCTCCGTCCTTCTGCAGCCCCTTTAAGATTAAGAAGGAATATCTAATCTCTGAGGGAAGAATGAGGTAGGAGGCAAGACTCAACTCCAGAGGTGGGGCTCAGACACAAGACCAAATTGAGGACTAGCTAAAACAGGGACAGTAGAAGCAGCTTTCCATAAGACATGCCAACCAGTGTGCCATGTCAGTTTACCATTGCCATGGCAACACCCGGAAGCTGCTGTCCCTTTTCATGGCAATGACCTGATAGCTCGGATATTACCACACTTTTTCTAGAAATTTTTGCATATCCACTCCATAATTTGTACATATTTAAAAGTGGGTATAAATATGACTACAGAACTGCCTTTGACCTGCTACTCTGGGCACACTGCCTATCAGGTAGTGCTGCTCCACAAGGAGCAGTACCTCTTCTGCTGCTGTACATTGCTACTTCAATAAAAGTTGCTAATACCACCTGCTTACCCTTGAATTTTTTTCCTGGGTAAAACCAAGAACCCTCCTGGTCTAAGCCCCAATTTGGGGATTGCCTGCCCTGCATCACAATTATCACCACTATGTATCTCCAGAAGTTTTTCATCATCCCAAACTGAGCCCAGGATAGAACAATCCTACTCCCTGAATATTAAGGGAACTAAAAATCTTAACACCACAAGAACTGGTTCTGATGCAGATCAAGAGTGATAGCTGGAAGATGTTCTCTGTTAGTTCCTGCTACTTGGATTCCTGGCCTTACTGGGTCTAGTTCTTCAGATTACCCCTCCATTCTGTGAGCTAACTCAAGTCCTTCCCATCATTTCACTTTTCTCCCTATATTATCCTGATGATTTGATTTTCTATATCTTCCTACACTGCACGTTAAGGACAAAGATCATTTTATTTTGGAAATGTTTTTGGTTTCTGAAAAATAAAAAACAACTTCCTTTAAGCTGTACCTAATACATAGGGGCTATTTTGAGAAGTAAATGAGAAAATGCAGCGTGGTTACATAATCATATTTTATAATGTGGAAATGATCATTTTCTGTGAAAAAAAAAATCAAAGCTTTAGGCAGGATGACCAACAAGCAGGCTATTATGGGACTACAGAAGATAAGTATATGATGGTGACCTAAACCTGGGGAGACATAGTAAGAATGGAGAAAAGTGTACTGAAGAGATATTAAGAAGGAGTTGATAGTAGGCTTTGGCAATTGATTGGATGTTGGGAGTAAAATAGAGTAAGGGATCATGCCCAGTTTTCTAGATTTTGACAGCAGAATGGATGCTTGGGCCATTCACTGGTAGAGCAAATGTAAGATAAGGGAACATGCTGGAGGCTGGGAAAGAAGAGATTTTTTAAAAGGGATATGATGAAGCCAATTTTGGACCTTTTGATGTTGAAGTACCCTTGTGACAGCCACAAGAGGTCCAACAGAGAACTGGATAACTGTCTGGGGTCCTGGAGAAAGAAGTATGGGCTGGAGATAAGGGGTTGGAAGTCCTCATTGCTAGAATGATAGTTAAAAACTACAGAAGTGGGTGAGATCAGTCAACGAAGATGGAGGCTGAGAATTCCAACATTTAGGGAAACAATATAGCTCATGTGCTAAGAGCAAGAGTTCAGTCTGTCAGATGTAGCCAGGTCCAAACCCCTTCTCTGTCCTTTACTAACCCTGTGATCCCAGGCAAATCTTTCAAAGTATTTGTGCCTCATTTTTCTAATCTGTGACAAAAAGATAGTTATTGACCATACATTATATGGTACTGTTCAGGATTCCATGAAAATATTTATTTATAGAAAAGATTACAGAGTAAGGGTTTCATAACTTGTAGTTCTAGTGAGCCATAAACATTTCTTATGTTAGCATGAAGACTGCTATAGGTTGACTAATCAATAAAAGCATTAAGTTTTTATGAGAGCATGTTCAACACTGAATGCTATTCCTTTGTAATTGTTTCACTGAGCTCACCAAGGCGGGGGAGCCACAGGGACTCTGAGACCAAACCTGACATGTTTTATTAATAAAGTGTGTATTTGTCTGGATTTCCCCTTGTGTTGTGTATACACTGACAGTTTTTAGACGGCTAGCACATATTTTTCTAAGATGATGAATGAATACATTTGTGCACTGTTTAGATATATTTCGCAGTAACTGTGCGTGACCTTCAATGTCAAAAGAAAATGAAAATGACAGAGTAGAAAACTCCAAGGGCCTGTCCCTTCATGGAAACACTGGGAACAAAAACAATAAGAATAAATTTTACCAGGACTCTGGAAAATAGTCAAAGGTTTATCGCAATCAAGCAAATGTTGAATCAAGAATATGGCAACTTAACCATGATAGAAGAGCTTTGTGACATTTTAATTTAGCTCTGCCTCAGCCCACTTGCTAGTGAAGTAGTGGTCTTGAAAATAGGGCCCTACATTTCTAATGTGGATACCTGGATTTAGAGGTAACAGAGCAGACTTTGTTCCCAAGGATTTTTTAAAATGAGAAAGAAATCAGGACATTCCAAAGAAACAAAACCTGAGGGAGTTCATTAACACTATATCAACACTACAAGAAAATGCTAAAGAGACTCTTTCAGGTTGAAATGAAAGGACATGGGCAAATATAAAAATCAGTGTTATTGTAATTTTGGTATGGAATTGCTCTTTTTTTCTATATGACTTAAAAGACAAATGTATAAAACAATAATTAGAAAAAAATAGAAGACCTGAATAGACCTGCAATATGTAGAGAGATTGAATCAGTAATTATGAATTCAGCAAAATTACAGGATAAAATGTAAATATACAAAATATGTTGTGTTTCTATAAACCAGCAATGAACAACCTAAAAAGGAAATTTAAAAGCACCTTCACTTATAAAAACATCAAAAACAATAAAATACTCAGGAATAAATTTAGCCAAGGAGGTGTAAGACTTATATACTGTAAACTATAAAAGATTCTTGAAAGATATTTAAAAGATCCTAAATAAATGGGAAGACATCCCATATTTAGGAATTAGTAGACCTAATATCATTAAAATGGCAATGCTTTCCAAATCAATCAACAAATTCAATGTAATTCCTGTCAAAATCCCAGTGCCCACCTTTTTTTTTTTTTTTGCAGAAACAGAAAAGAAAGCAAATATAAATATAAGGTAGAAAATAAATAGAAACTAGAGTGGAAAAGCCAGTACTAGAATTAATATGGAATCACAAGTATTTGTGTGTGTGTGTGCTTATAACATAGATTCTGAATTAACTTTAACATTTGGTAAAATGCATCAGTTGACAGAACTTCATGGACTTAGTACTGGTGTTCAAAAGACGGTTATTCCTGGGGATCCCACTAAATTTAAACATGGTATTCCTTATAATCTTATGAAAGTAACTAAATATAAGATAGTGAAAAATAGGTATGCGTCATTTTAACTATGGCCTTGCCAAAATTTTCCATACTAGGCCAGCATTAGGTGCTGTTGCTCACACCTGTAATCCCAGCAATTTGAGAAACTGAGATGGGAAGATTACCTGAGGCCAGGAGTTCAAGACCAGCCTGGGCAACATAGCAAGACTCCATCTTCACATAAAATAAGAAATTAGCTGGGCATAGTGGCACATGCCTGTAGTCCCAGCTACTCAGGAGGCTGAGGTAGGATCTTGAGCCCAGGAGGTTGAGGCTGCAGTGAGCCTTGATTGTGCCACTGCGTTCAGCCTGGGTGACAGAGTGAGACTCTCCCTCAAAAAAATTCCCATAGTAATAAAATCCATTGTCCTAATATATCCCATAGTGGACATAGATATTCTGAAACAATGAATAATACATTAAATTTAAATTAAATCTTTTGTATTTACAAAGTGACTTGATAAAATGGGACCCCATGCACTCCTCGGTCAAAATAGCTAAGATGGTCCAATATAAATTAAAACAGGGCCTTCAAGGATTAAAACTTATTGTATAAGACATAATTAGTGGGTAATTATCTCCACTGCTTCTCCATTTGTAACCCAATCTTGCCTGTTCTTAAACCTAAAGAAAAATGAGTGGTACCCCATGGTGATTACTATAACCCTAATGCTGTGGTCCTATCCATTAAGGCCCCCAAATCCAATAGTCGATATTATTAAAACTACTAACTCCATCTAATCAGCAGGCAGTAAATATTTTGCCATTATAGCTTTGACTAGTATGTTCTATTCAGTGACTGTTTCAGTAGCCTCTCAGCTGCAGTTTGCCTTCCCTTTCAAAGAGATATGATACACCTTTATTAAGCTTCTCATGAGGTATCTCAATAGCTTTGTCATTGTGCACAATTTTTATGGACAAGATCTTATCTGCACCCAGCTTTCTCCAGGAATACAGCCATGGCATTACATTGATAACATCTTCCTAGGAGATTCATTTGACATACTCATTAAGGACATACAAGTCCAACATCCTTAAGTTATTTTGGGGTTTTGGAAGCAACATATTCCTCATTTGCAAATTTTACTTAATCTCACTGATGCTGCCACTTACAAATCAGCCCAATCTAAATGAGATATTCTCTAACAGAAGGCTCTAAAATTTGTCCAGATTGAAATCAACAGACACTTCCATTAATGCCCTCAGAGACTCCTTCACTGGAAAGATTTCACCAACTTCAACTTCTTCTCATGCCTCCTGGTATCTCTGAACTACCTATAATGGCCATAAATTGCCCATAGCCTTCTGATATGAAAAACTGCCTTTCTCAGCTCTGTGCTAGACACCATGAGAGTAAAAATTGCTGGGCATATACCAGGCTTCTCTGAAAACAGAGGCTCTCATAGACCCTGAGCCTGTGATCTTTTGTACCCAGTTGCTCAATATGCCCTGGATAATGGACACAGCACATCGCAAGCTTGGCACAGTGATGGAGGCCTCCTTGATACAGGACAGAGCCAAACCTGGGTCCTCTGATATATTCCACCTGCAGGAGGGGATGGTATTCCCTGTCCTCAGTCCCTTGCCAGATGCCATGTTCATGGAGGTCACCCCTCTCCAAACCCCTTAGCTACCTGGCGACCCCCTTAGGATTAACTGAATGAAAAACAATGGGAGTTAATAGACTACAGGGGAGGCGTTGCCACTATCATAAGTTATGGAGCTCAGTGGAATGGGTCTGCTTTTCATCCCTTAGCCAGGAATTTCCTGACAAAGAATGTGAACCAAGGATCAGCACAATTGGTGAAACTACAGGCAGTCATATTAGCACTGGATGCCCTGGTTAGCAAATGATCAGGACATTTCTACAAACTCTTGGGCCATTGCCCAAGAGGTTTTCCCTTAAAGGTAAAGAACTTTGGGAATCTCTAGCCTCATAGACACATCAAAATCCCACATGTCTCTACATATACTAAGGCCACAATACAAGGTCTCACCAGGGCACTCCTTATCTTCTTTGGAGTTTCAGACATTTCTGATAGTAACCAAAGTACACATTTTGTATCTCAAAATACATAATGCTGGGCTCTTGGAAAAGGCATTCAATAGAACTTTTGACTCCCTGATGGGTCCCAGCTAGCCAGTTTTATCAGAAGAGATCTAATGGTTTCCACAAACAACTCATTTTAAAACTCCAGTCTGGTATATGGACCACTAAGTGGGTTTTGCTGTTACTCCAGGCCTTAATCTCTCCTAATTTAAGGTCTTTGGCCATCTCATACCTCACAACATTAAAAAAAGAAAACCTTTTCATCACCCTTTCGTGTATTCAAAGAGGGATATGTGTCACCTCCATGCTTATGAAAACTCATTATATATGTGCGGCCCTTTAATATTGTCTCCTCCTATCTTTATGGATTTTTAATCCTGCACCATCCCATAAGTGCTGGAGGCCAGGTCAAGGGTGCATGCTCTCCTAAGATCTGTTAACCATAGATTGTCTCGTAGGTCAGGCCCTTGCCCATCTTATATGAGAACCATTTGTGACTAAACTTCTACCACCCAAAAACCATTATTAACATTTGGGTTATAAGGCATGGATAATTAATCTGAGATCTACCTCTGCTCCCATCCAGAAAATTAAAATTAGTGCTCAAGAGCTAACAACAAACATTGCTCAAGAGTCCCACAGACAGTGTGGACTACCAAGAAAGGAGGTAGAAAACTCCTCTTAGCAAATGAAAATCACATTTGGAGAGGGTAATGGAATCAACACCAAATCTCATAATGGCAAAACCAGACAACACCTCCTTGATAATAATGCACGTGAGGGGAGGAGAGAATCAACATCAAGAAACAAAAGTCTGTCATATACAGCTACACACCTTTTTATTGGATATTGATCTTATTACTATTGGTCTGGATGCTTTTGATGGTTTGCAGTCCAGAGGCCAAAACCTGAAAATAATTCATCGTTTCAACTAAACCTGGCAAATACTGAGGCCCACATGCCATCAAGATTGGCTAATAGAAGCCCTACAGCCCAAACACCTCACTGACTTTTCCTTCACCAACTGAACTGACAACTGAGGCAAAGATTCCACAGTCATTGGTTAAACGGTAGGGACTGACTACAGACTAGTGCTAAAATTCCAACCCTGGCCGAAGATATTTTAATTGGCAAACAACCTGACACCATATTAACAACATGCTCCCAAATCAAGCCATATGATTTAAAGTCTTTTTACAGCAGAAACTCTCTCATCAACCATCTGGGCAAAACCTTGGACTGTTGGGAGCTTTGAGATTTAGCCATCCTCAATTAGGGCTTTATTTGTGTCAGTCAAATTCTAGGACTTTACTCCAATTACAACAGTATTTTGGATACTGAATCACTTTTGCTACTTGTGCATCCACAAAGCCCCCTGACTTACAAAATACCTGCAAGATCTCAAGTTAGCAAACTAACCTTACAACTTAAGGAAATAGAAAAAAAAAAGAATAATCTAAAGTCAAAGTTAGCATAAAGAAGGAAATAAGATTAGAGCAGATATAAATAAAATAGATTAGAAAAACAATAGAGAAAATAAACCAAACCAAGAGTTACTTCTTAGAAAAGATCAAGAAAATTGACAATGTGTAGCTAGGTTGACTAAGAAAAAGAAGATTCAAATTACTAAAATCAGAATGGAAGGTGGAGCATTACTGTTGAATTTATAGAAATGATAAGAATAATAAGAGTACTATGAATAATTGTACACCAAAAAATTGGATAACCTGGATGAAATGAAAAATTCCTAGAAATGCAAAGCCTACCAAGAATAAATCATAAAGAAATAGAAAATGTGAATAGATCTATAACTAATACAGATACTGAATCAGTAATCAAAAACCTTCCAACAAGGAAGATTTGGACCAAAGTCTTCACTGGTAAATTCTACCAAACATTTGAAGAATAATTAACACCAATCCTTCTCAAATGCTTCCAAAAAATTGAAGAAGAAGGAATACTTCCTAATTCACCCTATCAGGCTAGCATTACCCTGATATCAAAGCCTGGTGAAGGCAAAACGAGAAAAGAAAAATACATACCAATATCCCATGTGAATATTGATGCAACAATACTCAACAAAATACTAGTAAATCAAATTAAGTAGCATATTAAAAGGATTACACACTATGACAACGTGGGCTTTATTCTGTGGTTCAAGGATTGTTCAACATATGAAAACCAATTGATGTAATATATCACATTAACAGAATGAAGAAAAAACACATAATCATCTAAATTCATGCAGGATAAGCATTTGGCAAAATTCAACACACGTTCTTGATTTAAAAAAATCAACATACTAGGTGATGTAGTTTGGTTTGTTTGACCCCAATGAATCTCATGTTGAAATTTGATTTCAAGTGTTGTTGGAGGTGGGATCTAATAGGAATATTTTAATACTGTTAGGATGTAAATACTACTCAAAATGATACACAGATTCAGTGCAATCCTTACCAAAAATCAAATACTTTTTTAAGAAATAGAATAATATTTCCTAAAATTAATATAGAATCAATCTAAAAGAGCGTGAATAATCAAAATAATCTTGAAAAAGAACAAAGTTGGAAGTCTTACACTTCCTGAATTCAAAAATTACTACAAAGCTACTGTATTTGTCTGCTTGGGCTACCATAGCAAAATACCATGGACTGGGTGGCCTAAACAACAGAAATTTATTTTATTACAGTTCTGAAGACTGGAAGTCCAACATCAAGGTGCAAGCAAACTTGGTGTTTGGTGAGGGTTCTCGCTTTGTCCTGCAGATGGCTGCCTTCTTGCTGTGTGCTCACAGGACCTCCTCTTTGTGTGCATGCTGGATGGGGCTGGGGGGAGGAGAGAGGACATGTGAGAATGCTTTCATGCTTCTTCTTATAAGGGCACTAATTCTATAGGATCAAGGCCCCACCCTTATGACCTAATTTCCAATTAATTGCCTTCTTACTCCAAATACAGCCACACTGGGGATTAGAGCTTCAATATATGAATTCTGGGTGAACAAAAACATTCAGTCCATAAGACTTGCAGTAATCAAAACAGTGTGGGTGGTACTGGCAGAAAGACAAACATAAAGACCAATGGAGTAGAACTGAGAGGACAGAAATTAACCCTCACATATATGGTCAAATGATTTTTGACAAAGGTGCTAAGACCATTCAATGAGGAAAGGGCAGTCTCTTCAACAAACGGTGGTTTAAAAAAAAAAAACCTCTAAATATCCACATGCAAAAACATGAAGTTGGACCATTGCCTTTCACCATATACAAAAAATAACTCAAAATGGATCAAAGACCTAAATGTAAGAGCTAAAAGTGTAGAAATCTTTAAAGGAAATACAGGAAGAAAACTTCATGGCATTAAATTTGGCAATGATTTCTTGGATATGCCACCCAAAACGCAGGCAGCAACAAAAAATAGATAAATCGGACTTCTCTAAAATTAAAAACATTTGTGCATTAAAAGACGCTATCAACATGGCATAAAGGCAATGCACAAAATAAAAGAAAATATTTACAAATCTTATATCTGATAAAGGGTTAATATCCAGAATATATTAAGAACTCCTCCAACTAAATAACAACAAAAAGCAGGTAATCTAATTCAAAAATGAGCAAAGAAAATCATACTGAATGAGCAAAAGCTGGAACTATTCTCTTTGAGTACTGGACTAAGATAAGTATGCCTACTTTCACCACTCCTATTCAACATAATACTGGAAGTCCTAGCCAGAGCAATCAGGCAGGAGAAAGAAATAAAAGGTATCCGAATAGGAAAAGAAGAAGTCAAACTATCTCTTTTGCCATCTATATGATGCTATACATAGAAAACCCAAAAGACTCTGCCAAAAGGCTCCTGGAACTGACAAATGAATTCAGTAAAGTTTTAAAATTTTTGTAGAGATGGTGTCTTGCTATGTTGCTCAGGCTGGTCTTGAACTCCTGGCCTCAAGTGATCCTCCTGCCTTGGCCTCCCAAAGTGCTGGGATTATGGCAGGAGCACTGGGCCTCCCCCGTCCAACTTTTTTTTTTTTGATCCAAACAAAAATTTTATTTATTTTTATTTATTTATTTTTTTAATTACACTTTAAGTTTTAGGGTACATGTGCACAACGTGCAGGTTTGTTACATATATATATACATGTGCCATGTTGGTGTGCTGCACCCATTAACTCGTCATTTAACATTAGGTGTATCTCCTAATGCTATCCCTCTCCCCTCCCCCCAACCCACAACAGGCCCCAGTGTGTGATGTTCCCCTTCCTGTGTCCATGTGTTCTCATTGTTCAATTCCCACCTATGAGTGAGAACATGCGGTGTTTGGTTTTTTGTCCTTGCGATAGTTTCCTCAGAATGAGGGTTTCCAGCTTCATCCATGTCCCTACAAAGGACTTGAACTCATCATTTTTTATGGCTGCATAGTATTCCATGGTGTATATGTGCCACGTTTTCTTAATCTAGTCTATCATTGTTGGACATTTTGGATGGTTCCAAGTCTTTGCTATTGTGAATAGTGCTGCAATAAACATACGTGTGCATGTGTCTTTATAGCAGCATGATTTATAATCCTTTGGGTATATACCCAGTAATGGGATGGCTGGGTCAAATGGTATTTCTAGTTCTAGATCCCTGAGGAATCACCACACTGACCTCCACAATGGTTGAACTAGTTTACAGTCCCACCAACAGTGTAAAAGTGTTCCTATTTCTCCACATCCTCTCCAGCACCTGTTGTTTCCTGACTTTTTAATGATTGCCATTCTAACTGGTGTGAGATGGTATCTCATTGTGGTTTTGATTTGCATTTCTCTGATGGCCAGTGATGATGAGCATTTTTTCATGTGTCTTTTGGCTGCATAAATGTCTTCTTTTGAGAAGTGTCTGTTCATGTCCTTCGCCCACTTGTTGATGGGGTTGTCTGTTTTTTTCTTGTAAATTTGTTTGAGTTCATTGTAGATTCTGGACAGTAGCCCTTTGTCAGATGAGTGGGTTGCAAAAATTTTCTCCCATTCTGTAGGTTGCCTGTTCACTCTGATGGTAGTTTCCTTTGCTGTGCAGAAGCTCTTTAGTTTAATTAGATCCCATTGGTCAATTTTGGCTTTTGTTGCCATTGCTTTTGGTGTTTTAGACATGAAGTCCTTGCCCATGCCTATGTCCTGAATGGTATTGCTTAGGTTTTCTTCTAGGGTTTTTATGGTTTTAGGTCTAACATGTAAGTCTTTAATCCATCTTGAATTAATTTTAGTATAAGGTGTAAGGAAGGGATCTAGTTTCAGCTTTCTACATATGGCTAGCCAGTTTTCCCAGCACCATTTATTAAATAGGGAATTGTTTCCCCATTTCTTGTTTTTGTCAGGTTTGTCAAAGATCGGATAGTTGTAGATATGTGACATTATTTCTGAGGGCTCTGTTCTGTTCCATTGGTCTATATCTTTGTTTTGGTACCAGTACCATGCTGTTTTGGTTACTGTAGCCTTGTAGTATAGTTTGAAGTCAGGTAGCGTGATGCCTCCAGCTTTGTTCTTTTGGCTTAGGATTGACTTGGCGATGCGGGCTCTTTTTTGGTTCCATATGAACTTTAAAGTAGTTTTTTCCAATTCTGTGAAGAAAGTCATTGGTAGCTTGATGGGGATGGCATTGAATCTGTAAATTACCTTGGGCAGTATGGCCATTTTCATGATATTGATTCTTCCTACCCATGAGCATGGAATGTTCTTCCATTTGTTTGTATCCTCTTTTATTTCATTGAGCAGTGGTTTGTAGTTCTCCTTGAAGAGGTCCTTCACGTCCCTTGTAAGTTGAATTCCTAGGTATTTTATTCTCTTTGAAGCAATTGTGAATGGGAGTTCACTCATGATTTGGCTCTCTGTTTGTCTGTTATTGGTGTATAAGAATGCTTGTGATTTTTGTACATTGATTTTGTATCCTGAGACTTTGCTGAAGTTGCTTATCAGCTTAAGGAGATTTTGGGCTGAGACAATGGGGTTTTCTAGATATACAATCATGTCATCTGCAAACAGGGACAATTTGACTTCCTCTTTCCTAATCGAATACCTTTTATTTCTTTCTCCTGCCTGATTGCCCTGGCCAGAACTTCCAACACTATGTTGAATAGGAGTGGTGAGAGAGGGCATCCCTGTCTTGTGCCAGTTTTCAAAGGGAATGCTTCCAGTTTTTGCCCATTCAGTATGATATTGGCTGTGGGTTTGTCATAGATAGCTCTTATTATTTTGAAATACGTCCCATCAATACCTAATTTATTGAGAGTTTTTAGCATGAAGGGCTGTTGAATTTTGTCAAAGGCCTTTTCTGCCTCTATTGAGATAATCATGTGGTTTTTGTCATTGGTTCTGTTTATATGCTGGATTACATTTATTGATTTGTGTATGTTGAACCAGCCTTGCATCCCAGGGATGAAGCCCACTTGTTCATGGTGGATAAGCTTTTTGATGTGCCGCTGGATACAGTTTGCCAGTATTTTATTGAGGATTTTTGCGTCGATGTTCATCAGGGATATTGGTCTAAAATTCTCTTTTTTTGTTGTGTCTCTGCCAGGCTTTGGTATCAGGATGATGCTGGCCTCATACAATGAGTTAGGGAGGATTCCCTCTTTTTCTATTGATTGGAATAGTTTCAGAAGGAATGGTACCAGCTCCTCCTTGTACCTCTGGTAGAATTCGGCTGTGAATCCATGTGGTCCTGGACTTTTTTTGGTTGGTAAGGTATTAATTATTGCCTCAATTTCAGAGCCTGTTATTGGTCTAGTCAGAGATTCAACTTCTTCCTGGTTTAGTCTTGGGAGAGTGTGTCGAGGAATTTATCCATTTCTTCCAGATTTTCTAGTTTATTTGCATAGAGGTGTTTATAGTATTCTCTGATGGTAGTTTGTATTTCTGTGGGATTGGTGGTGATATCCCCTTTATCATTTTTTATTGCATCTATTTGATTCTTCTCTCTTTTCTTCATTAATCTTGCTAGCGGTCTATCAATTTTGTTGATCTTTTCAAAAAACCAGCTCCTGGATTCATTGATTTTTTGAAGGGTTTTTTGTGTCTCTATTTCCTTCTGTTCTGCTCTGATCTTAGTTATTTCTTGCCTTCTGCTAGCTTTTGAATGTGTTTGCTCTTGCTTCTCTAGTTCTTTTAATTGTGATGTTAGGGTGTCAATTTTAGATCTTTCCTGCTTTCTCTTGTGGGCATTTAGTGCTATAAATTTCCCTCTACACACTGCTTTGAATGTGTCCCAGAGATTCTGGTATGTTGTGTCTTTGTTCTCATTGGTTTCAAAGAACATCTTTATTTCTGCTTTCATTTCCTTATGTACCCAGCAGTCATTCAGGAGCAGGTTGTTCAGTTTCCATGTAGCTGACCAGTTTTGAGTGAGTTTCTTAATCCTGAGTTCTAGTTTGATTGCACTGTGGTCTGAGAGACAGTTTGCTGTAATTTCTGTTCTTTTCCATTTGCTGAGGAGTGCTTTACTTCCAACTATGTGGTCAATTTTGGAATAGGTGTGGTGTGGTGCTGAAAAAAATGTATATTCTGTTGATTTGGGGTGGAGAGTTCTGTAGATGTCTATTAGGTCTTCTTGGTGCAGAGCTGAGTTCAATTCCTGGATATCCTTGTTAACTTTCTGTCTCGTTGATCTGTCTAATGTTGACAGGGGGTGTTAAAGTCTCCCATTATTATTGTGTGAGAGTCTAAGTCTCTTTGTAGGTCACTAAGGACTTGCTTTATGAATCTGGGTGCTCCTGTATTGGGTGCATATATATTTAGGATAGTTAGCTCTTCTTGTTGAATTGATCCCTTTACCATTATGTAATGGCCTTCTTTGTCTCTTTTGATCTCTGTTGGTTTAAAGTCTGTTTTATCAGAGACTAGGATTGCAACCCCTGCCTTTTTTTGTTTTCCATTTGCTTGTTAGATATTCCCCCATCCCTTTATTTTGAGCCTCTGTGTGTCTCTGCACGTGAGATGGGTTTCCTGAACACAGCACACCAATGGGTCTTGACTCTTTATCCAATTTTCCAGTCTGTGTCTTTTAATTGGAGCATTTAGCCCATTTACATTTAAGGTTAGTATTGTTATGTGTGAATTTGATCCTGTCATTATAATGTTAGCTGGTTATTTTGCTTGTTAGTTGATGCAGTTTCTTCCTAGCCTCAATGGCCTTTACAATTTGGCATGTTTTTGTAGTGGCTGGTACAGGTTCTTCCTCTCCATGTTTAGTGCTTCCTTCAGGAGCTCTTTAAGGCAGACCTGGTGGTGACAAAATCTCTCAGCATTTGCTTGTCTGTAAAGTATTTTATTTCTCCTTCACTTATGAAGCTTAGTTTGGCTGGATATGAAATTCTGGGTTGAAAATTCTTTTCTTTAAGAATGTTGAATATTGGCCCTGACTCTCTTCTGGCTTGTAGAGTTTCTGCCGAGAGATCAGCTGTTAGTCTGATGGGCTTCCCTTTGTGGGTAACCCGACCTTTCTCTCTGGTTGCCCTTAACATTTTTTCCTTCATTTCAACTTTGGTGAATCTGGTAATTATGTGTCTTGGAGTTGCTCTTCTCCAGGAGTATCTTTGTGGCGTCCTCTGTATTTCCTGAATTTGAATGTTGGCCTGCCTTGCTAGATTGGGGAAGTTCTCCTGGATAATATCCTGCAGAGTGTTTTCCAACTTGGTTCCATTCTCCCCGTCACTTTCAGGTACACCAATCAGACATAGATTTGGTCTTTTCACATAGTCCTATATTTCTTGGAGGCTATGTTCATTTCTTTTTATTCTTTCTTCTCTAAACTTCTCTTCTTGCTTCATTTCATTCATTTGATCTTCCATCACTGATACCCTTTCTTCCAGTTGATCGAATCTGCTACTGAGGCTTGTGCATTCATCACGTATTTCTTGTGCTGTGGTTTTCAGCTCCATCAGGTCCTTTAAGGACTCCTCTGCATTGGTTATTCTAGTTAGCCATTCGTCTAATCTTTTTTCAAGGTTTTTAACTTCTTTGCCATGGGTTCAAACTTCCTCCTTTAGCTCAGAGTAGTTTGATCATCTGAAGCCTTCTTCTCTGAACTCGTCAAAGTCATGCTCCATCCAGCTTTGTTCTGTTGCTGGTGAGGAGCTGCGTTCCTTTGGAGGAGGAGAGGCGCTCTGATTTTTAAATTTTTCAGTTTTTCTGCTCTGTTTTTTCCCCATCTTTGTGGTTTTATCTACCTTTGGTCTTTGATGATGGTGATGTACAGATGGGGTTTTGGTGTGGATGTCCTTTCTGTTTGTTAGTTTTCCTTCTAACAGTCAGGACCCTCAGCTGCAGGTCTGTTGGAGTTTGCCAGAGGTCCACTCCAGACCCTGTTTGCCTGGGTATCAGCCACGGAGGCTGCAGAACAGTGGATATTGGTGAACAGCAAATGTTGCTGCCCGATCATTCCTCTGGAAGTTTTGTCTCAGAGGAGTACCCGGCGGTGTGAGATGTCAGTCCGCGCCTACTGGGGGGTGCCTCCCAGTTAGGCTACTCAAAGGTCAGGGACCCACTTGAGGAGGCAGTCTGTCCGTTCTCAGGTCTCAAGCTGTGTGCTGGGAGAACCCCCTACTCTCTTCAAAGCTGTCAGACACGGACATTTAAGTCTTCAGAGGTTTCTGCTGCCTTTTGTTTGTCTATGCCCTGCCCCCAGAGGTGGAGTCTACAGAGGCAGGCAGGCCTCCTTGTGCTGCGGTGGGCTCCACCCAGTTCGAGCTTCCTGGCTGCTTTGTTTACCTACTCAAGCCTTGGCAATGGCGGGTGCCCCTCCCCCAGCCTCGCTGCCACCTTGCAGTTCGATCTCAGACTGCTGTGCTAGCAATGAGCGAGGCTCCGTGGGCGTAGGATACTCCAAGCCACGCATGGGATATAATCTCCTGGTGTGCCGTTTGCTAAGACCATCGGAAAAGGGCAGTATTAGGGTTGGAGTGACCCGATTTTCCAGGTGCTGTCTGTCACCCCTTTCCTTGGCTAGGAAAGGGAATTCCCCGACCCCTTGTGCTTCCCTGGTGAGGCGATGCCTCGCCCTGCTTTGGCTCAGGCTCGGTGCACTGCACCCACTGTCCTGCACCCACTGTCTGACGATCCCCAGTGAGATGCACCCAGTACCTCAGTTGGAAATGCAGAAATCATTTGTCTATTTGTCTTCTGCGTCGCTCATGCTGGGAGCTGTAGACTGGAGCTGTTCCTATTCGGCCATCTTGGCTCCACCCCTCCACCATCCAACTTTCTATCACTATATTTTGCCCTATATTTTCAACCATGATCATCTATGCCTTTTACAAACAATATCACTAACCTTTACATATATTTTACTAAACTATTAATTCATATCCTCCAACAACATTACTGGCCCTGTCACCTTGACCTAATTAATACACCAAAATATTATTATAATAAAATATATATAATTTATGTTTAAAGCCCACTTTACAATGCCACTAAAGATGTTGTTAGGGATCCTGAAAATTTCAGATCTATGTTCTTGCCTAATGGCATATAAATAGGAAACTTTGTTATGACTGGCTGACAAAAACTTCTTAATACTTCCACATATTTTCCTCCTGTTTACTTTCATAATAAAATGTTTTTTATGCTGTTTAGGGCAACTTTTGCCCTAGTCTCTGAATATCTCCTCTACACTTCAGGCCAATCAAATGCTCTAAATAATCGAGCTCAAAATGGATGTCAAGACATCAAGGAGTAAATTGTAATGTATTTTTTATATTAATGCTGTCGTGGCCTATTGTTGAGGCCCTGGTTAGAGGCCTGTCAGTTCCCCTTCTTGGGCTGCTGATCAACTCCACACTCTATCCACTTCACTTATCAGGTGTTCACGCTTTGGGCCGCTTCAGACCAGCCCTATCCACCTAGGGGCCAGGTATAGACAGCTAGGGACAGCCCTTATACCCTGGAGCCTGAGAAATTATTCAAGTTAGCCATTACTCAGGGAGCCAGTGAAACCTAGCTAATCCCACCCCACTTGCCATAAGTAAGCTGCTCCTTACAGCTCCAATTTGCTGTTACCCAGATGCAACCCCCTGTGTGGTCTTGCCTGGTAGCCTTCTCTAGTTTGGAGCCATAAGTAACAAAAGTTCTTCCTTTCATTTTTCCAAGTGACCGTGTGTTGTGTCCTGCCATCAAAATAATCTTAAAATCTTATAAAACAACCCTAAATTACACCATATAAAAATTAACTCAAAATGAATCAAAAACCTAAATGCAAGAGCTAAAACTATGAAACCCTTAGAAGAAAGCAAAGGGGTAAATCTTCATGACCTTGGATTTGGCAATAAATTTTTAGATATGACACCAAAACCATGAACAACAAAAGAAAAATAGATGAATTGGACTTCTTCAAAATGAAAAACTTTTGTGCATAAAAGGACACTATTAAGAAAGTGAAAGAGAACCTATAGAATGGGAGGAAATATCTACAAACCATATATCAAATAAGGAACTAATATCCAGAATATATAAGAACTATTACAACTCAACAACAAAAAGCCAAACAACCTAATTAAAAAATGGGTAAGGATATGCAGAAGATTGAGACTGGATCCCTGCTTCCTTACAACATATACAAAAATCAACTCAAGATGGATTAAAGACTTAAATGTAAAACCCAAAACTATAAAAACCCTGGAAGACAACCTAGACAACACCATCCTGGACATAGAAATGGGCACAGGTGTCATGACAAAGACACCAAAAGCAATTGCATCAAGAGCAAAAATTGACAAACGAGATTTAATTAAACATAGGAGCTTGTGTATGGCAAAAGAAACTATCAACAGAATAAACAGACAACCTACAGAATGGGAGAAAATATTAGCAAACTATGCATCTGACAAAGGTCTAATATCGAGCAAGTATAAGGGACTTAAACAAATTTGCAAGAGGAAAAACAACCCCATTAAAAAGTGGGCAAAGGACATGAACAGACACTTCAAAAGAAGACATACATGCAAGCTCAATATCACTGTGGAAAGCAGTGTGTCGATTCCCGTAAGAGTTAAAAACAGAACTACCATTTGACCCAGCAATTCCATTACTGGGTATACACCCAGAGGAATGTAAATCATTCTACCATAAAGGCATATACACACGAATGTTCACTGCAGCACTATTCACAATAGCAAAGACATGGAATCAACCTAAATGTCCATCAATGACAGATTGGATAAAGAAAATATAGTACATATACATCACGGAATACTATGCAACCATAAAAAAAGAACAAGATCATGTATTTTGCAGGAATATGGATGGAGCTGGAGGCTATTATCCTCAGCAAACTAATGCAGGAACAGAAAACCAAATACCAGATGTTCTCACTTACAAGTGGGAGCTAAATGATGAGAACTCCTGAACACAAAGAAGGGAACAATAGATATTGGGACCTACTTGAGGGTGGAGGATGGGAGGAGGATGAGGATTAAAAAACTACATATTAGGTACTATGATTATTATTTGGCTGATGAAATAAAGTGTATACCAAGCCCCTGTGACATGCAATTTACCTATGAAACAAACCTGCACATGTGTCCCCAAACCTAACATAAAATTTAAAAAATAAAAAATAAAAATTGGCAAAGCACTTGAATAGATATTTCTCCAAAGGAAATATACGAATATCCAACAAACCCAAGAAAAGATACTCAACATCATGGGTCATTAAGAAAATGCAAATCAAAACCACTTCTCTCCCACTAGGATGATAAACATAAAAAATAGAAATTAACAATTGTTTGCAAGGATATGGTAAAATTGGAGTCTTGCTGATAGGAATGCAAAATGTTGCAGTTACTGTGGAACACAGTTTGGCGGTTTCTCAAAAATTTAAACATAGAATTACCATATGACCCAATGATTACACTCCTAGCTATATATGCAAGAGAAGTAAAGACATACACCCACACAAAAACTTATACATAATTGTTTATGGTAGCATTATTTATAACAGCCAAAAGGCAAAAACAATCCAAATATCTATCAACATACAAATGGATAAACAGAGTGTGGTATGCACATAAAATGAAATATTAATTCATAAAAAGGAATGAAGTATTGCACATGCTACAATGTAGATGAACCTTGAAAACATTATGCTAAGTGAAAGAAGCCAGACACAAAAGGTCACATATTGTACAATTCCATTTATGGGAAATATCTAGAATAGGTAAGTTCATAAAGATGGAAAGCAGATAAGTCATTGCTAGGGACTAGGGGGAAAAGGGAATTGAGAATGACTGCTTAATGGGTATGGGGTCTCTTTTCAGATTGATGAAACTGTTTTGGAACTAAATAGAGGGGATGGTTACACAATATTTTGAGTGTACTATACATGTCACTGAACTGTACACTTTAAAATGGTTAATTCTATGTTATGTGAATTTCTCTTTTAAATAGAGAATAAAGATAGCACGATTTGAAAAAAATGTATACAGAAGTATATTCTTTGGGTCAATGGCCTTCATCTTTTTAATATTACATACCCCTTTGAACATCTAATGAGAGCAACGGAACCTATTCTCAGCAAATGTGCACATACAATAAAAATGTATATATCCAGCCTGGGTGCGGCAGCTCATGCCTGTAATCCCAGTGCTTCGGGAGGCTGAGGCAGGGGGCTCACTTGAGGTCAAGAATTGGAGACCAACCTGGGCAATGTAGGGAGACACTGTCTGTACAAAAATTTAAAGAAATTAGCTGGGAGTTGTGGCGTGCACCAGTAGTCCCAGTTACTCAGAAGGCTGAGGTGAGAAGATCCCTTTAGCCCAGGAGTTGAAGGCTACAGTGAACTATAAATGCACCACTGGACTCTAGTCTGGACAACAGAGTGAAACCACGACCACACACACACACACACACACACACACACACACAAGTTTGAACATAATTTTAGGGGATTCATAGTTTAATAATGCCTGAACCCAAGGAATAGATGAGCTCTCTTTAACATGGCTCAGCTGCTATTTGTGTCTTCCCCTTCTTATCTCTTTGTCAAGTAGCTTCTTCTTTCTGTCCTTTATGGTTTCCTCTTTTTCATGATGTCAACTTGCTTATATAAAATAAAAACATACATCCACACAAAAACTTATACGTGATTGTATATGGCAGCATTATTTATAACAGCTAAAAGATGAAAATGCCTAAATATTCATCAACATATGATGGATAAACAGAATGGGGTGTGCAAATAGAACAAAACACTATTCAGGCTCCTAGGGTACAGATCTTCTTCTCACAAGAGTGTGCATACTCCACTACTTCCTAAACATATGCAATTTTACATGCCCTTTCAGGTGGCCCACAGACTTCATCAATTGGGAATACTTGGTCTAGGTCAATATGGACAGCATGGCAGAACTCCTTAGACACTGGCCTAAATTTGCTGAGACAGTCATAGGTTAGTATGGACTGGCAGGCAGCAATCCTGCAGCAAGGTTAGGCTCCCTCTGGGTTCCCTGAAGATACAGAGTTTGGGGGTGAGAGGCCCGCCAGACTGCACTTTTTAGGCTAGGCGGGAGGTAACAGACAGGGTCTAGGGAGGCTTCCACTCAGGCACTGTGAATAAGGGCAGAGAGCAGGCAGGTTGCAGGGGACTCTACCCCAGCAATCACTTCAGGCCTCATGAACACCCTCAGCTGCAAGGGTCTAGAAGAGATCTGTTCTAGTTTTCTAGAGGCATGAACAATGCTCCACTCTGTGCTGGGGCTGGGTTATCCCTGTGGGAATTAGGGGGAGGGAGGAGGGAAGGAGCCAAAGGCATTTACTCATATCACCACCTTGGTCACCTGTCCAGTTATATTCTTGGACAGATGACTCTTGAGCAACAGAGTCATGTGCCTGGGGATGAGAAATGCAGGGGATGAGAAATTCTAGAATATGAGGGGGTGGAGAAGAACACCTTCCCCTGATCTTGGCAGGGCAGGGAGGATAGGACCATTTCTGCATCCTTCACATCTCCTGCAGCCTTGGTCTCACAGCTCTTCCCTTCCCCTAGAGCTAAACATTTGAATGAAAATAGCCATGAGCCAAATTTTTTAAAGAGACATTTTTGAATTTTCTTTCAACCATCAGATTCCAGCAAGTCTATTTAGCACTCAGTAATCGTTTGGGAACATTAAATGTGTGTGTGTGTGTGTGTGTGTGTGTGTGTGTGTGTGTGTGTGTGTGTTAAATAGAACGTGAGAGAACCAGCTATTTATGAAAAATTTCTAATGTATATTTTGCTTGTTGCCAATTGAATTCCTTGTGTATATGGCAAAAGTTAATATTATGAACCTAATTTGGTCTCTCTTCTGAGTAGAAAATTTTGAAATCTTTTAAGTTTTTCTCTCTCTTAAACACTTTCTCATAAATGAAATAGCTTTATTTAATTTTGTGCTTATAAGAATAACCCATGCTGAGGAGAGTGAATTAAATAAGATCAAAAAAATTTAAAAAAATAAAACCCCTATTTTAACTACTTGTGTCCCTACTTGACAATCCACCTTGTACCCATTATGAGAAGGTCTGGTTCACAGGCAGAATGAACATCAGTGGCTGCGTGTAGAATTAGATCGAGTAGGTGCCTTCGGATAAAAGGAGAGAAAGAAAAAAAATTCCTCTGAGATGTACCAATGGCCAATAGCTCTAGAAGAAGGTGCGGTCCCTCCCTGATAACCACGGAAGAATAAATACATACTACACAGAGAAAGGGCCACATTTGACCTGTGGGATTAGCAAAGACCAAAATGAGTGACAGGGCCCCGTGCTGTGGGGCGAGAGAGAGAGCTAAGCCGGGGTTGGGGGTGCTGAGGGCGCTCAGACGGACAGACTAGTGAAGGGAAGAAGTGGGCTGGCTCCTGACGCACTTTCTGCGGGTGGGAGGGGAACTAGGGACCCGAGCCCACTGGTGACGTTTTTCTCACGTGATCTGAAGCCGACGTGTGCAGAAGTCCCTCTCCTCCAGGTACCAGATCCCTGTTTCCGTGGAGGAAGGCAGACTTCAGACTGAAGGACAGAGAAGGCAACTGCCCTACAGCCCTGCAGGTCGGTACAAGCCGGGGACCCCTGAGGTAGGGATGGTAATGCACATAGGCTACAGAGGATCGGATCTGCTTTCTAGATACCGCCCTGTTCCACCCCCATTCATTTTGGCGCAGAAATTTTTTTGTGTTGGGCAAGAGGTATGGGTACCAGCTTTTATTTCCCTGGAGAAGTGCAGGCTTCTGGCAGAAGGAAATGTGAGAAAGAGTCATTTCCCCGAGATGGCTACGAACCCATCCACAGCCTGTGGATCCCTGTGGTTGGGATGGCAGAGGGCAAAGACCAGAGCGGGTCCAGGACTGGATTCTCTCCACTCCTTTCCCGATGCTCACTCATTTGGTGCAAGAAATGGAGGGCTTGGTGCGGGGCGGGGAGGGGGGAGGGGGGCGGAACTCGAGAGAGGTCAAGGGTTGAGAATTGGGTACCAGTTGGGAACTCCTAGGAAGCCGGCGACCGGGTGATGTCTGATGGAGGAGGAGGAGGACCAGGGAAGAGAACAGCGACGAAACGGCGAGAAAACGGCCTGATCCCTGCAAGGCAGCGGGAGGCGGGCACAGTCAGTGACCCCAGGCTGCTGAGGGCGGACCCTGCAACGGGTCCAGGCCTGAGTTCCCTGTGTCTTTTCTCCAACCTCCCTCCATTTTGGAGCCGGAAACGGTGGGCTAAGGGGGTCAGGGGAAGGAGGTGCTGTAGAAAAAGGGAGACAGAGGTTTGATCTGGGGATCAGCTCCCTATCCAGGAGGAGTGGCTTCTGAAGTAGGAGGATTGAGATGAGGTAGCAGCAAGACCAAAAATGTTACCGGGTTTGGAAATAATTTGTCTCTTGCATTGCAGAAAAATGTGGGCTTTCTGTGTATGTGGGGAGGGAGGAGGTGGCAGGAGTGTTTTGGACATTTCTGCCCTGCCCCCTATCTCTGTCATCACCATTTTCAGAGAAGTGGTGGGCTCTGCTATTTGGCTACCCTAGGGTGAGGGATTTGGAATGTAGAGATCTGAGTGCATCAGAACACTCTGTCTTCAGAACATCCTTGTCTCTAACCCTACTCATTTTCGTGCCAGAAAAGTGAGATAAAAATTTGGGAGGAAGATTCAGAAACATAGAAACGCTTTGGAAATAATCTTTCTCGCCTATTTCCCACAAGTAGAACAATGGAGGCTCTTAAGAAAGAGCTGCGCGCGGAGGGGGAATCAGAGAATGCAAGGGAAAAGGCGAGGAGGTGATAGGAGCTCGGAAAGTTTTGACAAATACGGTCCCAAAGAACCAGTGTCCAAGTTACCAGTCATTCACTTTCTCAATTTCTCATTCACCCACCTGTTTCTTGTCTTTCTGCAGGTCTTCAAGTCTGTGGTTGTGGGCACTAACCCAGACAAGAAAAGGAAAGACCTGCAGTATCGGTGCAGGTCAGTGGGAGAGGGCTACTGCACCAGGACCCTTGGGAGTAGGAGTAACTTAAGCCAGAGCAGAAGTTGGGGAGGCCACTGCCTGCCACCCCTCCTCCAATCCTCCCTCTTGCAGTTTCGGGATACATGACTGCTGTCAAGACCCTAAGGGGATATGGTGATCTATGGCTGGTGAGGATAGAGGGGAGAATAAGAAAGTAAGAGAATGGAGGTGTAGCATCTGTGATGCCCCCTGAGGACATAAGGGTAGCCCTGAAATCTGAGAACTGGCTATGGTTCTGTTCTGTCTGCAGTTTTATAAGTCTTACAACTGCATGCAAGGGGAAAAAGAAGAAAACTGCCCAGGATTTCTGCAGGTCCGTGTAAATTGGAACTACCCAGTTAAAATTGGTATGGGTAGGCATAGCCAAGGCCAGAGCAAAGTTTAAGGGCCAATATGCTCCTACGCATTTCTCAGCACATCCTCCTTAAATGTAGGGAGAAGCACCTGTGGAAGTTTCTGTAAGGTTGGCTTGTGTGAACATGTGTAAAGTGAAAAGGAAAGGAAGGAATGTAAGGGTGGGAGTGCACCTGGAAGATGGGATAGGGCCAGGAAAACCCTAAGTTAAGAAAGACAAGTACTATAAGGACCTGTGTTCAACCCCCAAAGCCCTCAGTGTCCTGTGTCTTCTTTTTGTCTCCTAGGAAAGGCAAAGAAGGGAACATCTCAACATGGAAAAGCTCTACAAAGAAAATGAAGGAAAGCCAGAGAATGAAAGAAACCTAGAAAGTGAGGGAAAGCCAGAGGATGAGGGAAGTACAGAAGATGAAGGAAAGTCAGACGAGGAAGAAAAGCCGGACATGGAGGGGAAGACAGAATGCGAGGGAAAGCGAGAGGATGAGGGAGAGCCAGGTGATGAGGGACAACTGGAAGATGAGGGAAACCAGGAAAAGCAGGGCAAGTCTGAAGGTGAGGACAAGCCACAAAGTGAGGGCAAGCCAGCCTCCCAGGCCAAGCCAGAGAGCCAGCCGCGGGCCGCCGAAAAGCGCCCGGCTGAAGATTATGTGCCCCGGAAAGCAAAAAGAAAAACCGACAGGGGGACGGACGATTCCCCCAAGGACTCTCAGGAGGACTTACAAGAAAGGCATCTGAGCAGTGAGGAGATGATGAGAGAATGTGGAGATGTGTCAAGGGCTCAGGAGGAGCTAAGGAAAAAACAGAAAATGGGTGGTTTTCATTGGATGCAAAGAGATGTACAGGATCCATTCGCCCCAAGGGGCCAACGGGGTGTGAGGGGAGTGAGGGGCGGAGGTAGGGGCCAGAAAGACTTAGAAGATGTCCCATATGTTTAATGTCTTTGGCCTTTAATTCTGATTTCTCTGATGGGAATATTGCCAGTCCTGCTTTTCCTGGCAGGCATTTGCCGGCCTATGTGCTTTAACCTTAAGCTGATACTTTCCTTTAGGTGTCACTCTTGTTACCAGCAGACTTTTGACCCAACTACAGTGCTCTGTCTTTTAGTAGAGGATTTTCACCCATGTGCATGGAATAAATGTTCATGGTACATTGTAAAATAACAATAAAAAAGAGTTTTCAGAACCATGTATACAGTATCAGCCCATTTCTGAAAAAAAATGTTTACATAATATATCCATACATGGGGGACACTATGCAATTGAGTAGATCAAAGAGAAATCATGAATTTCTTTGTGTGGTGGGACTGAAAATTATTCTTTTTCTCATCTGTACTTCTTTTAAATCTAAAAAGCACAGGCTATTTTTGTTTTAAAGGAAGTAATAAAAGGTAAACAAAATAGGAAAATAGTAAATACTAGGCAATCAAAAGAACTATTCATTGATCATATTAAGGCAGTGGAGACAAAATTCTTGTTAGAACACAAAATGATAGATAAAACTCACATTACCCCTGGGACTTGAAGTTGGAGGAATCAACCTGGCAGTTACTACAGATTCATTGCTATAAGAGACAGCCTTGTGTGAAATGGGGCTGAAACTTACCTCCCAGGGCTGTGGAGTAGATCAGATGTGACGCTTGAGTCTGTGACCTATGTTAGGCTGGCTCCTGCCCTCTCCCCTGCACTAACAGTACCAAGTCAGACAGTTGGTGAGGGTATGGAGTGTTGCGGAGGGAGGTCTCACCTGTGCCTAAAAATAGGTACAGGAAGCTGAGAGATAGTTGCCACTTTCCCCTGGGTAATGCCACATCTGTTGGGCATTGTGCCCCCTCTCCAGGGTCCTGCACCCTCTAAGGCCCCAGTTGTTGCTGGTGGGCTAGAGTCTTCAAGGTAACAAAGCCCTTTAGATTCACCTGAAGTCCCTGGTGAATTGAATCCCCAATAGGTTCCCTTCTGAACTGTGGAGAATGTCCGTCTTCTCTCTTTATAGTTATGTTAATACTGACGAAATGTGGGAAAAATGCTTCGTAAAATCTTAATATATTTGTCAGGCATTATAATTACCCCACTAGACTTGCCCTTTAAAGCAAAGAGTTTATCTTACTCATTTTGTTACTCCATAGAACATAATAGAAGCTTAAAAAGTAACTACATTAATTATTGAGTCAGAAGGCCTCAGTTCTTGGCCCAGTTCTGCCCCTGACTGAATACATAGCCTTGAAACTGTAATGTTATTCTTTAGCTACTGAAACTTGCCACTTCAAAAGGAACACAGCGGGAGATGGATTATATCAAAATTCATTGCTAAATGATTTTAACATTGGATATAGTAGTGTTTTTCAAAGTTTGCTACTTACTAGCAGACCTCCTGCATCGAAATCACCTAACTATCTTGTTGAAAATGCAGGATCCTGGCTCCCACCTCAGACCCAATGCGTCAGAATCGCTTCTGATTTGTCTCCACAATATGTGTGTGTGCGTTTGTGTGTGCGTGTCTGCATGCATCTTTTGCTTTTAGCTCCTTTTCATTTTTATCAAATGAATACACACACAAATTTTTAAAATCCTATAGCACAAGAGTTTTTTTTAATTATTAAAACCTGCAGTTTTCCTTGCCATTCCACATTCCCACTCCCCAGAGGCTACTACCATAGGCAACTACCATAAACATTTTCGTTTTATTCTGGCATTTACCTCCATCTTTCTGAATAATATGTATATGTTGCCATTTCCTTTTTAACAGCTTTATTAAGAGGTAATTCACATGCCACAAAATTCACCCTTTTACAGTATACAATTCAGTGGTGTTTAGTATATTAGCAGACTTCTGAAGTCATTATCACTATCTGGTTCCAGGATATTTTCATCACCTTCAGAAGAAATCCCATATCCATTAGCACATAATGTCATGCCCACTCCCCTGTTCTCCTAGCATCTGGCAAGCACTGACCTCCTTTCTGTCTCTACGGATTTGCCTATCCTGGACATTTCGTATTAATTGAATAATACGATATGTGGCCTCTTGTGTCTTGCTTCTTTCACTTGCCATAATATTTTCAAGGTTCATTCATGTTGTAACAGATATCATTACTAAACATTTGTATACATATTTTGTGTGTAGATATGTTTTTGATTCTCTTGTGTATACACCTAGGAGTGGAATTGCGAAGTAATGATAACTCTATGTTTAAATTTTGAGGAACTTCCAAAACTGTTTTCCAAAGCAACTATGGTATTTGACAATTCCACCAGCAGTGTAGGAAGTTTCCAATTTCTCCATATCCTCAACAACACTCGTTATTGCCTGTATTTTTGATTAAAGCCATCTTAGTGGATATGAAGTGGCGTCATATTGTGGTTTTAATTGGCATTTTTCTAATTGCTAATGATGTTCATCATCTTTTCATGTGCTTATTGGCCATTTGCATCTCTTCTTTGGAGAAATACGTATTCAGATCTTTTGTCCCTTTCTAAATTGGACTGTTTTCTTATTGATGAGTTGTGAGAGTTCTTTGTTTATTCTGAACATAAGTCCCTTATCAGATATATGATTTGCAACTGCTATTTCTTGACTTGTTTATTTTAGTCATTAAGATTTTCTGATATGATAATGGAGTAATTCTTTCTTACCATCATAACCCCCATTGTCTATTGCCTACCCCCAATATAGCTTTACCACATACAATGTTTATTTTAGCAAGCATCCCAGTGACTCTGTTGCTTAACTTTGAGGACCATTTGTGTTTGTCAGGTTAGGCTAAGCTTATGCTGAGGTAGCTAAGAGTCCCAAAACCTCAGTGGCTTAACACAACAAAGGTTTCTCAAACTTCATGAAGGTTGGGGATAGAGAAGCCCTGCTCCTCATAGTCTGTCAGGGATCCATTGCAGCAAAGAAAGAGAGTGTATGAGGATCTCACAGTCACTTTTCTACACTGTGGTCTAGAAGTGACAAAAATCACCACTATTCATAGCCCAGTTCTTCATATTTCTAGCTCCTTTAATTCTGACAAGATTTCTCAGAGAGCTGTTATTTATGCCCTCTATATAGGTGATTGATTTCTGAGAGAGCTGTTATTTATGCCCTCTATATAGATGATTGAACTGAGGCTCAAAGAGGAAAATGATTTATTCGATGTTCCATACCAACAAAGAGAAGAGCCAGATTGAAATCCAGGTTTATCTGGCTCTAATGCAATAATTCTTAACTAGTTTCCTTTCCTTTACTTTTTTTTTTTTTTTTTTTTTTTAGACGGTGTCTTGTTCTGTCACCCAGGCTGGAGTGGAGCGGTGCAATCTCGGCTTACTACAACCTCCGCCTCCTGGGTTCAAGCAATTCTCCTGCCTTAGCCTCTTGAGTAGCTGGGATTACAGACACATGCCACTGTGCCTGGCTAATTTTTGTATTTTTGGTAAAGACGGAGTTTCATCATGTTGGCCAGGCTGGTCTTGAACTCCTGACCTCAAGTGATCCACCCACCTCGGCCTCCCGAACTGCTGTGATTTCAGGCGTGAGCCACTGCGCCCGGCCAGTTTCCTTTCCTAAACCAAGGATTTCATTTTCATTTTCACTTTATTGTCCAACCAGTTCTTTAGGATGTCAAAAAAGTGATAATGTTTCCTTGGATGACAAACCTAAAGAACAAGGCTCACAATGGCATTGCTGCCTCCATCATCAATGCCTTAGAAAGGCATTTTCACACCAATTCACAGCTTGACTATACTGGCCCCGAAATTGTAAACTGTTTCTGTAGTGAATGTGGGTATTCAGACAAATGGTAACATCCCTTTTATTTTGAATTGTAGGAACGCATGCTCCTACAGGCAAGGTCTTTTTGCTTGGGGTTCCTTAAATTTTGGGGCCTGAGTTGATTCAAACATCAGAAGCATTGTTCCAAGGAAACACAGAACTGAAATCACCACATAAACACCAAAACAGGTCTAGGCACAGTCAAGGCTCTTCTGAGAGTCTGAGCAAAATAGGTTGGGATTATTTTTCCAACTACATACCTACCCAAACTGTTCTAGGGGCTGTTTCTCTGCACTCTGAGAGAATAGTTCAACCCTCCTACCTTAACCCCAAATTATTTGGTCAAATTCAGATTGCAGCTGGCTGTGACAAGGACAAATGCTTTAAATTTTTTATGCTGTGAAGTTTTATATCCATTCCTACAAAAGTCTCCTACATACCCCAAAAGGAAAGAGGACAGGGAAAAAATGCGAAGCTTTATGACAGAAAAATGAAAGCAGTTCTTAACACTGGAGACTATTGAATCTATCGCCAGTTCTTTCAAGCCAATAGGAAATGGCCAATGATGCTAAGCACAACCATGTAATAGAGGATACGAACCTTTCTTCTCCCTAATTTCTCTCCCAAACCTAGGAAATGTTTTTGGGATAAGGAGAAAAATGTTCCTAAGAATAGACTCCAACTGCCTGTCTGCTACAAGCTCCTAGAGCAAAAGGGTATATGTTGTTTATGGGAACCAAAGGGAACCTTAAATTGAATATACTATATAAGTTGTAAAATGAACAAGACAATTGCCAGTTTCAGCTCCAAATGGAGAGCTGAAAACAATATAACTTACACATTTACAATAGGGGAAAAAGTTGGATAAACTGCAATATAACATTTTTTCTTAAAACCACCAGAGAACTCAGGTCACAGGGCAAACAATTATCCTCAAATCTAGAGAAAGACACTTGGGGAGAGAAATAGTAGTAACCAAGCATTTCCTTACCTGAAATATATACCATCAAATGCCACGTAGGTCAGTTAAAAAAAATTGAGCTAGAAATTGTCAATGGATTTCTGAAGACTGAGTGAGGACCAGCATGAGAGTATGTGAAGTCTCTGAGGGTCACAGACATAAAGGAACTTGCACCCTCCTTCAGGCTTAACTCTAGAAACTCCACTAGATGTTCCCAGGGAAGATCAGTGGGAATCCATAAAAGCTTGCCCTGTAGTGCCAGCTAAGAGAGGGAAATAGCAGTCCCTTGCTGACATTTCAACTAGATCCATCTCTCTTAGTAAACAAAAGTCTTAATCTGCAGGAAGAAGGACAACAAAACCCATATCATGAAGTTACTGGTGGAAATCCACTGCAGCTGAGGAAAGCAAACAGGAAAACAAAAGCTATATGAAGGGGAGGGTGCAGGCATGTGTGCTAGGTCCAGCATTTACATGTGGAAGAGAAGCATGAACACATGTGAAGTCTACACCACCAAAACTCAGGCTCTCAGTGCTTACCAAAGATGAAGACATGATCAGAACATCAGAGAATGCCCTTTCTGCTCCCCAGCACCATGCTAACAAATACTGAGTAAAAATATACTGAATGACAGCAAGGGACATATCCTTCCTAGGGAGCAGTAGAAAGGGAAAATGCAAAGCCAGGTGAAAAGAACTAGATATATATGGTAAGCAAACTGTCAAACTCAGCAAACTCAGCCTAACTTCTGAGTAGATTTAAGCAAACCTTCTCCCTAAAACATAGCAGAAGGAAAGATATAGACATACCCAAGCATAAAATCTGTTTACCTCAGTGATTACTGCCTTACACATAACCCACCTTTCAAGTACAAATTATGAAAAATACAAAAAGGCAAGAAAATAAAACATTCTGAATAGATAAATCAATCATCAGAACTAGAATCGGATACGACACAGATTTTGGAACAATAAGACCAATAATTTAAAATAGCTATGATTCATGATCCACTGCCATGGCAACATGAGGTCTGAGGATATACTCCTCGGTGAAACTGGTGAAAGAATATAACTATTTAAACTCTTTGGAAATGGTCCTAAGGGCAAATAAAGAAACATTTCTTCAAGAATATCTACTAAACTTAATAAGAACAATGAAATCTGTGGCATTTGAACCAAGATCCTCTTCTTGTCTTCTCACTTCCAATTCAGCATGATGAAAACGCTCCAGAAGGGTTCAGCCAAAAACACAGGTCTCACTCTCTCCAACCAGCTCATACTTGGAGGGTCACAGTATTTTCCCCAGACAGACATAAGTTCTCATCCTGCCTTGAGCTATCTATTGCAGAAGCTAAATCCTGGAAGAGTGCAGCGGAGAGGTGAGGGCTTCCTTCTGCCCAGGCCCCACTCATTAGAAGGTGGCTTTACTTCCAGCATAACGTGCTGAGAATACTGGGGCACCAATTGCCTGGGAGGGGCAAGCTAAGAAGACATGAAGGTAATGCCCACTCACAGTCAAGTGCCCAGCTCCTAAAGCAGAAGTTCTATTCAGAGAGAATTGTGCCACCATTCCCATCCCCAGCTCCAGAGCCTTGTGTAAGAGTTTTTGGCCAGGGAGAGAGTCAAGCTTTAAAACTCAGAGCTCTAAATCTCTTTCCAAAAGAACTGATTTCATTTGTCACACAGTGTGGAGAAACTGAAGGCTAAGGTGCTATAAAAATGGAGGTTGTAGTGAAAAGCAATTAAGAGGAAGTTGGTAGATTCATGAGAGATGTAAACTAAATGTTAGACCAGCTAGTTTACCAGAGAGAACCAGGGAAAGACACAGCTAAGTAGAGTGCTCTTGAGGTCAAAGCAAATCTCAAACACTCACCTCAAAAACTATCTCTGCAGGCCGGGCACTGTGGCTTATGCCTGTAATCCCAGCACCTTTGGGAGGCCGAGGCGGGCAGATCACTTGAGGCCAGGAGTTCAAGACCAGCCTGGCCAACATAGCTAAACCCTGTCTCTACTAAAAATACAAAAATTAGCCAGGTGTCGTAGCACACACCTGTAATCCCAGCTACAGGGAAGGCTGAGGCACAAGAATTGCTTGAACCCGGGAGGCAGAGATTTCAGTGAGCCGAAATCGCACCATTGCACTCCAGCCTGGGCGACAGAGCAAGACTGTTTAAAAAAAAAAAATGCTATCTCTGCAAAGAAGTCCAAATTTAATACCATGAACCTGTGGAGCATTCTATGCCCTAGTGCATTGTCGAAAACAATAGAGCAATCAACCAGCAATTAGTGTAGCTCAACAGCCAGGTGTGTCCAGGGAAAGAGGTGGTGAAAGACAAAATTGCAAAAACCCAGATTGACTGTGGACAAACTCAAGGCTGTGCCCTATGAAGAGTGATGTAAGAGGCTTTACACAGCAGGGGTGTGGGGGAAAATATATTCTATAAATACATACTTGCTTTCTTTTCTTTTTTCATCTTCCATACAAGACAAAATTATATAAAGTAATAATGATGACAATGGTTGGATTTATAACATTTATACATTATAACATTTATAGACATAATATGAAAACAATAATATCACAAAAAGTGGGAAATGGGAATAGAGCTATATAGAAGTGAGGTTTCTATATCTCACTAGAATTAATTAGTATCAATCTGAAGTAGATTCTCATAAGTTAATATGTATATGCCAAATCCTAGGGAAACCACTAAAAAAAATTCCAAAAAATATAATGAAAAAATTATTAAAGAAATTAAAATGCTTCCTCAAAACATATTCACTTAATGCAAGAAAAAAGCAAAAGAGGAACAAGAAAGACAGAAGATATATGACAGACAAAAGGTAAGTTGGCAGACATAAATCCAATTGTATCAATAATAACATTAAATGTGAAGGATTAAACAATTCAAACAAGAGGCAGAGATTGTCAGACTGGATTTTTAAAAAGATCCAACTATATGCTGTCTACAGAAGACACACTTTAGATTTAAAGACACAAGTAGGTTGAAAATAAAAGGATATATATACACACACACACACATATATATACACACACACACATACGTACATACTGTAAACAACAAAAATAAAGCTGGAGTAGATACACTATTATCTGACAAAATGGAATTTAAAATAAAAAATATTACTAGAGGTAAAGCATGGTATTTTATAGTGATAAGATGTATTTCATCAGAAATACGATGCAATCCATCAGAAAGATGCAAAAGTATTACACATATATGCAATTAGCAACTGTGTCCCAAAATGAATGAAGCAAAAAGTGACAGAATTTACAGAAAAAATAGACAATTTATCCTTAATAATTGGAGAGTTCAGTATTCTACTTTGAATAATGAATAGAAAAACTAAGCACAAGATTAAAAATAAAATTTGAACACTGAAAAAATACTGTAAGCTAACTATATCAATAGAATAAAAACAATCCACACTGTTCTCCAAAAATGCAGAAAATAGTTCAACAAAATCCAACACCTGATTGCAACAACCATGCAACAAATTATGAATAGAAGAAAAGTTTCTCAACTTGATTAAGGGCATCTAAAAAATCCCACTACTAATATCATACTTAGTGGTGAAACATTGGATGTTTCCCCCTAAAATATGGAAAAAGACAAGAATATCTGCTCTTACGACTTTTCAACATCATACTGGAGGTTCTAGACAGGGCAATTAGGCAAGAAATGGAAAGAAAAAGCAATCAGATAGGAAAAGAAGAAGAAAACATTTCTATTTGGAGATAACATGATCTTGTATTAATATTTAGAAGACAGTAAGGAGTAAACTAATAAACTATTAAAATTAATATACACGTTTAGCATGTTGTAGCATACAAAGTCAACACACAGAAACCAATTGTGTTTGTATATGGAATCAATAATTGGACTGAAAATGCAATTAAGAATACAATTCAATTTACCATAGCATCAAAAAGAATGAAATACTTAGGTATAAAATTCATAAAAGAAGTGCAAAATTTGTAACCTGAAAACTACAAAACACTGTTGAAAGAAATTAAAGATCTAAATAAAAGGAAAGGCAACTTATGTTTAAGGATGGGAAGACTTAATATTTTTAAAATACTAATACTTTCCATTGATCTACAGATTACATTCTATTCCATTGATCTAAGTGTCCATCCTTATGCCAGTACTGCATTGTCTTGATTATTGTGCTTTGTAGTAAGTTTGAAATCAGAAGTGTGACTCCTTCCAACTTTGCTGCTTTGTTTCTTCTTGTTTTGTTTATTTTGAAAACTTTTTGATATTGAGGGTTCCTTGCAATGGCATATGAATTTTAGAATTAGCATGTCAAATTCTTTAAAAAAAATTCCAGCTGGGATTCTGATAGGGACTGCATTGAACCTATAGATCCATAAATTTAGTGTATTCCTTATTATTATCTATATACAAGACCATATAATTTCCAAACAGACATCATTTTTCTCCTTTCTTTCCCATCTGGAATTTTTTTAATTTCCCACTACTTTTATTTAGTACAGTAGTAGAAGTCCTAGTCCATGAAGTAAGGCAAGAAAAAACAAATAAAAAACATACAAATGGGAAAAGAAGAAATAAAACTGGGTTCACAGACATGATTATCTATGCAGAAAATCCTAAAGAATTCTTGAAAGAGTCTAGAACTCTTAGGTGAGTTTAGCAAGGTTACAGGATATAAGGTCAACCTGTCAATTTTATCCCTATATACAAAAAATGAAAAATTAGAATTTAAAAAATTTTAAATGCCATTTACAATAGCACCAAAAAATGGATCACTTAAGTGTAAATCTAACTTAGTGTGTGCAGGACCTGTTTACTGAAAACAATAAAACACTGATAAAAAGAAATTAAAGAAGACATTTTAAGATGGAAACATTCTGTGTTTATAGATTGGAGGAGTCAGCATTATTAAGAAGTCAGTACTTCTCAATTTGGTGTATATCCCAATGAAAATCAGAGCAAGAATTTAAAAATTTTTTTAATTTTTATTTATTTTATTTTATTGTATTTTACTTTAAATTCCAGGATACATGTTCAGAAGGTGCAGGTTTTTTACATAGGTATACATGTGCCATGGTGGTCTGCACCACCTATCAACATACTTCATTTAGGTTTTCAAGCCCCGCATGCATTAGCTATTTGCCCTAATGATCTCCCTCCCCTTGCCCCCACCCTACAATTGGCCCCAGTGTGTGTTGTTCCCCTCCCTGTGTCCATGTGTTCTAGTTGTTCAACTCCCACTTATGAGTGAGAGCATGTGGTGTTTGGTTTTCTGTTCCTGTGTTAGTTTGCTGAGGATGATGGCTTCCAGCTTCATCCATGTCCCTGCAAAGGACATGATTTCATTCTTTTTTATGGCTGCATAGTATTCCATGGTGTATATGCACCACATTTTCTTTATCCAGTCTATCACGGTGAGTAGTTGGGTTGGTTCCATGTATTTGCTATTGTAAATAGTGCTGCAATGAACATACGTGTGCATGTGTCTTTATAGTAGAATGATTTATATTTCTTTGGGTATATACTCAGTAATGGAATTAGAGCAAGCATTTTTGTAGATATCAACAAGCTAGTTGCAAAATTGAAATGAAATGTCAAAGGAAATAGAATAACCAAAACATACAGAAAAAGAAGGACAAAATTGGAGGACACACACTAACCAATTTCAATACTTTTTATAAAGCTACATTAAGCAAGATGGTTTGGTAACAGAAAAATAGTAGGTACATAGATCAATGAAACAAGACAGCTCAGAAATAAACCCACACAAATATAGTCTACTAATATTTGACAAATGCACAAGGGTAATTCAAGGAAGAAAGAATTGTCTTTTCAACAAATGACACTGAAACAACTAAACATCTATCTGCAAAAAATGAACCTTATCTCATACATAATATCTTGCACAAAAATTAAATCAAATATATCAAAGACCTAAATGTAAAATGTAAAATTATAACATGTCTAGAAGAAAATATTGGAGAAAATCTATATGATCTTAGGTGTGGTGATGAGTTTTTAGATATAATACCAAAAGCTAACAACTTTAAAAACTGGATATCATGAAAATTAAGAACTTTTGCTTCATGAAAGACACTGTTATGAGAATGAAAATACAAGCCACCCACTAGAAGAAAATATTTGCACATCACATATCTGATAAAAGATTTTTATCCAGAAGAAATAAATGACTCTTAAAACCCAATAATAGAAAAGCAAACCCCAAAAAAGGCTACGGGAAGTAAAGATATGAACAGAGACTTCATTAAAGTATATATTCAGACAACAGATATGCACGTGAAAAGATGCTTAGCATCGTGAGTAATGAGGGAAATACATATTAAAACCACAAACAGATCTGTAAACAGATACTGTAAACTTAGGATGGTATAAAGTAAACAAACAAATGAAAATCCCCAAATGAAAAAATAACAAATTCTAGCGAGGCTGTGGAACAAAAGAAATTCTCATTCATTGCTCTTTGGAATGCAAAATGTTACAGCCAGTTTAAAGATCATTTTGACAATTTGTTATAAAGTTAAACATACAATTGCCACACAATCCAGCAATGCCACTTCAGGGTATTTACCCAAGTGAAATTAAAATATATGTTCATACAAAAACCTGTACAGAAATGTTCATAGCAGCTTTATTCATAATTTCTCCAAACTGGAAATATCCCAGGTGTTCTACAGCTGGTGAAAATATAAACAAATTGTGGTACATCTGTACAATGGAATACTATTCAGTAATGAAGAGGAACAAACTACTGATTCAAGTATGCATCTCAAATGGATATTGCTAAGTGAAAGAAGCCAGACTCAAAAGGATGTGTATTGTACAATTTCATTTACATGACATTATGAAAAGGCTAATTTATAGGGATGCAAAACAGAGGCTGCCAGGGGTAGAGATGGGAAGATGGGCTGACTACAAAAGCACCACACAAGGGAAATTTCAGGATACTAAAACTCTTCTGTATAGATACTATGGTGGTAGATGCATGACTTTGTGAATGTGTTGAATTCCACAGAACCACCAAAACATGAAAGGTGACTTTGCTTTATGTCAATTAAAAATGTAGGGGGAACCCAAAATGGAAAGCATACTGTGGCACATGAATCTCACTGTATCACAGATGTATGACATAACTTCACTGAAAAGGGTGTGGGAAAAAGGGGCTGACCTAATTTGCTTTGGAAACCACTGTTTTGACTGCATACTGTAAAGCTCAAGAAAAAACTACATAAATGTTGTATTCTGGTTGGGAAGTTTATTTCTCATGGGGGTACATGATAGCCATTTTAAACTACTTTATACACTAGAATTAAATAAGTAAATAAATGATAGACAAGAAGAACCAGGTTTCTCACTGCCAGAGATAGAAGGTAAAAATAAGCAAGAGATGAGAAAGCTAGATGAATACTTGTGGTAATGGATTAGAGTCAATGTGTCAGTATGAGCTTATATATGTGTATATATAATTAATATATATGCAAGTATGTGTGTATAAACAGTTTAGTATACATATACACATGTATCTACTTGTTCTATCTATCAACTGAGAAGCCCTAGAATCAATGACACCCTAATAGTAACCAGCACAATCAACGCCCAGATCTTAATTACTAAATATGATTATCCAATTAAAGTAACCAAGACTCCCTGGAGAAATGGCTGATCAAAGGGCTGGGAAAAGGAAGATAAAAGATGAACCTGGTACATCTTGTAGTGCCAGAAAGCAAGGAGACAGAAAAAGGATGAAAGAAAGCCCACCTGAAAGAGCTCCCAATGGCCAAGGCTCGAACAATTTGAACAGCAATAGCAATAACAAATGATAGTATTGGATTATAGCCTAAATAATTTTTTAAAATCCTTGAGTCATACTGACAGAAACAAATAATTGTATCAATAAATACATAGGGTGGGGGAGAATGGGAAAGTCTTCTTACGGGGTAATTTGAAATATTAAATGTAAAAGCAATGAGGGATATTTTAAAAAATCACCATCAGCACATCATAGTAGTTAGTAATTGCTACAGGTAAAATTCATAGTATATTTGCATAGTGTTAAATTATTTGCCCCCAAGTATTTATTGATTACTGTAGTTGTTTTCAAGCATATATTCACAAATTCATTGACACTCCTCTCTCTAGGAGGTAGAGTTTAATTCCCCACCTTTTTAGTATGGGCTACATTTAGAAACCAGCTTCTAACAAATAAGAGTATGAAAAGGGAAAAGTAGTAACTTTACAAGTGGAGAAACCCAGAAGAGAACCTTAACCAAATGAACAAAGTTAACATCATCAGTGATAATTCGTTCTAATATCATATAATCCTGACATTAGAAGACAAGGGCACTTTACCTCTGTAGCATTCTTTCTCAAAATCAAAAATCCCAATCTAATCATAAGAAAACATCAGAAAACCCAAACTGAGGAACATTTTACAAAATACCTCACTCTTAAAATGTGTCAAGGTAATGAAAAACAAGGGAAGACCAAGAAACTGGCACAGGGTAGACTAAATAGACATGTTAGCTAAATGCAACATTGTTTCCTGAATTGAATCCTGGAACAGAAAAAGGACATTAGTAGAAAACCTGGTGAATGAATCGTTTTTATTTAATAGCAGTGCACAAATGGTAACTTCTTAGTTTTTATAAATGTATCATAATTACTAGGCAAAGTTGGGTGTAAGGTATATGGAAACTGCGGCATTCCTTATAGCTAAAGTTATTTCAAAATGAAACGTTTAAAAAATAGACCAGACTTCTTTTTCCTTCTCTTTGGATGCCTTTGGTACAGACTGAATCTTAAGAATTCAAAATAAAGCTCTTAATGAATGAAAGTGACCTAATAGTTGAGGAAATAAGTGAACGTGTCATTAAAGAAATTTATTATCTAGTGAGAAAGGGGGGTTTGACAGATCACAATTGACAGCAATTTCTAAAAAAACATGAAACAATTCCATATTTATATCAAAAATTGGAACTATTTACTAAACTAGTTGCATACATAGATATGTATGTGTTATACGTATATATGCATGGAACTATTCTCTAAATAGTGTTCTGCCACTTTTTTCACTAAAAATATAGCTTTAATACAATTTCACGTCACTATGTGTGCATAATTTTACTCCTTTTTGTATCTGAAAAATTTCCACACTATAATTTATTTAACAATTCCCATATTAATGGAAATTTTAATTGTTTCCACCAACTTGACATTTCCACATTGGAATGGTTTACAAAGTTGAACCAGATATAGTTTTTGTCCTTGTAGCACTTGGAGACTAGAGAGGGATACAAAGTAGAAAGCCAACAAAACAGGGTGAAAGTATTAGGATGGGTAAATACCGAGACTAAAGAATCATGTAGCACTGGCAACTAATGCAGAATCAAGAGGTCAGATAAAGCTTTCTTTGCATTATAAACTGAATTTTTAAAAGCACCTGATCTGCAGCAACAGCACACTCTCCCCCACAACTGTGCTTCTGCCACAGGAAAGAGTTGCCCAGCCAGCTGAGATGTGCTTCTCCACCAACCCAGCATGATCCTCTACATAGATGCAGACCTCAAGCCTTAAGAAAAGCAATCTCAAAAATCTTGCTGAGGTGGATCTTGAGGATGCTGTTGCATATTAAAAGTCTAAGCAGTCAGGCATGATGGTCAGGCCTGTGATTCCAGCACTTTGGGAGGACAAGCGTGAGGATGGCTTGAGCCCAGCAGGTTAAGGCTGCAGCGAGTTGTTATCATGCCACTGCATTCCAGCTTGGGCAACAGTGTGAAACTCTGTCTCAGAAAAATAAGTCCAAGTAAACCCACTCAGGGACATTTGAAATGGCAGTAGTTATGACACAGCACTTTAGGTTCATAGCAATTCATAAGCATTATGTTCTGGATAACTAGAAACTTCACGTCACAATCATCTACAATGTATGCAGCATTTAGCTGTGAGTTCAGGCAGTGTACAGAATCATGTGGAAAAGATCATAAGTATCATACAAGCTGTGCTTCAAGTTATATTCACTTACCTAAATGTGGCCAGTGACTATTCTGGATATTTTGCAGAATATCCAGATACGTTGTGAAATGTATTGTTGCCAAACTTGAAAAACATACCATTATGTCAGGGAATGTGGTGACGGAGGATGGCAGAAGAGTTTCTTCTTTCTGGAGCACAAACAATCTAAGTAGATATAAGCCCAGGCTCTGTGTGTACTAGTTGCGCCAAAACGTTGGTGGACTACCCTTGGTTGTGCAAAGTGATGGAATGTGCTGAATCTGCTTTCATTCTGAAGGGGCAAATCATCTCAGATGGAGGCTGCTGGAGTGCACACCTTAGGATCTGGTAGCTAAAACTTTGGATCTGGGGAAGACTTTGCTATGTAAGGAGTGATGCTTTCAAGCCGTACAGATCATGCTAAAGAAGTGATAGATAAGAATGGTCAGCTCAAGTTCTATGGGATGACCTTTGAAAGAGCAATGAAAAAAAATGCAGGAGGAGTTGCTAAATATAGAGTATCAGAACACAAGACTATGGAAGGAACATAGAAAACAATATTCTGGATACTATAGTCTTATATAAGAGCTTTCTGGATACTCAAATGGTAAAATGCTGACTGCTTTCTCCTCCTCTCACATAACCTGAAGGACTTTGGACTTTGGAACTATCTCTAGTGCTCTCTTGGTGCACAAAAACAGGACATTGATTGGCTCAGAGGCCCAGGGTTTCTACTCTCCAGAATTCATATCCTTATTGTTAAAATTAATGTGTACACCTTTTTCTTTCCTTTTTAAAAAGATAGTTTTTACTTCAGTAGAATGCTATTTTCAAAAATTTACTTATATTTAAAATCTACTCTGATTGACTTAATTTCAAAGGTAGCTGAGTGTTGTATTGACACACTGAAATTGCCCCGGAACAAGGATGAAGGTGAAGGCCTGTATCACCTGGCTCTTTGTCAGGTGTGTACCAGTGAGCTAACTAATCTCTACTGTGAGTATTTAGGAAGACAAGGTCAATAACCTTTGCCAATAGCTCCATAAACATGGTATTAATATTGCTGTGGCTATATGTAAAGCAGAATAAGTAAAGGAGAGTACAATGAAACTTCTGCTTCAATTTTGTGCAAGCAAAATGAAGTTTGTCTGTGAGCCAAATGGCAAACAGCTCTTTCTGAGACCCTGAGATTTCTGAGAGACCCACTGTTTAACATTACTAGAGCCACTAAAGAAGCGTAATAGCTGGAGCCTGATCCTTGCTCCCTACCCTCAACTCACATCTGACCATCTTCCTGGTTAGATACCCTCCACCCCCAACACACACACACACACACACACACACACACACACACACGGAAAGGTACAAGGTAACCTTTGTTAAGGGTTACACGAAGGGTGCAGATTTCATGTGCAGCAATGACAGAGGAGGGAGAGATCACTTCCAGCTTCAGAGGCTGGGTGATTAGGTCTTGACCTCTAAGAATGAGCAGCACCAGGATCTAGGAGGAAGAGGAGGGCAATCAGGAACAAGATAATGACGAACAAGGACAAAGAGAGAAGTATAAGGCATGCTTGGGCACAGTGACTAAGGGTTGTTTATTATTATTAGTTTTTAATTTTTAATTTGATCTCACTGCTTCTGTAGACAATGAAGTAAGGGTTTATTTTGGATGGGGCAGAGAAGGAGATGATGAGGCTAGAAACATGTCCTGAGGTTCAATTCTGATGGAGGCTGAATGTCAAGATAAGGAGTATAGGATTTACTTGGTGAGTGGTGCGGTTACCATCCAGGGTCACTGAGCAGGAGAATGACTGTTGAAAGCAGGGACAAGGTAATGTGTAAGGTGGATTAAAGGGAGAGAGGGAGGCGCTGGAGGCAGGAAGTCCAGAAGTGAAGCAATGGCCTAAATCTGTTCATGAATGTTTACAGCAGTTCTTTTCATAATTGCTTAGAGCTGGGAATAACTCAAATGTCCTTCAGCAGGTGAATGAATAAGCAAACTGTGGAATAGCTAAATAACAGAATACTACTCAGCAAAAAAGAGAATAAACTATTGATACATGCAACAACTCAAATGGATGTCCAGGGCATTATGCTGAGTGAAAGAAGCCAGTCCCAAAAGAAGCCAGTGCACAAAAATTGAAAAATGAAATCATTTACATAATATTCTGAATAAGACAAAAGTGTAGTAATGGGGAATATATTAGTGGTTGCCAGAGTTTAGGGAAGGCAGTCAAATAGGACTACAAGAGACAGCATGCAGGAGTTTCTGGGGGTGATTGAACTGTATTCTGATTGCAGTGGTGGTTAAACAAATCTATACATTGGTTAAACTTCATAGAAGTGTACACACACACAAAGTCCATTTTGCTGCTGATGATTTTTCTTTTAAAAGATCAGAGTTGTTCCTCACTAAATGGTTACATTTAAAAGAGTGGAAACATTTGGTGATAGGCAATGATTAAATCTTTATAATTTGCTAGTTATATTTATATTAAAAGCTCTCTCTCAAACAATAGAACATTTATCCCTCAAGTGTGGAAGAAATTTGTCATGCTTCAACTATAAATCATTAAGTCCAAAAAATATTTATTTTTTCCAAACCTTCTTTTCTCTTCTCTGGTGGGTGTTCTTGTTGGCTAAGGCATCCTGCTGTGACCACCCTAGACAAAAGACCCCCTCTGTCTTCTTCTGACTCTCCAGCTGGCTCCATTGGCCAGAATGCCACTCCAGGCACCACCATCCTTCCAAGTACCAGTGGATTCTGAGTTGCAGGGATATCAGTTTCCTGTTTAATATTATTTTTTACAGCAATGTTGTTCTCTTTGCTTTCTAATCATAACAATTATGCATGTCAATAGTTCTTTTAATGGGACACAGTGGATGATACCAGACTATCTCAAGAGTGCCATGAATGAAAATGCCATGCAAAGAAGCCTCAAGCCTGATGGTGAGATACAGAGAATTCTCTTTTCTGAGTGTTTCATGAGTGTATGAGTTATTTCCCAACAACGAAATGTTTTCCAAGAAACATACTACTTTGAGTTCCAAAAGAATTTTACTCAGTGGAAAGCAGGCTTTTCTGTGGACTTATCTGATTAACAAGATACTGAATCCTATAGAGGAAATGGGGAGGAAGTCTGTCTGAAGCCTCCAAGTGAAACCTTAGTGGATGCCACCAGTGGTCATCAATGAAAAAGATCAGACATCCAACACTTGATAACTTGAGTTCTGCCAGAAATAGAAAGAGTAGTAGATTACCTATACAAAATTGCTAACAAGAGAAAACTAGGCCTCCTTCCACACATTAATTTGGGAGTCAATTTTTTAAGTGCTGTTTGGTAAGATTTTAAAAAATTCTAACACATCAATATGTTGTGAATATTGTCATTTCATTTCCAGCCATTAGAAAACTTTTCCAAAGTCTTACACATTGATATAACTAATTTGTCCTTCATATTAAGTGTTACATATTGCTTATGAGGCATCCGTTTTCTGATACCATTTTTAAAAGTATGCTGATTGCTGAAAACATAGAACACAACAGAAAACTATTCAAGAGGATTAGTCAAATCCTCCACTTTCAACCTTAGATTCTTTTCCAGCCCCCTCTTCCCGATCTACCACCTTTGCCCATTTCAATGCTGGATAGGATTCCAGGGGAAATGGTGGACTGTAGGGGTCTTGGAGGAGGGGAGGTGGGAGTATTGGGAGCAGAAGAAAGAGATGATTCCTCAAAGAAGGAGAAATGGTCGATTACCCCTAAAAGGCTGATCCTCCTGGTAATCTGAGAAAGGCGAATAAATACTCCAGGGCGAAGATAACAGTTTATTGTCTCCGATTGGCAAATACGAAAAAAGATTGACAGTATCAAGTGGAGGGAACGCAGCGGGCGGGCTGCAGTGTTAATGGGAGGGGTAACTGGGGACTCGAGCTCAGTGATGACGCGACTCTCACGTGACCAGGAGTCGACGTGTGCAGAAGTCCTTATAGTCCAGGGCCTGTTTCCCTGTAGCAGCTCCTTATTGCTGGAGAAGGAGAAAAGTGCCCAAGATCCTTTCAGGTTAGTATAAACGTGGGCGCTGACTTGGAGACCCTGGGGTCGAGGAGGCCGAGAGCAGAAAGCAAGCGGGGCCGGCACTGCTTTCCCCACTTCTGTTCCGCCAAACTCCCATTTTGTGCAGGAAATTTGGGGCTGTTTGGTGGGGGATGGCGGGTGGAGAGAGAGAAGGGTAGCTAATTAAGGGTCCTGAGAGAGAGACATAGAAACTGTTTGGAAGAAACTTGCTTTTCCTACTCCCTGCTTGCAGAAAAACGGTGGGCACGGAGGAGGGCGGGGTTGCCATAAAAGGAGGGCGAGGATGAGGACATGGGAAACTTTACACCAACATGGCCTAGAATCATGAAAGGGACCCGTGATCCAGGTACTAGTCTGCTCACCAAACACTCCCATCTGTCTGCAGGATATTTGGTTTTTTGGGCGCGACACAAATCGAGGTGAGGGAAGAGAGAGGAAAATCCCCTGAATCCCTGCAGGTCAGTTTTTGTAAAGGTGCAATTGCTTCAGGTCTCTTCGGGTGGGGGTGGAAGTGTGAGTGACACCAAAGCACATCCTGGGGTCGCAGCAGCCCCTCCCCATCCGGATTAAGTGCCAGAGGCCGGTGCCGAGCCTGCAGCGGAAATGAGGCGGGGGAGGAGGAGGCTTAAGAGACGCTGAAGGGGGAGGGGAGGCCAGAGACTGGACCAGCCGTCTCAGGTGAGAGGCTGGAGGTTGAGAGGGCCTGGGAAAGTCTGAAGGGCGGGAGTGTTGGAGACCAGAGGCGGGAGAAGGGTTAATTGCTTCCGTACTGCTCCCATTTCAGTATTAGGAGAGGCTTGTAGCAGGGCCTGCTGGGAAGATGGTGGGCAGGAGCAGGAGGAGAAAGATGGAGCTGGAACGAAAGGGGGCGCGAAGGGAGGTGGAGTCAGGGGAGTTCTGAGCCTGAGGATCCAGCTTTCTCTAGTTGGAAAACTTTTGACAATTAGGGTACTGAGTCAAAAAAGGCCAGTCGCTATGGGACCCCATACTCTGACTGCTGGTCTGTTTGCCTGGAATCTAGTAGTTTTGTTTCCTTGTTTTCTAGGATTAATTTATTCAAAAAGGAAATAAAAAATACTCAATATGCAAAAGTCTTGTGAAGAAAATGAGGGAAAACCACAGAACATGCCAAAGGCCGAGGAAGATCGCCCTTTGGAGGATGTACCACAGGAGGCAGAAGGAAATCCTCAACCTTCCGAAGAAGGCGTAAGCCAGGAAGCAGAAGGAAACCCCAGAGGAGGGCCGAATCAGCCTGGCCAGGGATTTAAAGAGGACACACCCGTTAGGCATTTGGACCCTGAAGAAATGATAAGAGGAGTAGATGAGCTTGAAAGGCTTAGGGAAGAGATAAGAAGAGTAAGAAACAAGTTTGTGATGATGCATTGGAAGCAAAGACATTCACGCAGCCGTCCTTATCCTGTGTGCTTTAGGCCTTGAATTCATTTTTGCCTAATATTAAAATCTGGCCCCAGCTTTCTTTCTGTTAGCATTTTCTGATGTATCTTTGACCTCCATTTTACTTTTAATCATCTGATGAAATTTTGTTTTAGGTAATTTCCTTGGTACCAGCATCTCATTGGATTTTGGATTTTGACCCATTTTCCAGGTCTATTTTTCAATTGGAAACTTTCACACATTTGCATGGGAATATGTTCATTCCATGTTGTAAAGTAAAACATAACAGGTTATGGCAAAGCAGCATATTTAATATCAGCTCACATATGTAGGATAAAATTCCAAACTTTGTGTGTGTGCGTGTGTGTATACATACATCCATATAACATATATCACAAACTTAACCAAGCTTATTTCTGTGTGGTGTGAAATTTTATTTGTTTTCTTCTTTTTGTTCTTTTTGCTTATATGTACTTTTTAATGAACACGTGTCTCACACACAAAAAGAATTAAGGATTTTTTTTACAAGTAAGAGTCAAATAATTTGCAACCAGCTTATGAGGGCAATGGGGGCACCTAAACTCTTGATGAAAGAACTTTAAAAAGAAATGTAAACCTCAAATTACCTCTGGATCTCTTAGCCAGAGGAATAAACTGGCAATTATTACAGATACACACGTTTAAGACTCAGTCTTTTCATGGGGAAAATATTTGCTTCACAGGGCTGCAGTGGGGAAGAAATGAGGCAGTAACAGCTGTGCTCAGTGAGATCTTGTTCCCACCTGTGCATACGGAATCCCAACCCACTATAGAAGCACCAATATTTAAGGGAGGGCCTGGCATGATGCAACTTGTACTCAGGATCAAGTCCAGTAGGCAGAGGTGGGGGCTTACCTATCAGTCCTCTGCTATTGAACCCTGTCTCTTCCCCTGGTTCCTGCCATGCCTGCCCAACACTGCTGCCTCTTCTGCTGAGTGCTGTGCTCCCTGCTGGCCCCACTACTGCTGATGCACTGCAGTCCTTGAGGGCCAAAACCCCACCGAGTTCCCTGGAGTCCTCAGTAGGTTGAACTTTCACTGTCTTCTAAAGCTTCTCTCTGCTTTATAGTGACACTTAACACAGGTGGGACTTCTCTAGGGTTGCTTGGGCCACAAGGTCTTTCAGAGCCCTTAGCAAAATAACCCTTCTGTTTTCAATCACAAGACCCTTCTTCTCCATAGGAGTCAGATGTGATGACTCCATTTGGGATTTGGACTGGGGTATAAGTTTGAGTCAAAGACCTGTTGTAATCACAGTTTTTGCTCTAAGTCTAAGGAATGAGGTTTTGTCCTCGTGGGATGATCTCTTCCTGAAGGCTCCTGGGCAGGCCTGACTTACTGGTTCGGAAGACTGCTGGGGAACATATATAAATTGCACAAAGTGATGCAGGGAACAGATCTAAGGAACAGTCCCCTTAATTCCATCTCTTCTGTTGACCTGTGGTTAAAAAAAACTTTCAAAGTCAGTAAGAACCTTGTAAATGTACTTGAAGTAGAATGCTACTATATAAATGTTAGAGATTATATTTCCCCTGTAGAACAAGCAAAGACTGTCTCTTCCTCTTGGTATCCCACATATGAATACTTGTATGTGTTTAACTGGCACATTGTGTTTTAATATTTAATTGATTTTTTGATTGCTACTAAGAGCTAGTAGGTTTGTCCAAATTAGGTTACTCGCTGAATAATCTACAAGTCTTTAGTTCTCTAGAGTTATGACAAGCAATTCCAAGAAGAAACAGGGCAGAGAATTGATTGTACTCTAAATGTTTTATTATAAAAGTATCTCACATAATCACCTGCATCAGAATCTGCTGGGGAGCATCTTGAAAATGCTGATGTCTGGGCCCCACATAAGGCCCACTGACCCACATTCTGGAGGTAGACTGTAAAATTATAGCTTGCAAACTCCTCCAGGTGATAATGATATGGACTGAAGAATGAGAACCACTAGTAATACAGTATGCTTTTCATTATTACAAATATTAACTATAAAATAATTGGCAGGAAATCTTGGTGAGTGCTTACTGACATTCAGGAAATAGAAGGCCTATACAAGCATTTATTGTTTTAAGTATGAATTTTTAAAGGAAAAGATGGACACATCTATACATAAAATTTAAAAGGTTCGTGTTAACAAAGACAAGATAAAAAGCTAGGGGGAGGAATGTAACATAAGATGCCTTTTTATTGACTGAACACCATGTTTAGCCATGCATTGCCTCCTTCCAATATGAGTAAAATGTATCAGAAATAAATTCAAAATTCTCTTTTAGTAATCATCTCAAAAAATAATTGAGCCAACCCTGCGCCCTTGGCTTTCTTCTGTTTCTATTTTTTCACTGTATGATGTCATTTGCAGGGAATCTTCATGTCTCCAGACCATTCTTCAAGGTGATGGCAGCCTGATAGGCGCTAGTCAAACTGGAATTCTAGCTGGAGTGAGATAAAGTTCCAGGTTCACCGGAACCAGTTTTACGAGAAAGGATAAATCCTCCGCACAGCCCCCAGAGGGTGGTGCTCAGACAGGATGTTAAAGGGTTGGCCCAAGCAACACTTCTGACTTTGTCCCTCCACTCCAGTCTGCAGCAGGTACTAGGTTCTCCTAAGGCTAATGGCCAGGCTATCCTGGACATACACATGTGGAGGAGGATGACTGTCCTATTTCAGGTCAGAGCACTTTGCCTTTCCCTCCTTTTCCCTTTCTCTTCTGGGGAACATTTTGTAGGGGAAAAGAAAAAGCTCCATAACTTCCCAGTTGAAAACATTGGTTGGGATAATCTTTGAGCAAGCAAATGTCTGAACAGGTCTGAACAGGTCTGACCAGGTAACTTGGGGTTGAAGCAGAAGGGGCTGACCCTTCTCTCAGAGTTCGGTGAAGTAGCCCACAAGACAACTGGGGCAAAAACAGAGTTAGACAGCACACAAAACCTCACCCATCCCTCTCCCACCCACCTTGCACAGACTCCCAGAAGGGCCTCGATGTGCCCTGGCCTGTTTGGTTGGTTCTGCAAGGACTTTAGCTCTGTGTCTTCCTGGTGCAGAGCATCTGATGCCTGAGCCAGCCCAGGCCCTGAAGCACAGGAGACCCCAGGTAAAGGGAACTTGTAAAGACATGTGGTCTTATAACTCAGGAGAAAACGGGTGTCCCCTCCTATCTGAAAACCCACATGCACTGCAGGCCCAGCTCACGACTTGGGGGTCAGGACAGTCAAACTGAATTGGTGTGAAGATGCCTTTTTAAGGCGTTGATCATGCAGAAAGTAATCCAACTATGAGCCTTGCTCTTTAGGTCTGTCATCTGAGGAAACATTACCAAATTTCTGACAGCCTAAAGGATTGTTTGAACAATAAGACAAAGATGAAATTCAAATCCTTGGGTTTAGGAAGGAAAAAAGTGATTTAAGTATATGGCCGTAGTGTCGGATAAACCTGGGTTCCAATTTGGGCTCTTCTCCTTATTGGTATGTGACCTTGTATAAATTATTTATCCTCTTTCTTGGAGGATAACTACCTTCTGAGAGACCTGGCCATTCATGTAGCCCCCAGACATAAGACTCTTAGGTCAAACAGAAAATGTCCTCTCTACCACCATCATTGCTGTCAACAGCATCATCATCATCATCATCATCATCATCATCATCATCAAGGGATGGTGTTCAGTGAATATTCAATGGATTCTGGTTGGGGACAGGTCACATAATGAGAAGATTTGACATAATCAGTTACTTTGCCCTGGAAGTCCGTCATCTAAAAGGGTGGACCCAATATAATAGCAAAAGAATTGGATTTCCTGCTCATAAGAAGTGTGAGGTCAAATTGGTTCATTCATCTATAAAATGAGTATGACCATATATAACCTACAAGACTGTATTGTGAGAAGTAAATGCAGGAAACTGTATGAAATGCCTGGCATATAATAGGCCTTCAGAGAATGTTAGATCTGCAGTCATCATTATGTCAGCGTCATCGTCATCATCATCTCAGCGTCATCGTCATCATCATTGTCATCAGATGATATTAACATAATACTCAAATAGGAACTGAAAAAGTCTGTGCTTTCTTGACCCCATGCCAACCTTCTAAAGCAAAAGCCTAATCTCATTCCTTTCATCCAATCTTCTTTCTTGCATAAAAGAAGCAACTTTTATATAAGCTAAATATAATAATGGTCATTCATTTGGAATTGAAAAACAATAATTGAATTCTATAAATATTTACATTATTTATGCACTCCGATGCTGTTCTTTATTGTAGGATGAGAAAAAAAATTCCCTCCACATTTCCATTTTATTTAGTTACCTGCCAGAAAAATTTCAAATCATGAGGAAAAATCTTAACTAACATGAATTGCAAAATATAATATAGAAATATATCATTAACATGGAAAAAACCTACTTCAGAACACACAGACACAGACACACACACACACACACAGTTTAAGGATAAATATCAAAATACTTGAAGTGGATATTTCTAGGTGACATTATTATAGGAAATTTATAGTTTCATCTTCATCCTCTGTATTTCCAGTTTTATTCTTTTCAGTGAGCGTGTGGAGCTTTTATAATTAGAAAAATAGTCATAAAGTTGAAAACAGTATAATTCCGTTTCTCCTTTTGCTTTAGCTGATATAGGGGCTGTTAGCTCTTCCAATTCGTCATTTGCTACCTGTTTCATCTTACTTCTAAGAATAACCTGGTAAAGTGTCAGATTTCTGTGGGTCCTGGCTAAGAAGCTTCCCCTCTCTATACTATCTGCTTGCCACTTTCCCTTGTCAACTAAATTTATGCTGCAGTTCTGTCTTTGGTCACATGGTGGCAATTCATAACTACTTTCTAAATATTCTCCAATAAAGTTATGTTAATTTTCAAAAATATACAGTAGTAATAAACATGAATTTCAAAGACCATTATGAAACTGATTTCCAGCACTACTTTAAAAATATGTAAGTGTAGAGAAATAATGGAAGGCTATGCCTTTGGTTGCATTTTCTTGAGGCTCCCAAGTTCACATTTCATTTATTTACTCATTCAACAAATATTTACTGGAAGCCTACAATGTGTAAAACTGTGCTAGCCAAAATCCATTCATGCATCGTAGACTTTTCTCCTTAAACCTCTATATTCAACAGACTGCTCAAATTGACCACTTGGACCAAGATAAATATTATCCAACCATATGGACATGACCCTGCATGGACACATACTCATCACTTTTTGCCAATCTATCCCATAAAACTGGAAGTTGACCATGTAAAGTGGAGGCAGTATGAAAAGGCAGGGAAAGCCTGGGATTGAATGTCAGGAAAATCTGTTGAAATAGCCATTTTCTTACTTCAGAACTCTAGTAATTGATCAACAGGATTCTTGGTGACCCAGAAAGTAGATTAATACCATGGCTTATTACACATGGTTTTAAAATACAAGACATACCTATATTATCTAGGATTGAGAGTAAAAATCTCTATTATGCATTTCACAACCATTGATGTAGATGATTTCCAAGGCCTGCTTCTTGTATTTTTGACATTTATTGAGCTCCTGCTAACTGCTTTGGCCTTTGACTAGGTCTTGAAACATAGTGTACAAAACAAAGTTTCTGCCTTCATGATGCTTATATTCCGATTTACACTCTTTTAAAAAATGAGGTAAAATTCACATACAGGGAAATGCACAGATCTTAAGTGTGCAATTATATACAATTAACTGTGTAAAATAGAATATTTCTATCACTCCAGAAAGTTTCCTGTCCCTCTTCCCAGCCACCTCTCCTCCAATAACCACTTAGGTTATTTCTACAAATTTTTCTGTTGTAGAACTTCAGATAATTGGAATCATACAGTATATATTCGTGTCCAGCATCTTTCACTCAATATAAGGTTTTTAAGATTCATCCTTATAATTGTATGTATTAGTTGTTTATTCTTTTTAAAAATTATTGCTGCATAGTATTGCATAGTGTGAACATACAAAAATTTGGTATATCTATTCAGATGTTATTGGACATATGAGTTGTACCCATTTTTGCCCATTATAAATATAACCACTATGAACATTCTTGTGTAAGCCTGTTTGTGAATATATGTTCTCATTTCTCTTGGGAAATACTTAGGAGTGGAATTTCTGCATTATAGAAAAGGTAAAGATTTAATTTGATATGAAATTGCTAAACAGTTTTCCAAAGTGGTTGTACCATTTTATATTACCTATGTATGAGAATTTCAGTTGTTCAACATCCTCAGCAAAATGTCAATGTCATGAAAGAAAGATGGATAGAGAACTGTTCTAGATTAAAAGACATACCAACTACATGTAATGTTTGAATAAGGATTGTAAGTTAGATAATGGTATTATATCAATTTTAAATTTTATGAATGTGATCATTGTATTGTTATTGTTTAGGAGAGTGTCCTTGTTGTCAGGAGATAAAATGCTGGAGTATTATGATGATGTCTACATCATCTACAGTTGGCTTTCAAATAGTTCAGCAATGTTAAATATATATATATATTATATATATATAGAGAGAGAGAGAGATAAAGCAATTGGCAAAATATTAACTGGTGAAGGCAATCTAGATGAAGAAATTGAAAGTATATTTCAATTTACTTTATTATCCTTGAAACATTCTGTAGGTCTGAATTGTTTTCAAAACAAAACTTTGATGAGGATGGAGGCAATGATATCTGTCAGCCTTCCAGAAGAAAAGGTGGCTGAATGAGAACAAGCATAAGATTGACAAATTTGGTTATGTGCAATCATGAAATGATAGTTTGCTCTAACACCTTTATAGAGTAACAAAAAGAGAGAGACAGCAGGCTGCTATCTGCTTCTGGTGGTAGTTTAAGAAATCATTCTATAGGCCGGCTTGTTGAAACAGACCACCCCATGTCATCAAGACTTTTTGTAAGATTTAAAATAGCAGTATTTATATATCATGGATATGATCTGACTCCTGTGGGAAGAAGAGAGTTGGGGACCTTGAGAACATCTTAATATCAATTTAGGTAGACTGGAAGCAACCATAAAGAGTTATGACAAAAAAGATAATGTTCTAGTTAGAAAAACGTAGTTTATTGTATCAGACTTTGATGTGGAAAGACAATGTGTGAGCTGCTTTGCCAGCAATGAGAACATATATTGATTTATTGGTCACAGGGACCAAGGCTGGCCTTGTCCCATTCAACCACCATCTATTATGGGATGAAAACAGTGATCTGCAACTCCAGAACAAGTGTTCAGAAAGAGAGTGGAAGGAAACTTAAGAATGATAGGAATGGAGTATCAGGTGGTGTGAGGATGTAGGAAGGATGGGAATAGAGCAAAACTCCAAAGTAAAAGTAACATAATTTGTATTTACACAAGGGCCAGAGGTGAAACTGGATTCAGACTAAAAATGTATCAGGGATATAGTATAGTAATCCCTCAGGACATAAAGTTGTTTCCCAAGAGCTATATTTTTCCTCCAGTCTTCTAAATATTCCACAAGTGGAGTTCATATCCAAAAACAGCTCATGTAAGAATACATGAAAGTATTCTCTACAAGTCACCTTCTTTTTGTCTTAGAGAAGTCTGCTTTTGCAGAATGAGGATTTCCCAAAGAAATACCAATTTCATAGGGTTGTTTTAAGGATTATTGAATGTGATATCTTTTTATATGGTATTCTGGAGTCATCCTTTAATGTGATGGGGCAATACTTCAGGTAGGGAGACCAGGAAGAAGCTGTTGCAGTAGTTTATGGGAGGTAAAAACGACAGATCTTGGTGGTTGATTGGATGTGAACATTAAGAAAGTATGGCGTGGGGAACTAGTTGAATCTTGGTGTCATTAATATAGATAGAGACCCAAGGTGAGATTTGAGGTGCAGTGAGAGAACTGAAAGAGAAGATTATATTTAGTTCAAAGTGAGATATTTCCATGTCAAAGTTCAAAATAAGTTGGATAAAATATTATGGAGCTCAAAAGAGAGATATATGCTGGAGATACAGATTTGGGAGTCAACACTTATATGATAGTGAAAACCGTAAGATCATTTGAACATTGTGGTAGGCTAATGATGTCCCCCAAAGATATCCATGTCCTAATCCTTGGACTAGGTTAATTTTATCTTATGTGGTAAAAGGGACTTTGCAGATGTGATTAAGTTAAAGATCTTGAGATGGGGAGATTATTCTGGTGGGCCCTAAATACAATCACAAGTGTCCCTTATAAGAGAGAGGCAGAGGGAGATTTCACTTCAGAAGTCAAAAAACCAATACGATAATGGAAGCCCAGAACTTATAGTAGTGAAACCACAAGCCAAAAAATGCTAGCAGTCAACCAAAACTGGAAGAAGAAAGGTACAGAAGGAACCAGCCCTGCCAAAACCTCGAATTTAGCCTTGTAAGACTCAATTTACAGTTCTGTCCTCCAGAACTGTAAAATAATAAATTTCTGTTGTTTTAAGCCACCAATTTTATGGTCATTTGTTACAGCAGCAATAGAAACCTAATACAAACATCTTGAGAAAGAAGAAAAGGTCTATGAAAGAATACCTGAAGGATACTGATATTTCAGTTGGGTTACAATATAGTCTATTGGCTACGACCACAAGCGGTGGTGTCAGAGAGATCTGTATTCAAATTCAACTCTATACTCACTAGCTATGTGACTTTGTACAAGTTATTTAAATGATATATTGAGTTTTTCTATCTGTAAAATTGGGACTATAACAGCATATACCTCAAGGGGCTTTTGTCAGGATTAAAGGCTAATTTCCAATTAATGCACTTGGTACATAGCAAATGATTCATAAGTGGTTGTTTTGGAGATGCAAGTGTGTTAGCATGATTTACAGCTGATAATCATTGTGTAGTTAATAAATGTTTTTAATGTGGGGATAAACCAACACTGAATGCTTTTCTTTTAGAGAAGCTGTATTGAATTATCCATATCAGTTCAGCAATGTAAGAGACTACATGAAGGCTTGGGACCAAAGCCTGCATTGTTAAAAAATAATGCATCTGGGCCGGGCGCAATGGCTCACGCCTGTAATCCCAGCACTTTGGGAGGCTGAGGCAGGTGGATCATGAGGTCAAGAGTTCAAGACCATCCTGGCCAACATGTTGAAACCCCGTCTCTACTAAAAATACAAAAATTAGCTGGGCGTGGCACTCCTGTAGTCCCAGCTACTCGGGAGGCTGAAGTAGGATAATCGCTTGAGCCGGGAGGCAGAGGTTGCAATGAGCCAAGATCGTGCCACTGCACTCCAGCCTGGTGACAGAGCATCTCAAAACAAACGAACAAACTAACAAATAAATAAAAATATAAATAAAAATAATGCATCTGGCCAGGCATGGTGGCTCATGCATGTAATCTCAGCACTTTGGGAGGCCAAGGTGGGTAGATCATTTGTGGTCAGGAGTTCGAGACCAGCCTGGCCAACATAGCGAAACCCCGTCTCTACTAAAAAAAAAAAAAAAAAAATTAGCCGGGTGGCACATGCCTGTAATCCCAGCTACCTGAGAGGCTAAGGCAGGAGAATCACTTAAGCCCGGGAGGTGGAGGTTGCCAGAGCCGAGATCACGTTCACTGCACTCCAGCATGGGTGATAGAGGGAGACTCTGTCTCAAATAAATAAATAAATAAATAAATAAATAAATAAAGCATCTACGTGGACTGCGCTCTCTCTCTCTCTCTCTCTCTCTCTCTCTGTGTGTGTGTGTGTGTGTGTGTGTGTGTGTGTGTGTGTGTTGCATTTATACTTTTGGGACCAAACAGGCCAAAATGCAGGTTGTTGAGGATTTGAGACAGTAGTAAAATCTTTTTCTACTTTGATAGTTACTTTATGTCTGTGACAATAATGCCACATTCTCTATTCAGGTCTTTCTCCTTTCTCCCCTCCTTACAATTTTCAGGTGACATTTACATTGAAATGGTTACATGGTTACATTAATGATAAATTACCTCTTCCTAAGAGCATAAACTTGAACTGCTTTTCAAAACTCTTGCTTCTAACTAAAGTTTCTAAAGTAAAATATAGAACAATGACCAAGAAATGTGAAAGGAGTAATGCAAAAATTGAATCTGGAGCTAGTGGAATGTTAAATAAAGGCCTTAAGAAAAACCTTTTCTCCTCCCAAATGAAAATAGCTTTATTGTATTTATGATTTTTAAAGAAACTATGCAGGAAAATATTGAGAATTACTGAAAATTACACTATAGATCCCTGACACTGTGCATGACAAAAACAAGGAAGTTGGCGGGCACAGGTGGCTTGGGGTGGGGTGAGGAGGAAGAGTGGTGACAGGAGGGACAGGTAACAAGAAACAAGGCCTGGTGGGGTAGAGCGTAGGAGGATTGGTCGGATAGGGGGTGCAGACCTTCATTAATAACCAGAGAAGGGCAAACACTAACCTTCATCGGTGATGCCATTTGTGGCCCCTCAAGATTGGCGAAGACCAGAGTGACAGGGTGGTGTGCACTGAGGCACTGTTCACAGAGGGGTGGAGGTGGGTCTCTCTGTGTGTATGGTGGGAGTGTGGTGGTGGTTTCTGTTGCACTGCCTGCCAGCCTAGAGGTGAATGTGAGGGTTGGGAGATTAAACTCTGCCGTTAGTCGAGACCTTCATGTGACCAGGAGCCAAGGTGTGAGTAAATTCCTCTTATTCAGGTCTTTTTTATTTTTGCAGCACTCCCCTTTTCTGTTGAGACAGGCTAGTGTCTGGCCCAGAGGATGAGGGGGAGAAAGACACTTTCCCAGAATGGAGCAGGTCTGCGTGAGCAACTGGACTTGGAGCTGTGCATCAGTGGTGGTGGTGTAAGGGGGTATATGTGAAAGGGAAGGAAGGCAAAAACTGAAGCAGGTACAGGTCTGTTTGCTTTGACACCTCTTCAATATTTTGAAACAGAAATGATATGCCTTGGGATGGAGGGAAGGGCTGGAGAAAGAGGGTCAGGAGGGAACACATAGACCTGGGGGTAGCTTGTAAATAATTCACTTCTTTTACACCCTGCCTGCAAGGGAGTGCTGCATAAGCACCAAGATGAGGAGTATTGAGATGAAGGGGGAAGGATGTAAAAGAAATGGTGGTTATGTAGAGGGTGCAGATGTGGACAAATGGAGACTAAGAAATCATTGAAACTATTTCCCTTAATCCAATGTGGTAGGCATTTTAGAGCAGGAGATGGGGATGAAACAGGGATGGGAAGAGGAGCTTTGAGGCTTGAAGGGATTTGGTGTCCAGTCTTCAAAGAGGCCCTTGTCTAGTATACTGGTCCATCCACCAAGCACTTCAGTACCACTATCTTTCTTCTCTCTGCAGGTCCAAATGCCTATTAGGCTCAAGAAAGGAAAGAGGAAGACGAAACTGACTGGGATTTGGGCAGGTCACTATGTGCCATGCTCTGGACTAGAACCTCTGAGGGTTGGGGGTGAAAGGATGGAAATGGTCCAGGCCAGAACATAACTAGGAGGAGACACTGCTCCTACTTATGTTTCATTCAGTCCAGGGAGAGGCTGGTAGAATGGTCTAAAGGAAAAATTGTTGAGAGAGACTGAGAGAATATATATGTACTCTTTAGGTATGGGAGAAGGGCAAGAACCTGGAGGGAATAGAGGAATGAATTAGAGGAAAGGTGAGACCTTTGCACTCATCCCCCTGATTCGGGAAAACACACGGGTACTGGAATGAACAGCACACATTCAGTATTTCCTCCCTTTTTTCTCCAAGGAGTAATTGCAGTCAAAGAGGAAAAGGGAAAAACAACTTTCGACATGGAAAATTCCCACCAGGAAAATGAAGAAAGTGTTCATAACGTAGAGGAAGAGCTACATTTGGAAGAAATGGAAGGCCAGGAAGCTAGAGGAAATAATCTCCAGGAACAAGCACCACCTACCCAGGAAGATGGAGATGGCTTGCCCCATAGGCATGTCAATAACAATGAAGGGAGAGGGAGGAAGAGGATGAGGAGGAGGAAGGAGATGGGGAGGAGGAGAAAGAGGAGGAGAAAGAGGAGGAGAAGAAAAGTGTCCAGAAGAGATTTTTAAAAATTAAGAAATAAATTTAGAGTAATGCATCGGATGAAAAGACAGTCCAGGAAGTGGCCTTATCCAATTCAGTGCTTTTTGTCTTGAATTATTTTTTCTTATATTTTTAGGGCTTCACTTTTATTTTAGGTTGCATTTTCTAGTCTTACTTTCGCTCATGTTTGTGTTTTTAACCTTTTGATGATATTGGTTTTAGATGTTCTTGTTGTCACCAGTATCTCATTAGATTTTGTTTTATGGTTTCATATGCAAGTCTGCATTTTAATACTGGATTTTTTCCATTTGCATAGAAAAAGTTCATGTGTGTACACACAAGTACACAGACACATACACATATATATGATATCCCAATTTAAAATAGGTATATTTATATGTTACATGTGTGCATAGAAAAATTTGGATAAGATGTACACGAAAAGCTTAATAATATTGGTTTCTCTCTAAGGGGCAGATTTATGGAAAATTTTTTATTTTGAATATCTGTATTCTTTCATTTTTTCAAAAGAATATGTTTAACTTGGCCGGGCGCGGTGGCTTACGCCTGTAATCCCAGCACTTTGGGAGGCCGAGGAGGAGCACGAGGTCAGGAGATCCAGACCATCCTGGCTAACACGGTGAAACCTCGTCTCTACTAAAAATACAAAAAAATTAACCAGGCGTGGTGGCGGGTGCCTGTAGTCCCAGCTGCTGGGGAGGCTGAGGCAGGAGAATAGCTTGAACCTGGGAGGTGGAGCTTGCAGTGAGCCGAGATCGCGCCACTGCACTCCCGCCTGGGTGACAGAGCGAGACTCCGTCTCAAAAAAAAAAAAAAAGAGTATGTTTAACTTGTGTCACAAAATTAATAAAGAGTCTAAAAAGAAAAAAAGTAACAGGTCAGTTGGCTTATAAAGGCAATAGAGAACACTTTAATAAATACTTGAAAAAAACTTTAAAAAGGATAAATTTCAAGTGATGTTTGAATCTCTAGGCTAGAAGTACAAACCAGGTAATTTTGCACATACATTTACTTCACAATCCGTCTTTTATGTACTGTATGGGGAAAATATTCCACAGGATTGCTGAGTAGATCAAGTGAAGTAATGAGTCTGAAATGAGTATGAGCTGTTTGATTAGCTCCCTTCTCCCAACCCCAGTACATGCATAGCCTCAATTCTCTTCAGATTTCCTTCAGTTATTAGTGGGGATAGAATTCAAGATATATGCTTAGGAACAAGTTCAGACAGCAGAGATGAGTAACCAGTTTTTCATTCCTCTGGTACTATATACAACCCAACCCCACCTCCCAATTTACTTAAGGAACTGCCATGTGCTGCTTGGCAATATTGCATATGTATTGGACTCTTCAAGATGACACAAATCTTACTGATTTATCTGGAGTCTCTGGTGGGCCAAAGAAGTAAGGAATGTATTTCTTTCCACTTTGACAATGTATTTACCCAGATAGATACTGCCCCAATGTTTCTTGGGACTTGATGTATTACCAAAAAAAAAAAAAAAATCATTTTAACATACAGGCCCCTCCTTTCCATGATGAATGCATTGGGGGTAGGCGAGTAGGGAAGATGATACAGATACATTTGAACAACAGACACCATGCTGTAGTAAGGATTGCTCCTACCCTGCCACTCTGACATACATAGCCTTATTTGCCTGTTTCCTTAAGTTGAAATCATCTCATATATACATATGTATGTGTGTGTGTGTGTGTGTGTGTGTGTGTGTGTGTGTGTGTACTCTTACATTTAAAGAACTACTAGCCTAAAATAGTGCCTGGTAATTGGTAGGCACTCATTAAGTTTGTTGAATAAATGAATAAAATAAATTAATTTTAACAACAGCCCATTGAAATATGTTAGAATTACTTTTTACAAATAAAGGCAGCTGGAGGACAAAGAAGTTAAGTGAATTGTGCTAGACAATAATTGAACCCAAGTTGCCTAAATCTAAAGTCACACTTCTTAACAACTATGTCCTGTTGCACCCTCAGTGCCAAATCAGTGGCTTTTACAATTAGAATATTAGAAAAGGTTTTAGTACACACCAGTATTTGATTTCTTTTTTACAATTAACATATTCAAATTTTCTTTTTTGCCATAATCATGTGTTAATATTATAATCTGAAAATGCCATACCAAATATTACAAATGCCTTAAAAATAATACCATAATGCATGTTAAACTACAAATAAACAATGCAATGCAGTATTTACAACATGTATTACAGATTTGGGCTAATAACCTTACTATTTCGGCAGCTTTTACAACTAAAGAGTAAAATGGACAAGGGATATGAATAGGACATTTAAATAAGGGAAACATAAAGGGCCAGTAAACAAACAGAAACTCTGACAATGGAAGAAATGCAAATGGAAACAAACAAAATTCTTCCTTTGCCTCTTAAATCAGAAACAATTTAAAAAACTGATAAGATTCTGTGCTTGTCTGGGTGTCAGTAAACAGAATTATTGTATGCTGCTGGTGAGAGTTTTGCATTCCCACCAGCAATAAATCAGAGTTCCTCTTGTTCCACATCCTCACCAGCATTTGCAATCGTGGAAGATTGTTTTTATTTGATCCATTCTTATAGGTCTGTGCTGATAACTAATTGTAGTTTTAATATGAATTTCCCTAATGACTAACAATATTAAACATGTTTTCATTTCTGTTTATTTGCAATCTGTATGTCTTTTTTGGTTAAAGTGACTGTTCAGATATTTTGACAATTTTTTAATTGGTTTGTTTTATGTTGGTTAAGTTTTATGAGTTTTTTACATATCCAGGACACAAGTCGTTTATAAAATATGTAATCTGCAAACACTTTTGCCAGTGTGGCTTATCTTTTCACTCTCTTAACAGTGTCATTTTTTTTTCTTTTTTTTCTTTTTTCATTTTATATATTTTTTCAAATTCATTTTTTATTTTTTATTTTTTTATTTTATTATTATTATACTTTAAGTTTTAAGGTACATGTGCACAATGTGCAGGTTAGTTACATATGTATACATGTGCCATGCTGGTGTGCTGCACCCATTAACTCGTCATTTAACATTAGGTATATCTCCTAAAGCTATCCCTCCCCCCCCCCCACCCCACAACAGTCCCCAGAGTGTGATGTTCCCCTTCCTGTGTCCATGTGATCTCATTGTTCAATTCCCACCTATGAGTGAGAATATGCGGTGTTTGGTTTTTTGTTCTTGCGATAGTTTACTGAGAATGATGATTTTCAATTTCATCCATGTCCCTACAAAGGACATGAACTCATCATTTTTTATGGCTGCATAGTATTCCATGGTGTATATGTGCCACATTTTCTTAATCCAGTCTCTCATTGTTGGACATTTGGGTTGGTTCCAATTAACAGTGTCATTTATAAAACAAAAGCTTTTAATTTTCCTAAAGTCCAATTTGTCTTTGTTTTTCTTTTATGGATAATGCTTTTGGTGTTATACCTGAACAATCATTGTCAAAGCCAAGATCACACAGTTTTTCTACATTTTCTTCTAGAAGTTACAACACTGTTTATGTTTTACATTTACAGTTTCTGTTTTTAATTTATACTTAATACATTTACATTTCAATATATGATGCATTTTTAGTAAATTTTTCTATAAGCTGTGAGGCATGTATTGAAGTTTGTATTTTGGACATGCATCTAGTTGTTTCATTTGATTCCTTCTTTTCAAACCTGTATTTCTTGGGATTTTCTACATAGACAATCATGTCAACTGCAAATAAAAAAATTTACTTTTACTTTCCAATTTGTCTGCCTTTTATTTCTTTTTCTTCCTTTGTTGCACTGGATGAGACTTCTGTTATGATGTCAAATAAGAGTGCTCAGAACGGATACCTTTGCCGTGTTTCCAGTCATGGGGGAAAGAATCTGGTCTCTTACCATTAAATATTATGTTAGCTTGAGGATTTTTTTGTAGAAGCATCTCACCAGGTTGAAGAAGTTTACTTCTACTCATAGTTTGCTGAGAGTTGTTATCATTAATAAAAGTTGAATTTTATCAAAAGACTTCTTTGCATCGATGACTATGCTCATGTGGTTTTTCTTCTTTAGACTAGATTGTATTGATTGATTTTCAACTATTGAACTGGCCTTCATTCCTGGGATAAATCCCACTTGGTTGTGGTAAATTATTTCTTTTATATATTGACAAATTCAGTCTGGTAATATGAGGGATGTGGTGGTTAATATTGAGTATCAACTTGATTGGATTGAAGGATGCAAAGTATTGTTTCTGGGTGTGTCTGTGAGGGTACTGCCAAAGGATATTAACATTTGAGTCAGTGGACTAGGAGAGGCAGACCCACCCTCAATCTGGGTGGACACTATTTAATCAGCTGCCAGTGCATATAGGATAAAAGCAGGCAGAGGAATGTGGAAGGACTAGACTAGCTAAGTCTTCTGGCCTCCATCTTTCTCCCATGCTGAATGCTTCCTGCCCTCGAACACTGGACTCCAAGTTCTTCAGCTTTTGGACTCTTGGACCTACACCAGTGGTTTGCCAGGGGCTCTTGGGCCTTAGGCCACAGACTGAAAGCTGCACTGTTGGCTTCCCTACTTTTAAGGGTTTGGGACTCGGGCTGGCTTCCTTGCTCCTCAGCTTGCAGAAGGCCTATTGTGGGACTTCTTGTGATCTTGTGAGTCAATACTCAATAAACTCCCTTGGCCTGGTGTGGCGGCTCAGACCTGTAATCTCAGCACTTTGGGAGGCCGAGGTGGACGGATCACGAGGTCAGGAGTTCGAGACAAGCCTGGCCAACATGGTGTAACCCTGTTTCTACTAAAAATACAAAAATTAGCCGGGTGTAGTGGCATGCACCTGTAATCCCAGCTACTCGGGAGGCTGAGGCAGAAGAATCGCTTGAACCCGGGAGGTGGAGGTTTCAGTGAGCCAAGATCGTGCCACTGCACTCCAGCCTGGGCAACAGAATGAGACTCTGTCTCAAAAAATAATAATAAATGAATAAATAATAAACTCCCTTTCATATATACCTATATCCTGTTAGTCCTGTCCCTCTAGAGAACCCTGACTAATACAAGGGATATTTGTCTTAGTTTTCTTTATTTGCACTATTATTTGTCTTGACTGGTGTCAGGGTAATGTTAGGGCTGTAAAATCAGTTGGGAAGTATTTCCTCTTCTTCTGTATTGGTTTTATATTGCTGTCATAAGAAATTACTACAAGCTTAACATCTTAAACAATATAAATATATTATCTTACAATTATCTAGGTCAGAACAACATAGGTCTCACCAGGAAGAGACCAAGATGTCTCATTTCTTTCTGGGGGCTCTAGGGAAACATCTATTCCTTCCTCATTGAAGTTGTTGGCAAAATTCAAATCCTTGTGTTTGTAGAACTGAGATCTCTGTTTTCTTGGGCAAATCAACAACATAGATGTTCTAAATATCTGACAGACTTTAAAGCTAAGCGCCATTCCCAGTTTCCAAAGGTGGGTACTTCAAATACTGATCTTCTTCTCCAATACATCTTCTAGTTCATATTTACTTTTCAGATACCTCAAATATCTACACCACACATTCTGTCTGGTTTTCATAGCTGTGTTCACTGCTAGAGAAAGTTGAAATGTGTTTATTCCATGATACCTAGAACCAGAACTTCGCTGTACAAATTTTTATATTTACTGTTTTTTTTTTTTATTTTGGAGGAAAAAAATAACAAACTTATAAAAAATTGCGGGGACAGTACAGAAATTTTTTTCCCTGAATTATTTGAAGGTAAGTTGCCAGCCTGATGTCCCATCTATCCTATGAGAGGCAGAATTTTAAGATAATCCCTATGACTTTCACCTCCTGGGGTTACTCCTATCACTATGTTACATGACACAGCAAAAAGGAAATTATCTGGGTAGGCCTAATCTAAGCCCCTAAGCTCTTTAAAAGGAGAAAGTTTTATCTGGCTGATGGCAGAAAGGGAAGTCAGAGAGATTTGAATCATGATAAGGGTTGAATGCATCTCCATTGCTGGCCTTGAAGGTGGAGGGGGCCACATGCAAGGACCAGAAAGAAGCCTCTAGGAGCTGAGAGCAGCTGCCTGTCAAAAACCAGCAAAGAAATGGAGCCATCAGTTCTACAACTGCAAGGAACTGAGTTCTGCAAACAACCTGAATGATCTTAGAAGGGGATTCTTCTCCTGGCCCTCCAGATAATAGCCCAGGACAGCCAACAACTTGATTTCAGTCTTGGGAGACCCTAAGCAGAAAACCAGCTGAGGCTACCCAGAATACTGACTTGCAGAACTATGAGTTAATAAATGAGTGTTGTTTCAAGCTGCTTAGTGTGTTGTAATATGTTACCTGCGATAGAAACTAAATATAATCCCAAATGTCTTTAGTGCATATTTCCCCCAAAGAGACATTTTCCTATATAACTGCAATATGATGATCAAAATTTTAAAAATTAACATTGATATATTATTGCCATCTAAACTTAGAACCCAATAAATTTTCACGTTATTCCAGCAATGTTCTTTATAGCAAAAGGATCCAGTTCACAATCACCTGTTGCATTTAATTGGTGACTCTTTATTATCCTTTCATATAGAGTATGTCCTTAGGCTTTTGTTGACTTTCATGATCTTACAGTTGTTATTTTCTAGAATGTCCCTTATTTTGGATTTGCTTCCTATTTCCTCTTGAATGGATTCAAGTTATGCATCTTTGGCAGGACTATTACCAAAGTGATGTTGTAGTATTCTCTCTTTTTTTTTTGAGACGGAGTCTCGCTCAGTGGCCCAGGCTGGAGTGCAGTGGCATGATCTCTGCTCACTGCAAGCTCTGCCTCGCAGGTTCACGCCATTCTCCTGCCTCAGCCTCCCGAGTAGCTGGAACTACAGGAGCCAGTGACCACACCCGGCTAATTTTTTGTATTTTTAGTAGAGATGGGGTTTCACCGTGTTAGCCAGGATGGTCTCTATCTGCTGATCTCGTGATCCGCCTGCCTCGGCCTCCCAAAGTGCTGGGATTACAGGAGTGAGCCACCGCGCCTGGCCTATAGTATTCTCTTTCTGTCCTATCAGGTGGCACAGAATTTTGGTTTGTCCCATTACTTATAATATCCTCATTGACCATTTGTTTAAGATAGTGATTTCCAGGCCATTTCGGTACTCGTTTTTCCATGGTAATTATTAATATTTTATGGTGAGGAATTTTGAAATTATGTAAATATTTATTGTGTATTTATATATGTATATTTATTTATATACTGACTTATGTTTTCTTTTTTTGATTCAACAAGCTATACTGTGTTCTATATTTCTTTATTTTGATGCTCACAGTGTCTCCTACTTGACTTGTAGAAGCTTCTTCAGGCTTGCTTCCACGTCCTTTTGGTATGCCTCCATCATTTCTTTAGCACTTTGCTTTCTGGCACAGCAAGATGTTCCAGATTCATTGCGTTATTTTCCTGTCCCATCCAACAATTCTCCAAGGATTCCTTGTTCCTTTTATTTAATAATGGCATTTTGAAAGCAAGATATGAACAATTAGTTGTGCTTATTGCTATTGGGGTGTTGTGACTCCCAGGCCCTCTAAGTGGAAGGAATCAGGCAATATTTGTATATACACAGAGAGACACACACACAAATTCTCACACTCATATACATTCACACATTTACATCTATATTTCTGTATCTGTATCCATTGAAGCCATGACTTCACACTGATACCTAACTCCAATACAATACCACCAGGTTCATTCTAGTTTTCTCCCTTTCTATATTTGTAACTCTCTTCAATGACAATGAGAACCTTGGATCCCATTACCTTTACTTGACCAATCCCCCTATATGTAAACAATCTCCCATTTCCTGCACTCCTCGTTCCCTGCTTGGAAGCTCCACTTGACATCCTCCCAACTGTGGATTACAGTCCCTGTTTTCCAACCCACTTTGTAAACCTGTTCTGGCTGAGAAGTAGTGCAACAGACTTCCTCCCTACCCAACTCCTACCATACAGGTACCTTCCTCACACTGTTAGCAGCATGGACATGCTTCTTAACCTGCTCAGACTCTGAAACCCCGCTCCAGTCTGCCACACACTTCCTCCACATGGACACACTCTTCAACCAGATAAAACTCCAATATCTCTCACTTGGCTGTCTCCTGTCTGGGAAGCCCTCATCATAATTTTTAGGCTCTGACTCCCTGCGATAAGCTGCTCTCCCAGCATGAATGCCTTCCTCACCCTGCTCAGGCAAACACAGCTCCCTCCTCTCATCTGATAAAGACACTTACCTTGACCTTCCCCATCTGACAGTGTTGGGACTGAATTGTTGAGGAAGGGAAGGGAAGGGCTGAGGACAAGAAAAACAAACATTTAGTTCTGTTTTATGACTGAACTATGTAACTACATTACCAAACTAAAAGATATAAGCAGCATTGGGCTTAAGTTAAATTCAAAAGTAAGTATAGCCCACGTGTGGTGAAACTGCTCACAAAACAGCACTTGATCACAAACGGATCACCATCTTCATGCCCAATTGAGGATATCTTCTGTCAATAACTCCATTAAAATGATGGTAAGGTTGCCTCTGACTACATGTAAGCAGCAGAGGAGTCAATAGAATCTTTGTTTTTAACTTGGTGCAGGAAGTAAAAAGGGATATTTGTGAGCCAATCAGCAAATAGCTTCTCTCAAGCCTCTGAGATTTCTGGAGACACACCAAGTAAACATTATAGATGCTACTAAAGCAGAATGAGAGTGGGCACCTGCCTACTACCCTGGCACCTAACTTTCTGAGGAGATGGGCTCTCTCTCTCTACACACACACACACGCATGCATGCACGCACGCGCACACACACACACCTAAGATGAAAGAGACAGGGCAGCCTTTGTTAAAGGCCACAGAAGAGGTCAAGGCCCCATGTGCTGTGCATCAATGACAGAAATGGAAGAGATTGCTTCTAGTTGGCGACACCCTATGATCAGGACTGGGCCTTAAGAAATAGGTAGTACAAGGAAGAGGAAGCCAAGATAGAGAAGGGGGAAAATGGAACTCTGCTTCAGAATATCCCTAGTTTCAACCCTGATTAGGTCTTCCTTACCAGCTAAATCAGCTCCTCTTCCTCTATATGAGTGAGGCTGTTCCTACTTTGTTTGAAGATCCATAACAACCTGCCTCAAGGTCCCTTGTAAGGGAGACCAATTGTCCTCATTCCCTCTTCATTGCCCCACAGATGTACTTATTTTCTCTAAATCTGTAATTAGAATCAAATCCCAGTATGCTGGAGTGTGGGAAAGTGGGAAGATTGAAATTAGAAAATCAAATAGCTCACACACCAGATACATTACAAGCTTTTTAATATTTATATTGTTATAATGGGAAATATAACCTTACCTATTTCAGCCTCATTTTTGGTTGGGACCCCAAGACAACTGGGTGTCAACTACTGCTAAATTCCAAAGTGGAGAGTAAGGTAATAAAAGCAGGTTTTGCAATGGACATGAATGAGCACTGATTTTGTTGCACTTAAATAACCACCGACTTGCAGCCTACAAAAGACATTTGAGAGGCCAAGAAGATTGCTGGAGATTAAAAGAAAGTTTGTTTGTTTGTTTTTTTCCTGTTGAGACAAAAACAAAACAAAACAAAACAAAAAAAGCTGGAGTGCAGTGGCACAATCTCAGCTCACTGCAACCTCCACCTCCCAGGCTCAAGCCATCCTCCCACCTCAGCCTCCCAAGTAGCTGGGACTACAGTCTTGCACCACCACAGCTGGCTAATTTTTGTGGGTTTTTGTTGGTGTTGTTCTTGTTTTAGAGATGGGGTTTCACTATGTTGCCCAGGCTGGTCTCCAACTTGTGAGCTCAAGTGATCCACCTGCCTTGGCCTCCCAAAGTGCTGGGATTACAGGCATGAACCACTGCACCTGGCCTGGAAAGGAGTTTCTAATGAGAGCTGTTGGTATTCCATGAGTGCCCCCACATAAGGAAGGCAAGGGGCTTTTCATATCACATCAAGCTTGAGGCAAAAATCTTCAATTTGGCGATTCAGAGCTCCTGGAACTTGATAACATAGTAAGCATCCGAATTATCCCTGAGAAATCCAAAAAACAAGAGACTGGCTGACCAGCTACCTTGATATCAGAGTGAAGAAAGTTTGGGGAGAGCCTGGACTCTTTGAATTTGAGAGCCATTTTGGGCAAAGGATGTGTAAGTGCTTCCCGTGGACTTGACATGGGCCATATGGAAGACAGAAGTAGCTTGGAGATGTCATAGATTTAGATCATGATGGTCTTTTGGAGAAGAAAAAAAAACACCTTAAAATAAACAACCTGGAGATATACTGCTGGAAGGTTAAAGGCTAAATAAGGAGTCAAAAGCAACTAGCCCAGGGATATGTTTTTCAAGAGAACAGCAAGGGAGAGCTCCTCAACAATGGGAGACTCCCTATAGTACTCTGAAAAATGTCACACAAGAGAAGGAGTCATAGAAAGTGCCAATACTGGATGGCTATAACAGTGTCAATTATATAAGATTTTAATTTCTTCTCACCTCCTCTCTGCCCTCATTGAACAGAAACTGTTTTATGACTAGAACTGACAGGAGGATTTTTACTTTACATGAGCAGGCAGAAAAGTTATGGAGCATACCCTAGATTTCACCCAGGGGACAAGAGTAGAACTAGTTCCAAAGAACAGGTTTGCATAGGCAGCAGGAAAAAAAAGTTGGTATATTATTCATCCTACAGATTCTGCTTGTTTAATGTATTTGCCACATTGCCAATAATCTCCAGAATATGTTTGAGAATAGTTTCTGAGGATATTAGCTAAAGGTAGGAAGGAACATAATTTTAGCTACTGTGGTCAGGCATCCTTTCAACTTAGAGCCACTGCATTTGTTATTTATTCTGCCTAGAAATCTACCCTGAGATATTCACCTGTATCACTCCCTCACCTCCTTCAGCTGTTTCCTCACAAGCCTTCTTTTGTTGTCTCTTCAATAAGAACTTAAGTTCCAAGAAGACTGGGATATTTTGTTTTGTTTTGTTTTGTTCAGTCCTGTAAACCTCAACACCTAGGACAGCACCAGGCACATAATAAGTGCCTAATAATTTGTTAAATTATTATTTAATATTAATTAGCTATTAATAATAATTTTATTATTATATAATATATATTGTTATATATAATAATCATTAGCTATTAATCAATATTTGTGCATACAGCAGAGATTCTAAATCCAATCTGTTATCTCACGCAGCTGGATTCTAATTGTTTGCTCAGTTGGTTGACTGAAATATGGGTTTCTGATGGATCACACTAAACGAGATTGGTATACAAGAGATTGCTTAGTATGCTGTAGAGGCAAGAACCTAAAGAATCATGGAAAAGGGAATGTTATTGTGTATTTATCATGTATTATGAGTACATCTACTTCCTAACTATGTCCAGAGAGAGGGCCATACGATGTTACTGCTAACAGCAAATTGAGTAATGAACAGGCAAGTATATTTTTAAAGTTCTTAACATGGCTATTCTCCTTAGGCAGAGGATGCTGAGAGTGACTCTAAAGCTTGATATGTCATCTTGATTTCAGTAGTGATGCCAGGATCTCATGTAAAGTAAATTAAGAAGCTGAACTTAATCACCTGGATGATTAACCAAGGAAGGCCTGGTTACCTTAATATGCACCAGGAATGTCATGCTAGACAGAATAATTTGAGTTGGAGGAATTTTTATCCACAGCTAACTGATCCTGTGATACGATGGTAGAGACAGTATGTTTGTTAACTAAATTATGTTCCATTTTTCTCTGAGTTTCATACTCAGGTACTGCTTTTCCCAGACTGTGTTGCAGTTAGGTGACTGATTTCTGGCCATTGGAATGTGAGCAGAAGTTATATTTACCAATTTCATGTCTCTTCCATATGAAAACTCCAACATAATCTTCCATGAGTCTTCTCCCTTCCTCTGTTTTCCTGATGAATGTAAACACCCAAGGCAACCTTGGAAATCACATTTACAGATTGTGAATCTTCCTGCCACCATGGTCCCTAAACGATTGCATGGAGCTGGTCCCATCCTATCCCACCTGCATTGAACTACTATCTGAATGAAAATTAAAATTTAAGTTTGCTAAGCCTCTGAGATTTTGGAAATGATTGTACAGTAATTAGCCTACCTTGTCATCTACTAGGAGAGAAATGGATAGGTGGTGTGATGGTTAATATTCAGTGTCAACTTGAGTGTATTGAAGGATGCAAAGTATTGTTCCTGGATGTGTCTGTGAGGGTATTGCCAAAGGAAATTAACATTTGAGTGAGTCAGTGGACTGGGAAAGGCAGACCCACCTCAATCTGGGTGGGCACAATCAATCAGCTGCCAGCGCGGCCAGAATAAAAGCAGGCAGAAGAACATGTAAAGACTAGACTGGTTTAGTCTCCCTGCCTACATCTTTCTCCCATGCTGGACGCTTCCTGCCCTCAAACATTAGACTCCAAGTTCTTCAGCTATGGGATTCTTGGGCCTTTTACCACAGATTGAAGGCTGCACTGTCGGCTTCCATACTTTTGAGGTTTCGGGACTCAGACTAGCTTCCTTGCTCCTCAGCTTGCAGATGGCCTATTATGGGACCTCACCTTGTGATCATGTGAGTCAAAACTCCTTAATAAACTCCCCTTTATATATATATATCTATCTTATTATTTCTGTTTCTTTAGAGAACTCTGACTAATACAGGCGGCCCACTAATTTTTTACTTGATTGGGTGATCAAAAACTCCTAATCATGGCAAACAGAGAGCTGGTATAAGCTACTAGATAGTCTAGGTTCTCTCTTAATTACAAGACCCAAGTCAGTTCAACTATCATACCCAGAGCCCCTTGAGAGAGGACGTTACTATAACATCATAAGTATGTACTGGGAATAGTCTTCTCCAAAGAACCTGCAGCCACAGTTAAATATCATTGGTCTCAATGGATACATGAGAAAACTGAGACTCAGAAAACTTTTTCAAGATCATACACCTAATAAATGGTAGAACTGGGATTGTAGCTTATATTCCTAATTCTTAGATGATGAGATTATTCATTACAAATTTTTATTATATGGTATCCATATATTGTTTCTGCTGTTAATTGTCAGTTCTCTTCAATCAGGGCATGAATGAGATTATCTTTTTCCTCACAAATTGATGTGAAGGTATGAAGTGGGTGGTTTGCCACTGCAGGCTTCATCTTCAACATTTTCTAGTCCCTTCCTAAAATGAGTTATCCGTTTGTGAACTGCCAATTTATTTCAGGCATTGTCCCCCTAAAGTTTTTGTAAAGGATCAGTGATTTCAGGATTCTTTCCCCCAAGCTTCACCATAAATCTGATGTTTGTTCTTGCTTCAATTTTAGCAGAATTCATGTTGCTCTGATAGGGGCTTTTTCAAACTGATTTCTTATCTTTAGTACCTCAAACTAGATCTCATTCAGACATCTTATAACAACTTAGTATGAGTTTATTTTGGTGTGAAAACATTTTTAAATATATGCATAGTTTTTTCATAATATGCATTTTTCATGAACTTTTTGAAGATCCCTTATAGAATCATACAACATGTGACATTTTGTGTCTGGCTTCTTTCACTTAGCATAATATTTTCAAAGTTCATTTATGTTACAGTATATATCAGTGCTCCATTCGTTTTTATTACTAAAAATTCATTGTATGTATACACCACATTTTGTTTACTAGCTTATCTATTGATTGCCTTTTTTGTTGTTGGCATTTTGGGGGTTACTGTGAGTAATGTTATGAACATTTGTGCACAAGTTTTGTCTGGACATATATTTCAATTCTTTTGAATACATACCTATGAATAGAATTGCTGGATCACATGATAGTTCTGTGTATAACTTTTGGAAGGACTACCAAATTGTTTTCACAGCGACTGAATAATACATTCCCACTAGCAATGTATGAGGGTTACAATTTCTCCACATCCTCATCAACACCCACTACTGTTTCTTTCTTTCTTTGTTTTGATAATAGCCATACTAGTGGGGCACATCCCCAGCAGTTCTGCTTTTCTGACCTTTCTGCTTCATAAAGATTTAAAACTTTGAAAGAAATCATTAAGTAAATTAAAAGGCAAGGCAAGACCAACAGAAAAAATTGCAGTTTATATATTAGACAAAAAACTTTAATCTAGAATTTATAAAGAACTGTTGCAACTCAGTGATAATAGGAAAAATGAACTAACTAAAAAATAGAAAACTGTTTGAACGTGTAATTCACAAGAAGATATATGAAAGGCTGAGTACATGAAAAGATGCTAAGTCTCATTACTCAACAAAGAAATGAAAATCAAAACCATAAGATACCACTATATACAATTTAGAATGGTTGAAAAATTTTAAATATTAACAAAAATGACCTGACCTTATTAAGTGTTGGTGAGGATGTGGAGAAATTGGAACTTCCCCACTCTACTTATAGGAATATAAATTGCAAAATCATCTTGGAAAACAGTTTGGCAGTTTCTTAAAAATTAGACATACATCTTCTATATAATGTAGCCATTTCATTCCTAGGTATTTACTCAAGAAAAATAAAAAGATATGTCCACACAAACATTTGTATGTGCATGTTCATATTAGCTTTATTTGCAATAGCCAAAAATTGGAAAGTACTTAAATGTACATCAACAGATAAATGGATAAGCATTCAACATATTTCTATTCAGCAATAGAAAGGAATACACTATTATTACATGCAAAGTTATTACGATCAATGAATAAAGTCAGAAAAAAAGAGAGTATATGCTCTATGATTCAATTTATTTAAAAATACTATAAAATCCAAACTAAAGTGACAAAAAACAGATCAGAGGTTGTCTAGGCTTGAAGATGGAGGGAGGGATGGATTGCAAATGGGAAAAAAAGAGTCTTTTGGAGGTGATTAAAGTGTTTGCTATTTTGCTAATTTTTAAAATTTTTAGTTTTGCTATTTTGATTGCGGTCATGGTTTCATAGGCTTAAATATAGATAAAATAGGTTAAACTGAATGCTTTAAATATGTGCTTTGTAAACTTTAATTATACCCCAATAAAGCTAAAATAATTACTCCCATGTAGATACAGACTGAAAGAACTGAAAGTGGCAAACTGTTTTGGTATTTTATTCTTTTTTTTTTAACTATTATTTTAGGTTCAGGGTTAGATGTGCAGGTTTGTTATACAAGTATACTTGTGACTTGGGAGTTTGGTGTACAGATTATTTTGTCACCTGGGTACTAAGCATAGTACCCAATTTCTTTTTCTCTTGAACGTCTCCCTCCTTCCACTCTCCACCATCAAGTAGGATGAGTGTCTGTTCTTTCCCTCTTTGTGTCCACATGTTCTCATCATTTAGCTCCCACTTATTAGTGAAAACATGTGGTATTTGGTTTTCTCTTCCTGCATTAGTTTGCTAAGGATAATGGATTCCAGTTCCATCCATGTTCCTGCAAAGGACATGATCTCGTTCTTTTTTTATGGCTGTGTAGTATTCCGTGGTATATATGTACCACATTTTATTTATCCAGTCTACTGTTGATGGGCATTTAGGTTGATTCCATGTCTTTGTTATTGTGTATAGTGCTGCAATGAACATATGCATTCATGCGTCTTTATGGTAGAACAATTTATATTCCTTTGGGTGTATACCCAATAGTGAGATTGCTGGGTTGAACAGTAGTTCTGGTTTTGTTCCTTGAGGAATCACCACACTGCTTTCTACAATGGTTGAACTAATTTACACTCCCACCAGCAGTGTATAAGCGTACCCTTTTCTCCACAACCTCACTAGCATCTGCTATTTTTTGACTTTTTAATACTAGCCATTCTGACTGATGTGAGATGGTATCTCATTTTGATTTGCATTTCTCTAACGATTTGTTATATTGACCATTTTTCCCATATGCTTCTTGACCGCATGTATGTCTTCTTTTGACAAGTGTGTGCTCATATCCTTTGCCCACCTTTTAATGGGGTTGTTTGTTTTTTGCTTGTATGTTTGTTCAAGTTCCTTGTAGATTCTGAATATTAGACCTTTGTCAGATGTAGAGGTTGCAAATATTTTCTTTCGTTGTGTAGGTTGCCTGTTTAATCTGTTGCTAGTTGCTGTGCAGAAGCTCTTTAGTTTAATTAGATCTCATTTGTCAATTTTTGCTTTTGTTTCTATTGCTTTTGTTGTCTTTGTTGTGAAATCTTTGCCAGTTCCTATGTCCAGAATAGTATTGCCTAGGTTGTCTTCCAGGGTTTTTGTAGTTTGGAGTTTTACATTTAAGTCTTTAATCCATCTTGAGTTGATGTTTGTATATAGTATAAGGAAGGGGTCCAGTTTCAATCTTCTGCATATGGCTAGCCACTTATCCCAGCACCACTTATTGAATAGGGAATCCTTTCCCCATTGTTTGTGTTTGTCTAGTTTGTCGAAAATCAGATAGTTGTAGGTATGCAGTCTTATTTCTGGGTTATCTATTCTGTTCCATTGGTCTATGTGTCTGTTTTTGTACCAGTACCATGCTGTTTTGGTTACTGTAGCCCTGTAGTATAGTTTGAAGTTGGGTAGCGTAATGCCTCCTACTTTGTTCTTTTTGCTTAGGATGGCCTTGGCTATTTGGGCTCTGTTTTTGATTACATATGAATTTTAAAATAGTTTTTCCTAGGTCTGTGAAGAATGTCATTGGTAGTTTGGTAGAAATAGCCTTAATATATAAATATCTTCGGGCAGTATGGCCATTTTTACAATACTGGATCTTCTTATCCATAAGAAAGGAGTGTTTTTCCATTTGTTTGTGTCATCTTTGATTTCTTTGTGTTTTGTAGTTCTCCTTGTGGAGATCTTTCACCTTGCTAGTTAGCTGAATTCCTAGGTATTTTATGCTTTTTGTAGCAATTGTCAATAGGAGTTCATTCCTGATTTGGCTTTCAGCTTAACTGTTGTTGGTATATAGCAATGCTAGTAATTTTTGCACATTGACTTTGTATCCTGAAAGCTGAAATTGTTTATCAGCTTAAGAAGCTTTTGGGATGAGACTACAGGGTTTTCTAGATATAGGATCACATTATCTGCAAACAGGAATAATTTGACTTCCTCTCTAAGTGAATGCCCTTTGTTTCTTTCTCTTGCCTGACTGCCCTGGCCAGAACTTCCAGTGCTATGTTGAATAGGAGTGATGAGAGAGGATTTCTTTGTCTTGTGCTGGTTTTCAAGGGAATGCTTCCAGCTTTTGCTCATTCAGTATGATGTTGGTTCTGGGTTTGTCATAGATGGTACTTATTATTTTGAGGTATGTTCCTTCAATATCTAGTTTGCTGAGAGTTTTTAACATGAAGAAATGTTGAATTTTATCAAAAGCTTTTTCTGCATCCATTGAGATGATCAGGTGGTTTTTGCCTTTAGTTCTGTTTATGTGATGAATCATGTTTATTGATTTTTGTATGTTGTGTATGTTGCATCCCAGGGATAAGCCCACTTGGTCATGGTGGATTAGCTTTTTGATGTGCTATTGGATTTAATTTGCTAGTATTTCTTTGAGGATTTTGCATCAATGTTCTTTAAGGATATTGGCCTGAAGTTTTCTTTTTTGGTTGTATCTCTACCCAGTTTTGGTATCAGGATGATGCTGGCCTCATAGAATGAGTTGGGGAGGAGTCCCTCCTCATCAATTTTTTGGCAGAATTTCAGTAAGAATGGTGCCAGCTCTTCTTCATACATCTGGTAGAATTTGGGTGTGAATCTATTTGGTCCTGGGATTTTTTTAGTTGGTAGGATATACTGAGTCACTTTTGGAGCTCATAACTGGTTTGTTCAGGGATTCAATTTCTTCTTGGTTCAGTCTTGGGAGGGTGTTATATGTTCAGGAATTTATCCATTTTTCCTAGGTTTTCTAGTTTATGTGCATAGAAGTGTCCAAAGTATTCTCTGATGGTTATTTGTATTTCTGTGGGATCAGTGGTAATATTCCCTTTGTCGTGTCTGGTAGTGTTTATTTGGATTATTTCTCTTTTCTTCTTTATTAGTCTAGCTAGCAGTTTATCTATCTCATTTTTTTTTTTTTTTCAAAAAACCAGCTCCTGGATTTGTTGATGTTTTGAATGGTTTTTTTGTGTATCTGTCTCCTTCTGTTCAGCTCTCACTTTGGTTATTTATTGTCTTCTGTTAGCTTTGAGGTTTGTTTGCTCTTGGTTCTCTAGGTTCTTTAGTTAAGATGTTAAGTTGTTAATCTGAGATCTTTCTAACTTTTTGATGTCCACATTCAATGCTGTAAATTTCCCTCTGAACACTCCCTTAGCTGTGTCCCAGAGGTTCTGGTATGTTGTATCTTTGTTCTCATTAGTTTCGAAGAACTTCTTGATTTCTGCCTTAATTTCATTATTTACCCAAGTGTCATGCAGGAGTGAGTTGTTTAATTTCCATGTAATTGTATGGTTTTAAGCAATTTTCTTAATCTTGTTTTCCAGTTTTACTGTACTGTGGTCTGAGAGAGTGGTTGGTATGATTTCAGCACTTTTGCATTTGCTGAGGATTGTTTTATGGTCGAGTATGTGTTCGATTTTACAGTATGTGCCACATGGCAATGAGAAGAGTGTATATTCTGTTATTTTTGGGTAGAGAGTTCTGTAGATGTCTAACGGTCCATTTGGCCCAGTGTTGAGTTCAGGGTCTTGGTTCTTTAGCCGGCTTGCCACCGTGTGTCTTTTGATTGGGGCATTTAGCCTGTTTACATTTAAGGTTAGTATTGATATGGGTGGATTTTATCCTATCATCATGATGGTAGCTGATTATTATGCAGACCTGTTTGTGTGGTAGCTTTATAGTGTCATTGGTCTCTGTACTTAAGTGTGTTTTTTTAGTGGCTAATAATGGTCTTTTATCTTCATATTTAGTGTTTCTTTCAGGAGCTCTTGTAAGGCAGTTCTGGTGGTAACAAATTCCCTCAGAATTTGCTTGTTTGAACAATATCTTATTTCTCCATCACTTATGAAGCTTAATTTTTCTGGATATGAAATTCTTCATTGGAATGTCTTTTCTTTAAGAATGTTGAATATAAGCCCCCAATCTTCTGGCTTGTAGGGTTTCAGCTGAGAGGTCTGCTGTTAGTCTGATGGACTTCCCTCTGGAGGTTACCTGTCTTTTCTCTCTAGCTGCCTTTATCATTTTTTCCTTCATTTCAACCTTGGAGAATCTGATGATTCTGTGTTTTGGAGGTGATCTTGTAAAGTATTTTATGGAGGTTCTCTGGATTTTCTGAATTTGAATATTAGCCTCTCTAGCCAGGTTGGGGAAGTTCTCATGGATGATATCCTGAAACATGTTTTCCAAGTTGCTTCCATTCTCCCCATCTCTTTCAGAGATGTCACTTGAGTCATAGATTTAGTCTTTTTACATAATCCCATATTTCATGGAGATTTTGTTCATTCCTTTTCATTCTGTTTTCTTTATTCTGATCTGATTGTCTTATTTCAGAAACTCAGTCATCAAGCTCTGAGATTCTTTCCTCAGCTTGGTCTATTCTGTTGTTAATGCTTGCAATTGCTTTATGAAATTCTTGTAGTGTGCTCTTCAGCTCTATCGAGTTGGTTACATTTTTTTTCTATACTGGCTATTTTGTTTGTCGGCCCCTATATCTTTTAATTGTGACTCTTAGCTTCCTTTGATTGGGTTTCAACATTCTCCTGGATCTCAATCATCTTCGCTCCTATCCATATTCTTAATTCTATTTCTGTCATTTCAGCCATCACATTCTGGTTAAGGATCCTTGCTTGAGAACTGCTGCTGTCATTTAGAGGAAAGAAGACACTTAGCTTTTTGAGTTGTCAGAGTTCTTGCACTGGTTCTTTCTCATCTTTGTGTGTTGATGTTTCTTCAATCTTTGAAGTTGCTGTCCTTTGGATGTTTTTTTTTTCTTTTATCCTATTTGATGACCTTGCGGGTTTCATTGTGGTATAGTTCAGTTGACTGGTTTCATTTCTGGAAGATTTTAGGGGGGCAAAGTTCAGCTCAGGACTCCTGGACTATGTGCTGTAACACTGGGAGACTGGCATCAGCCCCCACTTTGTTGTCTGGCTCCTTGAGGTTAGGAACCTGCTGTGCTACAACGGCTGAGGTGTTCCCAGACTGCTGGTTATCACACTACGATGGGTGGTGCCAGCCAAAGCACTTCCTAGGGCGGTAGCAGTGGGATCCATCCTTGTTCGTATGTGGCAGTAGCATCTGCAGCTACAGCATAGTAGGGTGCACACTCATCTGCTGCGACAGGGTACTGATGGGTGTTGTGTTGCTGGCCTCTGTGCGGGCCTTCGCAGCAGCGGCTAGCATTGACAGCGCGGCTGTGGGGGCCGGGCGGTGACAGGGCCCAGACGGCGACTGTGTGCCTGTTCACACTGGTGGTGGTGTTTGCGCCCTTTGTGAGCGGTCCAGCTGGCAGCAGTGGCCTCTTAGGGCAGGGGCGGGTCCACTTTTCTCTGTGCTTAGTTTCGCACCTGGAGGCCATTTCCACGCACACGGGTGGGGCACTCTGCCTGCCAACTCTCCAACAACAATGGTGGTTGGGGAAGGGGGCGGGGTGCACTCACGCCAGCAAAAATGGCATGGCCGGGTGCACAGGCACACCCGCGCTGGCGGGAGAGGGAAGGCAAGGTCGGCCTGCCAGCACACACGCACTGGCAAAGTGATATTGGGGGTGGCCAAGGGTGAGTATATGTGGGAAAAGCGGCCTGGTGAGGCTACAGTTGGGGGAGAGTGCGGGCGAGCTGGTGCGTGTCAGCGGGGGCCGTTCTGCTGGGGCATTCTGCTGGTTAGGTGAGATCCGCCCCCACCGGAGCTATGATGTGGCATGGGGGCTGCATTGCAAGCAGGCGCGGCTACGCTGGGCCCCCGCCAGAGGCCAGCGGATTGAGAGGTGCTCAGGTCAGACCGGTTCCGTCTCCTGGGCAAGATTGCTTTGCAGAGTTCAGGTCCCACAGTTGCCCTAGGGCTAAAGTCTCCTATAGGAGCGAGTCAAGCCTAGGGGGATGGGCAACACTGACCATGCTCCCACTGCAGATGCTCTTGCACCAAACCCTCTGGCCTCCACTCTAGCTGGAGTTCTACCCCTACCACTTCTCTGAGCAGCTCTCCCTGCCAATTCAAGTGTCCATAGTGGTCAAGGTTCTCCTCCTGCCAGGATTCCAAAGGCCTGTGGGCAGTTGGTTGCTCTTTGCCTGTTCATCTCACCCCTTCCCCAGGAGTAGTTGGGGACTAGGAATGAGTCCTGGTGTACCTGTCCCGGGCAGTGTTCCCAGTTTCCTCCCCCTTTAGTGCAGCATCTGTGTCTCTCCTCTGTCTGCTCTCAATGTCTTCCCTCAGAAGATCTACTAGGAGTGTGCCAGTAGATGTCCTGTCCCTCCATGGGAGATGTTCCTCCTGGCTGCATCTAATTGGCCGTCTTACCCCCTCTCCTGGTATTTTATTCTTGTTATATTTGAATTGTTTATTTGTTTTTGCTTTTTTCATTAGAAGTTCAATCTTTTTCTTGCTGGCTGTCCTGGCCTATATGGGCTGCTATAACAAAATATCATAAACTGAGTGGCTTATAACAACAGAAATTTATTTCTCACAATTCTGGATGCTGTGAAGTTCAAGACTGGGTGTTGGTAGATTCCGTGTCTGATGAAGGCCTGCTTCCTGGTTCACAGAAAAGGTGAAGGAGCTCTTTGGGGTCTCTCTCTCTCTTTTTTTTTTTTTTTTTTTTGAGACGGAGTCTTGCTTGCTGTGTCACCAGGCTGGTGCAGTGGCATGATCTCGGCTCACTGCAACCTCTGCCTCCCGGGTTCAAGCGATTCCCCTGCCTCAGCCTCCCCAGTAGCTGGGACTACAGGTGCGCACCACCACGCTTGACTAATTTTTTATATTTTAGTAGAAATGGGGTTTCACCATGTTGGCCAGGATGGTCTCGATCTCCTGACCTCGTGATCTGCCTGCCTCAGCCTCCCAAAGTGTTGGAATTACAGGCGTGAGCCACCACGCCCAGTCTGGGGTCTCTTTTATAAGGGTACTGATCCTATTCATGAGGACTCTGCCTTCATGACCTAATTCCCCCCAAAAAGCGCCACCTTCTAATACCATCACCTTGGGAATTAGGTTTTCAACATTTTAATTTTAGGAGGGACACAAATATTCGGTCCATAACACTGGCCTTTTTAAAGACTTCTTCAGTGATATCTCCAATTTCTGTAATATGAAGACAGCAGCATATGCTGCTGTGTAAGATTAGACTGACTCTCCTCTTCTCAGAGGTCTTGTCAGTCTTTCTCCTCTTAAGTTCTGGAAGATTTGCCAGGCATTAGTTGACAGGCATCCTTCCCAAGCTTTGCTCCAAAATCCATAAAAACATGCACATTTTCCTCAAGAAACTAAAATTTTACAAATATGAATGTATAAACCACTGATAGGGATGAATGTGTTAGCCCTTTTTCTTCACTCTTGGTTTATTTGCTTTTGTTGGTTTTTATAAAAGAGTCATTATACTTTCTTGCTAGTCTCTTTAGAGGCATTCACTGACATCTCTCTGTTGTCACCTTAAAAAGACAAAATGTATTGCCCACCAAGATCAAGGAAAGTTGACCCTCCCATGGGATGTATAAATGTGTTCGCTGTGATAGCTCTGTTCTTCTTCAGTCACCTGATCCAGCCCCCTCTAGCTTTTTCTAGAAAGTTCTCTCTTTACTCCTCCACCCTTGCAGCAACACAGAGGTAAGGGAGTTTTCTTCAGTTCTTCAATCACGCTCCTGATCATGTTCTGGTCACTGAACGTTATGTCCTCTAAAGTTTTGTGCTCGTCGCCTACCATCACAGAAACTCCCACGATAGGAGTCTTAATTTAGTTCTCCTTCAACCAATTACATTGTGACCCCGTTCCCTGACCTTTACCATTTCCAGCAAATTCTGTTCTTATCATCCCACTCTCCCAGAAACACCAAGGAGACAGGGCTCATTTTGGTACTTCAAAAAACCATATTCTGAACCCAAGCATTGACACTTTTATTTCTTCCAGAAAGTCTGTCCTTATTCCTCATTCTCCCCCAAAAACCCCAGTGAGGAGGCTTCAGCTTTCTTTCAACTAATCATGTTCTGATCTCACACCCCCACAGCTAGCTTTTTTTGTGAGGGAGGTAGATTGAGGCTACTTTGGGAAATCCACAATTGGTCTTTGCCAGAAGGCATAGTACTCATTTTCAGAGGAACCAAAAGATCATTCATGGACTCTACTCAGTCAACTAGCCTTTTTGAAGTGCCTGAGTTCACCACTGTGCATTTTCAAATCAGACTCTATATCATCCTCTTCCTCTAGACAGGTGAAAGATCACTCCAGCTCCAAAATTATCTGAGGCAGAGTTTCCCTTAAATGTGGTTCTCAGTTGAACATGCAGGAATTCTGATGACTAAATAGTGTGAAGTTCATATAAAGTGATTTTTGCATAAGTTGTATATGCTTTTCCATTTACACTGATTGGCAATCAGTACATAATGCAAAAATTTCCAAATAATTCTTTGTGGAGGCAATGTGGTGAGAAGACAAGCACCCTGAAGCACCAAGGCTGTGGTCACAGCTTTCACTAATTGGCTGTATGACCTTAGGAAAAATCGCTTTCTTAACAATTCTTCACTTGTGAAACCAAGTTTGCACCAAATAAGTGATTTTCATTCTTTTTTCACTGTGATCTAGTTAGAAATACATCATAAAGGTGGCAATATTTACTACATAGAACACATTATTTTCTCCAAAACAATTCTTAACACTACTCACGGGTGATAGGATGACTTTTGTTCTCTTTTTAAAAAATTGCTTGTTGTAACCCACAAAACTGATTTCAAGAGCCATAGAGTGGCAATCCTAACTTTGAACAACACTAGAGGATCTTACTTTTTTTATCCCTCAATATTCTAAAAATTAAAGTGTACTTGAGATGTAGAAAAACAGTGTATAGAAAAACAGCCCCATTCTTGCTGAGTCTCTTTTACCATCCTCAGCTTGTCATCAAGTTACAAAAGTCAAATATTCTGCATCTCCAGATGATAAGGTCCAATAGAAAATGGCCCAGGCTGGATTCCCCCACCCCCAAGATATTCAGCAGGAGTTAGCCTTGGTACTTAACATCTCTAAGCCCCAGTGACCTCATCTGTAAAAGTGGGATAACAATACAGATTTTATAGGTTGTTCTAAGAATAAAATGAGATCCTGGATGTGAAACTGCTGACAGGGGTGATGAATTCTGAGTTCCTCAGGCTGTGACCTTCAGGCATGTTTTGCTTTGCACAGTGAATAACTTTGCCACTGTCCCTACCACTCCTATAATCATCAGTCTTATTTTAAGGTCTCATACTTTTCTTTTTTAATTACTTGCCCATCAAAGTCAGATTTATCTTGATATTGTTTATTGTTTACGGTTATGACACATTATATATATACACACACACACATATGTATATAGTTACGTACACACACACCAATGGCACTGATTTTGGTACACATCAGAATTACTTAAGAGAGTTTGTTAAAAATGGAGATTCTGGAGCCCCACTCTGTGAGTCTGGACGATAGGTCCTACATTTTTAAATGCCCCTGCCTGCCCCCAAGGTGTTTTTATACAGATGGTAGACTCACTCTGAAAAACACTAGAACATACATTCTTAAAATATCAAACATTGAATTCTGGGTATGATCATTCTTTTTTGGTCAGGGACAAGAAAAAAACTGTCAAAGACAACTGAGATTTTGAGTCCAGGTAGCCGGAGGAGGAAAAGTAATACTTACAAAAATAAGGACTGGAATGAAAAAGGAAGATGATGGAATACAGACTGCTTTTTGAACTGCTTTATGCATTTCATATTATGAAAAGAGTATTTTTCCTAAAATAGGTGAATTGCCATGCTGACCGTAACTTTTAGGCTGAGACAAAACAATATTCAATTAGAATTCTAATTTCCATTAGAAACTGGTAAGTGTAAACCCCAAAAGGCTTACAGAAAAAGTAAATCACAAAAATACAAGCTTGTAAAGCAGTGTTCACATTAACCTCAGCGAAAACTTTTAGGATTCAAGGTATGAGGCAAAAGTCATAATGGTTGTCAGGTTCAGGAGTTTGGAAGCGCATATAGTGCCTCATCTGCTGTTCCCTAGTCTTTCTCTTGATTTCCATCATCTGCCCTACAAACCTTTCTACATCATCTCTCGCTTCATTGTGCTCAATATGCCTATTAGGTATGGCCCATCGAAAATTAGGGACAAGTCGCCTAACTCGCCCCCGCCTGATATTTCCTCCAGGCTTCTGGCCTTCACCCCCTCCCAAATGGCGGGATTCTTCTTCATTCTGCGTGGGGGCCTGCTCCCCTCCTTCGTTTTCTTGTTGGGCATTTTCCCCGTTGAGATTGTTTGCCGCTAGTTCCTCTTTGGACTCCATTACTCCTAGGAGACAAGAGAGAGAAAATGGGCTGAATTCTTGGTGGACTGATAAGCACTGAGGACAGAGGCCCTACTAGGCACCTTTTAAAATTCAGAGCCCTGGACTTGACTTTATACTCTAACATTTCATTTTTTTCCACCTGAGAAGCCAGTATGCCCTGTGGGGTGCCCTCAATCCGAGCCCCTCCCTTCCGCAAAGCCCACCATTTTCCCTGTAGATCCATCTCCAGGCTTCCGCAGGCAGCAAAATGGAGGACGAGGATGGCGTGTGGGAAGGGGAGGGTTGCATGGGGTAGAGGGGGGCGAGGGTGAAGGCATGGATTAGGGTCTCAGACTGGGCTTTCCTCACGTTCCGGCCCCCGCCTCACCACCGACCCTCGCACCGACCTGGGCCTATCCTTGCAGTCTCCTCCTCCGGATTCTTGACGCGAGGTGCGCCGCCGCGACACTTAGCCCCGCAGACCTGCAGACTGCCGGGGTGGGGGAAGTGGGGGCTGCTGCAGCAGAACGCTAGCTAGGAACTACCGCCATCCGGCCCCTCCCCCGCCCCGCCCCGAGGCCCTGGCCCTGGCCCTGGCCCTGGCCCTCCTCGCCACCCTCGCCCCCCGCCTCAGCCGCCCCGCCCCGCAAGCTGACCACCATTTTCTGCACCAAGAAGTGCGGGGCAGGGGTGTCGGAAAAGCTTGCGCTGATGGCGTAGGCAGGTGTTTCCGAAGGGTCGTAGCCCCAGGACCGCCGGCTCCCTCCGGGCCGGGCACCTCTCCGCTCAAGGAAGGCTCGCGGGCCCGCCGCGGGGCCCGGGGGCTGCATCGCGGACCGATTGCTTCTCCGCACGGCTCCCCCGGGGTGGGCATCCGCAGGCCGGAGCCACTCCCTCACACCAACCCCAGGGACCCCCCGCCGGGTTCCTTACCTGCTCCCCCTCCGCTTCCTAATTTCGGGGCCGCCCCTGGCCCACACGTCCTCAGGGCCACCGGGAGCAGGTACCACCGCCGAGAATGGAACGAGCCACGACGGCTCTGACGCCAGAGCGAGACAACACTCAGTGTTGGCCGGTCACGTGGGGCTGTTGTCATCGCCAACGGCTCCGCCCCCGTCCCACGCCCCCTCCTGCAGCCCGGAGTCAGGCGGGGCTTTCGGGTCAGCCCCTATCCTCATCCGGAGTCTCTTTTAGTATCTCCAGACTGGCCGGCCCTTCCACTCTCCTGTCTTTGTGTATTCTTGGGACTTCCTCTGCCTCCCCAAGAGGGAAGCTGTCTTCTCAGGGAGCTGTTGGCCATTCCCACTTCTGTGGGGACTTGCCTCTCCCTGTCCTGGGCTCCCAGGATTTTCCCCACATCTCCCAACCAGGACGCGGGCGCAGAATTTAAAGGGGTGCAAAATTCCTCAGCAGTCAAGAAAAATAACATTTTAATGCAACATTTTAAAAAACAATTATTGCAAGAAAATTTATGATGAGCAAGATGTCAAAAATTTAAATAAAGAGAGCATCAGTCCCGCCCACCCCAATGGCAAACTGTGGTACTTGTTACCAATGCTCATCCTTTTCTCCACACCAGAACGTTTGGGGGGGGACAGGAAATGAGTCAAGGACAGTGGATTTTTTTTCTAATTCTTCTTAATACCTTTCTGTTCTGTTCCTTTTTTTGGGGGGTGGGGCAGAGTCTCGCTCTGTCGCCCAGGCTGGAGTGCAGTGGCGCGATCTCGGCTCACTGCAAGCTCCGCCTCCCGGGCTCACGCCATTCTCCTGCCTCAGCCTCCCGAGTAGCTGGGACTACAGGCGCCCGCCACCACGCCCGGCTAATTTTTTGTATTTTTAGTAGAGACGGGGTTTCACCGTGTTAGCCAGGATGGTCTGGATTTCCTGACCTCGTGATCCGCCCGCCTCGGCCTCCCAAAGTGCTGGGATTACAGGCGTGAGCGCCCGGCCCCTTTTTTGTTTAAGAAACAGTCTTTATAGTTTAACTTTATCTTAACTTTAATGGAAAATTTCGAACATTTGGAAAAATGGAATAGTATAATGCAAACCCCATGTACTAGTCCTCACTCAGATTCCACAGTTAACAACTCATGGCCAATCTTATTTCGTCTTTATCTTACCCGCTTCCCAACCTTAAAATTATTTCTGAAGCAAATTCTAGACATAATATCACTTTAGGCATAAATATTTCAAAGTATGTATCTACAAGATAAGGGTTTTCTTCTTTTTAGCATATAACCACAATACTGTTGTCACATTTAATAATTCACAATTCCTTAATATCATTTTATGTCTAATCTGTGTTCAAATACCCAATTGTATTATAGTTTTTTTTAACAGTTTGTTTGAATCAAGATACAAATAAGATATGCGCATTTTGATTGGTTGCCAAATTTCCTAAATTTCTTTTAATCTGTGGGTTTTCATTTTTTAATTTTTTCTTTAATTATTGATGAAATAGTCATTTGTTCTGTATTTTCCTACAGTCTGGATCTCAGTGGTGTCATTAACACATTATCTCTTTACTCTGTGGTTCCTATAAGATGGTAACTAATTCTAGAAAAGCATCCTGGAATTTGGGTTCAATTTCAATTCAAGTTTGTCCAAGGGAAAGCAAAGACTCTTTCTGTTTTCCTCTTTTTGGGATTTTAGCTGAAATATTTCTATAAAGAGACCCTTCCTATTTTAGGTCGGGCTCCCTAGAAGCAGAACTTGGAACAGAGATCCTTATGAATGTAGTTTCTTGTAATGCTCTCTCAGGTTAAAGGAAGTAAAGGCAGCAGGACAGGGCTGGGGAGCAGGGCAGTGATGAAGAATGGGGTTTAACTAGAGATTAAGTTTAGTTAATCGCACCTGAAAACTCTGAAGCACACACAAGTCATCCCACGTTGACAGTAAGTCACTGGCTTTTTGTAGCTCAGCGTCAGTCACAGATCAAAGTCTGTAGGTGGAGCAGAGCATAGTCTCTGGAGCAAGGTGGCTCCCATTTGGCAGAGAACAATTCCCTGGAGAAGAGGTAAAATGTGAGTTGTATGGCTCAGGCCTGTAATCCCAGCAATTTGGGGGGCTGAGGTAGGAGGATTGCTTGAGCCCAGGAGTTTGAGACCAGCCTGGGCAACATAGGGAGAACCCCATCTCCATACACACACACACACACACACACACACACACACGCATACACACACACAAATTTAGCTGGGTGTGGTGGCACGCAACTTTGGTCCCGCCTACTTGAGAAGCTAAGGAGGGAGAATTGCTTGAGCCCGGGAGGTCAAGGCTACAGTGAGCTATGACAGCACCACTGCACTCCAGCCTGGACAACAGAGTGAGACCTTGTCCCCTCACTCCTCCCGAAAAAAGATGTAAGTTGTTATCAGCCAACACACACAGCCAGGGAAGGTTTCATAGGTATATGACTTGTGCTGTGGCACAGGGCCCTGATGTCAGAAGAGTTCTACTCCTGGTTTAATGCTCTGCTGTCGTGTTGAAAGTTTTACTGATTTTATTTCTGAATACCGTCAGGCATAGATGTGTCTACAGGTTATCTAAACTGTATTCAGAAACAAGTCCAGTTGGCTTACAGGTGCCTCCAACTTTTGTGTCTCCTTCCTTCTCCCCTAGGTACTTCCATGTTTACTGCATACTGCTGTCCCTTCTACTGGCCTTTTCCCTTCTGCTGACCTAATATGCCAAAGCCCCATTGATTTATCTGGGCTTTTTGTTGAGCCAGAGACCCACTCTGTCCCTAACAAAGTGGATAAAGGTTAGGTGTGGTGGCTCACGCCTATAATCCCAGCACTTTGGGAGGCCGAGGCAGGTCTCTCTGAAAAAAAAAAAAAAAAAAGGTGTGCATAAAACCTCTTTCTTTATTTTATACTTACAGGTACTGTGAGATACACATATTCATCTGTGGTTTTTGGCTCATAATTCCCATAGCCTTTGTTATTTCCTAAGTGGCTAGAACAATCAGCATATCTTTGATTAAAGTATTTGGCCTTTTGTTTCGGAACAGCTTCAGAACCATAAACATAAAAGACTGTCTTTCTTGGCCGGGCGCAGTGGCTCACACCTGTAATCCCAGCACTTTGGGAGGCTGAGGCGGGTGGATCATGAGGTCAGGAGATCGAGACCATCCTGGCTAACACGGTGAAAACCCATCTCTACTAAAAGTACAAAAAATTAGCTGGGTGTAGTGGCAGGCGCCTGTAGTCCCAGCTACTTGGGAGGCTGAGGCAGGAGAATGACGTGAACCCGAAAGGCAGAGCTTGCAGTGAGGCGAGATCGCACCACTGCATTCTAGCCTGGGCGACACAGCAAAACTGTCTCAAAAAAAAAAAAAAGACTGTCTTTCCGTGTATGTTGGGGCTCTTTCAGGCTTCAGAAGCAGGCCTCAAAAGACAGAATTTCTCTCCCTGACCTTCTCTTGCTCTCCTTTCACCTACTCCTTTTTTCTCTCCAAGGCAGACCACATAAACTAAAAATATACTCTAGTTTTCCCCTGCCTTTCTGTCTTGGAGGTGGCCATAAGTAAATTCTCCGATTTACCTTGTCTGACTGTAGGTCATAATGATGCAGGAATGGGAAGCTCCCGTATTTGGGGCTTAGCCAGGGAGGCTTCTTGGCTTCACCCCGAAAAATAAATCAAGGGTGAGCTAGTGGTGTTGGGCAACAACCTGTTTTTGAACAGTACTGCTCTTTGTGGAGCAGGGCTAAATCAAAGGCAGTGCACCCAGAATCAGCAACATATGAGCTCTTGGCAACTATATTTATACTCACTTATTCCCACTTTCAATTACACACAAATTAGGGAGTGGGTTAATGCAAATTGAAGGGTAGGTTATTTAGAACTTTCTAGGAAAGGAGCAGTAACTTCTGGGCCATTGCCATGGCATTTTGTAAACTGTGGCACTGGGTGGGAGCGTCTTATACTAATGAGCAATGAGAGCAGCTAGAGATCGCTTTTGTCGCCATCTGCTGGTTTTTGCGTTTCTTCACTTTAATCTGTCAGGACCAGGGAAATAAATCCTGTGGGTCTCTACCTCAATAAGACCCCAATTCAGAAGGGGTCCTCCCCCATACCCAGGATGAAGAAATGCTGCACAGAGAGGCCAAGAAGAATCTGAATAGTCAGGCCTTGCTGGGTTTCCCTACTCAGTCTAATAGTGTTAGATTATACCCTTTTTGTTCAATCACATTTTTACATGGTTGTCCATGATAGCCCTGCCTATCTAATGACATCTTGATAAAAGGCCCAAGGGGATGGGACACAGAGAGCCTCTGGACAGGTAAACTCATGGAGGCCTGCAAGAAGGTAAACAAGAACTCATCAGCTTGCCGGGAGGGCAGTACACCCCAACTCCACAGGAACGAGAGCTCCGGTGCTCGGGACACTTTCAGACCTTGCCCTATGTATCTCTTCATCTGGTTGCTTACCTGTATCTTTTAAAATATTCTTCATAATAAGCCAGTACACACGTGTCCCTGAGTTTTGTGAGCCACTCTAGCAAATTAATGAAGCCTGAATAAGGGGTTTTGGGAATCTTAACCTGAAGCCGGTTGGTCAGAAGTTCCAGAGGCCGAGACTTGCCACTGGTGTCTGAAGCGGGGACAGTCTTATGGGACAGAGACTGCAACTTGTGGGATCTAATGCTATCTCCAGGTAGGTAACATCAGAATTGAATTGGGTTAGAGGATGCCCAGATGGTGTCCACTGCAGAGAAAAAACAGGGTTATTTTTGTTTTGTTTTGCTTTGTTTTGTTTTGTTTTTTAACACACTAGATGAGTACCGCCTTAATGTTGTTTGGGCCCTGATGTCAAACAGAAGTTTTAGGACAGTAGTCCTTTCTGCTGAGTGTGTGTGAGTGTGTGTATATCCGTGTCCGTCTCTACCGGATTTACCCAGTGGGAACTGAGCATGCCATGTTGACTCAGAATTGCCCAACTCTTGCTCCCCACAGGTGAGGAATATGATATGTCTTCTGGACTGGAGACTACTAAAATGCCTGCTAAAAACATATGCAAATTAAATAGAGAAAAATAATTTAGGCTGAAGCTGGTGTGTTCTTCCCCAACTCCTTCCAGGCTCACTCTTACCTGAAACAGTGAAAATATCGTACAAATTCTTGTTTTTCTTTATTTTTTCATAAGGTTCAAAGTATAAATTCTTAAGTACTGATTAGAGAGTTATCAGTCTTGAATTATGCTACAATGTAAATCATTTCTAGATACTATGCCTTAAAATTCCAGTAGAAATTATAAGATGTTACCTACAATTCAACATCTGATATCATTTTGGGGTTTTAGCACTTTTATTTAGATATAATTCCATATTAAAAATTCACCATTTTATAAAAAAATTAGCCTAGCATGGGGGTGCATGCCTGCTACTCGGTAGGCTGAGGGAGGAAAATCGCTTGAACCTGGGAAGCAGAGGTTGCAGTGAGCCGAGATCGCACCACTGCACTCCAGCCTGGGCAAAAGAGCGAGACTCCATCTCAAAAAAAAAAAAAAAAAAAAAAAAAAAAGGAAAGAAAAAAAGAAAAGAAAAAAGAAAAATCACCATTTTAAAGTGTGCAATTCAGGGCCGGGTGTGGTGGCTCATGCCTGTAATCCCAGCACTCTGGGAGGCTGAGGTGGGCGAATCACTTGAGGTCAGGATTCTAGACCAGCCTGATCAATATGGTGAAACCCTGTCTTTACCAAAAAATACAAAAATTAGCCAGGCATGGTGGTACACGCCTCTAGTCCCAGCTCCTGGGGAGGCTGAGGCAGGAGAATCGCTTGAACCTGGGAGGCAGAGGCTGCAGTGAGCCGAGATCACTCCTCTGCACTCCAGTCTGGGTGACAGAGTGAGACTCCATCTCAAAAATAAATAAATAAATAAATATGAAAAATAAAATAAAATACACGAAGCAAAAACTAATAGACCTGAAAATAGGAATAGATGAATCCACTGTTATAGTTGAAAATTTGAAAAGCCCTCTATCAGTAATAGACAGATCCAGCAGGGAAAAAATCAATAAGGACATGGTTGAACTCAGCAGCACCATCAATCAGCTGGATCTAATTGGCATTGTAGAATACTTCACCCAACAACAGTAGAATATGCATTCTACTCAAGCTCATATGGAATATTTATGAATATAGACCACATTCTGAGTTATAAAACATACTATAACAAGTTTAAAAGAATAGAAAACATACAGAGTATGCTGTCGGTCTTCAGCGGAATTAAACTAGAAATTAATACAGAAAGATAGCTGAAAAACCCCAATATACTTGGCAATTAAACAACATATTTCTAAGTAACACACAAGTCAAAGAAGTCTCAAAAGAAATTTTAAGATATTTGAATTAAATTAATATGAAAATACAACTTACTGAAATTTGCAGAATGCAGTAAAAGCAATGCCTAGAAGGAAATTTATAGCATTGAACATATATATTAGAATACAGAAAAGATCTAAAGTCAATAATCTATGCCTTCACCCTAGAAAAATAAGAGCAAATTAGATCTAAAAGAAAGTGAGCAAAAGAAAAGAAACAATAAAAATTACAGCAGAAATTAATGAAATTGGAAATAGAAAATTGATGGAGAATTTTCAGCAATGAAACCAAAATCAAATACAACATTGCATAAAAAGAATCACATGCTCTGACCAGACGAGATTTATTCAAGATGTGCAAGACTGGTTCAACATTCGAAAATCGATAAATGTAATTCATCACATCAACAAGCCAAAGAAGAAAAATCATATAATCCTATCAATAGATGCAGAAAAAGCATATGACAAAAATCTAACACCCACTAATAATAAAAACTCATAAAACTATTACCTTAGGGGAATTCCACAATTTGATAAAGAACATCTACCCAAAAACCTATAACATCACACTTAATGATGAGAGACTAGCTGCTTTTCCTCTAATATCAAGGCAAAGATCAAGGAACAAGGCAAAGATGCCCCCTCTCATTTCTCTTATTCAATGCCTTACTGTCCTAGCCAATGCAATAAGACAAAACAGGAAATACAGATAAACAAATTGGAAAGGAAGAAATAAAGCTGTCATTTTTCACAGATTGTGTGATTATCTATATAGTTAATTCCAAAGAATCAACAACAACAACAACAAACTCTTGGAGCCATTACATGATAATAACAATGTTCCAAGATACAATGTTAATATATAAAAGTCAATTGCTTTCTTATATACCAGCAATAAATGATTGAAATTTGAAACTGAAAACATAATATTATTCATATTAGCAGCAAAAAATCAAATACTTAGGTATAAATTTATCAAAATGTGTAAATTTAAAAAAATTTGAATAAATATGGCCAGGCATGATGGCTCATACCTGTAATCCCAGCACTTTGGGAGGCTGAGGTGGCAGGAGGATTGCTTGAGTCCAGGAGTTCCATGCCAGCCCGGGCAACATATCGAGACCTCATCTCTACAAAAAAAAAATTAGCCAGGTGTGCTGTTACATGCCTGCAGTCCTCAGCTATTCAGGAGGCTAAGGCAGGAGAATTGCTTGAACGCAAGAGGTTGAGGTGCAGTGAGCCATGATCACACCACTGCCTTCCAGCCTGGGTGACAGAGAAAGACCCCATCTCAAAAAAAAAAAAAAAAGAAACTAAGTTGGTATTACCTCAAACTTGATTATTATAAAGTTAATATGATCATTGTAATAGCCACGGTAATGACTGGGAGAAAAACTAAAAAAATACAGAAAAATAAATGAGAAAATCATCAAAATGATACACTAGAAGAAATAAATCACAAAAGAAATTAATAATAGTGGAACAAAAAAGTATAAGAAATATAAAACAAATTTGAAAATATAAAACAAATAGCAAAATGGCAGAACTAAGTCCTTTCTTATCAGTAATTACTCTAAATATAAATGGATGAAATTCTTCGATTAGAAGGTGGAGATTGGAAGAATGAATAAAAATACATAATCCAACTATGTGCTGTCCACAAGAAACTTGCTTTAGATTCCAAGGCATAAATTAGTTGAAAGTGAAATGATGGGAAAAAATATTCTTTGCAAATAGTAACCAAAAAGAGGTGGGAAGGCTATACTACTGTGAGGCAAAATAGACTCAAAAATTGTTATAACAGATGAAGACAGACATTATGTATTTATAAAAGGGTCAAAACATCAAGAATATGTAAACAGTTGTCTTTCTGCACTACCCAGAAAGGGATCTATACAGTGTTGTTCTGGATTCGTGTCATAACTTAAAGGGAAACTTTCACAACGTCTGGAGCCCTTGGTGTCCTGTAAATGAAGGAGGAGGTCCTCAAATTCCTTTCAGTAGGAACCTATGGTGGCAACAACCTTGACTCCAAATAGAGCAGTATGCCTACAAAAGGAAAAGTGATGGCATCGGCATCATACATCTAATCAGTATGCCATCACTTTTCCTTGAGAAGGACCTGGGAGAAGCTTCTGGTGGCAGTTCATGCCATTGTTGCCAGTGAAAACCCTGCTGATGTCAGTGTCATATCCTCTAGGAATACTGGCCAGCAGGCTATGCTGAAGTTTGCTGCTGCCAGTGTAGCCACTCCTATTTCTGGCCACTTCACTCCTGGAAACTTCACTAACCAGATCCAAGCAGCCTTCCAGGAACCATGTCTTCTGGTGGTTATCAATCCCAAGGCTGACCACCAGGCTCTGACGGAGGCATCTTACATAAATCTGCCCACAATTGCTCTGTGTAACAGATTCTTCTCTGTGCTATGTTTACATTGACATGCAATGCAACAACAAGAGCTCTCACTTGGTGGGTCTGATATGGTGGAGGCTGACTCAGGAAGTTCTGTGCATGCATGGCACCATCTTCTGTGAAATCCCAAGGAAGGTCATGCTGATCTCTATTTCTACAGAGATCCTGAAATGATTGAAAAGGAAGAGCACAAGCTGCTGCTGAAAAAGCTGTGATCAAGGAGAAATTAATGGACTGCTTCCGTTCTGAGTTCAGTGCCACTCAACCTGAGGTTGCAGACCAGTTTGAAGGCATACAGGTGCCCTCTGTGCCTATTCAGAAATTCCCCACTGAAGACTGGCCCACAGCCTGCCTCTGAAGACTGCTTTGCAACTCCCGCTGTTCAGGCCACTGAATGGGTAAGAACAACCACTACGTGGTCTTAAGCTGTTCTTTCACAGGCTCTTAAGCAAAATGAAAATAAAGTTGATGGAAAGTAAACATTAGTTTCTAAAAAGAATATGTAACAATTATAAAATATATGCTCCTAACAACAGATCCCAAAAATACGTGAAGCAAAAACTGACTGAATTGAAGGGAGAAATAGACAGTTCTACTCTCTAATAATAGTTGGAGATTTTAATTCCCCATAATCAATAATTAATAGAACCACTAGAGAGAAGGTCAGTAAGGAAATAGAGGATTTAAACAACACCATAAACCAACTATACCTATCAGATATCTACAGAACCCTCCATCCAACAACAAATACACATTCTCCTCAAGTTAAATGGAGCATTCTCTAGGATAGATCATATGTTAGACCAAAAGACAGGTCTCAATAATTTTTTTTTTTCTGAGATGATGTCCCGCTCTGTTGCCCAGGCTGGAGTGCAGTGGCATGATCTCGGCTCACTGCAACCTCCACCTCCCGGGTTCATGCCATTCTCCTGCCTCAGCCTCCCGAGTAGCTGGGACTACAGGTGCCCACCACCACGGGTGGCTAATTTTGTTTTTGTATTTTTAGTAGAGACAGGGTTTCACCGTGTTAGCCAGGATGGTCTTGACCTCCTGACCTCGTGATCTGCCTGCCTCAGCCTCCCAAACTGCTGGGATTACAGGTGTGAGCCACCACACCCAGCCTTCAATACATTTTTAAAATATTGAAATCATACAAAATATCTTCTCCAACCATGATGGAATGAAAGTAGAATTCAATAACAAAAAGAAAACTGGAAAATGCACAAATATATAGAAATTAAGCATCATACTTTAATCAATGGGTCAAAGAAGAAATTACAGGTGGAATTAGATAATATGTTGAGATGGATTAAAACAAAAGCACAACATACCAAAACATACAGGGTGCAGCAAAAACAGTGCTCAGTGTGAAATTTAAAGCTGAAAATGCCCACATTAAAAAAGAAGAATATAAAATCAATAACCTAACTTTATACCTCGCAAAACTAGGAAGAGAAGGCCAAGCTAAATGCAAAGCTAGGAAAAGGATGGAAATAATAAAGATTAGAACAAAAATAAATAAAACAGTGAATAGTGAAACAACAGAATTAATAAAATCAAAAGCATGTTCTGTGAAAGAACAACATAACTGACAATCTTTCAGCTAGATTGAGCAAGAAGAAAGTGAAAACTCCCAAATTACTAAAATCAGAAAAGAAAGTGGGGGTGTTACCACATACTTCCAGAAGGATTATAAGAGAGTGCTATGAAAATTGTATATCAACAAATTAGATAACTTAGATAAAATAGACAAATTTTTTGAAACACACAAACTACCAAAAAAAAAAAAAAAACTCAAGAAGAAATAGAAAATCAGAACAGATTTATAACAAGTAAAGAAATTTGGCCAGGTGCAGTGGCTCACGCCTGTAATCCCAGCACTTTGGGAGGCCAAAGCGGGTGGATTACGAGGTCAGGAGATCGAGACCATCCTGGCTAACACGGTGAAACCCCTTCTGTACTAAAAATATAAAAAATTAGCCTGGCATGGTGGCAAGCGCCTGTAGTCCCAGCTACTCGGGAGGCTGAGGCAGGAGAATGACATGAACCTGGGAAGCGGAGCTTGCAGTGAGCTGAGATCGTGCCACTGCACTCCAGCCTGGGTGCAACAGAGCGAGACTCTGTCTCAAAAAAAAAAAATTTTTTTTAAATCAGTAATCAACAGCTTTCCAAGAAAAAAAAGCCCTGAACCAACAGCTTCCCAATAAAAAAAAGCCCTGAACCAAATGTCTTCACTGGAGAATTATACCAAACATTTTTTTAAAAGCTGAAATCAGTGTTCAAACTCTTTAAAAAGTAAAGACAGAACACTTCTTAACTCATTCTATGAGGCCAACATTACCATGATACCAAAGACAGATAAAGCCATCACAAAGCAAACTATAGGCCAATATCCCTTATGAATATTGATGCAGAAATTCTTGACAAAAGACTAGCAAACCAAATCCAACATCATATTAAGAGAATTATATACCATGACCAAGTGGTATTTATCCCAAGGATAAAAGGGTCGTTCAATATAAGAAATATCATCAACTGGTGAATGGGTAAACCAAATGTGATATAACCATGAATGGAATATTATTCAGCCACAAAGAAAGAATGGAGTAATTCTACATGCTACAACAAGGATGAACCTTGAAAACATTAGGGTCAGTGAAAAATGTTGCCACAAAAGGCCACATATTGTATTATTTGATTGGTAGGAAAAGTCCAAACCCATCCACAGAGAAAGCAGATTAGTGTTTGCCAGAGGCTGTAGGGAGAGATTACTAACAGTTACGGGGTTTCTTTGGCGGGGGGGGGGGGGGCGGGGGGGGCGGTGGAAATAGCCAGGAAATATATATTGGTGATGGTTGCACAACACTGTGAATATATTAAAAACCACTGAATTGCACACTTTATCTTTTTTATTTTTGAGACAGGATTTCACTCTGTCTCCCAGGCTGAAATGCAATGGCACAGTCTCAGCTCACTGTGACCTCTGCCTCCCAGGTTCAAGCTATTCTCCTGCTTCAGCCTCCCCAGTAGCTTCTTGCTATTAAGTTGTTTGAGTTCCTCATGTATTTTGGGTATTACTCCCTTACAGATGTGTGGTTTGCAAGTATTTTCTCCCAATCTGTGGGTTATCTCTTCCCTAGTCTTTTTGATGTGCTCTCTGGTATTATAGCTTAGTCTACACTCATTCAGCGCAATCCTTGCCCAGTCCTGGAATCAGCCATTTCTGCAAGGGAGTCAGATTTTTTTTTAAGGGGAAATGTTGCGAGAGTTAATAATCTGAGTACTAGAGTTGCTCATTACTACTGAGTTGGTCATTGTTTCTTGTCCTTTTCAGTGCATGGAGGCAGTAAATATGTATTATATTTTTAGGAGAATACACATTATCATCTTCCATCTTGGGCTGCTCCTCTGTCCCCTTATAGGTAATCATTTTTATCTTTTTGTGTTTGTTTGTTTTAGCCTTCCAGTTTTAAAAAATATCAGCAAGTGGCCGGGTGCAGTGGCTCACGCCTGTAATCCCAGCACTTTCGAGGCTGAGGTGGGTGGATCACGAGGTCAGGAGATTGAGACCATCCTGGCTAATACGGTGAAACCCCGTCTCTACTAAAAATACAAAAAATTAGCCGGGCGCGGTGGTGGGCGCCTGTAGTCCCAGCTACTCGGGAGGCTGAGGCAGGAGAATGGTGTGAACCCGGGAGGCGGAGCTTGCAGTGAGAGGAGATCGCGCCACTGCACTCTAGCTTGGGCGACAGCGCAAAACTCTGTCTCGACAAAAAAAAAAAAATATATATATATATACACATATATGTATATATATGTGTATATATATATGTATATATATGTGTATATATATGTATATATATGTGTATATATATGTATATATGTGTATATATGTATATATGTGTATATATGTATATATATGTATATATATGTATATATATGTATATATATGTATATATATGTGTATATATATATCAGCAAGTATAACATATATGTGACTTTTCTCCCCCCTTTCATAGGTAAAAGGTGGCATATTCTACATCCTCACTGTGCAATATACATTTCTTCAGAGCTAGTAATCTGTGTCTGCACTGTCCAAAACAGTAGGCACTAGTTACCTGAGTGTTTTATTGAGGAATTAAAGATTGAGTGCATACAATGCATCTATTGTCATGGAGTAACTGAATCTCTAATTTAATTTTAATTAAATTAAGATATCTCCTTGTGGCTAGTAGCTAACGTATTATTGCACAGCAGCAGTGCTACGTATTTTTCTGCACCTCACTTTATTAATTTAACAATATATCCTAGGCCAGGTGCGGTGGCTCAGGCCTGTAATTCTAGCACTTTGGGAGGCTGAGGCAGGTGGATTGCCTGAGCTCCGGAGTTCGAGACTAGCCTGGGTAACATGGCAAAACCTCGTCTCTAGAAAAAATACAAAAATTAGGCAGTTATAGTTGCATGCACCTTTAGTCGAAGCTACTTGGGGAGCTGATGCGGGAGCATTGATTGAGCCTGGGAGGTCGAGGCTGCAGTGAGCCAAGATCGTGCCACTGCATTCCAGCCTGGGTGATAGAGTGAGACCCTGTGTCAACAACAACAACAACTATCTATCTATCTATCTGTCTGTCTATCTCTCCTAGAATCTATTGCATAGCAGTACAGAGAAGAAGTCTTCATTGCTTTTTACAGCTGCATAGTACTCTAAGATATTGATGTACTGTAAGATTTTTAACTAGCCACAACTCTTATTCATGGACATTTTGTTTCTACTCTTCTGCTATTATGAATTGTTCTGCAGGAATGGCTTTCTGTTTATGCTTTTATGTTTTGTATTTTATTTTATTTTACTGTATTGTTTCTTTGGGACAGATTCTTAGAAGAGAGATTGCTGGTTCCAAGAGCAAATACCTATATAATTTAACTAGATAGTATCAAATCTCCTGGTTAGGGGTTATATCATTTCATATTGCTGATGCAGGGAAGGTGAGCCCCAATTGGGACCTTGCCCGGGAGATTCTTGGCTTCAACCAGGAAAGAATTCAAGAGCAAGCCGGTGGTAAAAGAAAACAGTTTATTTGAGGTGGCAGTGTTACAGCTCCATGATTGCCCCAGCAGAGCAGGGCTACCTCATTACCTCATAGGCAGTGTGTCAACAGTAGCAGCTCAGAGGCAGTTTTGCAGTCCTATTTATACCCACCTTTAGTTACATGCAAATTAAGGGGCATGTCATGTATAAATTTCTAGAAAAAGGGTGGTAACTTCTGGGCCTTTGGGTCGTTGCCATGGAAAGGGATAGTAACTTCTGGGTGTTGCCATGGCAATGGTAAACTGACATGGTACACTAGTGGGCATGTCTTCTGGAGAGGTGCTTCTGCCTCTTCCCCATTTTAACAGGTCCCCAATTTGGCCTGGTGTTCCAGCCCTGCCTCCGAGTCAAGTCCTACCTCCTACCTCATTACCACCAGCAGTGCTTGTGAATGCTATGTAATTGATGAGAAGAAGCATTTCATCTTATTTTCTTTGCATCTCTTATCAAGAACTAGGTTGAGCAATTGAGCATTTTTGTGTATTTTTGGAGTCTTTAATTTGTATGGATATATATTAGTTGTACATATTTTGGGGTAAATGTAATATTTTGATACAAGCATACGATGTGTAATGATCAAATCTGGGTAGCTGGGATATTCACCACCTCAAATATTTATCATTTTGTTGAGTTGAGAACATTCCAAATCTGTTCTTCTAGTTATGTTGAAATGTACAATAAGTTTTGTTAACTGTAGTCACACTACTGTGCTATCAAACATAAGATCTTACTCCTTTTATCAAACTGTATTTTTGTATACATTCACTAACCTCTTTTTATCTCCATCTCCTCATTAACCTATGTTTAAGGAACATTTCCAGTGAAATACTTGTTTGCATCTATTGCCCTTTTTCCTCTCAAGATGTTGTTTATTGCTTTTGCTTTTTCAATAGCTTTCTATATACTAGACGTATAACTCTTTTCTGTGATGTAAGTTGTATTTTTCCCAATTGGTAATTTTTTATTTTCCTTTTCTTATGGGTCTTGTTTTTGCCATGCATTTTTATATAAAATCAAATGTATCATTCTTTTCCCTTATTGCTTCTGGATATTAAGTCATATTTAGAAAAGTTTCCTCCACTACTATGGTACAGAGACGTTTGTTGTGAGTTTACTTTTGTGGTCGAGAGAGGAGAGAACTATGGGTCATATGATATTGGTGTGCCAGATGTGAAAGGAACCCTGAGGGAAAGTGGCCTTCATGTGAAAAACTTTTGAAAAGTAAGTCATGAAATCAAGCAAATTAGATGTTCGTATGAAATTTCTAGCCCTATACTTATCTTTGAGAACACTACCTCTACTCTTTTCTGTCTCTTGTGGATCTGGGTTTGAGCCCATCTAACTGGTAGAGAAGATGTTACGTGAAGCAGAAACTCCACTTTACCTCAGATGGGGCCCTCAGAAAACTAAATGGGAGGGACCACCCTTCTAGGAATAAGGAAGATACAAAACCAGTTTAGAAATCTAGCACTCTGGGCCAGGTGCAGAGCTCACACTTGTAATCCCATCACTTTGTGAGGCTGAAGTGGGAGAATCCCTTCAGCCCAGGAGTTTGAGACAAGTCTGGGCAACATAGTTAGACCTCATCTCTACAAAAGTTTAAAAATCAGCTGCTGAAACTGGATCCCTTCCTTACACCTTATACAAAAATTAATTCAAGATGGATTAAAGACTTAAATGTTAGACCTAAAACCATAAAATCCCTAGAAGAAAACCTAGGCAATACCACTCAGGACATAGGCATGGGCAAGGACTTCATGACTAAAACACCAAAAGCAATGGCAACAAAAGCCAAAATTGACAAATGGGATCTAATTAAACTAAAGAGCTTCTGCACAGCAAAAGAAACAACCATCAGAGTGAACAGGCAACCTACAGAATGGGAGAAAATTTTTGCAATCTACCCATCTGACAAAGGGCTAATATCCAGAATCTACAAAGAACTTAAACAAATTTACAAGAAAAAATCAAACAACCCCATCGAAAAGTGGGCAAAGGATATGAGCAGACACTTCTCAAAAGAAGACATTTATGCAGCCAAAAGACACATGAAAAAATGCTCTTCATCACTGGCCATCAGAGAAATGCAAATCAAAACCACAATGAGATACCATCTCACGCCAGTTAGAATGGTGATCAATAAAAAGTCAGGAAACAACAGATGCTGGAGAGGATGTGGAGAAATAGGAACACTTTTACACTGTTGGTGGGAGTGTAAACTAGTGCAACCATTGTGGAAGACAGTGTGGCGATTCCTTAAGGATCTAGAATTAGAAATACCATTTGACCCAGTGATCCCGTTACTGGGTATATAACCAAAGGATTAGAAATCATGCTACTATAAAGACACATATACACGTATGTTTATTGCGGCACTATTCACAATAACAAAGACTTGGAACCAACTCAAATGTCCAACAATGATAGACTGGATTAAGAAAATGTGGCATATATACACCATGGAATACTATGCAGCCATAAAAAAGGATGAGTTCATGCCCTTTGTAGGGACACATATGAAGCTGGAAACCATCATTCTGAGCAAACTTTTGCAAGGATAGAAAACCAAACACCGCATGTTCTCACTTATAGGTGGGAATTGAACAATGAGAACACTTGGACACATGGTGGGGAACATCACACACTGGGGTCTGTTGTGGGGTGGGGGGAGGGGGGAGGGATAGCATTAGGAGAAATACCTAATGTAAATGACGAGTAAATGGGTGCAGTGCACCAACATGGCACATGTATACATATGTAACAAACCTGCAAGTTGTGCACATGTACCCTAGAACTTAAAGTATAATTTAAAAAACTTATAAAAAAATAAAAAAATAAAAATCAGCTGGGCATGGTGGTGCATGCCTGTAGTCCCAGATACTCAGGAGGCTGAGGTGGGAGGATCGCTTCAGCCCAGAAGGTCAAGGCTGTAATGAGCCATGATTATGCCACTGCACTCTAGCCTGCATGACAAAGTAAGACTCTGTCAAAGAGAGAGAGAGAGAGAAAAGGAAGGAAGGAAGGAAGGAAGGAAGGAAGGAAGGAAGGAAGGAAGGAAGGAAGGGAAAGAAAAGAAAAGAAAAGGAAAAGGAAAAGAAAGAAAATCTACCACTCTGGCCTAACAAAAAATCAAAAGAGAAAGTAAAATCTCTAGATCACGCCCATAAAGAGAACAAAGACTGAAGCCATAACAGTTGCCTCATCCTTTATTCTCTGTCTGTTCTGTGCTGGTAGGAGAAGTAGCCCATTAGCCCCATGCAAGAGGATGAAAGTGTGGGTTACAAGGTACCTCAGTTTCCCAAGAAAGTGACTTTTCTCCACTTAATTGCATCATTTCCTTTTTTGATGCTGGATTTCCAGGACTCAGAGTCAAGCTTAGACTAAACTTACTTGGAATGGAATCCGGTTGAGGTCATAGATCACAGGGTGGTGACTAATATCCATCTTGCTCCCCATGGATATTCCCAGGAAATCAAGAGAAGGAAAGTATGGGATGCAGATGTGGAATTTGACTAACCATGCCTGGCCATCCTACACATTAATAAATCAATGAAATGCAGGAATAAGCAGGATAGAAAGATACACATTTTTTTTTCAGCTTTTAAATACACATGAATTTTTCAAGGAGAGTTGAGGTCATACTGTACTTATTGTTTTGTAATCTGCTTTGAGGAAACATTTTGTTTCTGTTTATTAAAATTATGCCTTTTCATTGGGGAAAAAACTTGCAGAAAATGAAGAAAGATTCCACTTGGTCTTCAGAGTCAGTTTGAGACAAAGAAACACACATACACACATGCACATACACACCACACACACAGAGAGAGAGAGAGAAGAGAGAGAGAGAAACTGTCAAGTAAATTGCTTCAATCTGCTTCCAAAGCAATAAATATATGAGCATTACATTTGTAATCATTTCACAGTTATATTAGGCTTGCAACATTATCTTCAATAGTTTGCATATTTAAAACACTATAGAAATGCACACTTATAAAATAAAAGTACTCTCTATATCCCACTATGTGCACACACTGAATTATTATCAAAGAAATATTTTAATGTGCTATGTTTATGCAACAGTGTATGAACATATTTCTAAGTCAGTGTATCCTCAGCAAATTTATTTCTACACCATTATTTTTTGGATCAGCTTTACAAAACTTTATCTCAATATTTTGCCACAGTGCCAACTAAAACTTTTTGTTGTTTAACATGTATCAAACAATATAGAAATGTATACTTATAAACTGAAATATTTTGTCTCTCTAGTCTGTCCCCACCTTCTGCCCATCATGATACCAAAATATTTTCTATTAATTTATCAGTGCCTATTCTTCATATTTTTTTCTGTATGTGTTAACTTATATTTATTTGATTTTTTTTTTTTTTTGAGATGGAGTCTGGCTCTGTTACCCAGGCTGGAGTGCAGTGGCGCAATCTCAGCTCACTGCAAGCTCCACCTCCCGGGTTCACTCCATTCTCCTGCCTCAGCCTCCCAGGTAGCTGAGACTACAGGTGCCCGCCACCATATCCGGCTAATTTTTTGTATTTTTAGTACAGGTGGGGTTTCACCGTGTTAACCAGGATGGTCTCAATGTCCTGACCTCATGATCCACCCACCTCAGCCTCCCAAAGTGCTGGGATTACAGGCGTAAGCCACCGTGCCCGACCTATTTAATTTTTAAAATTAGAGATGGGATCTCATTATGTTGCCCAGGCTGGAGGGCAGTGGCTGGTTGTAGGTGCAATCACAGCCTACTACAGCCTTGAGTTCCTGGGCTCAAGTGATCCTCCCACCTCAGCCTCATGAGTAGCTGGGACTACAGTGTGCACCATTGTGCCCAGCTTAAGTTTTATTTATTTATTTATTGAAACAGGGTCTTACTCTGTAGCCCAGACTGGAGTGCAGTGGTGTAATCATGGCTCACTGCAGTCTTGACCTCCTGGCCTCAAGTGATCCTTCCACCTCAGCCTCCTGAATAGCTGGGATCACAGGCATGCACCACCAAGCCAAACTAATTTTTTCATATTTTGTAGAGACATGGTCTCCCTCTGTTGTCCAGGCTGGTCTTGAACTCCTGGACTGAAGTGATCCTTCCACATCCGCCTCCCAATATGCTGGGATTATCAGCATGAACCACCATGCCCAGCCACTTAAGTTATATTCAATCACACCCATACACTCATGTTGATATATATTCTTTTGTAGAAATGGGGTCATGTTTTACATTGTATTTTGTGACATATTGTTTTACTTAATATTATTTTCAAAAATTAATTATTTTTGTTTGGCATATTTCCAAGTATTTACTGGTAATTTATATTCCTTCTTATGTTCATTCTCTTTGGATATTATTCACTATCTCTACTTTTTTTTTAGTAGAGATGGGGTCTCACTTGTCGCCCAGGCTGGTCTCGAACTCTGGGGCTCAAATGATCCTCTTGCCTTGGTCTCCCAAAGTTCTAGGATTACAAACGTGAGCCACTACACCCGGCCACTATCTATTTTTAAAGAATAGTGTATGCATTGAAGATATACAGATACAGATATGTCTGAAATAATTTCAGAATAATCTTAATTAATTTCTCCCAGCTTTTCATATACCATTTAGTTTGTTGTGCAGATGGCATCTGATACTTTATAGTGATTTTTAGTATTTTAGAACTAATTCAGCACATTGTTTTAAATAACTGAGTAACAATGCCTTGAGGTATATTGAATATTAACTCACAAGACAGAGGAGGACATCTTATTTTTTCAAATAATCTCAAGTTTTGAGTCCTGGAGCAGTAATTGATAAAGTTTGTTTCCCTAGGGCAAGTTACCTAACTTTTAATTTATCTTCCCTGATCCAAGTAATGGGAATAATTTAATTTCGGCCTGAATAGAGCTGTTAGAATTAAAATGAGATGAAATTTAAAATACCCTCCAAATAGTAGTTGTGTACCTATTGATAGTCTACTGTTCACTTTCCCTTTCCAAAGAGCCCCAGCTTGTGGTGCTTCCTGGGTCCAGTTCAACATCTCAGGAACCAGCCAGTCCATGTGATGCTCACACCCAGGCCTCTTGGCCCAGAGGATAGAATTTCATCTCCACCATCATCTTCATCAACAAACGAAGGGGTGACTACCAATGCAGGCATAACACAATTTCCATACTGGGGTAGTTTCCCACTATCAGTCCTTAAGCTCTGGAAAGTCATAACTTAAATGGGAGGCTGCTGGTTAGTGTGCACAGAGAACAAAGCACAGATTTTTAAAATTTTTGGCAAAATATACACAACACAATTTACCACCCTAATCCTTTTAAGTTTACACTTTGTTTTAAGTACATTTACACTACTGTAAAACTATACCATCATCCATTTCCAGAGTTCTTTCTTCTTGCAAAACTGAAGCTCTATACCCATTAAAAACTAACTTCCCATTTTCCCCATCGCCAGCCCCTGACAACTACCATTCTACTTTCTGTCTTTACAAATTTGACTACCCTAAGAACCTCATGTAAATTGAATAATACAATATTTGTCTTTTTTGCAATTGGCTTATTTCAGTTAGCATGTCCTCAAGTTTCATCCATGTTGTAGTATGTATCATAATTTCCATTCTTTTCAAAAAGGCTGAATAATACTGTATCCTATGTTTACAGCACATTTTGTTTATCCACTCATCTGCTGATGGACACTTGAGTTGTTTCTACCTTTTGGTGATTGTGAATAATGCTGCTATGAACATGGGTGTACAAATATCTCTTCAAGACCCAGCTTTCAATTTTTTGTTTATAGTCCCAGAAATTGAGTTGCTGGATCATATAGTAATTCTAACTTTACGTTTTAGGGGGGAACTTCCCATATTGTTTTCCACAGCAGCTGCACTAGATTACATTCACAACAGCAGTGCATAGGTGTTCTAGTTTCTCCACATTCTCACCAACACTTGTTATTTTTTACAGTAGCCATCCTGATGGGTGTGAGGTGATATTTCATTGTGGTGAGGGACAGGTGTTTGACCCTGAAAAATGTACATACCTTCTGTGAGTCTGAAGTTGGTCGTCTGTGAAATTGTACTAAGGGTGTCTTTTTCACAGTCTTGTAAGAAGCAAAGGAGAAAACCTCAAAGAATGTCTGGAATATAGTAGGACTTTGGTATCTTATTCCTGGCCCACCCTGCCTGCCCTGTCACCTAAAATAGAATATTTGTAGCAGCATCTGGAAATGTGGCAGCAAGAAGTGAACTTGGTTCCATGTCAGCATTTCCTTCTTTTCATGTGTTTCCCTGTCTCCTTATTTTCCTTCTAGTGTTATAGGAGTTAAGCAATTTCTTACAGAGCAACAGCATGAAGAAATCATATAGAGGAGCAAAGAATAGTAATGGATCAGCTAGATAAAATATGAGAGTCATTAAATATGTGTCCCAGTTGCCAGACCTATCAATTAGCCACAGGACCTTGGGTGAGTCTCTTCCCCAGTGCTGGCCTCTGGCTTAACACAGGAGGGCACTCAATACAAAAACAGTGGTCAGATAAGAGGTACTGAGATTTTATGCTGAGAAACATTACCTGCTGGTTACATGAAATGAGAAAAAAAATTATCAACTATATGTGCTATAATTATTGACATCTTTTATTATTATTGCTGTTATTGGGGTTTGCATTTATTATTTATTTTTTATTTTTTCATTTAGATATGGAATCTAAAAAAAATTTTAACTCATAGAAGTAGAGAGTAGAATGGTGGTTACCAGGGGCTGGGGAGATGTTGATCAAACAATACAAAATTTCAGTTGGGGCCGGGCACAGTGGCTCACGCCTAGAATCTCAGCACTTTGAGAGGCCAAGGGGGGCAGATCACTTGAGGTCAGGAGTTTGAGACCAGCCTGGCCAACATGGTGAAACCCCATCTCTACTAAAAATGCAACAACAACAACAAAAATAGCCAGGTACGCACCTGTAATCCCAGCCACTCGGGCGCCCGAGGCACGAGAATCACTTGAACTTGGGAAGCGGAGGTTGCAGTGAGTGGAGATTGTGCCACTGCACTCCAGCCTGGGTGACAGAGTGAGACTTCGTCTCAAAAAAAAAAAAATCTACTGGATAGGAGGAATAAATTCAAAACATCTATTGTACAACATAGTAACTATAGTTAATAACAATATATTGTATTCTTGAAAATTGCTAAGAGAGTATATTTTAAGTATTCTCACCACAAAAATATAAGGATGTGAGGTAATGCATATGTTAACTAGCTCAATTTAGCCATTTAGCCATTTCACGATATATATATATATTTCAAAACATCATGTTGTACTTGACAAATATATACATATATAATTTCTTGGTTTATATCCAAAAGAATTGAAATTGATATGTCAAAAAGATACCTGCACTCCCAAGGTCATTGTAGCATTATTCACAATACCTAAGATATGAACGCAACCTAGGGGTCCAACATCAGATGAATAAATAAAGAAAATGTAGTATATATGCACAAGGGAATACTATTCAGCCCTTAAAAGAAGGAAGTTCTGTCATTTGTGACAACATAGATGAAAATGGAAGACATTATGCAAGCGAAATAAGCCAGGCACAGAAAGAAAAATATGGCATGATCTCACTTATATATTAAATCTAAGAAAGTTGAACACATAGTAGTAGAGAGTAGGAAGGTGGCTACCAAGAACTGGAAGTGGGGAGTGAATGGGGAAAGGAAAGATGTTGATTGAAAGATACAAAGTTTCAATTAGGCAGGTTAAGCTTTAGTAATCTATTGCACAGAATGGTGACTATAATCAGTAATAATGCATTGTATTTTTCCAAATTGCTAAAAGAGTGGATTTTAAATATTTTTACCACAAAGATATGTGAGGTGATGGATTTGTTAATTAGCTTGACTGAGTTCATTTTGCAATGTAAACATATATGAAAACATCACATTGCACCACATAAATATATACAATTATTTTTTTAGAAAGACTCAGAAGACAACCTACAGGGGCTCCCATTGGCCAAACATTAAAAAATTTAAGTATCAAAAACATTAGTAACTGAAATGGATTAACACACATTAAATATAGAAAACTCTATGAGCTCATGATGACACTCTAAAAAAGAAACAACAAACAAAATCAACTCACTGCTCAATTTTGGAGGATCCTGGGGAGACAACTCATATATAGTGGAAAAATTACAAAAGAATTAAACATTCACCTTACCTTTCCTGTGCATACTATTCCTAAATATAACCTAATAGTTGATAAGAGGAAGTTTCTTTTATAAAGGAATTACAGCTAATAAATGCAACAGAAATTAAAGAATTAGTACATCATAATTTGAAACCTTTAATTAAATGCAGTTGTAGGCAACAATCATCAGAAGCTACAAAAAAAAAAAATCACGAAAGGAAAAGCCTATGGGAAATTTTACAATGCATGGATCAGGCTGACAACACCTAAATGCAGTGATCAATCTAAAGTCACAGGAGAGACAACCAGACAAGATAAGCTTCCTAGTCGAAAGCTATAGGAAGCATAACATCACATTTGAGGTATTCTTGCCAAAAAGCCAGAATCTGATCAAGCTTATAAATCTAATTAAAGGAATTAGAAGGGGCCAGAGAAACATAAAAAGCAACACTATAGGAATACAATCAGCAAAACCCAGAATGCAAACTCCACAGGGCAAAACACCCAGTTCCTTAAATAAACAAACTAGAGGGTCAGAGAGAGAGAGCGAGAGAGAGAGGACAGACCTTCCTTGGAATAAAAGAGACAACATTTCAAAGTTAGATTTAATAGAAATTAAAATTAAAACCACAATGAGATACCACCACACACCTAACAAAACAATAAAAATGAGAAAGAAAATACCGAGTGCTGGCAAGGACGTGGAGCAGTGGAACTCTCAACACTGCTGGTGGGAATACAGATTGGAAAAAACCACTTTGAAAAATTGCTTGGTGGTATATTCTGAGCTGAACATACACATACCCTATGACTCAGAAATGCCACGCTTAGGTACATACATGCCCAAGGGAAATAAAAGTAAATGCCCATCCAAATGATACAAACAAGAATGTTCATACCACCATTATTCATAATAAGTCAAAAACTGAAAAATACCTAAATCCCATTAACAAATATATGTATTTTTAAATATTCACATGATGTAATATTCAATGAGAATGAATAGTCTACAACTATAAACACCTATCGAGGTAAATTTCATGCACGTTATGTTGATTAAAAGGAGCCAGACACAAAAAAAGTACAAGCTGTATGATACCAAAAACAATTTTTTCTTCAAATCTCCCAATAAAGTTTGGGGAAGAAGAGGAAAATCAACACCCCATTTTCTTTTATTTGAAGGTATTTAGTGTCTTTTTATATTACCTGCAGGTTAACCTCAGAGAACCGTGTATCCACTCAGCCCTTGAAACGCAATTTGCTACCGGCAGGAACTAGGCTAATGTTGTGTATGAGGACAGGCACTAAGTGCAAGACACTAACTCTAGGTGGCCTTGGGTAAATCATCTGCCTCATCCATCAGTGGGGGTCAGATCTGCACTGCCTCCCAAACAATGAAACCCAAAGCACAGAAGAATGTTATTTCCATCTAGAAAGCTGCCTAAGTTACTAAAAAAAAAAAAAATAGAATTTACTGTGGAAGTCCAAGGAATTATCTTAATAGCCAAGTGGTCTAGTGTATAGTATCTGTTATGGTTGTTACTTTTTATGTTTTTGTATTACCTTTTTGTTTTTCTTAAATAAATACCCTCTCTTACATAGTACAATGGCTACCAAGGGGTAATTTTCATCAAAAGAGATAGGGCCCTGTCTACCATCAACTACTGTGGACTGACATGGTTCAACACATGGCTTTTTCTTCCTCCTAAGTGTACTAGTTAAGAGTATGCATTCTTGGCTGGGCGCGGTGGCTCATGCCTGTAATCCCAGCACTTTGGGAGGCTGAGGTGGGCGGATCATGAGGTCAGGAGATTGAGACCATCCTGGCTAACACGGTGAAACCCCTTCTCTACTAAAAATACAAAAAATTAGCCAGGCATGGTGGCACATGCCTGTAGTCCCAGCTACTCAGGAGGCTGAGGCAGGAGAATGGCGTGAACCCGGGAAGTGGAGCTTGCAATGAGCCGAGATCGCACCACTGCACTCCAGCCCGGGTGACAGAGCGAAACTCCGTCTCAAAAAAAAAAAAAAGAAAAGAAAAGAATATGCATTCTTGTGAGAGAATGATTGCAAACTCTAGTCTGCCACATAAAAACTGCATGCCTTTGAATAGTTTTACTTGACCTTAAAGTCACTCAAATATCTCACCCGTAAAACCAGGTTTATATAGTTCTTAGAAAAAAAGTTTTTAAAATATTGTCTTGTGTTTTAGTTTTTACAAAGATAAGTGGTCAGAAATCCAATCATTTAAAACATTCTGCTGTCGACACATTGGGATACCTGGCTCTGTGACCCTGAGGCAATGAAAAAACTCTGTGCCTCAGTTTCCTCTCTGTCAAGTGGGGAAAGCAATCGTTCCCACCTCATGGGTTGTTGCTTTGAGAATTACTTGAGTTAATACACGAAAACGCTTAGAACAGTGGTAGGCACACAGTAACTTCATTAAATGTAAACTTGCATATTGAGATTTTTATAGTTTTAAAAGTTTGATAGTTTGCATGTCTTCAATAAATCTTACTAGTCTCACAACTAAATCTTAATTATTAATTGATGTATTTTTTAAATTACTAACCTTTACTATAACCACTTTTGGATGTCCTAACTAATTAACTTGAGAATATCTCAAAAGAACGTGTAACCACTGATCTCAGAAAGCTGCACCAACATTTCTCTATGTAGCTATACAAACGACTGAGGGGTCATTCTTGACTGTGCCTTATCCCCACATACCATGAACAGGCACTGCAGGTCCCACCTGCCCTACCTCCAAACATTCTCTGTACATTCTCCCCCAAACATTATCTGTAGGGTTTCTCTGTTCATGTAATTACTCAGAATTGCACCAGTCCTTCCCTCCCACCTAAGATCACAGATTGCTTTCCCACGTGGGATCACACTTAAACTCCAGAGTATATTACTGGTTATCAGGAAGACTGTGTACTGTTATTCTGTTATACACATGAGGCTGGTAGAAGGGTAGTGACTCACCTAAAGTGTCCCAATGATGGGACCCTGATCTTTTCACTCTTGTTCCAGTAAGCTGTCTAGCAGGCTCCATACCACACTTGGTTCTTCTCTATCAGCCCCTTGTTCTAGGATGCACAGTCCACACCCTTCTCTGCTGTTTCATTAGAAGGGAGATTAAGAAGATAATAAAGCATGTGGAATAGAGAGGAAAGTAAGAGGATGAGAAAGCACATGAAAAGCAGGGGATGGGATGATGATGTCTGGCCTGTCCCCACTCAGTTAACTAAAAGCTGTGTAATGACACTTTTCCTCTTCCCTAGCTCCATTCTACAACCCCCTGCCACACAGAGCAGTGACACTGAAGCTAACACATAGTGGAAATGTGGGTTTATCTGTGCTTGCTGTTACATATCCAAATATTGTCCCTGGTAGTCAGGCTATTATGTTAATGCCAGAGGCATCACATTGATGGAACGAAGGAGACAAGTTGGAATGGGGAACTAACATTTGCTGAGGGCCTTTTCTCTTCAAGCCTTCAAGGTGCTGCTCTGAGGTAAGCATCATTACTTTTTTCTACAGATGGGGATATAGTCAGATTCAGAGAGCAAAGGACATGCTCAAGGAATTCAAGGAAGCTGTCAAATGGACACTGAGGCCAACTTGAAGGGGCTTCCACTAGCCAATTCTGGGACAATTTGAGCATCGAAATAATTAAAGTACTATATGGTAATAAAGCTTTTCTTCCTCATTCTCTGCAAATCCACCTTGATGAATTTGTGGAATCTTGAGTTTGCCTTTGGGCAAAATTGGAATCTATGAGTCATACTGATATAAATAAATGCTTGAATAAATACATAAATAAACAATAGGATCAAAGAGACCTGTCTACTTTACAGTTGAATGCCACTTAATAAATCTAGAAGGACTAACAGAATTAGAAAAATAGCACTTGTAAAGTCTCATAGTAATAAGTGATTCAGGTAAGAATTATAAATGCATGCTTAGTCTGCACCAAATCCCACAACAGTAACCACGTCACCATGGTAACCCTGCTAGGAAAAAAACAAACAACACTTTATTTTATTCCTGATATGTACTAGGAACTGAACAGTACTGATACATTGCACAGTAATTAACCTCAAGTGTTCCTCAAAATACACACTCCCAGCAGCTTTAGTGATATACACATATATACATATATACCCACATACATATATGCTCTGTTATCTCTCTCACAACTCAAGATTCCACAAATTCATCAAGGTGGATTTGCAGAGGATGAAGAAGAAAAACTCCAAAATTCAACAAATTCAATTCTAACCACCCACATCAAATTGAAAGTACCATAACCATTTTCTTCTAGTAATTGAGTTTTTTCTACATCACCTATAAAATTGTCTCTGGAACATTTTTGTCTCTTTTTGAGTCAGAAGGCTTAATATTGTTAAGATGAAAATTGGTAAGAGGAAAAATCCCCAAACTGTTCTATGAATCCAGTGAAAATCCTAGTGTGTGTTTTTTTCAAAAGAAATGGAGGAGCTGATTCTAAAATTCATGTGGAGGTGCAAAAGATCTACACTAGAAAAAAAAAACCTTGAAAAAGAACAAAATTGGAGAACAAACACCACCTGATTTCAAGACTCACTCCAAACTTACAGTAATTAAAACAGTGTGCTGTTGGCATCGAGGTAGACAATTAGATCAATGGAACAGAATAAAGAGTCTCAAAATAGATCCTGCCAATATGGAAAAGTGATTTTTGACACAGGCACAAAGGCAATTTAGTGAGGAAAGGATCTTCTTTTCAACAAATGGTGCTGGGATAAGAGGATATTCATATGCACAAATATAAATTGTGATCTATATATCATGCCATATGCAAAAGTCAATGCAAAATGGATCATAGACCTAAATGTAAAACGTAGAGCTACAGAAACATTGGAAAAAACACAAAAGAAGAAAACTAGGAGAAAATTCTTGCTATCATTGATTAGGCGAAGATTTCCTAGATGTCACAACAAAACTACAGTCCATACATGAACAAATTGATAATTTAGATCTACTTAAATTAAAAATGTCTGCTCTTCCCAAAGCACTATTCAGAGAATGAAAAGACAAAGCCACTGACTGGGAGAAAAATATTTTTGTTTTTATTTTTTATTCTTTCTATCTATCTATCTATCTATCTATCTATCTATCTATCTATCTATCTATCTATTTTTAAGATGGAGTCTCCCACTGTCGTCAAGGCTGGAATGCAGTGGCACGATCTCAGCTCAGTGCAAGCTCCGCCTCCTGGGTTCACGCCATTCTCCTGCCTCAGCCTCCCGAGTAGCTGGGACTACAGGCGCCCGCCACCACGCCTGGCTAATTTTTTGTATTTTTAGTAGAGACAGGGTTTCACTGTGTTAGCCAGGATGGTCTCGATCTCATGACCTCGTGATCCGCCTGCCTTGGCCTCCCAAAGTGCTGGGATTACAGGTGTGAGCCACCGCGCCCGGTGGAGAAAAATATTTTTAAATCATATATCTGATAAAGGACTTGAAAGAATATCTCACAAAACTTCATAGAACAAAATAGACATTCTCCAAAACAAATATGAAAAGGATTTTAATGGTTACTTTATCAAGAAGATCTAAAAATGTCAAATAAGCACACGAAACTATGCTCAACATCATTAGTCATTAGAAAGTTGTAACTATAATGAGATGCCATTATACTCCTATGAGAATGGCCAAAATTAAAAATACTGACCACACTAAGCATTGGCAAGATTGTGGAGAATGGAACTCTCCTAAACTGCTGGTGAGAATAAAAAATGGAGGCTGAGGCAGGAGAATGGCGCGAACCCGGGAGGCGGAGCTTGCAGTGAGCCGAGATCGTGCCACTGCACTCCAGCCTGGGCGACGGTGCGAGACTCCGTCTCAAAAAGAAAAAAAAGAAAAGTGTCCAAAAAAGAACACATTCTGTATGATTCCATTTATATAAAACTATACAAAGGAAAATTAATTGTGACATAAGTTAATTGGTTACCTAGGAATGAGCAGGAGTTGAGGGGAGGGAGTCGGAGGCTGGAGACAAGTGAGTGGGGAGATTATTATACTAAAGCACACAAGGAAGCTTTGAGGGTGACATGTTCATTATTTTGACTACAGTATTAGTTTCACAGTGTGTGTGTATATATATATATGTCACAACTTACTAAAACATATACTTTAAATGTGCACATTTGAAGTGTATTTGTATTTTTATGCATTAAAGAATGCGATTAACTTAATCATTAGAAAGAGTCCCATAAATATGCTCTAATCATATTAACAGGTCCACACTATGGCTTACCAAATTAGTTCACATTACATTTGACCGAAATCGAGATAATTATTTGCAATGAAGTGTATCTAAATATTTAGAGAAAGTTGATACACATGTCATTTGAAGGATGTAACTAAAAGTATCATTTCTTGGAAAATAATCATAATGATGTTTAACGATATATGGTTATTTTAGGGAACGTGGCTGAGTAACATTATCATAGGGTAAACTAGAGGGCAATTATTAGTTTTGAAAATACTGAATTCTTGCGCCTGATATTTTTTACTAACACTTTATAAATTTCTGGCTTCTTAAAAAATGTCATTATAGGCTGGATACAAATGTGGTAACCATGAAAGAATGCATATTATAATCTCAAATTGTTAGGAAGACCTTCCTACCAACTGCGTATTTCAACACTCATCGGAGAGATACATAGAGTCACTTATTATTATTTATACAGACAGAAAATTATATGTGAATTTATTGCAATTTTATGTTAAATGTCAGGTTATTTCCTCAAGCAGGTGAATTCATTGCTTTAAAAGAATTTATCTATAAGATGGGCACCAAGGGCTGCTACAAAGCATGTAGCTGCTGATGGAATGAAATTTCACTTGCTAAACATTTTCTCCAATGATACGATTCAAGTAGCTGCTCTACTTTTAGAGTATTTTAATATTTGCTAATCTGATATCATATTGTTGGAATGTTAGGTTACTTTTCATTTTTCTCCTATTATATTTCCGTATAAATGGCATAGTTCATATTTATGCCACAGAATATGTCTTGAAATAATTCTACAGTTTGAAAACCAATTTTGATGACTATATGTGTTTATGCTGCATCTTATTTAACTGGAAAATGTGGGGCCATGAGAACTTCATACACTGCTGTGAGAGGACAAATTGGTATAACCTGTTTGTAGAGACCTTTGGCAACATTTATGAGATAAGTAAGTGAGGACCTCATTAGCTGCTGTATACTTGGTGACAAACTGCAGAGAGTCTCAGGCACATGTGTCCCAGGAAACCTGTGCAAGATGGTTATGGCAGCATGGTTAGTCATGTCAAAACAGCCCCAAAGTCACCTTATTAGAGAAATCTCAGAAACACTATTTTCAAAGGGGAAAAAGGTACAAAGGGGCACTTACTCTAAGATAGCACAAATATTTATAGCCAAAAATGTGCAATTACATATTTTGCATCATTCTCTCACAACAAGTCTGCGAGGAAGGCTTCATTATTTCCAGTTTACAGATGACCAATTCAGACTCGCTGATGGAAAATCAATTTTGCAGAGGCATCTAGTAAGGATCAGAAGTGGAGTTGTAACTCTTACTCTTCTCAAAGGACAACACATGGTCTCCTTTTATAGATAATGACCATCTAGGACTTAAACACTTGTAGTTATTTATGGTGCTAAGATTGTGCCTGTTGGGATTCGATCAGGCTGGTGGGAAAAATATTAGTTATGATAGCCATAAAACCCTTTCGGAAGGCCTGAGGGTTTTCACATGACTTTGGTAATAGACCGGACTGGAAGCAGCCTGGTCCCATTACCTTTAGTTAAATAGATTAAAATAGTAAACAACGGAATGTGGGGAAGCTGTCTAGCTAGCTTGTTTACTCATATGATCTTAAAACTAACCTTTGATGTACCTTGGGTGCTTAAGTGCCTTTTACTCAGGAAGTCCACAATGTCAATTACTCCCTAATGGTGTTGACTCAAGCTTTTGTTAGTTAATCTTACTGAATAAATGCAAATCTCCCTAGCTGACTGAGGCAGGCCGCAGTACAGCACCTCTCTTGGTGTGTAAGCGGCTCGGACAGACTCAGCTGGACTGGCAAAACACAGTATCTGTGTGTCAGTGTACGTTTATTCATTCGTTGCTGAATCAGGGGTCTGCAGGAACAGACGCCCCCGCAGCTAGTGCCTCCGTGAAAGGAGCACTGCCTCATATGCCCTTGTGGGTACTCACTCAACAACCTGTCTCTCTTTGAAGAAGCTGATGGTGCAGAGGAAATCCCAGTGCAATGTCCTGTAGGTGGTAATGGGTCTGGTATGAGAGTCAAAGGCTTATGACTCCTGCCTCCTCTTCATCTGCGCTCTTTCTTCATTTGAGACTCAATGGGAAACTGCTTTTCCAATATCAATCTAGAAGGTCAAATGATGGGGCAGAAAATGATAGGGGATTGGTTTGATGATCTTCTCACCTCACCCCAATACCTCAACAAGCCATCCTGTAACGCAGAAATGGCCCCAAAGGTTCATGTATAAGTGTGAGCACATGCTCCATCTTCATGCTCTCCTTCCAGGTGGTCTCTGTGGTAGTTATGCTGCTTGGTTTAGATAACAGTCGTCATTTCTCTGGGAGGGAGGAAAAAGGTGGGCCTGGATGACCATTCGTTGAAGTACTACTAGGTGCCATCTACTCTGTATGGGACTTCTCATTTACCCCACAGAAAACTTGTCTAAGGAAGGCATTGTGAGTCCCCTTTTACAGATGACCAAGCGTAGGCTTACAAAAACTGAAAAAGGATTCCAGTGTCACACATGAAGTAAGGGATAGAAATGGGATTCCAGCTCTTGTCCTCATCACAATATACCATGTAATCTCTAGGAGCAATATTACCCACAAAGGGCTAAAAATTGCTTTAGGGTAGAGAAGTGGGAGTAGACACTGCAATGGTTTGCGGCTCTCCAAAGGTCCACAATACATTTAAAAGTATACACTATATTTGTGGTATTAACATTTCAAATTTCGGGCAGAAGGGGGTTGATAAGGAAATATGTCTGAAAAGTCTCTTCAGAGGGGCAATAATGAAAGAAGGTTGAGAAACATTGCATATACCCAGAGACTACTTTCGCAGATGATGTCCCACTAAGGCTTAGGTGTTGGTTTTTTACACTCTCCTGTGGATACTTACTCTACAACCCCTCTTGGTGGTAGTGATAATGATGATGATAGAAATGAAATCCTGCCCTTTGGTCCGAGAGACCTGAGCATGGGGACCATGTGAATTGACTGGTTTTTAAGGTGGCAGACATGCGCTCAGTCAGAAAAATAGGTGTTTCCTCTGGGACAAATGATCTAAGAAGATAGGAGTCAGGCAGGAAGGAGATTCAGGTTAATTTTATTTTATAAATATATATGTCATTATTGCTTGAAATGCTGTAAACAGGAACATTTATTAAGATAAAAATTTGAAAACAAAATACCTTTTTTTTTGTTTTTGAGACGGAGTCTTGCTCTGTCGCCCAGGCTGGAGTGCAGTGGCACGATCTCGGCTCATTGCAAGCTCCGCCTCCAGGGTTCACGTCATTCTCCTGCCTCAGCCTCCCGAGTAGCTGGGACTACAGGCGGCCGCCACCACACCCCGCTAATTTTTTGTATTTTTAGTAGAGATGGGGTTTCACTGTGTTAGCCAGGATGGTCTGGATCTCCTGACCTTGGGATCCGCCTGCCTCGGCCTCCCAAAATGCTGGGATTACAGGTGTGAGCCACCGCGCCTGGCCTGAAAACAAAATACTTTTAATCATATAAAGAAATAATGTATCCGTGATTTTATTGTTTTGGAAATATATTCAAAGAATACCAATTAGGAGAGAAAATAAACTGATTACAGTTTATAACAATGGATCTGTATGTGTCAGTGTGTATTAGTGTGAGTTTCTGTAGTTGAAATTTGATAATATCTGTGTGCTTCTGTGTTTCAAACTCTTATCACCCTAAGTAGTCATGGGCTCTGGAACATGCTGGCTGTGTTCAAATCCATGAAGTGTCACTTTCTAAGTGTTAGAGTTTAGGCAAAGTACTTTACCTCCCAGCTCTTCATTTCCTTCATCTGTAAAATTAGAATGAAAAAGGTTAAGGCCGGGTGTGGTGGCTCACGCCTGTAATCCCAGCACTTTGGCAGGCTGAGGCGGGCGGATCACGAGGTCAGGAGATCCAGAGCATCCTGGCTAACACGGTGAAACCCCATCTCTACTAAAAATACAAAAAATTAGCTGGGTGTGGTGGCAGGCGCCTCTAGTCCCAGCTACTCTGGAGGCTGAGGCAGGAAAATGGCGTGAACCCGGGAGGTGGAGCTTGCAGTGAGCCGAGATGGCGCCACTGCACTCCAGCCTGGGCAACAGAGCGAGACTCCGTCTCAAAAAAAAAAAAAAAAAAAAAGAAAGAAAAAGATTATACTGTAGTTTTGAGAATAAATATGGCTACTTGGTGCAACAATCTTAGCTAATTTTAATAGTTTCATATTTTAGTGTCCATTTGTTTTCTTGCAAGCACTGAAACTATGATATAGATGGTTGTTTATTGACATTGAATGATATTCAATATGTGTTGCTAGTGAAGAAAGGCAGGTCATAAAATTTTAATTAAGATACAATTTTATTTTAAGACAGAAATATCATGATTCTACTTGCAGAAGAAGAGCAACAGAAATGGTAAATATCTGGGCAAATATAATGGAATATTCTCCTTTTGTCCTTTAAAATAAGTTTGTTGAAAGCAAAAGTATAACATTGTCTGACAGGGTTTTCAGTGAATGTAGACATAGTACATGAGATATTTACAGATTTTTGTGGCATAAGGGGAAGGTTATAGGGTTATAAGATGATGAGATTTCAACAAATCAATTAAAATGTTAAATTTTGATTCTAAAATTCTAAAAGACTGCGGAAAGTTAAGATGATAGTTTGTGCTAAATAGAGTGACCACTAAAAGTGTAAAACAAAGAAATAGTGTCAAAATCACCACAGAAAAATTAAAATGGACTATAAAACCTTTCAAATAAACCAAAGGAAGGATGGAAAGGGGAAATATAGAAATAAAAAATGGAGGAAATAAAGAGAAAATAAGTAATGAAATGGTAGATATAAATCCAAATATTTGAAAAATTACATTAAATGTAAAAGGCTTTATGATATAATAAAAATAAATACTGTATTTCGTCTTTGTCCCCAGCTCTTGGCACAGAGCTCCTAAAATCTTCAAAAGGTTTTATACAGTAGTGAGATGGCTCTTGCAGGGTGAGGGTGTAGATACTTTCAGGATGCAGCCTGGTTGTCAGAAAAACCAACCAGGTAATTAAAGTGTTAGAACTTTTAGCCCCACTCCTTTGATATCCAGAAGGTGGAGAAATTAAGTGTAAGTCGCCAATGGCCAATGATTTAAATCAATCATATCTATATAATGAAGTCTTCATAAAACCCCTAAACAATGGAGTTTGGGGAATTTCCAGACTGACAAACACATTGACGTGCTGGGAAGATGGTGTGCCCCAGAGAGGACGTGGAAGCTCCACATCCATCCTCCCCACCCTGCCTGGCCCTATGCATTTCTTCCATTTGGCCATTCCTGAGTTATATTCTTTATAATATACCGGTAATAGCAAGTAAAACATTTTCCTGAGTTATAAGAGTTATTTTAGAGAATTATCAAGTCTATGGTGGGGGAACCTTAGAAACCCTTGAATTTGTAGTCAGTTGGGCAGAAGGGTGAGTTGCCTGAGGACCCTACTTGTTTGTGGCTGGCATCTGAACTTGGACAGTCTTACAGGACTGAACCTTTTAACTTGTGAGATCTGAAGCTAACTTAGGTAGATAGCATCAGAATTGAATTTAACTGTTGGGTACTGAGCTGCTGTTGAAAAATTGGAGAACTGGCTGTTGGTGTGGAAAAATGACACACACTTGATGTGAGAAAACACCACACAGGTCTAAATACACCAATAACATGACAGAAATTATCTGATTGTTGTATCAATTGTAGAGGGAAGAGTGTTGAAGTATCCTAATAATGTCACGACGTTGTGTATTTTTCCTTTCCTTGCTATCAGTTTTTACTTTGCATATTTTGTAACTCTGCTGTTTGCTGTATATACATTTAGGATTGCTATATCTTCTTGGCAGATTGACTCTTTTATTTTATAATATTCCTCTCTGTATCTAGTACTTATCTTTGCTCTAAAGTGTACTTTATCTGAAACTAATACAACCACACTCCTGTTTTCCTTTATTTTCATAATGTATATTTTTCATCCTTCCATAGTCTGAATGTTTCCCCCAAAATTTATATGTTGAAACTTAATTGCCAATTTGAGCCTATTAAGAGGTAGGGCCTCTAGGAGGTGATTAAGTCATGAGGGCTCTGCCCTAATGAATGGGTTTAGCGACCTTATAAAAGGGCTAGAGGGAACCAGATTTGCCCTTTTGCCCTTCCACCTTCTGCCATGTAAGCATACAGCTTTTTTCCCTTTAATTATGTGAAAATATAGCAAGATGGCCCTCACCAGACAATAAATACCAGTGCTGTGATCTTGGACTTCCCAGCCTCCAGAAATGGGAGAAATAAATTTGTGTTCTTTATAAATTACACAGTCTAGGTATTTTGTTATAGTAGCACAAACAGACTAGCACACATCCCTTTGCCTTCAACCTATGTCTGTCATTTCATCTGAAGTGAGATTCTTGTAGCAGCATCTACATGATAGATAATAAAAAGTTATTTAGTTGATTTTATTTGCATTCTTTACATAATTAATGAGTTAGAACATTTTTTCATGATTATTGGCTATTTGCATATATCTTTTTTTGAGACAGGGTCTTTCTCTGTCTCCTGGCTGGAGTGCAGTGGCACAATCATGGCTCACTGCAACCTCGACCTCCTGGGCTCAAGTGATCCTCCTGTGTCAGCCTCCTGAGCAGCTGGGATTAGAGGTGTGAGCCACTGCACCGGGCCTCTTTTTTTTCTGTGGGTCAGATAAAAATTGTTGGACCTCAATTTCCTACTTTATAATGACAAAGGAGTGTGTTTGGGTCAGTGCTTTAGAAAGTAGAGTCCCCAGACAACCGATATCATGAGGGACATGCATTCTCTAATAAAGGGACAGGTGTCATACTGAGGATGAATATTTGAAGGGACAGTCTCCAAACACATACAGATCAGAGATGCATAGACTCTTTAATAGATGTTGACAAATCAACCTGGAAAGAGGTTGTACTAAGTGACATCCCCACTAGCAATATGAGACAGGGTAGATGTCCCTGCATGCACACCTCACTGGAATCCTGAATAGTTTTTTTTATACTTTGATAACATGCCAGGTGGAAATTCTCTCACTGTAATCATATTTAACTAGATATTAAGGTAATTTTTAAATAATTCTCTAGTAAACAAATACTCTGTTAATCATCATTATCACTATTTTTCAATGCAAAAGGGTCCAGTTACATATGCAGCCTAACAGACACAATAAGCAACAAGCACATGAGCCTGCAGGTTCTCCTAGGGCTACTGCTGACATGTGAGTCCATGACAGGGTCCAAGGCCTTCCCTCTATGATTGGATGTTAGCATTATTAGTTTCTTCACTCCGCTGTGGCCTTTGTCACATGACTCTACTTGTGGAGTGTAAATGGCACTACTTCTCTGGGTAGCAGTATGGCAATACTTATCAACAGGCTACATAATTGCACACCCTTTGCTCCAACAATTTTTTAGAAGGTTATCTTCAGGATGTAGTGAAGGATATTGATAAAGATTTGGATATAAGGATTGCCATCTTTTTTTTTTTTTTTTGTTGTTGTTGTTGTTGTTGTTGTTTTTGAGACGGAGTCTCGCTCTGTTACCCAGGCTGGAGTGCAGTGGCTCACTGCAACCTCTGCCTCCCGGGTTCAAGCGATTCTCCTGCCTCAGCCTCCTAAGTAGCTGGGACTACAGGCATGTGCCACCACGCCCGGCTAATTTTTTGTATTTTTTAGTAGAGACGGGGTTTCACCGTGTTAGCCAGGATGGTCTGGATCTCCTGACCTCGTGATCCGCTGGCTTCAGCTTCCCCAAGTGCTGGGATTACAGGCGTGAGCCACCGTGCTGGCCCAGGATTGCCATCTTAATAATTATTTACCTTTCCTTCTGGGCCAGAATTTAGTTAGGGAGACCAATGGGAAGCAAAGACATCCAGGGGCAGAAGGAAACAGAGGGATATGTGGTTGTCAGTACAAACACACAGAGAGAGAGAGAGACAGAGAGGGAGAGAGAAACCCCAGCCAGATTCTATCATCACAATACTATAATTCTTCCAAGACAGTTAGCTGGGCTCAAAGTGGGCACATTCCACTTACCAGTGCAAACAGCCACATGACCATTGCCCTGAACTGCACTCTTTAGCAGTGTACAGACTCTGAAAAGATACCATTCACAGAGTGTAGATAATAGGGAATATCAGAACACTCTAAATAACATGGGCTTGTGAAAACTGATTATGTCACATCTATAGGATGGAATTTTGGAAGGCAACAAAAACAAATTTGGATGAAAACAAAGATGAGAGATGATATGTTGCCTAGCAGATTAATAACAATTCCCATTACTTCGAATGTTCAGAGAAACAGGTACTTTCATGCTGCAAAGTTAAAATATATACGAGTAATACAATGGTTTTTTTGAGACAGGGTTTTGCTCTGTTGTCCAGACTGGAGTTCAGTGGTGTGATCACAGCTCACCATAGCCTCAACCTCCCAAGCTCAAGCAATCCTACCTCCCAAGCTCAAGCAATCCTACCTCAGCCTCTTGAGTAACTAGGACTACAGGCACATGCCACCATGCCTGGCTAATTTTTTAAATTTTTGTAGAGATGGGGTCTCGCTATGTCACCCAGGCTGGTCTCCAACTCCTGGGCTCATATTATCCTCCCGAGGCAGCCTCTCAAAGTGCTGGAATTACAGGCATGAGCTACTGTGTCTGGTCAGTAATAGCATTTTGAATTCATTATGCTAATATAAAATTTTATCATTTACCAGGGTTTTGAAAGGACACTTTCAAGACTTTATTATAAAGAAACGCTTACTAAGATATTTTCATGTATATGAACAAGAACATTAAGTATGCTATTGTTCGTAATAGAAAATGTAAAATGACTATATTTCCATCGCTAGGGTACTGGAAAAATAAAATTTAAGAGCTTTATACTATCAAACACTTGGTCCTTGTAAAAAAAAAAAGTGAAATTTTGTTGCAAAGTAGTTTAAAGTGCTAGCATAGAAATGTATTTACATGGAAATATATTAGGTGCAAAAGCAGGTTGCAATGGTCACAAATAGCCTGGATCCATTTTTGTTTATATGGGTCTCAACCTATTTATCCAGATGTCCTAAAGCATAAAAATAAAAATTACTCTTTTGTTCAACCTACAAAGCATAGAAAGAGGCTTCACTTTTTGCCTGGATACCCAGGGTATGTCTACTTTTTTCCCAGACCAGAAAACTGTCTGGCTTCCTGTTCATGGATGTTCAAGCTGCAGTGCAGGCCTATGTCACGAGGGGGCACCACAGTACCACTATATACCACTATTTTCAAACTTCAAAGTGTCTGCAAGGAGCAAAAATTACAATACCTCTCTTGCGACCCAGTTTATGAATCTCAGTACAGAACATTCTAATACTCTCTGAAAAAACCGGATAGGTATAAAATAATGGTGTAAAACCATATAATGAAACACCAGGTAGCAGCAGTGCGCCTTGGTCGTGGCCGGTGGGCGAGCACAGAGCAGCAGAGGGCAGGCGGGAGGTGTCTGAGACAGGATCGGCAGTCATTGAGGGGTCTGGGCAGCTGTGTCCACCGTGTCCTGGAGAGAGGATGACTGAGAGGAGATGGGAGAAGGTCTGGGAAACCTATACAGGGGTGGGGTAATGGAGAGTGAATGCCATGCTTTCTGGGAGGGAGGGGCTCTCCTACAGTGTGGACACCTCAACCTACACTCAGGAGGGAAGAGATAAATCAGTGAATGTGATGTAGATTTGAAGTCAACAGCCATTGGAACTGCTTTAATATACATATGAATTTTCCAAACAGAATTTTTATTTTAGTAAACAGAACATTCCAAGTCATTTCTTACTCTCTGCAAACCGTACTGTACTCCTTTTCTTTAAAAAACAAGTTGCTCCGCCTGAAAAAAAAAAAGAAAAGAAAAAAAGAAATTGGACTGGGCATGGTGGCTCACGCCTGTAATCCCAGCACTTTGGGAGGCTGAGGCGGTTGGATCACGAGGTCAGGAGTTCAAAACCAGCTTGGCCAAGATGGTGAAACCCTGTCTCTACTAAAAGTACAAAAAAAATTAGCCGAGCGTGGTGGCGGGTACCCGTAATCCCAGCTACTCAGAAGGCTGAGGCAGAGAATTGCTCTGCTGAGGCAGAGGTTGCAGTAAGCCGAGATCGTGCCACTGCACTCCAGCCTGGGTGAAAGAGCGAGACCCCGTCTCAAAAAAAAAATAAAAATAAAAATAAAAAAGAAATTGGAGATGGATGTAGTCTGGTGGTCACAGCCAGGATTGCAATTCTGAAAGTCTCAGTCCAAGGGTTTCAGCAAGGAGTAGGGAGAATTGGAGTTGGGGATCTTTTTAAATATTTATTTATTTATTTATTTATTTATTTATTTATTTATTTATTTATTTATTAGAGATGAGGTCTCAGTATGTTGCCTAGGCTGGTCTAGAACTCCTGAGCTCAAGCTATCCTCCCACCTTGGCCTCCCAAAGTGCTGAGATTACAAGTGTGAGCCACTGTGCCCAGCCAGAGTTGGGGATCTTGATTTAATGGTACCAGGCCAGTTTTCTGGAATTTTTAACCAATTAGCAGCAATCTCTCTGTATTCTTCATTTTCTAGGACATCTAAACCTCAGATTGGAATCCAGCTCCAGTCTCAACTAAAGATAAAGCAACATCTGTGAGGTGGGGCAATCCAGCTACAGGAGACATAGAAATACACTCACACACAGAGTAAATTCAACTTTTTATCTATTTCATTTTCCTATGAAATTAAACACAAAGAATGCCTTTCCAAAGCAATGAATATATGTGCACATATATGCACACTACCATCTTCATCACCAAGAAGGGTTGTTGAATGAGGACCCATAAGGCCACAATAGCAGGGGAGTGGAATCTGACCATTTCTCAAGCCCTGGGCTCCCATCTCCTAAAAGGGAGGGTGCTCAGTGTCTTCTAAAAAGGGCGAGGCATAGGACCTCATTCCAATCCTGTCAGTTATGTGGAGAGGTGACTTCGGCTCTATAAACTTCTATTTGGTCATCTGTGAAATGGGACTGACCATACCATCCTTACAGAGCTGTCCTGAGAGTCAAATGAAAAAACTTTTCCAGACTCTATGGCATAGAATGGGACTTCAATGGTGAATTAAATGTTGAGAACAGCAGTAGGGACTGGCTGAGACTCAGGGCTAAGGAGGCATTCTGAAAAATTATTTTTCATTGTTTTCCCTTATGAGAATATAGACATGTAGATAAAGGAAGCAAATATCTTTCTGATATGCCTTGATTTCAACATGTTAGAGACAGAAGGTTTTCAATATTCTTGTGTGTTTCATAATCTCATAAGAACTGTTCAATATCATGCTTCTGAGTGGACCCAAATCCAGTTCCTATGCTGGAAAGACAGGTGTGTCTGTGAACTCACTTGGTTATCTCATTAATACATAGGACCCGGGAAGCACGGTGTATTGTTTGCCTAAAGGTTGCTCCTGGACTGCTCAGAATGTTAATATATTTAGGAAAATGCTGGAGCTATTCCATAGCCATCAGTGCAGGATCCTCAGAGCATGCATTATCCAGCCATATCACAACAGGATTTCAGCCATCTGTTGCTTCCCTGAGAGACAAAAATCCAAGAATTACTAGCATTTCTTCAACATACAATTAACTATTCTTACATTCACCAATTCGCTAAATATGTATTGGGCTCAGAACCCATACTATTCCATTGGAGGCATCTCATTAGCTCCCTCTTAAGTAAATATAAAAGAGTAAGAAGGGAAATTAACATGTGGGAAAATTCAAGGTTTAAGTCTGATATGAGATGGCTCCTGCTCCTGCACATTAACTTTTAAACTTGCCAAACTTTCAAGGAATTAAAGATTTTTAAAAATTCTTTGCCGCGCACTGTGGCTCACGCCTGTAATCCCAGCACTTTGGGAGGCCGAGGCGGGCGGATCACGAGGTCAGGAGATCAAGACCATCCTGGCTAACACGGTGAAACCCCGTCTCTAGTAAAAATACAAAAAATTAGCCGGGCGAGGTGGCAGGCGCCTGTAGTCCCAGCTACTCGGGAGGCTGAGGCAGGAGAATGGCGTGAACCCAAGGGGGCGGAGCCTGCAATGAGCCGAGATCGCGCCACTGCACTCCAACCTGGGCGACAGTGAGACTCCGTCTCAAAAAAAAAAAAAAAAAAAAAAAAAAATTCTTAAGTTTTTCTTATGTTCCTTTCACACACTGAAGGAGCACAGAGAATTTCACCCCAAAATATGCCTCCGTGGCATAATGAATATTTTGAATTAAAAACTCTTGGAAATCAACGGGCCTTGAAAGAGACTTTTCCCCTATCTTCCTAAAGATCAGGTGAACCCATCAAGAAGAATAATTTCTTTTCTTTCTCTTCCCTGTTATCTCATCTATTTCAGGTAAGGAGAGGAAGAATGTAACCAGGTCTGGCCCAGTCTTCTTACAGAATAATGCCCTTCTCTCAGGTTCAACTTCCAAAGAAAACCACTTACAAGTCAATCTCTGTTCCCTCCATCCATTCATTCTCCCAAGTATCCATTCATGTTTTTCCTGCTAATTATTTAATGCCCCTTAACGGAATTACCTATGCTCCCCATCTCCCCAATCCACTCTGAAAGGAGGTTATATATGTTTAGACCCCAGTGGGAAATTGGGCGATCATTCTGCCATTCCCCTCATGTACTTGGTTAAATAAATGTATGTGCCTTTTCTCTTATTAATATGACTTATTGTGACTTGATTTTTCAGCAAACCCTCCAAGGGCAAGAAGGAAGCTTCCCTTTCACCCCAATGGCATATAATATATTTTAGCCATTTTTCCCTTTATATGTATTTTTATTGGCATTATTGTACTCAGAAGCATGAAAAAATAAGATAAAGACTGATGTTGATAATGACAGGAGACAGGGATATACTGGGTAGAAGAGGGCAGTTCCCCGGCAAAGGCACCAACCTCGAGCCAGACACCTGTGGCCCTATATGAGAACACACATTCCTGTTTTTGCACCCCAAAAGTTGCCTTTTGGCCTGCCACGGCCCAGTATCCTGTACCCCTATAAATCCTGAACCCCAGGCTCCAGAATTAAATGGGCAGAGGAATGGCAGAATGGTGCAGCAGAGAAGGAGACAAGAGAAGGAGTGCCTGAATGCTCCCCTTCCCATAAAGGGTTTGCGCTGTCAGTGGCGGAACAGAGAGCCACACCTCTGTTGCACGCCCTCTGAGGGGGTCCAGGGAACTCTCCTGTGTCAATGTTTAAGGCTGGGCACAGTGGCTTACACCCGTAATCCCAGCACGTTGGGACGACGAGGCACGTGGATCGCTTGAGTTCAGGAGTTCAAGACCAGCCTGGGCAACATGGAGAAACCCATCTCTACCAAAACTACAAAAAGTTAGCCAGGCATGGTGGCATGCACCTGCATTCCCAACTACTCAGGAGGCTGAGGTGGGAGGATCACTTGAGACTGGGAGGCAGAGGCTGCAGTGAGCCGAGATCCTGTCACTGCACTCTGGGTGACAGAGCGAGAATGTATCTCAAAAAAAAAAAAAAAAAAAGAATGATGTTTACTCACAGTTAATGACATTTAGGGTATGTTGTTAGTGAGTGTGTTACTTGCTTAGCGTCACCACAACAAATTATCACACGCTTCATGCCTTAAAACATCAGAGATGTATCCAAAACATAGTGTTTTGTATTCTTTTATGAGATCATCAATTAGGTACAGCCACAAGAGGAGACGCAGGAGAGGTTTAGGAAAAAATATAGTTTTACTCACAGGTCCTAGATGCAGGAGGCACAGCACATCACTCACAGCCACATGGGAAGGACGCAGGGGTGGTCAGGATTAGGGGTAGGTTTAGGCCACTGCTTTCATTGGAATTATCATAGGAAAAGCAAGGCAGGGCAAGGTGAACAATTAAAAATTGACTAGCTTGGGCCGGCTGCCCCACCGTCTGGGAAGTGAGGAGCGCCTTTGCCCGGCCGCCGTGCAACCCTCCAGGTGTGAAGTGGAAGTGGCAGCCCGTGTGTGATCTTTCTGCCCTCCCCAAGTCTGCATTTTCGACAGTAAAGTTTACTTTTAAATTAAAAGGTTTAAATTGGGGAAGATAAAAAAAAATTGGCTAGCTTGAATAATTTTGGTGAGCTCTGTGCCACAGAAGTGGTCCCTAGTTTTCTAGTACCTGGCCCTGGGATGATTAAGGCAGAGGAATATAGCCTTCTGGAGTATATGGGTCAGACAGAGGATGTGTGGCTCTGAATTGGTTAGTTTGCATATCAAAGGTATGCTCCTGGCAGGGCCCTTTGCTATCACTAAGAATTGGCTAACCCCTGGAGGAGCAGTCTCTTCCCAGCCAGAAATGTTTTAAGATATTAAAACATCATAATATAGAGTACATTAAAAAATATATTTATGGAGGGGCACGGTGGCTCATGCCTGTAATCCCAGCACTTTAGGAGGCTGAGGTGGGCTGATCATGAGGTCAGGAGATCGAGAACATCCTGGCTAACACAGTGAAACCCCGTCTCTACTAAAAACACAAAAAATTAGCTGGGCGTGGTGGCAGGCGCCTGTAGTCTTAGCTACTCAGGAGGCTGAGGCAGGAGAATGGCGTGAACCCTGGAGGCAGAGCTTGCAGTGAGCCGAGATGGCGCCACTCCACTCCAGCCTGGGCGACAGAGCTAGACTCCGTCTCAAAAAAAAAAATATATATATATATGTGTGTGTGTGTGTGTGTGTGTGTGTGTGTGTGTGTGTGTGTGTGTGTGTATATATTTATAGGCCGAGCATGGTGGCTCACGCCTGTAATCCCAGCACTTTGGGAGGCCGAGGCATGCAGATCACGAGGTCAGGAGTTCAAGAGCAGCTTGGCCAACATAGTGAAATCCCGTCTGTACTAAAAATAGAAAAAAATAGCTGGGCGTGGTGGCAGACACCTGTAATCCCAGCTACTCGGGAGGCTGAGGCAGGAGAATTGCTGGAACCCGGGAGGCAGAGGTTGCAGTGAGCGGAGATTGTGCCATTGCACTCCAGCCTGGGTGACAGTGCAAGACTCCATCACAAATAAATAAATAAATACACACACACACACACACACACACACATATATAAACACATAGTCAAATCTAGAGATAAATAATTAAGAAGCAACTCTACCTCTCAGTACCTCAAAAAATGTATCGTGTGTGTGTTCCTCTCATTATATGCCTCCATGTGTGCATATATCATGTATATTCATTGTATATGGGTCTCACATATCTTGACACTCAACATTTGCCAGACAGCATAAAACCAGTTATTAAATGATCCGAAGTTTATACTGAGCTCTATCTGACTCCCAAGTCCCCATGCCTAACCACTGGGATACACAATCGTTTTCTGTGTAGGGCTGAGGCCAGCTCAGGGGAAGTGACTCGTCATGGTGCTATGGACAAGGAAGGATCTAGTACTGGAGACCAGAGTCATCTGATTTCAGTCTGTTGTATAGCAAATGTTCCTTAAATGCTGTTATTCAATACTGTCCCCCATTCTTTGCAATATCAAAATGTAAAATAGAAGAAGAAAATAAGAAACCAAAAACTAAAGAGCAGATGATTTGCTTTCTCTTGTTCACCATTCTCAGGTATCTCATTCTTCAAAGAAATGGCACTAAAGGCCGGGCATGGTGGCTCCCAGCACTTTGGGAGGCTGAGGTGGGTGGATCACCTGAGGTCAAGAGTTCAGGACCAGCCTGGCCAACATGGGGAAACCCCATCTCTACTAAAAATACAAAAATTGGCCAGGCATGGTGTCTCACGCCTGTAATCCCAGCACTTTGGGAGGCCAAGGCAGGCGGATCACGAGGTCAGGAGATCGAGACCATCCTGGCTAACACGGTGAAACCCCATCTCTACTAAAAATACAAAAATATTAGCTGGGTTTGGTGGCGGGTGCCTGTAGTCCCAGCTACTCGGGAGGCTGAGGCAGGAGAATGGCATGAACCCGGGAGCTGGAGCTTGCAGTGAGGTGAGATTGCGCCACTGCACCCCAGCCTGGGCAACAGAGCGAGACTCCATCTCAAAATAAATAAATAAATAATAAAAATAAAAATAAAAATACAAAAATTATCCAGATGTGGTGGCTGGCACCTGTAATCCCAGCTACTGGGGAGGCTAAGGCAGGAGAATCGCTTGAATCCAGGAGGCGGAGGTTGCAGTGCGCCAATGCACTCCAGCCTGGGTGACCTCTGTCTCAAAAAAAGAAAAGAAATGGCACTAAAACTTATCCATCATATGAATACATATACATTTCATTTCCTGCTGCTTCAAATCCAAATGATACCTATAAGATGTTCATATTTAAGTCATCTTGTTTGTGGGAGGGAGAACACAAAGAAAGTCTATCTATCTATCTATGTAGATGGATATACAGATGTATGAAACTTTCTGTAGGTTTTTTCTTCTCCTTATAATGGTTCCATGAGGCAAGTATCAATATGTCCATTATACAAATGTTCAAGGTCAGCCTCAAGAAGGAAATATCATTACTCTACAGTAACACATCTACTTAGAAGCAGGAATGGGGTTCTATACACTATATGTACAAATATACATATAGACAAATATATATAGATACATACATATTTATGAAATATATATCACATAAATTTGATAATCTACTTGTCTAAATCACAAAAAAGCTAATGGCATTTAATTTAGATTACATTAAGTTAATAAATTAACTTGGGGAAATTGGCATCTCTATGAAATTGAGTGTTCTTACTCCGGAACATCATGTTTTTTTGTTTGTCCAAGTCTAGTTTTGCATTCTGTATAGGTTTTGAATATTTGACTCAGTTCTGTTGTATTGTTTATACATGTAACATAAATATAAAATTATTTATATAACTTTACATATATATAAAACTTTACTAGGTATTACACTGGATTGTTGGTTTTATTTGCTCTCTTTTTTTAGTTGGTACTTAGAATTGTTATAGGCTTATTATTATTATTATTATTGAGACAGAGTCTCTCTCTGTCACCAGGCTGGGGTACAATGGTGCAATCTTGGCTCACTGCAACCTCCGCCTCCCGGGTTCAAGTGATTCTCCTGCCTCAGCCTCCTGAGTAGCTGAGATTACAGGCCACCGTCACCACACCCAGCTAATTTTTGTATTTTTAGTAAAGGCGGGGTTTCTCCATGTTGGCCAGGTTGGTCTAGAACTCCTGACCTCAGGTGATCCACCCACCTCGGCCTCCCAAAATGCTGGGATTACAGACGTGAGCCACCACAGCCAGCCTAGTTTTATTCTAATGGTTATATTTACACTTTTTTTTTTTTTTAAACAGGGTCTCACTCTGTTGCCCATCCTGGAGTGTAGTAGTGCAGTTTCAGCTCACTGCAGCCTTGACCTTATGAGCTCAAGGGGTCCTCCTGCCTCAGCCTCCTGAGTAGTTGGGATTACAGGTAAAAGCCACAGTGTCCAGCTTATGCTAACTTCTTAACTAACCTACTTAATATACTTAATATGGAAAAAAAGCTCTTAATAATGGATAGAAAAATGAGCAAATGATATTAACAGATAATTAATATAAAAAGCACTATAAGGCCACGTGTGGTGGCTCATGCCTGTAAGTAATCCCAGCACTTTGGGAGGCCGAGGCTGGAGGATCACCTGAGGTCAGGAGTTGGAGACCAGCCTGGCCAACATGGAGAAACCCCGCCTCAAATAAAAATACAAAAATTAGCCTGGTGTGGTGGCGGGCGCCTGTAATCCCAGCTACTCAGGAGGCTGAGGCAGGAGAATCGCTTGAACCCAGGAGGCAGAGGCTGCCGTGAGCCGAGACTGCACCACTGCACTCAGGCCTGGGCGACAGAGCAAGCCTCTGTCTCAAAAATAAATAGATAGATAAATAAATAAATAAATAAGCAGTATATATACTCATTAAACTTTCAAAAATGTGTCAAATTACAAAAAGTGCAGAAATGCAAAACAATATTCCAGGCTAATATGCTGAGTTAAAAAGGCAAATTTAGTGTGATCTCAGTTTTTTTGTTTGTTTTTTGTATTCTGTTTGTTTGTTTTGTTTTGAGACAGAGTCTCATTCTCTCACTCTGTCGCCCAGGTTGGAGTGCAGTGGTGTGGTCGTGGTTCACTGCAACCACCGCCTCCTGGGTTCAAGTGATTCTCATGCCTCAGCCTCTTGAGTACCTGGGATTACAGGCTTGCTCCACCATGCCTGGCTAATTTTTGTATTTTTAGTAGGGATAGAGTTTTGACATGTTGGCCAGGCTGGTCTCGAACTCTTGAACTCCTGACCTCATGTGATCTGCCCGCCTCAGCTTCCCAAAGTGCTGGGATTACAAATTTATTTGGCTTAATAAACAGCAAGACTAGTCAGATAAACCCTGCAAAAGAAGAAAGAGTGAAGGGAGGGAGTCCTACTAGGTACTAATGCATATAATAAAGTATGTGCAATATACAAGTATGACACTGGCTCATAAATAGACAGAAAAAGCTAATAAAATAGAGAAAATACTGATATAGTATTTATATTGTATTATATTTGGAAATTTGTTAATAGCATGTGATTAAGGCAGCATTTCAAATCACTGAAGATATGATTGATGATTTTAGAAGTGGTATTCTGACAGCTAGCAAACCAAATAGTTATAAAGGCAAAAAGGGATTCATTTTACATCAGAATAAATTCCAAAGGGTGCAGATTTTAATGTAAAACATGAATGTATACAAGTATTAGGAAAAAACATGGGTGAATTCCTCTATCATGAGGAAGTGAAGAACACTTTCACAACTATGACTCAAAATCCAGGTGTATTAAGGAAAAAAGATTGATACATTTAACAACATTAAAATAAAAACAGCAACACTGTGTGACAAAAAACATGGTATACAACTAAAAGACATCTAAAATATTCCCAACTAATATTTCTAAGAAAGTGTTGCTATCCATTCTATATAAAAGCTTGTAAATATAAAGCCACTAAAAAACAACAACCCTATCAAAGACTTGTAAGAAACATAAACAGTTAACGGAAGAAAATGCAAAGAAACTCAAACTTGGTTCTAGTAAGAGAGATATAGTTAAAACTACACTAAGTATCATTCTTCACCTATTAGATTGTCAAATATTCATAGGTTTGTTAATTCACTTAGTTCATGAGGGAGTGAAAAAAAGCATGTGTTTTTGTACATTGCTCACAGGGATGGAAAATGGTATGATCAAAGTAGAAGGCTTAATACTGGCCCCCAAAGATATAAGGTCTTACTGCTTGAAGACTGATGATATTACTTATAGGAAAAGGATCTTGGCAAATGGGATAACGTTAAGAATCTTGAAATGGAGAGATTATACTCGACTATCCAGATGGTCCCTAAATGCAATACCAAATGTTCTTATAAGAAAGAGGCAGTGGCGGGGCACGATGGCTCACATCTGTAATTCCAGCACTTTGGGAGGCTGAGGCGGGCAGATTACGAGGTGAAGAAATTGAGACCATCCTGGCCAACATGGTGAAACCCCATCTCTACTAAAACACAAAAACTTAGCTGGGCGTGGTGGCGTGTGCTTGTAGTCTCAGCTACTCGGGAGGCTGAGGCAGCGGAATCGCTTGAACCCGGGAGGCGGAGGTTGCAGTGAGCTGAAATCGTGCCACTGCACTCCAGGCTGGAGACAGAGCAAAACTCCGTCTGACAAAAAAGAAGCAGGGCTGGGCGCGGTGGCTCATGCCTGTAATCCCAGCACTTTGGGAGGCCGAGGTGGGTGGATCACGAGGTCAGAAGATAGAGACCATCCTGGCCAACCTGGTGAAACCCCGTCTCTACTAAAATACAAAAAATTAGCCGGGCATGGCGCCTGTAGTCCCAGCTACTCGGGAGGCTGAGGCAGGAAAATTGCTTGAACACGGGACGCGGAGGCTGAAGTGAGCTGAGATTGCGCCACTGCACTCCAGCCTGGCAACAGAGTGAGAGAGACAGAGAGAAAGAGAGAAAGAGAGGAGGGAGGGAGAGAAGGGAGGGAGGGAGGGAGGGAAAGAAAGAAAAAGAAAGAAAGAAAGAGAGAAAGAGAAAGAAAGAGAAAAAGAAAGAAAGAGAGAGAGAAAAAGAAAAAGAAAGAAAGAAAGAGGCAGGATAATTGACACAGACAGGACAGTAGAAGGCAGTAAGGCAGTGTGACCAAGGATGCAGAGATTGGACCAATGAAACCACAAACCAAGGAATGCTGGAAAACCAGAAACTAGAAAAGGCAAGAAATTGATTATTTCTTAGAGCCTCTGGAAAAAGGATGGTCCTGCTGATACCTTAGTCTTGGCCCAGTGAAACTGATTTTGAACTCTGGCCTCCAGAACTGTGACAATAAATTTCAGCTGTTTATAGACACTAATTTTGTGGTGATTTGTTACAGTAGCCATAGAAAATTAACACAACCACTATGGATGGGAATTTGCTAATATCTAGCAAAATGCCCTGTGGCACTATTTGAAGAACAAAAGAATGGAAACAACGTAAATACTCATCATTGTAGGGTGCATGAAATACTATCATATAACCACACAAAGGTGGACACTAAGTTAGATGTAAAGAAAACTGATGAAAATCTCCATATAGTGCTTTGGATATAGAGTAATTTAAAAAAAAAGCAACATTCATAAAGATGTGAGTAGCATGGTACTTTTTAATGTAAGAAGGGGGGAATGCAAAAATATATACTTTTTTTTACTTGTATTAAGAATAAAGAAAAGGACTTCTGTTTGGGGGATGAGATGAAATAGATACACTTCTCAGTACTATTTCTGCTGAGCATGGCTAAAATCCCTCAATATTATAAGTAAAATAAACATAAGACTCTGAAAGGCTACCTCTAGACAAAGAACCAGAAAAGGGGACATATAGTAAGAAAGCAAGCTTTTAGACTCTAACTGCCCTATTTTAGCAAAGAACAATGGAATAAAACACAGCTCCACCCCTACAATGCCAGCAGACTGAGTGGAGAGCATGGATTCCACACTTATCAGATTGTAAACAGACACCCATCTCCACCCTTTGGGGTGATACCAGAGAAGACTATGTGGAGAACAAGTACTTTCATCCTCACCTGGTAGAAATGAATAACCCCCAATGGTGTCAGTGGACACCATGCAGGGAACTTGACTTGCACCCACACCCAATGATAATGAGATGCCCCTTCTCTTCTTTTCTGGGCTGGAGTCACCAGAAGTTGAGTGGGAAGGTGAAACGTTTATGACCATCCAGTAATACGGGGCTTTCTTATCTTCACAGGGTCAGTGGAAGCTACATGGAGAGCAGTTACAATGTGTCTTCCCCCTCCTGCCAGGGTGGTGTCAGTGGAGGCCTGGCAGGGAGTGAAATTTCACCTCTGCTAAGCAGTAAGAAGGAGCCACTTCCCTTCCAGTCTCACACCTGCCCCCTCCACATTGTTAGTGGAGGCTGAGTGGGGAACCTAGACTTTTATCTCCACCCAGCAGTAATAAGCTCTCCCCATTCCCCTCCACACACACCATGGTGTCAATGGAGGCCACATGGGAAATAGGAAGGAGGCGTGCTGCTCTTCTTAGCCAGAGTAGTGTAGATGGAGACCTAGTGAGAAGCCTGAAACCCATCTCTCCCAAGCAGTAATAAGGCACCACTTCCCCTCCCACCCTCCAGCCCCTGTGTCAAAGAGGTTTGAGTAGCGAATCTGGGTTTTCTTTTTTTTTTTTTTTGAGACGGAGTCTCGCTGTCGCCCAGGCTGGAGTGCAGTGGCGCCATCTCGACTCACTGCAAGCTCCGCCACCCGGGTTCACGCCATTCTCCTGCCTCAGCCTCCCGAGTAGCTGGGACTACAGGCGCCCGCCACCTCGCCCGGCTAATTTTTTGTATTTTTAGTAGAGACGGGGTTTCACCATGTTAGCCAGGATGGCCTCGATCTCCTGACCTTGTGATCCGCCCGCCTCGGCCTCCCAAAGTGCTGGGATTACAGGCGTGAGCCACCGCGCCTGGCCGAATCTGGGTTTTCATTTAAATAACATCCAGAGTTTCATAACGTGATACCAAAAATATTTAGGAAATAATTTAAAAATCTGTCTTTAACTGAGAATCTGGAAAATCTAAAATTGAGAAAGAAAATACAATCAATGGATACCAACACCAAAATGACATAGATGTTGGAATTATCCTATGTGGACTTTAAAAGCAGTCATCATGAAAATGCTTCAATGAAAAAAATAAGATGTTCCAAACTGTGCTAACACCACAAATCGAATGCTGGAAACCAATGAAAATATTGAAAATCTTAACAAATAAATAGAAGATATATAGGAGAACCAAATGGAACTTTAGAACCAGAAAATACAATAACTGAAGTAAAACTCAGTGGACCGGGTGTGCTTGGCATGCAACTGTAATCCTGGCTACTCAGGAGGCTAAGGCTTGAGATTCATTTGAGCCAAGGACTTCAAGACCATCCTGGGCAACATAGCGAGACCCCATCTCTAAAATAAAATAAACACTCAATGGATGGATGCAACAGCATAATGGAGAGGAAAGAGAAAAGAATCAGGGAACTTGAATACAGAGCAACAGAAATTAACCATTTTGAAAAGAGAGGATACACTAAAAATACAGAACAAAGCCTCAAGAACTTGTGGGACTATGACAAAAGATATAATATTTGTGTCACTTTTGTGTTGGAAGGAGAAGAGAAAGAGTGCATGAGCAAAAAATTATTTGAGGAAATAATGGCTGAAGACCTTCAAATTTAGCAAAAGACGTAAACTGAGAGGTACAAATCTGAGCATATCCCAAAAAGGATTATCCCAAAGAAATCCACGAAAAGACACATCATTATCAAACTTTAGAAAACTAAACACAAAGATAAAATCCTAAAATCAGGAAGAGAGAAATAATGCATTGCCTATAATTAAAAAATATAGCAAATTTCTCATCAGAAACCATGGAGAACAGAAAGGAGTGGCACATCATTTTTCAAGTGCTTAAAGAACTGTTAACCTCAAATTATGTATTCAAGTAAATTATCCTTCAGAAATTGAGGATATACAGATATTCCAAATGAAGGAAAAACAATTTTTAACCAGCAGACATACTCTAAAAGAATGGCTTTAGCCAGAAAGGAATTGATAAAAGAAGTGCTCTTGGAACATAAGAACAAAAAGATGGGTAAATACAATAGCTCTTCCTCCTCCTCTTGAGATTTCTAAATTCTGTTTGATGGTTTAAGTAAAAAGTATAACACCATCTGATTAGTTCTCAATATATGTAGAAGAAATATTGAAGACTATACTACTGTAAGTGGCTGATGACAAGGAGACTTTATTGGCCTTGGCATTGGAAACAGCTGGGCATACACAAACTTGCCACTGTTCAGCATACCTATTACTCAAGAATATATGAAACAATGAATGAATGAGAAGTATACTGGGATGGGGCACACAGTTTTCCCATGCTCTAAATAAACAGGATCTGAACATCACTCCCTTGGACACTTGGTTACTTTGGCCTCAAAGATCTTTCCTCTTCCCTTAAAAAATATCTCTATTGGAAAGTAACACTTTCCAGATGTTCCAAATTGTGCTAACGCCACCAATCAAATTTTGTCAGATCCACTTCCTGGGTATTAAATGCTTCTTCCCTCAAGTCAAAGGACTCAAGACAGCCCAGGAATCATCTCCTGCATCTTCATTACTCTTTACCTTGAGAAAGTTGACAGAGACATGAATTTAGAGAGAAATGAAAGGAGTATTGTGGGCCCACCTGGTAAATCACTGAAGGCATCCAAAAAGGATAGAGAGTGATAGGGCCAATTTTGCATGTGGGAACATGTGCAGACAACATGATTGAAATCCAGTAACAAATCGTTACATCCCAGGGGAAATCCCATACAGAGAACACAGTTGAAAAGGTCAGGCAGTGTGTGGACAAGAGAAAAGTGCACATTTGAGTAAAGTAGAGGGAGCCCATATGCTTACAACAGCACAGTTGCCCAACCATAAAAGGCTGTTTGGTCAATACATGCAGCTTTGTTAGAGTGGGAGTATACATTTAACTCTGCAGAAATAACTGCAAAAATGCAATATCTAAAAGATAGTAAAGGTGAGTGTTAACTTGTGCCCAATCTTGTCAGAACCTTGTTGAGTTGTGATACAACACACTGAGCTGATGAAAAGAGCTGAGGCAACAGAGGGAGAGAAAAGCCTTGTGAAAAATCTCAGGGAGGATGCAGAGAGAAAGCAAATGAAAACATGGAGAGTGTGACCTTGTGGAGAGAATGTTCTGGTTAAGAATGTGACTCTAGGACTCACTGGCAGATAGGGGTCCATGGGGCTTGGGGTCAGAGAGAAATTAAAGTGGGTGGACAATTTACAGAAAGTGTGGGTGCTCAATTAGTGGTAAATCCTTCCCCTTGATATTCACTTCCCACTTTAATGAAGGTTTAGGGTGCTGACATCAATCACTTTACTATTGTCAGTGCTCCTGTTTCTTCCCTGCCCTCATGGACCAGTGAGAGGCATACAGGGCACTTCCCTTCTCACCATATTTGTGCAATTTCAGGTAAAGGTAACCTGCAGCATCCCACTGAAGCAAATGTGTTCTTCACCAGTTGGTCCCAAACCTGGATGGCCTCAGACCTAGAGTGTCTGGTCAGTTATCTCAGAGCCCTGTCTGTTCCCCTGGCCCAGTCAGTCAGGCTGGACCCCCCTCTCTTCTCTTCTCCAACTACCCCCAACAAGTCCTGCCCATTGTACCAGGCCTAGCCCCTCTTTGAGGAGTCTCTGATTATTCCATTGAGGCCTCCCTGTTCTTGTATAATAAGGTGGTTTTACAGAGGTCGCCATAAGTTCCACAAGGACCTGGACTTTATGCAATGATTACCACGACCTCTCCATCCCCTGGGCCACTGGAGGTGTGAAGAGTGATGGATGCTCATTGAACAACTGTGTGACAGTTCAAGTCAAGGCAAAGAGAAGAAACTCACCCTGGATGGTTCAGGGACTGGGTCCCAGGAACAATTCTTAACTCTTCCTCCAGTGTCCCTCCCTGCACACTCACCATCAGTAACCTCTTTCTGAAGCTCCAATAAGGCCCCAGAGCCCCAGGTCATGTACACACCTGATGTAAACACAGAAGGCCCCAACAGAGTACAGGAAAAACACAATTATTCAATGGAAAAGGAGTGAGGACCTTCTCCACCCCAACTCCATTGGAGTGCATAGACCAGAGATAGCACTGAATTTCCTACATAATATAGCTGAGTGTGGTTCCCTTCTTACATTCCCAAATACACATCAAACTGTAATGATGCTATTGCGGTTAAGAGATATCATCCCTGTTAAATATGGCTGGAATGGTGTTACGGACTGAAGGATATTAACATACACAAAACTATTGTATGAAAGTGTTTTATATTAAACCTCATTTGATCATAACAACTCCATTCAAGACCAATTATTATCCCCATTACTCAGATAAGGAAACTGGAGCTAAAAGCTAAGTAACACAACCTAGGGAAACAGCCTTTTAAATTATTGTTCCAGAACTCAAAGCTTAAGATTACAAAAAGATTACGCTTTTCCACCCTCTGTCCTGTGAGCTGACATTTGATATACCTTATTATTTTATTTATTTATTTATTTGTGTTTTTTTTTTCTTTTCTGAGACAGGGTCTCACTCTGTCACCTAGGCTGGAGTGCAGTGGTGCAATCACAGCTCACTGCACCCTCAAACTCCTGGGCTCAAGTGATCCTCCCACCTCAGCCTCATGAGTAGCAGCTACCACCACACCTGGCCATGTTTTTAATTTTTGTTTGTTTGTTTGTTTTGTTTTGTTTCTCACTATGTTGCCAGGGTTGGTATCAAACTCCCCATCTCCTGGCTTCAAGTGATCCTCCCACCTTGACCGCTCAAAGTGCTGGGATTACAAGCATGAGCCACCATGCCTGGCCTATTTTTTATTTCTTATTTTTTTCTTTTATTTCCTTTTCCCACATGTTCTAAAGACATATCTTTTTTTTTCTTTTCTTTTTTTTTTTTTGAGATGGAGTCTCGCTGTGTCACCCAGGATGGAGTGCAGTGGCGCAATCTCGGCTCACTGCAAGCTCCGCCCCCTGTGTTCACACCATTCTCCTGCCTCAGCCTCCCGAGTAGCTGGGATTACAGGCACCCGCCACCATGCCTGGCTAATTTTTTTGTAGAGACGGGGTTTCACCGTGTTAGCCAATATGGTCTTCATCTCCTGACCTCTTGATCCGCCCGCCTCGGCCTCCCAAAGTGTTGGGATTACAGGCGTGAGCCAACACACCCGGCCTAAAGACATATCTTAAAGCAATATTATTAAGTTGTCCTTTTTAAAACAATGTGCCAAAGTATTTTTTAAATTCCAAAAAACATTATAAAGTGTAAAATGCCATCCACATAGCAAAAATTAAAAATCAAAAGGCATGTGACTGTGTGTATGCCACTGCACTCCAGCTTGGGTGACAGAGTGAGACTCCATCTAAAAAAAAAAAAAAAAAAAAAAAAGAGCATGTGAAAAGTTAGTAAAATTGTAACTTATACTCAGATATAGGGTTTGTATGCTATATGTGTGATATACTCTTAGACATAAAGCAATACAAATCTCCAATAAACACCTGGAAATATGCCAAACCGAACAAATTAAAATAAATGAAAATGAATCATAATTATGTGAAACAGATAAGTTATAAAAATAAAACATAAGATATGATTGCATTTTGCAAAAGAATATATATCAACATGAGTGTATAGGTATGTGTATGATTACAAGAGAAAAATTCTGGAAAATAGGCCTATATAAATTAACAGAGACTACATTTTTACAATAATGGGCAGAAGGTGGGGCAGAAGGGGAAAACAGAATAATTTCTAAATATGCATTTCTATATCGTTTCATACTTATTAAACAATGAAAAGTCATAATTGGTAATCTGACAAGGTTATGAGATAAAGTTTTGTAAAACAGGAAAATCTGCAAACCAAGCCACAAAGTGACAGGGTAGAGATACATTTATTGACTAAAAAGTATGCAAATATTGCTCCACAGAATAGCACATTAAAAAAATTTCTTTGACAATAATTCAATGTGTGTATGTTGGTTTGAGATAAAGGATACTTTCATTTAAATTTGCATTTCTGTAAGATTTAAAATATAGAAGTTTTATTGAATAAAAGGTTAGAAATATAAAAACTTTGGAATGATTACAAATACGATGCTCATATATTTACTGCTTTGTAAATATATTCTCGATATATGTTTTATGAGTAAAGAAGCAGATCACAACAATTTGGCAGTATTTCTGTGTGTGAGTGTCTGTATTGCACAATTATTCACACACCAACTCGTGAAGCTTTCTGTTTGGTTCAATAGGGACCGAACTTTCAGGCCTAGAGTTTGAAGATCCCAGGATGGGCACAGATATAGAAGAATTGCTGCCAGTGTGAGGAATATTCCAGAAAGCTTTGTTCTGTACAATGGAATTCATTCACCTCCCTCACTCCCCAAATCCTCAACCCCTTGCCAAGTCCTCTGGTTGACTTTCACTCCTGCAATTCTGACTCTGAGCACAAGGTGGCATTGTTATCCATTTTCTAAGGTTTTTCCCCCCAGTGAAAAGACATATTTGTAATAAACAGAAACAAAATATTTTCTTCAAAGTACATTATGAAACAATAAGTACACAGTGATTCCAACTCTCCTTGAAAAATGCATGTATATAAAAATATTTAGGAGATACATACTTAGTTTCTTTTTCTGCTTACTCCTGTATCTACATCTCACTAACTTTTTAATATGTATTGGATGTCTACTATGTGGCAGATGCTATCAGTCCAATTCTATATCTGCATCCCAGACCTCCCTCTCTTGATATCTAGACCTGCACCACAGGGAGCAAGATGAATGTTAGTGCCCACCCCATGGTGGGGTGAGGTATGGCATCAAACACACCATTCCAAGCAAGTTTAGTTGAAGTTTCCCCCTGAGTCTTAGAAAGTCAGCATAGAAACAGGAAATGATGTGATTGAGTGGAGATAAGTTACTGCCTTGGAAAACTGAGGCAACTTGTAAAGCAAATATTTATTCTCTTGCGTAGTGCCAACAGGCTAATGCCTTCTCCTGACAGGATCTCTCTAACAGCATGAAGGATGAGGCAACCCTTGTATGGTTTCATCTTTGTTCTTCTCACGGGTGGGATGTAGAGATTTTACTTTTATCATTATTTCTTTGTTAGTTCTGAGTGTGTGTCTGCCTTATCCCTAGGAAGGGAGTCCTTCCCATTTACTTATGCAAAAAGCCCATCTGTGATGATGTGGAGTTTCTGCTTCATTTAATACTTCCTGTCCCAGTTAAGGGGGCTTGCCCATGCTTGGCTTCTTGTCATTCAGGACTTATTTCAAATGCCCATTTCCTGAGAAAGAGCTTCACTGACATCCCCACCTGTGATAATCTCTGTCCTGGTCATTTTATACTATATTTGCATGTGTATTTTCTTCAAAGCATTCATCTCCATATGAAATCACCCTGCTTATTGATTTGTTTACCTGCTTATTGCCAGTTTTCCCAGATTAAAATGAAAGCTCCATATTTTGTTACCTGTTTTGTTTTGTACCTGTTTTGTTCCCTGTGCCATATCCTCAGTTCCTAGTTTAGTGGCTCACATATAAATCACTGGATAAGTATTAAGTGAAGGAATTGTTACCTATTTTACACACTGCAATAGAGAACTATTTAAAGCTGAGTGTGACTGGCAGAAAAAAATGACAACAAAATTAAATATCAGAAGATTTAAAATTTTGAGAAGTATTTGTTGCAAATCTATAGCAGTGCTTTTCAAACTTGGATGAGAATGAAAACCAGTTGACAAAATCACTCAAAATGTAGACACCTCCTACCTCACCTTCCTTGTTTTGGTTTATCACATCCAGGATAGGCCTAGAATCTGCAGTTTTTACAAGTACTTTCTGATGATTTTGATGAAGTGGTGCATGAATCACACTTGGAAACATTCTGACCTAAACAACTGACATTTGTATACTATTAATTTAATGTCTATCATGCAGAATTCTGGAATATATGGAGTGTCTCTGTTAATGTAATTACTTGAAAGTGTACTGGTCTTTCCCTCCCACATAAGACCACGGATTGTCTTCCCAAATGGGATAACAATATTCTACAATATTCTTTGGTGGCCAGAAGGACTGGTTATATAGACAAGGCTGTGCATTAAAGGTAACTTTTTATTCTTATGCTTTAATGTCTGGGACCTTGTTGACACTGAAGAGACTGTCACTCCCAGGGCTAACCAATTCCTATATGTAGCAAAGCACTGGATTATGCCTTTCATATGGAAACCAACAAATCCAGAGTCCACATCCCTTCCATGTCTTCTCACACTCACAATCAACACCACTACTTCCCTGCTTAATCAACCAAGGGCCAGGTACCAGACAACTTGGGACAACCCCTGTGTCCCAAAGCCCGCTGAAAATGTTCAAACCAGCCAACACTAAGACTGGCTACCCTACCTTGCCCATTTCTCCTGACAGAAACCACAATAAAGAATCTTGGCTTGTCCAATGGTAGTGGGTTATCAGAACTTATTAACATTAATGTCATTAAAGTTGGTATCCACCCCTCACTGCTAAATTTGACAGTGTAAAAGCATTTTAATGTAAATGCTTACTGCTATAAACTTCTTGTTTAGTACATCTTTTGCTGCATCCCGTAAGGTTTGGTATATTGTGCTTTCATTTTCATTTGTCTCAAGGTATTTTCTGGGAGGTTGAGTAGGCTGAAGAGGAGGAGCAAGAGGAGGGGTTGGTTTTGCTGACTCTGGGGTGGAAGAGGTGATAGAAAAAAATTCACGTATAAGTAGACCTGTGCAGTTCAAACTCATGTTGTTCAACTGCTGCAGCCACTATGTAAAACAGTATAGAGGTTCCTCAAAAAATTTTAAATAGAATTATCATATGATCCAGCAATTCCACTTCTGGATATATATCCAAAAGAATTGAAAACAGAGTCTTGAAGAGATATTACATGGCCACGTTTATTGCAGCATTGTTCACAGTAGTCAAGAGGTGGAAGCAAGTTAATTGTCCATCAGTGAATGAATAAGTAAAGAAAATGTACATAGAAATACAATTCAGTATTAAAAAAAGAAGAAAATCCTGTCATATACTATAATATGGATCAACCTTGAGGACATTATGCTAAGTGAAAAAAGGCTGTCACAAAAAGACAAATAGTGCGTTAGTCCAAATATATGATGTAACTAAAGTAGCTAAACTATTAGAAACACAAGTAGAATAGTGATTGCTGGGGGCTTAGGGAAGTTGTGAAAAGGGAAATTTTTGTTCAATGAGTATAGAGCTTCAACAGATAATACATTTCCAGAGATCTATTGCACAACAATGTGCATATAGTTAACTCTATTGCACAAGTGCATATAGTTAACACTATTGCACTGTGTGCTTAGAAATGGTTAAGATGGTAAATTTTATTTTGTTTGTTTTTATCACAAAAATCAGTGAGACAGTCCAATAAATAAATGGGCAAAACTGTGAAAAGACACTCCAAGAAAGAAGATATACAAATGTCAAATAAGCACATGAAAAGATGCTCAACACAATTATTCATCAGGGAAATGCAAAGAAAACTATAAGAGGCCACTACACTTTCTTAAGAATGGCCAAAATTTAAAAGACTAACCATATCAAATGTTGGTAAGGTCATGGAGGATGGGACTCTCATATACTGCTGGTGGTTATGAAAAATGGTTTAACCACTTTGGAAAATAGTTTGGCAGTTTCTTTCTCTTCCTTCCTTCCTTCCTTCCTTCCTTCCTTCCTTCCTTCCTTCCTTCCTTCTTTCTTTCTTTCCTTCTTCTTCTTTTTTTTTTTTTTTGGAGTCTCCCTCTGGCGCCCAGGCTGGAGTGCAGAGTGGCGCAATCTCGGCTCACTGCAACCTCAGCCTCCCGGGTTCAAGTGATTCTCCTGCCTCAGCCTCCTGAGTAGCTGGGACTACACATGCGCGCCACCATGCCCAGCTAATTGCTAAGTGCTAAGATTACAGGCATGAGCCACCACGTCCAGCCAGCAGTTTCTTAGGATGTTAATTTTACATCTATCATATAATCCAGCTTAGCACTCTTACATATTTACTTACCATAGAGAAAGAAAGCACATGTCTATGGTAAGACTTATACACAAATCTTCATAGCAGCTTTATTTACAAGAGCCACAAATTGAAAATAAGCCAAAATTTTCCCAACAGTTGAATAGATAAATTGTAGTGTACTCATATACTAGAATACTATTTGGCCATTAAAAACAATAAAATTGGTTGGGCCCAGTGGCTCATGCCTGTAATCCCAGCACTTTGGGAGGCCGAGGCAGGCGGATCACATAAGGTCAGGAGTTTGAGACCAGCCTGACCAACATGGAGAAACCCCATCTCTACTAAAAATACAAAATTAGCCAGGCATGGTGGCGCTTGCCTGTAATCCCAGCTACTCGGGAGGCTGAGGCAGGAGAATCACTTGAACCCAGGAGGCGGAGGCTGCAGTGAGCTGAGATCACACCATTGCACTCCAGCCCAGGCAACAAGAGTGAAACTCTGTCTCAATAAATAAATAAATAAATAAATAAATAAACAAATAAATAAAATTTTGATACATGCAACAATATTGATAAATCTAAAATTAAATAAGTGGAAGGAAAGAAGTGAGGCCAATAAAAAATACAACCTTCATGTTTCCATTAAATAAAATTCCAGGAAATGAAAAATAATCTATAGTAATAGAAGATCGGTGGTTGCCTAAGGACAGGACAGGGAGGGAGGATGATGGGAGCCTATGAGTACAAAACCACAACCTATGAGTACAACAACCACAGAGTTCTGAGTTTTCACCTGTGTTATCACTATTCCAGCAATCCTATGGGTGAGCATTTTTATCCCAATTTTAGAGGGGGACGCTAGGCTCAGGGAGAGTCATTACCTGTCTCATCCTCCCACATCCTGTCTGTATATGGAAAGTAGCTCCAGGACACTGGTGTAGGACACCACACTCACTGGGGACAGGAGAGTCCTATATCTCCCTGCCACACCTCACCAGACAGCCAGGGCAACTTGTCCCAAAGTGGAAAGGAGGTGACTTGCATCTGGGATCACTTCATCTCACCACACCCCAGGGAGGTTCATCTCCCACCGTGGGGCACCCACACCCTCATCTGAGTCCCAAACTCCTGAAGTTGGGCTCCTGCTCTTCTAACTAGACAACAATGATCTTTATTAAAAAGTCTTCACAGTCACCACAATGATCTCAAGTTTCTTTCTTTCTCTCCTTCCTTCCTTCCTTCCATCCTTCCTTCCTTCCTTCTCTCCCTCTCTTTCTTTTTTCTTTCTTTCTTTTCCTTCCTTCCTTGCTTCCTTCCTTCCTTTCTCTCTCTCTTTCCCTTTCTTTCTTTCTTTCTTTCTTTCTTTCTTTCTTTCTTTCTTTCTTTCTTTCTCTCTCTCTCTCTCTTTCTCTCTCTCTCTCTTTCTTTCTTTCTTTCTCTCTCTCTCTCTTTCTTTCTTTCTTTCCTGTCCATTCTTGCACTGCTACAAAGAAAAACTAGGTAACATTAATATATAAAGAAAACAGGTTTAATTGGCTCACAGTTCTGCAGGCTGTACAGGAAGCACAGCTGCTTCTTGGGAGGCCTCAGGGAACTTACAATCATGGCAGAAGGAGAAGCAGGCATGTCTTACCTGGCAAGAGAAAGAAGAAGAGAGACTTGAGGGGAGGAGGTACTACTGCAGGGGAGGAGGTTGTACTTTTAAACAACCAGATCTTATGAGAACTCACCCGCTATACAGTACCAAGGGAGAAAATGGTGCCAAATCATTCATGAAGGATCCACCTCCATGATCAAATCACCTCCCACCAGGCCCCTCTTCCAACAATGGGGATTGCAATTGCACATGAGATTTGGCTGGGGACACAGACCCAAACCATATCACTTTCTCACTTTCTCACTTTTTCTTTTTCTTTCTTTCTTTCTTTCTTTCTTTCTTTCTTTCTTTCTTTCTTTCTTTCTTTCTTTCTTTCTTTCCTTCTCTCTCTCTTTTTTCTCTTTCTTTCTTCCTCTTTCTTTCTTTCTCTCTCTTTCCTTCTTTCTTTCTTTCTCTCTTTTTCTTCTTTCTTTCTTCCTCTATCTTTCTTTCTCTTTCTTTCTTTCTCTCTCTTTCCTTCTTTCTTTTTTTCTTTCTCTCTTTCTCTTTCTTCTTTCTTTCTTCTCTCTCTCACAGGGTCTGGCTTTGTCACCCAGGCTGGAAGTGCAGTGGTACAATCATGACTCACCAGAGCCTTGGCAATCTTCCTGCTTTAGCCTCCCAAAGTGCTGTAATTACAGGCATGAGTCACCATGCCCAGCCATGAGGTCAAGTTTCTATGGCAACCACCATGGGCAGGCTGGTCCTGCACAGTGCCTCAGCTCAGCCCACTGCTTCTGTGCCTTTCTCTAAAAGCAAAACACCTTCATTCTTCAGACTGCCATGTAAGAAGGCTTACTAGTTAAAAGAACTAGGCTAGGACACAGACAACAGGCAGAACTTTGTCCAGGTGGTTGGAACAAAGCATGTCCCTGTTTTCAGGGGCTTTATTTGCTTTAAAAGTGACAGAGCAGTAGTATTATCAGTACACAGAGATTCAAGGAGATATCCTAGAGTTCTTGCAGATAATCTAGCCCACTGGCAGTGGACCTGTACTTCCTACAGAGTTACACCAGGAGACTCGTCTTGTCTGCTTGTCTCTCTTCCTGTGATGTTATAATTGATCACTGGGTTCGGGTGCTGTCAGCCTGAATCATCCATTATAAAATTTCCCATGTGCTTTTCACCTCATGTGTTTTTGCATTCTTTGAAGATTGTTGCCAGAACTGCATTTTATTAAAGTTTGCACAAAGGTGATGTAGTAATTCTACGTTTTTTTCTTTATTCATTAGTTGTAATTCTTTGGCTGGGCACAGTGGCTCACATCTGTAATTCCAATATTTTGGGAGGCTGAGGCAGGAGGACCACTTGACCCCAGGAGTTGGAGACCAGCCTGGGCAATATAGTGAGACCCCATCTTTGTCTAAAAATAATAATAATAGGCTGGGGGCAGTGGCTCATACCTGCAATCCCAGCACTTCAGGAGGCTGAGAAAAGAGGATTGCTTGAGGCCAGGAGTTCAAGATCAGCCTGGGCATCATAGTGAGACTTTGTCTCCAGAAAAAATTAAAATAAATAAAAATTAGCCAGGAATAGTGGTGCATGCCTGTGGTCCCAGCTACTTGGGAGGCTGAGGTGGAAGGATAGCTTAAGCCTAGGATGTCAAAGCTGCAATGAGCCATGATAACGCCACTGCACTCTAGCCTGGGTGAGAGAATGAGACCCTGTCTCAATAATAATAATAATAATTTTAAAAAGAAGAAACTGTAATTACTTTTTAAAATAAACTTTCTTTTATTAATGACAACTATTAGGTTATGCTGGGAATGGCATGCACCGGAAGGGAAGGATGAATGCTTTAATTCTTTTGCAGTATATTTCCACTTTTCAAGATAATGAGTTATTTTCCTAGAAACCTGCATAGGTGAGCAGTTAGCTTGTTTTCTGTATTTTTCTTTCAGATTGTCATCAGAAGTTCATAGACATTTATGTATTTGATGTGCTATAATCCATTGCAGTCATTTTTTTCTTGGCCAAATTGTTCTCTGTTTGGCCAGTAGGAGCCCCTTCAGGTTGGCTTCTAAGTATTTTTTGACATGCTTTCTGGTATGATAGTTTGTTCCAGAATTATCTGTAACAAAGCCTACGCTGGACCTGGAATCATATGTCTCTCTAAGGAAGCTCAGTTCTTTTTAGCAGGAAATGATTTTAGAGGAATCAATCTGCGTAACAGGGTTTCTCATTGCTGCTGACTTGATCATTATTTCTTACCTTTACAGTACATGGATCCTGTAAATAGGTATTATATTTTAAAAGATTATACATCATCGGGTTCCATCCTTGCTGCTCTTCATCCTTAGAGTAACTGAGTTTTTAATTGTATTTAAATTTATCAAACTTAAATTTAAATAGCCATGCGTGGCTAATGACTACTGTATTAGAAAGCAGCAGCTCTACACACGTTTTTGCACCTTGCTTTTTTTCAGTTAACAAGATATCCTAGAGATTAATTCATAGCATTATAGAGAGTGAAAGTTTATTGCTTTTTATACCTGCATAGTACAGCACTCCCTAATATAGACATACATTAGATTATTCAATCATCCTCCTATTAATGAACATTAGTCTTGCTCTTAGTTTTCTGCTGTTAAAAATTTTCTGCCAGGAATAGCCTTGTGTTTATGCCCTTTTTCATTTTTTTATTTTTTCTTTGGAATAGATTCCTGGAAAAGAGAGATCTCCTTCCAAGAGTAAATACCTATGCAATTTTACCAGATAGTATCACATCCCCTATATAGGGGTTGTTCTATCAATACAGCCACTGCATGATGGTGGGTAACATGGTAAGACAAGCGAATTTCATGAGCATAGGCCCGTTGTCTTTTCATTTGCTATGAAGCAAGCTCCTTGGTCAGAAGCAAAGCTGTATGTAATACCATGACAGTGGATAAAGCATTCTGTAAGTCCATGGATAGTAATTTTGGCAAAAGCACTGCATGCAGGGAGGGAAAATCCATATCCAGAATATTCCAGTAAGGACATACTACAATAAGAACAAAATGCTGCTCCTTCATGAAGAAAGTGATCCAATGTAATATATCTGCCACCAGGTAGCTGACTGTTCACCCTGGGAAATAGTATCATACTGGGGACTCAGGATTGATCTTGTATGCTGGCAGATATTCAGCAGTGGTTGTAGCCAAGTTGACCTTGCTGAGTGGAAGTCCATGTTTCTAAGCCAAGCATAAAGTCCATCCCTGCTACCATGGGCACTTTGTTCATAAGCCTATTGGGTAATGACAGGAGTGGCTAGGCAAAGAGGCTGACTGGTATCCACAAAATGGGTCATGCTGTCCACTTGATTATTAAAGTCTTCCTCTGCTGAGGCACCCTTTCATTAACATTCACATTGGACAAAAAATATTTTCATATTTTCCCTGATTTATAGAGATTTATCCACATATCTCTTCTCCAGACTTTCATGTTACCAATTTTCCAATGATTTTCCTTCCAAGTCCTTGACCATCCAGACAAACCATTCTTCACAGTTAATGACTTCCACTCACCAGAGATTGACAGTTCTTTTAGCAGTTAAAAATGTGCCACTTCCTTTTGGTCTACATGATTTCTGATGGGAAATTTGCTGTCCTTCCTATTGTTTTTCTCAATGCATTATTTGTTTCTCCCCGCTCTCAAGATTTTTTCTTTTTGTTTTCCTCCTTTCTATCCAAGACAACAATGACATGGAATTAGATAGTCTGTCATAGTCCCACAGGTTGTTGAGGCTTTATTCTATTAGTTTTTTAGTCTACTTTGCCTCTGCTGGTCTAATTGGGTAATTTCTATTGTCACATTCAGGTTCACTATATATTTTTCTTTCCTTTCCTTCTGTTGAGTTCATCCATTCGATTTTTATTTCAGTTATTCTATGTTTCAGGTGATGGTTAATTTTATGTGTCAACTTGACTGGGCCATGATTACCAGATATTTGGTCAAACATTATTCTTGAAGTTTCTGCAAAAGTATTTTTTGGTTTGTTTTTTGTTTTTAAGATGAGATTAACATTTAAAGCACTGGCTTTGAGTAAAAAGGGATTACCTTCCAGAATGTGAATGGGCCTCATCTAATCAGTCAAAGACCATAATAGAACAAATATTGATCTCCCCTGATCAACAAAGAATTATGCCAGCAGCCTTCCTATGGACTCAAAACTTCAACCATCCTTGGATCTTCTGGCTACTGGCCTACCCTACAAATTTTGGACTTACCAGACCTCTACAATCGTGTGAGCCAATTTCTTAAAATAAATCTCTCTCTCTCATACTGGTTCTGTTTCTCTGGAGATCCCTGACTAACATGTTTCAGTTCTAAAATTTCCAAGCTGGCTGTGGTGGCATGTACCTGTAGTTCCAGGTACTTGGGAGGTGGAGACAGGAGAATCCCTTGAACCCAGGAGTTTGAGCCCAGCCTAGGCAACATAGTGAGATTCCCCATCTCTTAAAAATAAAATAAAATAATTATTTAAAAAATGAAATTTCTATTTGGTTCTTCTTTATGCTTTCGATTCATTTGCTGAGACGTTCTGGTTTTTCATTTATTTTAAACAGGTGTGTGAAGTAATCCCCCCTTATCCATGAGGTATATGTTCTAAGACCCCCAGTCTTAGAACATATACCCAAAACCACAAATAGTACCAAACCTTATATGTATTATGTTTTTTTTCAATCTGATAACCAATACAATTACTAAGTGACTAATGGGCAGGTAGCATATACAGCACAGATATGCTGAACAAAGGGATGATTCATGTCCTGGGCAGAACTGAGTGGGATGCTGAGAGATTTTAATCACACTATTCAGAACAGTGCAACATTTAAAATGTGAATTATTTATTTCTGGAATTTTCCATTTAATATTTTTGGACCACAGTGGACCGAGGGTAACTGAAAACATGGGAAATGAAACCACAAATATGGGGGGACAACCATATTTACTAATTAGAACATTTTTATGATAACTTATTTAAAATCATTGTCTGATAATTTCAACATCTGTGACACCTTAGTGTTATTATCTGTTGATTGTCTTTTCTCATTCAGGTTCAGATTTTTCTGGTACTTAGATAGAAGAGGATGTTTTTTCGTAGTATCTAGAACATTTTGGATACTATGTTATAAGTCTCTGGGTCTTATTTTAATTGTATGTTTTTGCAAGGCTTCTCTCGCACCATTCCAGTAGAGGAAGGGGGTTATTATCTTATAACAGCCAGATGGGGATGTAAGTTCAGGTTCTCCAAGTTGCCTTCTCTGATACCACCCCAGAAGGTGGGGAGGGAAGACTGGTTACAGACAGGTGATTGTTGAATCTATGCTCCCCATTTAGCCTTTGCTGGCATGTTGGGAATAGAGCTGTGCTTCATTTTGTGATGTGTCACTGGAGTATGCTAATTATGTACTAAAAGCTTTTTTTCTTACTAGATACATTTCTGGTTATTTGTCTAGATACAGACTTTTGCTGTCTTCTTGTCTTACTTATAACATCCAGGGATTTTAGATGAACTGAGCAGGAGTAAAACAGAAAAGCATGTCTACTACTTCTAGTTCCCCAAACAGAAGTATTTTCCTTCTATTTCTAATATAATTAAAGTTTACATATTAGCATTTTCCCCTTTATTAGATTAAAAAGTACTATGCTATTCACACATTTGTGTTCATTGACTTTTTCACTTAACATTATCTCCTGCAGATGCCTCTGTAGACCCAGGTAGAGATTTTCATCATTATTCTTTATACTTTACTTAGTTCACCCATTGTAAGGCTGTAGAACAGTTTATTCATCCATCACATAATTGATGGGTATTTAAGTTGTTTCTATTCTTTTTCTATACATATACCACCACAATGAATATCTGTCTCTATATCTGCAAACTTCTTGTGTCTTTGCCAGTATATCTTTAGGAGATACATGTTTCTGGAAATGGGATTTCTTACTCAAAGTGTAAGAGCATAAATAATTGTGTTAGATATTATCAAATTTCCCTTCATAGTGGTTATATTAGTTTCCTATGTCTACCATAATAAATTACCACAGAATTTGTTACTATAAACAACAGATAATTATTATCTCACAGTTGTGGAAGCCAGAAGTTCAAAATCAGTTTCACTGGTCCAAATGAACCAGTGACCAAGGGACCAGTGAGACAGATATAAGCTTTACTTGTATCTGTCTTACTAAAACCAAGTTTGAACCTCCTTGCATTTTTTTCTGTTAACTGCTTTGGCTTTTTTTTTTATACTTCAGAAAAACCTGTTTATATTTCTTATTTCTTTTTTCTTTTCTTTTCTTTTTTTTTTTTTTTTTGAGACGGAGTCTCGATCTGTCGTCCAGGCTGGAGTGCAGTGGTGCGATCTCGGTTTACTGCAACCTCTGCCTCCTGGGTTCAAGCAATTCTTGTGCCCCAGCCTCCTGAGTAGCTGGGATTACAGGTGCGCCACCATGCCCAGCTAATTTTTGTATTTTTAATAGAGGCAAGGTTCGCCATGTTGGCCAGGCTGGTCTCGAACTCCTAACCTCAGGTGGTCCACCTGCCTCAGATTCCCAAAATGCTAGAATTACAGGTGTAAGCCAATGCACCCAGCTTATATTAAAAAGCTTTTATATTTAAAGGATATCAACACTTTGTCAGAGACTATTTGAAAATATTTTTCAGTGTCTTTTTAATTGGCTAGCATGTACTTTGCCATATTTGTGTAGTCAAATTTATCACTTTTTTCTTAATACTCTTGAATTTTGAGTCAGTGTCTTCTATTTCCAGATTTTTGAGTAAGTCACCCATGCTTCCTTTTAATATTTGTATGGATTTTTTAACTTTTAGATCTGAACCCCTTACAATTTATAATGATGTAAGATGGAGAAGTAGACCCCTTTATACCGTTTTAGCCATATAGTTTTGTAGTTATCACAGTACCATTTTGTAAGCCACTCATCAATTCTCTGCTGATTAGAATTACTGCCTAAATTATATTCCAAATTTCCAAATATAATTCGGTCTATGTCAGTATTTTCTATACTGTTTCATTAGTCTTTCTATTTACGGGACAATATCACATTCTTATAGCATGTATACTTTATTGTATGTCTTAGTATCTTGTAGGAGCAGCTGTCACCCCTTCCCACCACTCTTCTTTTTCAGGGTTTGTCTGATAATTCTTGCTATTTATACTGCCAAATAAAGTTGATAATAAGCTTGTCTAAATCCATTTATTTATTCTTTTTTTTTTTTTAATGGAGTCTTGCTCTGTCGCCCAGGCTGGAGTGCAGTGGCGTGATCTTGGCTCACTGCAAGCTCTGCCCCCTGAGTTCACACCATTCTCCTGCTTCAGCCTCCCGAGTAGCTGGGACTACAAGCGCCCGCCACCAAGCCCGGCTAATTTTTTGCGTTTTTAGTAGAGATGGGGTTTCACGTGTTAGCCAGGATGTCTCAATCTCCTGACCTACTCAGGAGGCTGAGGCAGGAGAATGGCGTGAACCCGGGAGCGGCTTGCAGTGGGCCGAGATCGCGCCACTGCACTCCAGCCTGGGCACAGAGCGAGACTCCGCCTCAAAAAAAAAATTAATGCTATTTTTATTAAATCACATTAAATTAATAAATTAACTCAGGGAAATTGCCATCTCAATGATATCCACTTGAAGGGAATCAACATATTTCACCCCATAATGTTACTACTTTGACGTATTTGAAGATGGCTATTCAGAAGAACTGGAAATACAAGAATAGCTGAAAAGCTGTCTTTTGTGAAGGAGCTTTGAATTTGTAGAGAAAGTCTGCCTTGATGCAGGTAATCTTTCTCTGGGGGATTTCCCTTGTGGGGATCTAGGAAAGATTAACTGAGAGTTTGACACCTTGATGTAACAAAACTCAGAACTCTGAATGTGCTCCCCTAGCCCCACACAGATACAATGACAGAAGATAGAAGCCTCACTTGCAGGAATTGTTTGAGTGCAAATTCTGTCCAATCGTTTATTGGCTTTTAAGCTACACAGAACCAAGGGATATCCCTAATGAGACAGCCTTATAAATAGATGCAAGAACAAAACTGAGCAAACAAACACACACACAACTAACTCATGTAGACACATACACACACGCGTACACAAATGAACAAAAATGTCATCTGCTGTGTAGGACAAAGAAAACAAACTTCTCAGTTTTAGCCCAGGCGTATTATAGTACTAAACAAAGAAATGACAAATCCAGCAATAAAGGCAAACTTCATTAGGAGAAGCCAGAGGCCAGAGTAGCAAATACATCTAGTTTTCAACAAAATATTATAAGACCTACAAAGTAGAAACGGTTGACTGTAGCTAGGGCTGCCATAACAAAATGCTATAGACTGTGTGGCTTAAACAGCAGAGATTTATTTTCTCACATTTCTGGAAGATGAAAGTCCAAAATCAGGGTGCCAGTATAGTCATTTTCTGGTGAGAGCTTTCTTCCTGGCTTACAGGTGTCTACCATCTCATGCTATGTGCTCACATTTTTGCAATCACAGACAGAGCAAGCAAGAGCAAGCTCTCTGATGTCTCTCTTACAAGGGCACTGAATTCATCATGAAGACCCCAAACCAATTATCTCATCTAACCCTAATTACCTCCCAAGGTCCCCATCTTCAAATGTCATCACATCAGGGGTTAAAGCTTCAACAGGTGAATTTGGGGAAGACACAAACATCCATAAGTCAAGAAAAACTGTCTTTGAGTGTCTTAAATGTTGGGCAGAATGTTCTCTATATTCTTGAATGTTTCATAATCTCATAAATGCTGTTCAACATCATGCCTCTGAGCACACCCAAATCCATTTTCCCACAGGGAAGACAAGTGTGTCTTTGAACTCATCAGGGGAGCTTAGTGATAGATCTCACCAGGAACACAAGGCATGGTTTTTGCCTAACAGCTGCTCCTGGACTGCTTTGTTTGTTAATAGATTTATTTTTTAAAAACTCTGGACCTATCTCAGTCACCAGTGCAGTGTCCTCAGGTCATGCCTTATGCAGCCACATCACACCAGGATTTCAGCCACTTACTGCCTTCTTGAGAGGCAAGCATCCAGGAGTTACTAGCATTTCTTTGATACAGAATTGCCCATTTTTTTCAGTCACTAATAATGAAATATGTATTGAGCTCAAAACCCATATTATTCCATTGTGGAGGCATCTCATTAGCTCCAAAGTGAAAATAAGAGAGCAAGAAGGGAAATGGATATATGGGCAACTTCAAGGGTTAAATCTGAGATGAGATGGTTCTTTCACATTAACTTTTTTTCTTTTTTGTTTGAGATGGAGTCGCCCAGGCTGCAGTGCAGTGGCGTGATCTCGGCTCACCACAACTTCTGCCTCCCCAGGTTCAAGCGATTCTCTCATCTCAGCCTCCTGAGTAGCTGGGATTACAGGTGCCCACCACACCTGGCTAATTTTTGTATTTTTAGTAGAGATGGGGTTTCACCATGTTGGTCAGGCTGGTCTCGAACTCCTGACCTCAGGTGATCCACCTGCCTCGGCCTCCCAAAGTGCTGGGATTATAGGAATGACCCACTGCACCCAGCACACATTAACTTTTAAACTTGCTCAACTTTCAAGGAATTGTGGCTGGACGTGATGTCTCACCCTGTAACCCCAGCACTTTTGGAGGCTGAGTATGGAGAATCACTTGAGGCCAGGAGTTCAACACCAGCCTGGGCAAAAAAGTGAGACCCTCGTCTCCACAAAAAATAAAAAATAGTTAGCAGGGCATGGTGCTGCCTGCCTGTAGTCCCAGCTACTCCAGAGGCTGAGTGGGGAGGATCACTTGAGCCCAGCAGGAGATGTAGGCTGCAGTGAGCTATGATGGCTCTACCGAGTTCCAGCCTGGGCAATAGAAAGAGACCTTGTTTTTTTGTTTGTTTCATTTTGTTTCTTAAAAAAGAATTGAAGATTTTCTTAAAATCCCTTTTCGGACTTCTCATCCTATTAAGTCACAGGTCTGTGTCTCGCTCAGTGTTTCTCTTACTTTCTTTCTTTCTCCCTTCCCCTTCAAAGACAGAGTTCCAGAAAGTGATTTCTACATTCCTGTTAATATTCTTCACATCATACTGACTTCTTATTTTCACTACAGCGACACTATGGCTCCTGTACCTCTAACTGCAATAAAATTGCTCTCACCAACGTCACAGACTATGTTTTGTCACTAGATCCACCTATTTTGTATACAGATATTGATATACTGAATGTTACTTTTAGTGGCATTTGCAGGCTGCCTCTTTCTCTTAACAACAAGTCATTGACATTTTTTTAGGCTCTGGAGCATGATGTACTGGACACAAATTCACGCTGTTCCACTCCCTAATTGTGCACTCTTAGGCAAAGTCTTTATTTTGTCTGTCTCTCTGGTTTTTCATTTACAGAATAAGAACAACATTATGCCGGCCGGGCGCGGTGGCTCACGCCTGTAATCCCAGCACTTTGGGAGGCCGAGGCAGATGGATCACGAGGTCAGGAGATCGAGACCATCCTGGCTAACACGGTGAAACCCCGTCTCTACTAAAAATACAAAAAATTAGCCGGGCGTGGTGGCGGGCGCCTGTACTCCCAGCTACTCGGGAGGCTGAGGCAGGAGAATGGCGTGAACCCAGGAGGCGGAGCTTGCCGTGAGCCGAGATCGCGCCACTGCACTCCACCCTGGGCGACAGAGCGAGACTCTGTCTCAAAAAAAAAAAAAAAAAAAGAAGAAGAATAACATTATGTCTATCTCAGAAGGGCACTGTGACCATTAAATGAATCAATACATAAAGGTAATTAGCACATTTAGAAAAAAATACATAAAAGTAATTAGCACATTTCTGCATAAGAAAATTTAGAAATTTTAGCCTCACGCTGTCATAACAAGTAACTACAGACTTCAGGTTTAAAACATCAGTAATTTATTCTCTCACTGTTCTTGAGACCAGAACTCTGAAACCAAGATGTCAATAGGGCCATGCTCCCCCTCGAAGTTTTAGGGGGGAATTCTTTTTTTCTTCTTCTCACATCTAGTGGTTCCTGGTTTACTTGTTTTGTGGCAGCATGACTCCAGTCTCTGCCTTCTTTTTTTTTTTTTTTTTTTTTTTTGGAGACAGGGTCTCACTCTGTCGCCTAGGCTGTAGTGCAGAAGTTCAGTGGAGCAATCATAGCTCACTGCAACCTTGAATTCCTAGGCTCAAAGGATCCTCCCACCTTAGCCTCCCAAGCAATGAAGACCACAGGCACGTTCTACCATGCCCAGCTAATTTTTCTATTTTTTTTTTTTACAGATGGGGGTCTCACTATATTGCCCAGGCTGGTCTTGAACTCCTGGCCTCAAGTGATCCTCCAGCCTCAGCCTCCCAAAGTGCTGGGATTATAGGCATGAGCCACCATGCCTGGCCTCTGCCTCCATCTTCACATGACTTTCTTCCTATGTGTGTCAAGTCCCCCTCTTCTTTATCTTATGTAGACACCAGTCATTGGATTTAGGCACCAACCTCAATCCAGGATATTCACATCTGGAGATCTTTAGCTTAATTATACCTGCATAATTCTTATTTCTAAGTAAGGTGACATTCACAAATATGGGGGGGTTAGGATTTAGAGATACCTTTTTATTCTTTTTATTTTATTATTATTATTTGTTTTTAGAGACAGGGTCTGGCTATGCTGCCCAGGCTTGTCTCAAACTGCTAGCCTCAAGCAGATTCTCCCACCTCAGCATCTCAAAGTACTGAGATGACAAGCATCAGCCAACATACCCATTTTGGAGTTACCTTTTTGAGTGACACAATTCAACCCACTACAGTGATATAGGAGGTTGCAAAATTACATGTAATATGAGATGTTATTTTCTGTGTATAAATACAAGTACATGCATGCATAAGTATACAAATACCTGCATAAGAAAACTTCTGGAAGAATGTAATGCAGATGCAAACATTAACAGGTCTGATCTTTGAGTGTCATGTTTGTGGTAAATACAAGAGTACAAACAAAAAAGTAATTAGGGGATGATGTCCTTCCTTGCTTCCACCATCCTCAGGTATCTCATCCTACAAAAAATAGGGCACCAAAGCTTATCCATTGTATAAATATGTATGTGTTTCTTTTCCTGCTGCTTCAAATCTGTATGATCTCTATGAGATGTTCATATTTAAGTCATTTATGTTGTTAAAGGGAGAATACAAGAGATGCTAAACATATATTTATTTTAAACATTATAGGACTTTCTACAGATTTTCTCTTTTCTCCTCACAAGAGTGGTGTGAAGTAAGTATTTAATATGCCTGTATTGCGGATGACAGAGGTCAGGCATGATGAAGGGGAATTCAGTACTCCAGCTTCATATACATCTACTTAGAGGCACGTGTGTGTGCATGTGTTTGTGTGTGTAATACACAAAATATGTTCACATACCTATATTCTTTTGTAAAATTTATATAATATTAAATATATTTTTTCTAGCAACTTGCCCTTTCCATTCAGCATGATAGCTCAGGATATTAATTACCATTTCTTAAGTTACGGTAATTTGGCATACTTTCAAAGTTTCATAAGTATGTATATTGTTTCATGTGACTTACCTGTTGGTAGCATTTGTCCATTTCTTCATTCATGAGTTGTGTTCATTCCATATTAAGAATATTAAGTAGAATATTAAAGAGTCAAGGTAACCACTAGAAAAAAAGTAATAACTTTTCTAAATACCAATAAAAAAGTAAGACCAGTTGAAACAGACAATAGTGAAAGTCCTAGTCAAATTATATATAGAATTTATTTGTATGTGTAAACATTATAACAGAACTCAGCCCAAACATACAAATATACTGATTATATCAAAAAATGTAAATGGGGCTGGGCACGGTGGCTAACACCTGTAATCCCAGCACTTTAGGAGGCCGAGGCCAGAGGATCACCTTAGGTCAGGAGTTCAAGACCATTCTGGCCAACATGGCAAAACCCTGTCTCTACTAAAAAATACAAAAACTAGCTGGGCAACTGTAATCCCAGCTATTAGGGAGGCTGAGGCAGAAGAATCACTTGAACCTGGGCAGCAGAGGTTGCAGTGAGCCGAGACTGTGCCAGTGCACTCCAGCCTGGGCAACAGAGTGAGACTCCATCTCAAAAAAAAAAAACAATATATATAAATGGGCATAACTTACCTATCAAAAGAAAAAGATTTTCATATTGCCAATTGAAGCAAAGTTCAAAAATTTTTTTTCAATAGATACACCTCAAACAAAGCCATTCAGATAGGTGAAAATTTAAATTAAGTAAATATGCACCAAACAGTTGCAATTTTTTTTAAAAAAAGCATGTATTACAATATTGATATTTAAGAGGGTAGATTTGACACCAAAATGGTTTAAAAGAGCATACTTGGTAATGCTAAAGAATACAATTTACAAGGAAGATGTGTTATTAATATTTATGCACTCAGGCCAGGTGCGGTGGCTTATACCTGTAATCCCAGCACTTTGGGAGGCCAAGGCGGGTGGATCACGAGGTCAGGAGATCGAGACTATCCTGGCTAACACGGTGAAACCCCCGTCTCTACTAAAAATATATTTTAAAAAATTAGCCGGGCGTGGTGGCGGGCGCCTGTAGTCCTGGCTACTCGGGAGGCTGAGGCAGGAGAATGGCGTGAACCTGGGAGGCGGAGCTTGCAGTGGGCCGAGATCGTGCCACTGCACTCTAGCCTGGGTGACAGAGCGAGACTCCATCTCAAAATAAATAAATAAATAAATAAATAGTATTTATGCACTCAACTGCACAACAGAAATATTCATAGTCCAAAAAATAAAGGAGCTGCAGGGAGAAATAGGAAGTAACATGCTAATGATCAATTATTTAAACACAATTTCCTTTACCAAAGAATGATAAAGTTGCCAAAAAATTTGCTGAGTATACAGAAGACCTAAACAACATAATGCAGTGGGTAGATAGATATGCTGAATTCGGAAGCCTGATATTAGACAATACATCTACTTTACATGAACATTCATGAAAATTGGCTCTTTCAGAAGCTGTTAAACAAATCTTAGAAATAAATGGAAAATACAGAAGAAAACTGCAGAATTGAATGAGAATAATGACGATGAAAACGCAAAGCCAGGCGCGGTGGCTCACGCCTGTAATCCCAGCACTTTGGGAGGCCGAGAAGGGCAGATCACGAGGTCAGGAGATTGAGACCATCCTGGCCAGCATGGTGAAACCCCGTCTCTATTAAAAATAAAAAAATTAGCTGTGTGTGGTGGCACACACTTGTAGTCCCACGCACCTGTAGTCCCAGCTACTCGGGAGGCTGAGGCAGGAGAATCACTTGAACCCGGGAGGCAGAGGTTGCAGTGAGCCGAGATGGCGCCACTGCACTCCAGCCTGGGTAACAAGAGCTAAACTCCGTCCAAAAAAAAAAAAAAAAAACAGCAGGAAAACAAAGGGCAGATATAGAACATTAAAAATAACAAGTGGGAAATAGTTATCAAAACATGGAGAGTTTCAAGATTCTTCAGTGAATAATTTGCACAACTCTATTCAATTACATTTAAAAACAGATGAAATGGGGAAGGGGGAGGGATAGCATGGGGAGATATACCTAATGCTAGATGACGAGTTAGTGGGTGCAGCACACCAGCATGGCACATGTATACATATGTAACTAACCTGCACAATGTGCACATGTACCCTAAAACTTAAAGTATAATAAAAAAAAAAAAACAGATGAAATGGATAAATTTCTAGAAAATTACAACTTACCCTAGTTGACTCCATTAGAGACCAAAAGTCTAAACAGACCTAAACAGATCAACTATGTAGAAGAAATAGAGAAATTAATTCAAGACCTCTCCAGTAAAAAAACCACAAGACTAGATACTTCCACAGGAGAATTCTACTAAACCTTTAAAGGAAAGATGTACAAGTATATAACTGATCCCAAAACCTAACAAAGGTTTCACCAAAAATGACCAGGCATGGTGGCTCACGCCTGTAATCCCAGCACGTTGAGAGGCCAAGGCAGAAGATCACTTGAGGCCAGGAGTTCAAGACCAGCCTGGGCAACACAGCAAGACCTCATCTCTACAAAAAATTTAAAAATTAACCAGGCATGGTGGTGCACAACTGTAGTCTCAGCTACTCAGGAGGCTGAGGTGGGAGGATCACCTGAGCCCAAGAATTTCAATCTCACTCTGGGTGACAGAGTGAGACTCCATCTCAAAAAAAAAAAAAAAAAAAAAAGATTTCACCAAAAATTAAAATTACAGATCAATCACAAAGAATACGAAGGGAGTTTCTTAACTATCAGCAAACACAGTCCTACAGCACACACACAAATTGCCCTCCAGATCACAGCATTGTAGAGCTTATTCCAAGAATGCAAACGTGTTTCAATATCATTAAATCCAATAATATGACCTATTGTATCAATGAAGCAAAAAAGAAAAAATACATGATCACTTGTATAGATACAGAAAAGGTTTTGATAACATCCCAACATCCATTCTTTTTTATTATTATTATACTTTAAGTTTTAGGGTACATGTGCACAATGTGCAGGTTTGTTACATATGTATACATGTGCCATGTTGGTGTGCTGCACCAAACTTGTCAATTAACATTAGGTATATCTCCTAATGCTATCCCTCCCCACTTCCCCCACCCCACAACAGGCCCCGGTGTGTGATGTTCCCCTTCCTGTGTCCATGTGTTCTCATTGTTCAATTCCCACCTATGAGTGAGAATATGCGGTGTTTGGTTTTTTGTCCTTGCGATAGTTTGCTGAGAATGATGGTTTCCAGCTTCATCCATGTCCCCACAAAGGACATGAACTCATCATTTTTTATGGCTGCATAGTATTCCATGGTGTATATGTGCCACATTTTCTTAATCCAGTCTATCATTGTTGGACATTTGGCTTGGTTCCAAGTCTTTGCTATTGTGAATAGTGCTGCAATAAACATACTTGTGCATGTGTCTTTATAGCAGCATGATTTATAATCCTTTGGGTATATACCCAGCAATGGGATGGCTGGGTCAAATGGTATTTCTAGTTCTAGATCCCTGAGGAATCGCCACACTGACTTCCACAATGGTTGAACTAGTTTACAGTCCCACCAACAGTGTAAAAGTGTTCCTATTTCTCCACATCCTCTCCAGCACCTGTTGTTTCCTGACTTTTTAATGATCGCCATTCTAACTGGTGTGAGGTGGTATCTCATTGTGGTTTTGATTTGCATTTCTCTGATGGCCAGTGATGATGAGCATTTTTTCATGTGTTTTTTGGCTGCATAAATGTCTTCTTTTGAGAAGTGTCTGTTCATGTCCTTCGCCCACTTGTTGATGGGGTTGTCTGTTTTTTTCTTGTAAATTTGTTTGAGTTCATTGTAGATTCTGGATATTAGCCTTTTGTCAGATGAGTAGATTGCAAAAATTTTCTCCTGTTCTGTAGGTTGCCTGTTCACTCTGATGGTAGTTTCTTTTGCTGTGCAGAAGCTCTTTAGTTTAATTAGATCCCATTTGTCAATTTTGGCTTTTGTTGCCATTGCTTTTGGTGTTTTGGACATGAAGTCCTTGCCCATGCCTATGTCCTGAATGATATTGCCTAGGTTTTCTTCTAGGGTTTTTATGGTTTTAGGTCTAACATGTAAGTCTTTAATCCATCTTGAATTAATTTTTGTATAAGGTGTAAGGAAGGGATCCAGTTTCAGCTTTCTACATATGGCAAGCCAGTTTTCCCAGCACCAATTATTAAATAGGGAATCCTTTCCCCATTTCTTGTTTTTCTCAGGTTTGTCAAAGATCAGATAGTTGTAGATATGCAGCATTATTTCTGAGGGCTCTGTTCTGTTCCATTGGTCTATATATCTGTTTTGGTTCCAGTACCATGCTGTTTTGGTTACTGTAGCCTTGTAGTATAGATTGAAGTCAGGTAGCATGATGCCTCCAGCTTTGTTCTTTTGGCTTAGGATTGTCTTGGCAATGCAGGCTCTTTTTTGATTCCATATGAACTTTAAAGTAGCTTTTTCCAATTCTGTGAAGGAAGTCATTGGTAGCTTGATGGGGATGGCATTGAATCTATAAATTACCTTGGGCAGTATGGCCATTTTCACAATATTGATTCTTCCTACCCATGAGCATGGAATGTTCTTCCATTTGTTTGTATCCTCTTTTATTTCATTGAGCAGTTTTTTGTCATTCTCCTTGAAGAGGTCATTCACATCCCTTGTAAGTTGGATTCCTAGGTATTTTATTCTTTTTGAAGCAATTGTGAATGGGAGTTCACTCATGATTTGGCTCTCCGTTTGTCTGTTATTGGTGTATAAGAATGCTTGTGATTTTTGCACATTGATTTTGTATCCAGAGACTTTGCTGAAGTTGCTTATCAGCTTAAGGAGATTTTGGGCTGAGACAATGGGGTTTTCTAGATATACAATCATGTCATCTGCAAACAGGGACAATTTGACTTCCTCTTTTCCTAATTGAATACACTTTATTTCCTTCTCCTGCCTGATTGCCCTGGCCAGAACTTCCAACACTATGTTGAATAGGAGTGGTGAGAGAGGGCATCCCTGTCTTGTGCCAGTTTTCAAAGGGAATGCTTCCAGTTTTTGCTCATTCCATATGATATTGGCTGTGGGTTTGTCATAGATAGCTCTTATTATTTTGAGATACGTCCCATCAATACCTAATTTATTGAGAGTTTTTAGCATGAAGCGTTGTTGAATTTTGTCAAAGGCCTTTTCTGCATCTATTGAGATAATCATGTGGTTTTTGTCATTGGTTCTGTTTATATGCTGGATTATGTTTATTGATTTGCATATGTTGAACCAGCCTTGCATCCCAGGGATGAAGCCCACTTGATCATGATGGATAAGCTTTTTGATGTGCTGCTGGATTCGGTTTGCCAGTATTGTATTGAGGATTTTTGCATCTGTGTTCATCAGGGATATTGGTCTAAAATTCTCTTTTTTTGTTGTGTCTCTGCCAGGCTTTGGTATCAGGATGATGCTGGCCTCATAAAATGAGTTAGGAAGGATTCCCTCTTTTTCTATTGATTGGAATAGTTTCAGAAGGAATGGTACCAGCTCCTCCTTCTACCTCTGGTAGAATTCGGCTGTGAATCCGTGTGGTCCTGGACTTTTTTTGGTTGGTAAGCTATTAATTATTGCCTCAATTTCAGAGCCTGTTATTGGTCTATTCAGAGATTCAACTTCTTCCTGGTTTAGTCTTGGGACGGTGTATGTGCTGAAGAATTTATCCATTTCTTCCAGATTTTCTGGTTTATTTGCAGAGAGGTGTTTATAGTATTCTCTGATGGTAGTTTGTATTTCTGTGGGATTGGTGGTGATATCCCCTTTGTCATTTTTTATTGCGTCTCTTTGATTCTTTTCTCTTTTCTTCTTTATTAGTCTTGCTAGTGGTCTATCAATTTTGTTGATCCTTTCAAAAAATCAGCTCCTGGATTCATTGATTTTTTGAAGGGTTTTTTGTGTCTCTATTTCCTTCAGTTCTGCTCTGATCTTAGTTATTTCTTGCCTTCTGCTACCTTTTGAATGGGTTTGCTCTTGCTTCTCTAGGTCTTTTAATTGTGATATTAGGGTGTCAATTTTAGATCTTTCCTGCTTTCTCTTGTGGCCATTTAGTGCTATAAATTTCCCCCTACACACTGCTTTGAATGTGTCCCAGAGATTCTGGTATGTTGTGTCTTTGTTCTCACTGGTTTCAAAAAACATCTTTATTTCTGCCTTCATTTTGTTATCTACCCAGCCATCATTCAGGAGCAGGTTGTTCAGTTTCCACGTAGTTGAGTGGTTTTGAGTGAGTTTCTTAATCCTGAGTTCTAGTTTGATCGCACTGTGGTCTGAGAGACAGTTTGTTATAATTTCTGATCTTTTACATTTGCTGAGGAGTGCTTTACTTCCAACTATGTGGTCAATTTTGGAATAGGTGTGGTGTAGTGCTGAAAAGAATGTATATTCTGTTGATTTGGGGTGGAGAGTTCTGTAGATGTCTATTAGGTCCACTTGGTGCAGAGCCGAGTTCAATTCCTGGAAATCCTTGTGAACTTTCTGTCTCGTTGATCTGTCTAATGTTGACAGTGGGGTGTTAAAGTCTCCCATTATTATTGTGTCGGAGTCTAAGTCTCTTTGTAGGTCACTAAAGACTTGCTTTATGAATCTGGGTGTTCCTGTATTGGGTGCATATATATTTAGGATAGTTAGCTCTTCTTGTTGAATTGATCCCTTTACCATTATGTAATGGCCTTCTTTGTCTCTTTTTGTCTTTGTTGGTTTAAAGTCTGTTTTATCAGAGACTAGGATTGCAACCCCTTCCTTTTTTGTTTTCCATTTGCTTGTTAGATATTCCTCCATCCCTTTATTTTGGGCCTATATGTGTCTCTGCATGTGAGATGGGTTTCCTGAATACAACACACCAATGGGTCCTGACTCTTTATCCAATTTTCCAGTCTGTGTCTTTTAATTGGAGCATTTAGTCCATTTACATTTAAGGTTAGTATTGCTATGTGTGAATTTCATCCTGTCATTTTGATGTTAGGTGGTTATTTTGCTTGTTAGCTGATGCAGTTTCTTCCCAGCCTCGATGGTCTTTACAATTTGGCATGTTTTTGTATTGGCTGGTACCGGTTGTTCCTTTCCATGTTTAGTGCTTCCTTCAGGAGCTCTTTTAGGGAAGGCCTGGTGGTGACAAAATCTCTCAGCATTTGCTTGTCTGTAAAGTATTTTATTTCTCCTTCACTTATGAAGCTTAGTTTGGCTGGATATGATATTCTGGGTTGAAAATTCTTTTCTTTAAGAATGTTGAATATTGGGCCCCACTCTCTTCTGGCTTGTAGAATTTCTGCCGAGAGATCAGCTGTTAGTCTGATGGGCTTCCCTTTGTGGGTAACCTGATCTTTCTCTCTGGTTGCCCTTAACATTTTTTCCTTCATTTCAACTTTGGTGAATCTGACAATTATGTGTCTTGGAGTTGCTCTTCTGGAGGAATATCTTTGTGGTGTCCTCTGTATTTCCTGAATTTGAATGTTGGCCTGCCTTGCTAGATTGGGGAAGTTCTCCTGGATAATATCCTGTGGAGTGTTTTCCAACTTGGTTCCATTCTCCCTGTCACTTTCAGGTACACCAATCAGACGTAGATTTGGTATTTTCACATAGTCCCATATTTCTTGGAGGCTTTGTTCATTTCTTTTTATTCTTTTTTCTCTAAACTTCTCTTCTTGCTTCATTTCATTCATTTGATCTTCCATCACTGATACCCTTTCTTCTGGTTGATCAAATCAGCTACTGAGGCTTGTGCATTCATCACTTAGTTCTCGTGCCGTGGTTTTCAGCTCCATCAGGTCCTTTAAGGACTCCTCTGCATTGGTTATTATAGTTAGCCATTCGTCTAATCATTTTTCAGGTTTTTTAACTTCTTTGCCATGGGTTCAAACTTCCTCTTTAAGCTCGGAGTAGTTTGATCATCTGAAGCCTTCTTCTCTCAATTCCTCAAAGTCATTCTCCATCCAGCTTTGTTCCATTGCTGGTGAGGAGCTGCGTTCCTTTGGAGGAGGAGATGTGCTCTGATTTTTAGATTTTTCAGTTTTTCTGCTCTGTTTTTTCCCCATCTTTGTGGTTTTATCTACCTTTGGTCTTTGATGATGGTGATGTACAGATGGGGTTTTGGTGTGGATGTCCTTTCTGTTTGTTAGTTTCCCTTCTAACATTCAGGGCCCTCAGCTGCAGGTCTGTTGGAGTTTGCCGGAGGTCCACTCCAGACCCTGATTGCCTGGGTATCAGCAGCGGAGGCTGCAGAACAGCGGATATTGGTGAACAGCAAATGTTGCTACCTGATCATTCCTCCGGAAGTTTTGTCTCAGAAGAGTACCCGGCCATGTGAGGTGTCAGTCTGCCCCTACTGGGGGGTGCCTCCCAGTTAGGCTACTCAGGGGTCAGAGACCCACTTGAGGAGGCAGTCTGACCATTCTCAGATCTCCATCTGTGTGCTGGGAGAACCACTACTGTTTCCAAAGTGTCAGACAGGGACATTTAAGTCTGCAGAGGTTTCTGCTGCCTTGTGTTTGTCTATGCCCTGCCCCCAGAGGTGGAGTCTACAGAGGCAGGCAGGCCTCCTTGAGCTGCGGTGGGCTCCACTCAGTTCGAGCTTCCTGGACGCTTTGTTTACCTACTCAAGCCTTGGCAATGGAGGATGCCCCTCCTCCAGCCTCGCTGCCGCCTTGCAGTTTGATCTCAGACTGCTGTGCTAGCAATGAGCAAGGCTCCGTGGGCGTAGGACCCTCTAAGCCATGCGCAGGATATAATCTCCTGGTGTGCCGTTTGCTAAGACTGTTGGAAAAGCGCAGTATTAGGGTGGGAGTGACCCGAATTTCCAAGTGCCATCTGTCACCCCTTTCCTTGTCTAAGAAAGGGAATTCCCTGACCCATTGCACTTCCCAGGTGAGGCAATGCCTCAACCTGCTTCAGCTCACACTCGGTGCACTGCACCCACTGTCCTGCACCCACTGTCTGACAATCCCCATTGAGATGAACCCGGTACCTCAGTTGGAAATACAGAAATCATTTATCTTCTGCATTGCTCATGCTGGGAGGTGTAGACTGGAGCTGTTCCTATTTGGCCATCTTTCCAACATCCATTCTCTAAAAGAACTCAAGAAAATGGGTGTTGGTGGATACTTTCCTTTTTTTATTTTAATTAAATTAAATTAATTAATTAATTTTTTTTAAACAGAGTCTCACTGTGTTGCCCAGGCTGGAGTGCATTGGTGTGATCTTGGCTCACTGCAACCTCTGCCTCCCATGTTCAAGCAGTTTTCCTGCCTCAGCCTCCTGGGTAGCTGGGATTATAGGCATCCACCACCACGCCTGGCTAATTTTTGTGTTTTTAGTAGAGACAGGGTTTCGCCATGTTGGCTAAGCTGGTCTCAAACTCCTGACTGCAGAAGTGAGCCACCACCCTCAGCCTCCCAAAGTGCTAGGATTACATGTGTGAGCCACCACACCCAGCCTGATTTTTATTTTTTAGAGGCAAGGTCTTGCTGTGTTGCCCATGCTGGCCTCATATTTCTAAGTTCAAGGAATCCTCCCACCTCAGCCTCCTGTGTAACTGGTACTATAGGCATGCACCACCACACCGGGCTTGGTGGATACTTTCTTTTGTCCGTTTCTTTTCTTTTTTTTTTTTGAGACAGAGTCTCGCACTGTCACCCAGGCTGGAGTGCAGTGGCATGATCTCGGCTCACTGCAAGCTCTGCCTCCCAGGTTCACGCCATTCTCCTGCCTCAGCCTCCCAAGTAGCTGGGACTACAGGCACCCGCCAACATGCCCGGCTAATTTTTTGTATTTTTAGTAGAGATGGGGTTTTTCCATGTTAGCCAGGATGGTCTTGATCTCCTGACCTTGTGATCCGCCCACCTTGGCCTCCCAAAGTGCTGGGATTACAGGCGCGAGCCACTGTGCCCGGCCTGTTGGATACTTTCTTAACATGATCATACACACAGACAAACATGCACACGCAATCCTCTGGGGCAAAAAGTCAGCATCTTACTTAGTGGAGAAACACTAGAGGCTTTCTTGCTAATAGAAAAACAAGACATAATGCCCACTTATCTCCTCTCATATTTGGCATTGTGTGGGAAGTATTATCCGACACAATTAGCAAGAGTAAACAATTAGAAATAAAGGAAGGGGTAAAATTCTTTTTATTTGCTGATATGATGGTTATACATTGGATAATCCAAAGAAACAATCGAAAAATTATAAGAAACAAAAAGAGAATTTAGCAAAGTAGCAGATTACACTATCAACATCAAAAATCAATAACTTTCAATATACAAACAAAAATTCAAATTTATAATGAAAGAGAAATTATTAGCATAAACTTAAGAAGTAATGTCCAATACTTAAAACACAAAATTAGACTTGAACAAGTAAGACACATGATATTCTTGAGTAAGGAGACTCAATACAATTGAAATGTTAATTTCCCTATATTAATTTATTAATTAAATGAGATTCCAATAAAAATACCATTAGCTCTTTTTATGAACTTAGACTCGTTGATTATCAAAGTTATCTGGCAGAATAAACGCAAGACTAGGCTGGGTGCGGTAGCTCACGCCTGTAATCCCAGCACTTTGGGAGGCCAAGGCAGGCGGATCACGAGGTCAGGAGATCCAGACCATCCTGGCTAACATGGTGAAACCCCGTCTCTACTAAGCATACAAAAATTAGCCTGGCATGGTGGCGGGCGCCAGTAGTCTCAGCTACTCGGGAGGCTGAGGCAGGAGAATGGCGTGAACCCAGGAGGCGGAGCTTGCAGTGAGCTGAGATCGCGTCACTGCACTCCAGCCTGGGCGACAGAGCAAGACTCTGTCTCAAAAAAAAAAAAAAAAAAAAGAAAAGCAAGACTAGTCAGATAAACCCTGAAAAAGAAGAGAGTGAGGGAAGGGGGTTACAGCTGGTCCTACCAGATACTAAGACATAATAATAAAATATGTACAATATGAGTGTGGTACTGACTCATGAATAGACAAAAAAACGAATGAAACAAAAGAGAAAATACTGATATAGGTCTAATCATATTTGGAAATTTAGTATGTGATTAAGGCAGCATTTCAAATCATTAGAGATGTAATTGATTATTTAAATGGTAATATTATGATAAATAGATAACCATGTGTTTAAAAAGCTAAAAATGGGCTGGGCATGGTGGCTCATGCCTGTAATCCCAGCACTTTGTGGGGCCAAGGTGGGAGGATTACTTGAGGCCAGGAGTTCAAAACCAGCCTTGTCAACATAGTGAGAATCCCATGTCTATAACAATATTTAAAAATTAGTCGGCTGTGATGGTGTGCACCTGTAGTCTCAACTGCTCAAGAGTCTGAGGGGGAAAGATCGCTTGAGCCCAGGATTTCAAGGCTGCAGTAAGCCATGATCGCACCACTGCACTCCAGTCTGGATGACAGAGCGAGACTGTCTCACTCTGTCAAAACAAAAAAGTAAAAATGAACTCATTCTTCCATCTTAAATCAAGATAAATTCTACATTGTTCAGATTTAAATGTAAAAATGAAGCCATCTAAGTATTAGAAGAAAAAGAGTGAATTCCTCTGTAATCTGGAAGCAGAGAAAACTTTTTAAGTATGATTAAAAATCCAGTGACATTAGGTGGCAGGACACAAAATGAACCCCAGGCCTGAGTGCCCTCATAGACTGTGCTTTTTCCTCTGTGGAACCTGCAAAACAGTTAGGAGAGAAATTGGTGTTGTGTTCCTATTTCTGACTAATGGTTTAATCATCTTCCCACTCTGTTATCTACTCATCAACCAGTAGGTGTCTACTGAGTTTCTACCATGCTTCACTTCCAGTGGTCTTGTGTTATGAAAGGTACAGGTAAGTGCCCACAAGATCTTGCAAGTAATAATGGAGCTCTATAGGCCAATCTGATACACATCAAACAATTGCAAGGAAGGATTCAAGGCAGCACACTTGGAAATGCTTAACAGCTTTCTGTATCAGTCTACTCATCTCCTGCTAGAACATGGGGTGTTTTCTTTTTTTGTGAGATTGTTCACACAAAAATTGGGTGCATTCAGGGTGGTATGGCTGTAGACTTTTCTGAGATTATTCAGAGATTTCCCCCAGGAGGCAAATGAAGCTCTGAAGAGTACCTTCTGCAGAGGGAAGTAAAAACCACCGCTCAGTAAGAGTAGCTCTCTACCCTCAGGAGGCCAGGTATAAATGACACAGGAGGTAAGGACCCTCACTGTCTCTTACATGGCAGGGGCCCTATATTGGTTTGATGGAAATTTGGATCAAGGCTGGCTAATATGATGCTGGTCTGGGACTCTGCCCCACAGGAATGACTGGTGTCTTCAGAGAAAAGCCCTTGATATGTTTTCACATACAGTTGGTAAAATTTGAATTGGAACCCAGGCCTGTTGACTCCCAGTCCTATGCTCTTCCTTCCATGCTGTTACTCTCATACTGAGTAAAGTCCCTGTCTACTCCTCACTTCTGCACCAGAGTCAGTTCACTCACTTTGTGCGCCAATCTCAGGAAGGCCATGCTTTTCCGTGACTCAACACTGGAAACAATCATCCCAACGGAGAATAGCAATTGTCAAACCTTTCTGGGTATTATTACATTGTCAATAAACATGAAAAGGTATTTGAAAGAGTGCAGACCCTTTGAGCCTGCAATCACTCCTTTAGTAATGTTTCCTAAGGAAGTGGTTAACCATGTGCACATAGACTTAGACATACAATGGCTGTCCTTACAGATTGCTCACTTCAGTTCTCTGGCATGGGATGAGTTTAGAAGAAGAGAAAGATGTAAGGGGAAAAGGAATCAGGGACAGGGAAGAGGGAAACAGCTTGACATACTCATAGCCTCTGTTGTCACAACTCTATGGTTCTACCAAGGATTTTGATCATAGGCAAAGAGGGAAATCCACCACTACTGAATGATTCCCACAGTCCATAAGATATTACCCACCCACAAGCAGTCTCACGTTCTACATAGCCCTCATCTATCTTTCTTCTCATCAGAGGACAATGGTTCTATTTCCACGACTCAAACCCTAGAGGCTCTTGTAATACTCCAGTGCTCTCTGACAATGGTTTACGATAGGGATGAAAATTGAGACTACAGTAAATACTCACTTTTTGTCCATAGGTTCTTGGAAATGGCAACTTTAAGTGAAATGATGTATAATGAAACTCCTTTTACCACAAGCTAACTGATATAAACAAAAGTTAAGGTTTTGCTTTTATAACAATCTGTTTATAAAAGCATCACCAAATGTTTAAGTAAAGATAATAACACTTCTAAAATTAAACACTGAAATAAATGTGAGCTATACCTACTGACATGGTTTGGATCCATGTCCTTGCCCAAATCTCATATCCAACTGTAATCCTCAATGTTGGAGGTGGGGCCTAGTGGGAAGTTATTGGATCATGGGAGCAAATTTCCTCCTTGGTGCTATTCTAGTGATAGTGAGTGAGTTCTCCTAAGATCTGGTCATTTAAGTACGCAGTACCTCCTCCCTTCCCATTGGTCCTGCTCCTGCAATGTAAGACGCCTGCTCCTGCTTTACCTTCCACCATGAGTAAAAGCTTCCTGAAGCCTCCCCAGAAGCAGATGCCATCGTGCTTCCTGTATAGCCTGCAGAACTGTGAGCCAATGAAACCTCTTTTCTTTATAAATTACCCAGCCTCAAGTATTTCTTTATAGCAGTGTGAGAACTGCCTAATACACCTGCACTTAAGAAAGATTAATAAGAACAAGTAAGATAATTATCTACCCAATTATTCCAATTCAGGGTCACCGGTTGCTGGAGCCTATCTTCAAAGCTCAGGGTGCAAGACGGGAACCAGTCCTGGACATGATATCATTGCATCACAGGGTGCACATACACACACCCACGTTCACTCACACTGGGACCATTTAGACACGTCAGTTCACCTAACGTGCAGATCTTCGTGATGTGAGAGGAAACTGGAGTACCCAGAGAAAACCTAGGCAGACATGGGGAGAATGTGCAAACTTCACACAGATATCAGCCCCGGCCAGAAATCCATTTTTTCCCCTGTTCAGTGTTATAATAACACTGTCAAATTTAACAAAATGACAGTATTTCAGGACCTGCCATATTTCAGAACTGTAGAAGGTTGGTCTACTGGAATTGTAGTACATACAGGGCTGTGCGTTTCCAACATTTTCCCGCCTGTGGAAACCTGTTGAATCCTATCCTGACAGCCACTGTTTCCCTATGGTCCCCAGAGTCTCGAATGGGAGCAACAAGAATAAGAAATATGCCACTCGTAATGTTTTCAAATTTTCAACATTATAATTTAAAACTACTACAGCTCACTATTAAAAACAAACAAAAAGCAGTGGCCTGGGAAGCCTCAAATATCAGTGCCAAAAAAGATTAGGGCAACCAGGGCCCTGGTGGCTTCAGGATGCAGTAGTAAAAGCTTGAGAGTAATTCGGGGTTTCGCTACTGATCAGCCATTCAAAGTTGTTTCCCTGATTTATTTAACCTCTCCTAATTTCTATACTCTGAAATAAACTATGGGACGGGCACAGTGGCTCACTCCTGTAATCCCAGCACTTGGGGAGGCTGAGGTGGGAGGATCACTTGAGGTCAGGAGTTCGAGACCAGCCTGGCCAACTTGGTGAAACCCTGTCTCTACTAAAAATACAAAAAAAAAAAATTAGTCGGGTGTGGCGGTGCATGCATGTAGTCCCAGCTACTTGGGAGGCTGAGGCAGGAGAATTGCTTGAACCTGGGAGGCAGTGGTTGCAGTGAGACGAGATCACACCACTGCACCCAAGCCTGGGTGACAGAGTGAGACTCCGTCTCAAATAAACAAACACAGAAAAAAAATATGAATTTTAATATAAGATTGCTGAAATAAAGATTAAGATTAAAGGGGTTACAATTTTGAGTACCGTTTGCTTACATTAGTTTTGTTAACATTAATTTTCCATCCTTCAGATCATCTATCCCAGAGAAAACACCTCTTGCTCTGACTGAACCTCTGTCTGTCTGCCACCTTAAAAACCAGTCAATTCAGCCAGGCATGATGGCTCACATCTGTAACCCCAGCACTTTGGGAGGCTGAGGCGGGCGGATCACTTGAGGTCAGGAGTTCGAGACCAGCCTAGCCAACATAGTGAAACCCTGTCTCTACTAAAAATAAAAAAATTAGCTGGGTGTGGTGGTGGGCGCCTGTAATCCCAGCTACTTGGGAGGCTGAGGCAGGAGGATCTCTTGAACTTGGAAGGCAGAGGTTGCAGTGAGCCGAGATCATACCACTGAATTCCAGGCTAGGCGACAGAGTGAGACTCCGTCTGAAAACAACAACAACAACAACAAAACAGTCAATTCACATAGTCCTCAAACCAAGGTCTCCTGGTCCTAGGGGGATGATTTCACTTCCCCCGCTATTATCGTCATCAACAACAGGATTATTTGGTGAGCATCTATGCGGGAGTATAAAATGCCTAGTCCCTAAGTCTTGGTGGTTAATCATCTGTAGGAGAGGTCACTGGGTATATAAAACATTTCTCAATCTTCTCTCAATACCACCTCCCTTAGGAGGATTTTTAGACATATTTTCCTTATCAACTACCTTCTGCCCAGATAATGAAATTTTAATACCACAGATGAAATGTTAACTTGTTATGTAATATGGACCTTTGTAGTACCAAAAATCATTCCAAAGTCTATCATCCCTCTATCCTCAAAAATCTATTTTCAGCCCCTTACTGGTAATATCACCCCTCTTGGGAATGCATAAAATAATGTTATGAAAGTACAAGCTGGAACCCCATTACTGTCCCTTATTTGATGTGTGACACTGGAATCCTTTTTCAGCCTCTGTCAGCCTGCCCTTGCTTATCTGTAAAAGGGAACTCATGATGCCTTTCTTAGAAAACTGTTCTGTGGTGATAAATGAGAAATCCCACACAGAGTATATGGCACCTAGTAGGATTTCAACAAATGGTCATCCAGGCCCACCTTTCTTCTCCCTCCCAGAGAAGTGATGACTGTTATCTAAACCAAGCAGCATAACTATCACAGAAACCATCTGGAAGTGGAGTAGGAAGATGGAGCATGTGCTCACACTTACATTATACATGAAGCTTTGGGGCCATTTCTGTGTTGCAGGATGGTTTGTTGAGGTATTGGGGTGAGGTGAGAAGATTTGTCATTTTCTGCCCCCTTCTTTGATCTTCTAGATTGATATTGGAAAAGCAGTTTCCCATTGAGTCTCAAATGAAGAGAGAGTGCAGATTAAGAAAAGGCAGGAGTCACAAACCCTTGACCCTCATACCAGACACATTACTGCTTACAGGACCTTGTGCTGGGATTTCATCTGCACCATCAGCTTCTTCAAAGAGAAACAGGTTGTTGAGTGAGTACACATAAGGGCACAATCCTAGCAACATAAAAAACTACAGGTGTTTAAGTCCTAGAAGGTCATCCTCTATAAAAGGAGACCATGTTTTGTCCTTTGAGGAGAGTAAGAGTTACATCCCCAGTCCTCATCATTACTAGAGGCCTCGGCAAAGTTGATTTTCCATCAGTGAGTCTGAATTGGTCATCTGTAAACTGGAAATAAAGATGCCTTCCTCACAGACTTCTTGTGAGAGAATGATGCAAAATATGTAATTGCACATTTTTGGCTGTAAATATTTGTGCTATCTTAGAGTAAGTGCCCCTTTGCACCCTTTTCCCCCTGAAAATAGTGTTTCTGAGATTTATCTAATAAGGTGACTTCGGAGATATTTAGATATTATGAACCCTGATCATTATTTGTACCATTGCCCAAACTGCTTGATTCTATCCCGGGCTCCATCAGTTTGTGTGGTGAGCAAACTCTTTGCCACCCAGCTCTGTGCTTAGCAGCAAGTGTGTTGTAGTCATATACTTCCATGAAAAGAGCATAATCATACCTCACTAGTAGGGTTGTCATGAGGATTAAATTCAACCACTAAAGTGAAGAACGTGGAGTTGGACCTTCTAAACAATGTGCTCCATCAATATTATTAGTTGCCTTTCCTCTCTGGATCAGGGAACTAATGTGGCTTCTAACCAGACCCCTCAGGTAGGACCCCTTCACTTGCATGCACATCAAAATTAGCTTGGAGAGCCTTTTAAAAACTTTTAGCAGAAACTCTCTTGTTGTTGGAAATAGGACTTATATATCAAAGTCCATTCAATTGATTAAGCCACAGTAATATGGGCCTCAGAAAGTAGATGTTCCATTTGACACCTGAAGTGTTATGTGAAAGCTCATTTCCCCTTCATTCCACCAGTGCCAGGTATGACCAGCTTTTGCCTTTACTGACACTTTGATCACTCATTTCCTTACACCTGCCCATTGGAAGAGTTCTCTCAGATGATCATTAACTTAGAGATTCACAGCTCTTGTTCCTCTGTGGTGTCTCCTGTTACAAGAGCTCAATGTGAAAACATGGCATGCTTCTATGATGTTAAGCCTGAAGGTAAAATGAGAGGACACAAAATAGCTTATTATCTGGAAATAGGATGTTTATTTATTTATTTATTTTTTGAGATGGAGTCTCGCTTTGTCACCCAGGCTGGAGTGCAGTGGTGCGATCTTGGCTCACTGCAACCTCCACCTCTTGGGTTCAAGCGATTCTCCTGCCTTAGCCTCCCAAGTAGCAGGGATTACAGGCACCCGTCACCACACCCAGCTAATTTTTTTATTTTTAGTGGAGATGGGGTTTCACCATGTTGGCCAGGCTGGTCTTGAACTCCTGAACTCAGGTGATCCACCTGCCTCAGCCTCCCAAAGTGCTGGGTTTACAGGCGTGAGCCACTGCGCCCAGCCAGATGTTGATTTTTATCCCTGACCCCAAACGCCATGAATGAGGTGATGAGATGGCAAGTGACTGATGATGCTCTATTCTTCACAAGATGCCATCAGCTGGAGATGGAGCCCCAGTGCAGGCTCCTGGGGGTGCCTCTACTTCCCTCACTCCCTGAATTATTTTCTGTGGACTAAGATTTGTGCTCTGTTTCTGGCTCTGATGGTGTTGATGTGTGATTTCTGGGAAGCAGGAATGGGGAGGAATGCTAGGGAGGTGTCAGCTGTTAGGGAAGCCCTGAGAGGAAGGGATCCTGAAGTAAGAAAGGAGTGAAAACCATGGCCCTAAGTCAGGTTTAGTCTTTTTAAATTCTTTCTTTTGTTTTTTTTGAGACAGAGTCTCGCTCTGTCGCCCAGGCTGGAGTGCAGTGGTGCGATCTCGGTTCACTGCAAGCTCTGCCTCCCAGGTTCACGCCATTCTGCTGCCTCAGCCTCCTGAGTAGCTGGGACTACAGGCGCCCGCCACCATGCCTGGTTAATTTTTTGTATTTTCAGTAGAGACAGGGTTTCACCGTGTTAGCCAGGATGGTCTCAATCTCCTGACCTCGTGATCCACCCACCTCGGCCTCCCAAAGTGTTGGGATTACAGGTATGAGCCACTGGTGCCCAACCTTAAATTCTTTTTAGAGAAATTATTTTTTCAAAAAAGAAATGAGGTCTCACTATGTTGCCCAGGCTGGTCTCGAATTCCTGGGCTGAACCGATCATCTTGTCTCTGCCTCCCAAAGTGTTGGGATTACAGGCATAAGCCACCACGCCCAGCCACATGTGACGTCTAATAATAATCTTACATTTCTCCTCCTCAGAGGCATCTGAATTTCCTGTCAGGCTATGACCCTGTTTGTGTGCCTTGGAAACTGGTTTCTGACACTGTGAGTAAGGACAGCATTAGTGTTGTTCTCAGAAGGCCAGGTGGTGACATGAGAATGGGAGTTGTGGGAGAGGATTGAATCCTTTGGAGGACACAGGTAGTCACAGCAACTTTCAAGACCCCACTGATGGGAAACAGAACAGCCTCCTCTGGCTGCGAGGAGGCAGGAGAGACAGCTAGGTGGGCAGCAGGTGCCTCTTAAAGCAGGAACCATACAGTGGCATATGAGGACCTGGACCATCAACTGTGGCTAAGTGAGATGCTGGCCTGAGATGTTAGAGCACTTTTACATGCTTTCATGAGCTGGAGCTAGAACATAGGCCTGCTGATTCCCAACTCTGCACTCTCCTCATGAATTACTGCAAGCTGCCTTTTCGAAGGAAAAGCAGACTTGTTTCTTGCCATCTTGAAGACAGAGTTTCCTCATCTCAAAAAAGAGGATAGACACCACTCCCTTAAAGAGTGGTCCTGAAGGTAAACTGCCATCTTGTGTGTGCAGAAAATAAGCCAAGTGCAAATATAATCCCATTCATGTTAATGAGACTCAGGGGTGATTGGAAAATGGAGGGATCAGCCAATGGTGCAGTTTGCTCAGAGCACAGAGTGCTTGGCACACAGGGCTAGAAATGTAGGCTGGGTCCATGGGGAAGGAGGTGTCCTTGGCAGGGAGAGAAGGTGGGCTGCTTTTGAGGATGTTTTGAAGGCATGATTATCTTTATCCACTTTCCTAATAGCACCAACGTTATCTGGAACCATTCTTTCTTTCAAGGGCTATATTTGGCTCTGAGGCTCTGTTGCTATGCAATAGGCTCCTCTGAGCTCAGCGCATGATTCAGGGATACTGATCTGGACAGCTGCGTTGAGTCCTGGAGAGGGGACGACAAAGAGGGGTGGGAGAAGGTCTGGGAAGTCTGTACAGGAGTAAGGTCCTAGGGTCTGGAACGGCCTACTCTCTGGGAGGGGCCATCTCTACAGTGTAGACATGTCAGTCAACACTGGTGAGGGACAGAGCAAGCAAAGGAGATGGATTAACGAACAAAATATATGGAGTTAACATAAAATGAAATTTATGTTTAGTCTTTTAATATACATAGGAATTTTCCAAACACAACTGGCAAAAGACTCTCCAAAATGTTTCATAAATTACTCTGAAGAATAACATGTTTTGTGATTTCGATAATTAGGGGCTTTAAAGCAATCCTAGGCAAAAAGAATAAATCTGGAGGCATCACATTATTAGACTTCAAAGTATGCTACAAGGCTATAGTTACCAAAACAGTATGGTACTGGTATAAAAGTAGGCACAAAGGCCAATGGAACAGAATAGAGAACCCAGAAATAAAGCTGAATACTTACAGCCAACTGATCTTCAAAAAGCATACAAAAGCATAAATTGTTCTACTTAAATGGTGTGCAATAGGAGAAATTTTTTAAAAACATAAATTGAAGAATGGACAACCTATTTAATAAATGGTGCTGGAAAAACTGGCAAGCCGCATGTAGAAGAATGAAACTAGATCTCTATCTCTCACCTTGTAGAAAAATCAACTCAGGATGGATCAAAGACTAAAATATAAGACCTGAAACTATAAAAATTCTAGAAGACAACATTGGAAAAACTCTATTATAGACATCGGCCTAGGCAAAGAATCTATGACTAAGACTCCAGAAGCAAATACAACAAAACCAAAAATAAATAAATGGAACCTAATTAAACCAAAAATCTGTGTTGGGAGAAAAGCTGAGTGTTGGGAGACAAGCTGAGGCAGGGCTTGCATGTCTGCTAGACTTGCTCGCTCCTTGCTTCTAGCACTCCCATTATCTCAAACCGCCATAGGTTTCTCATTCACTTGATACACTGTTTCCTTTCAACCCCCACATCCTCATCACCTGTTCGTTTGTTTGAGCACCAATAAACAGCGTGGGTTCTCAGAGCTCAGGGCCTTCACAGCCTCCACACTTGCAATGGCCTCCTAGTCCCACTTTCTCTCTCAAACTGTCTTTTTCTCACTCTTTTGACTCTGCAGGAGTTCATCGCCCCCATGACCTGGTGTTGGGTCTGATCACCCCAACACTTCTGCACAACAAAAGAAACAATCAGCAGAGTAAACAGACAATTCACAGAAAGGGATACAATATTTGTGAACTATGCATCTAACAAAGGACTAATATACAAAATCTACAAGGAATTCAAACAACTCAGGGATAAAAAAAATAAAAACAAAGAATCCCATCAAAAAGTGGGCAAATGACATGAGTAGACATTTCTCAAAAGAAGATATACAAATGGCTAATAAACATATGAAAAAATTCTCAACATCACTAATTATCAGGGAAATGCAAATGAAAACCACAGCGATACCACCTTACTCCTACAAGAATGGCCATAATTAAAAAGTCAAAAAACAATAGATGTTGGCATCGATGTGTGGCAAAGGGAACGCTTATATGCTGCTGGTGGGAATGCAAATTAATACAGCCTCTGTGGAAAACAGTATGGAGATTCCTTAAAGAGCAAAAAGTAAATCTACCTTTGGATCCAGCAATCCTGCTACTGGGTACCTACTCAAAGGAAAATAAGTCATTATATAAAAAAGTCATTACATACATATGTTTATAGCAGCACCATTCACAATTGCAAAGATGTGGAACCAACCTAAGTGCCCATCAATTAATGAGTGGAGAAATAAAATGTAGTATATATACACCATGTAATACTACTCAGCCATAAAAAGAATGAAATAATGTCTTTTGCAGCAACTTGGATGGAACTGGAGACCATTATTCTAAGTGACATAACTCAGGAATGGAAAATCAAACATCATATGTTCTCACTTATAAGTGGGAGCTAAGCTATGAGGACATAAAGGCAGGCTGAGTGATATAGTGGACTTTGGGGACGCAGAAGGGGGAGAGTGGGAAGGGGCTAGGGATACAAAGCCATATATTAGGTACCATGTACACTACTTGGGTGACAGGGGCACGAAAATCTCAGAATTCACTATTTAATTCAGTCATGTAACAAAAAAAATACTTGTACCCCAAAAGCTATTGAAATAAAAATTAATAAAGAACAAAAACAAAAAGAAAAATTAGGGGCTTTAACTTTTAGGAAAGAAAAACCAAAAGTGAAATGGAGACTGATGCCTCTTTGCTCATCGCATCCAGAATTACAGCTTTAGAAACCTCAGACGAGGAATTGCCAAAAGTGATAGGAGGGAGAAAGGGACCCAGGCTGGATGGCATCAGCCATGGCCTTCTGGAATTTTCCACACATTGTCAGCAATTCCTCTGTATCCATCACTTTTTGGCTTTTTTGTTGTTGTTGTTTTGAGATGGAGTGTCGTTCCGTCGCCCAGGATGGAGTGCAGTGGCGCGATCTCGGCTCACTGCAAGCTCTGCCTCCCGGATTCACACCATTCTCCTGCCTCAGCCTCCCGAGTGGCTGGGACTACAGGCGCCTGCCACCATGCCAGGCTAATTTTTTGTATCTTTAGTAGAGACAGGGTTTCACCTTGTTAGCCGGGATGGTCTCGATTTCCTGACCTTGTGATCCACCCGCCTTGGCCTCCCAAAGTGCTGGGATTACATGCGACAGCCACCGCACCCGGCCACTTTTGGCATTTTTAAGTCCCAGGAAAGGAAGCCCAGGCCCTGTCTGAGATGGAGAGAAAGTTGCACCTGTGAGTGTGTATATGGGGTGAAATAGTTTGAGCCCTAAAAACAAAGATGCATACAACATTGTTGTTTTTCAGCCATAGAAACACATACACACACAATAACACACAAACACACACACAGATACTATGTCAAAGCAATAATTTTTACCTGCTTCTGAGGAGTTCAAATAGAAACCATTGTAAAGATCCCAACATGGTATTTGTCACATCATCCATAACACCAGTGTTTGCTTCCTGGCCATCCCAAGTGCTCTAATCTTTCTTTCTTTCTTTTTTTTTTAAGACAGAGTTTAGCTACATTGCCCAGGCTGACATTGAAGTCCTCACTCAAGTGATCCTCCTGCCTCAGCTTCCCAAGCAGCTGGGACTACAGGTGCACACCACCATGCTTGGCTAACTGCTCTGGTCTTTAACAGAGAGATGTTTTTTCTTAACCTCAATGACATTGAGAGGTGACAGCATGCTGGCAGCCCTCACAGCCCTCACTCACTCTCGGCACCTCCTCTGCCTAGGCTCCCACTTTGGAGGCACTTGAGGAGCCCTTCGGCCCACCGCTGCATTGTGGGAGCCCCTTCCTGGGCTGGCCGAGGCCCCGGAGCTGGCTCCCTCAGCTTGCAGGGAGGTGTGGAGGGAGAGGCGCGAGTGGGAACCGGAGCTGCGCGCAGTGCTTGCGGGCCGGCTGGAGTTCTGGGTGGGCGTGGGCTCGGTGGGCCCCACACTCGGAGCAGCCGGCTGGCCCCAGACAGTGAGGGGCTTAGCACCTGGGCCAGCAGCTGCTGTGCTCAATTTCTCAGGGGGCCTTAGCTGCCTTCCCATGGGGCAGGGCTCTGGACCTGCAGCCCGCCATGCCTGAGCCTCACCCCCACCTCCGTGGGCTCCTGTGCTGCCCAAGCCTGCCCGACAAGCGCGGCCCTCTGCTCCACGGTGCCCAGTCCCATCGACCACCCAAGGGCTGAGGAGTGCAGGCGCATGGCGTGGGACTGGCAGGCAGCTCCACCTGTGGCCCTGTGCGGGATCCACTGGGTGAAGCCAGCTGGGCTCCTGAGTCTGCTGGGGACTTGGAGAACCTTTATGTCTAGGGATTGTAAATACACCAGTCGGCACTCTGTATCTAGCTCAAGATTTGTAAACACACCAATCAGCACCCTATGTCTAGTTCAGGGTTTGTGAATGCACCAATTGACACTCTGTATCTAGCTATTCTGGTGGGGACTTGGAGAACCTTTATGTCTAGCTAAGGGATTGTAAACACATCAATCTGCACTCTGTATCTAGCTCCAGGTTTGTAAACACACCAATCAGCACCCTGTGTCTAGCTCAGGGTTTGTGAATGCACCAGTCAACACTCTGTATCTAGCTACTCTGGTGGGGACTTGGAGAACCTTTGTGTCTACACTCTGTATCTAGCTAATCTAGTGGGGATGTGGAGAACCTTTGTGTCTAGCTCAGGGATTGTAAATGCACCAATCAGCACCCTGTCAAAACAGACCACTGGGCGCTCTGTAAAAGGGTTCAATCAGCAGGATGTGGGTGAGGCCAGATAAGAGAACAAAAGCAGGCTGCCCGAGCCAGCAGTGGCAACCCACTCAGGTCCCCTTCCACACTGTGGAAGCTTTGTTCTTTCGCTCTTTGCAATAAATCTTGCTGCTGCTCACTCTTTGGGTCCACACTGCCTTTATGAGCTGTAACACTCACCGCGAAGGTCTGCAGCTTCACTCCTAAAGCCTGCGAGACCACGAACCCACCAGAAGGAAGAAACTCCGAACACCTCCGAACATCAGAAGGAACAAACTCTGGACACGCCGCCTTTAAGAACTGTAACACTTACTGCAAGGGTCCACGGCTTCATTCTTGAAGTCAGTGAGACCAAGAACCCACCAATTCCGGACACAACATCATTACATTTTAGTGAGTATTTAGGATTGTAAGAAGAAGGGAACCACACACATTCATCTATATTGTGTAGAAAATTCAGTACCATTTCTGTTGTGCAGTGTTATGGAGTTGGGGTAGGAAAAATAAGCATCCCGTTCCATTGAATAGTTGTGCTTTTCCTGTTTGATGGGGCCCTCATCAGGTGTGCCATGATATGGGGTTCTGGAACTTTTTGGAGCTCCAGAAAGAGGTGACTGTGAGTCTGCAGGGAAGAACATTGGAAGGAGAGTCAGGAGCTCTTCCTAGACCCCAGTGCCTGAACCATCCAGGTGGAGTTCCTTCTCCTACCTTGACCTGCACCATCTCACTGGTGTTCACTAATCATCCATCCCTCTTTGAGAGACAGGAGTAGCTGGATTTCCTAGGCTGACTAAGAATTTCTAAGCCTAGCTGGGAAGGTGACCACATCCACCTTTAAACATGGGGCTTGCAACTTAGCTCATACCCAACCAATCAGGTAGTAAAGAGAGCTCACTAAAATGCTAATTAGGCTAAAACAGGAGGTAAAGAAATAGCCAATCATCTATCGCCTGAGAAGACAGGGGGAGGGACAATGATCAGGATATGCACCCAGGCATTCGAGCAGGGAGTGGCACCCCCCTTTGGGTCCCCTCTCTTTGTTTTGGACCTCTGTTTTCACTCTATTAAATCTTGCAACTGCACATTCTTCTGGTCTGTGTTTGTTACTGCTGGAGCTGAGCTTTCACTTGCCATCCACCACTGCTGTTTGCCGCCATCGCAGACCCGCTGCTGACTTCTACCCCTCCAGATCCAGCAGGGTGTCCGCTGCACTCCTGATCCAGCGAGGCGGCGCCCATTGCCACTCCCAATCCGGCTAGAGGCTCGCCATTGTTCTTATGTGGGCTAAGTGCCTAATCGAGGTGAATAGAGCTATAATACTCACTGCATGGCCCAAGTTTCCATTCCTTGGAATCCATGAGGCCAAGAACCCTAGGTCAGAGAACAAGAGGCTTGCCACCATCTTGGAAGCGGCCCACCGCCATCTTGGGAGCTCTAAGAACAAGGACCCCTGGTAACATCTTCACACCTCCAGTAGCCCAGAGGATGCAGAGGTTTTGGTAACCATTGCACAAGGTCCAGGTCCTTGTGGAAGTTATGGTGACCTCTGTAGAACCACCTTGCTATATAAGAGGAGGAGGACCTCCTTGGAGCCGCCAGAGAGTCCTTAAAGAGAAGCTGGGCCTGGTACAATGGGCAGGACTTGTGGGTGCTGGATGGGAAGGAGGAGACAGGGAGTCCACTATGACTGAAGTGAAGAGTGGGGGCCTCCCATGGGAACAGTCAGGGCTCTGAGATAACTGACAGGATACTCTAGGTCTGAAGCCATCCAGATCTGGGATTGAATGTAAGATTATCGTTTACTTGCTTATTTGTGATATTTTGAGCATTTCCAGGAAGTCTGGGAGGGATCAAGGCCTTGCCTGACCCTAGGAGATACTTGCTCAGAAGTGTGGCCTCCCACCATTACATCACCACCATTCTTTGTTGTGGGTTAGGGTGCTGAGAACACTCAGATACCACTTCTCCTCGCTTTATTTTATTTTGGTGGAGATGAGGAACAGTGTCTAACCTTACATGATCTAGGTTTGAGGTTCCTGCCCTTGGATATGGCCTTTGAAGGGGTGAAGGGTTTACATCCAACCACTGGCTTTCTTTAGCATGGAGGTTACAGGAGGGCAGGATCATAAGGAGTGCTGCGTGGAGGGGAATTCTGAGATCATTAAGGGAGTGATGCCATTAAAGCCTCATGAGCAGACAGCTAGGATGAAAGGAATCCATATTTGCAAAGATCAGAAGCAGTTATGTACTAGGGCTGAGGGCAGGAGTTATAGGCAGGGACCCCAGGGTAAGGGCATCAGTTCAGAGGACAGACTGTTCTGGGACAAACTGTTAGGAGTGCAGAGTAATGACAGGAGCCAGAGGTATTCTGAGGGAAGGCACACAAGTTAGTTGGAGATGAGGGTTGGAAAAGGGCCTGAAGGCTACTCTCCTCACGAGTTCCTACGGTTGCTTCTGGGCTTATCCTCCACAGAGGCTCCTTGTGAGAAGCACTCCTTGTTGGAGGTGTTTATGAACTCAATGCCCTCGTACTCGATGCCCTCGTACATGATGGGAAAGAAGGAAAGCCACATACAGGAAATAATGCCTCTTCTCGGAGCTAAGCCCTCGTGAATTCCACAGCCCCAGCCTCCCTGCCACTGTATCCCTAAGCAGAGCGTGCCAGGGCCAGGGAAATGAACAGAGCAGCTGTAACTGGACCCTCTGGCTGTGGCTGCTATTTGCTGTCTTCTGTCCCAATCAGCCCTCCCATTCCACACTCCTCACCATACCACAGGTAATCTATCTGCACTTTGGTATAGGCATCTACGGTGGATGCTGTCCCTCACAGATTTTTAACCAATGTGGAGCCCAGATACTATGGAAACAAGGAATGACAAGGCTTATGGAACCTTGCATTACCATCTTAAGGTGGCCAGCCAACTTAGAACCTTGCCACTGTCAGTGTTCTCTAGCTGAAAGATCACCAGGAGCATACTTGGAGCCAAACAAACTTGGGCTTTTTACTTGTAAACAAAAAGGATCTGAGATAGGCCTCAATAAATTTAGAAGTGTATTTTGCCAAGGTTAGGGACATGCCTGTGACACAATCTCAGGAGGTCCTAAGAACATATGCCCAAGGTGGTCAGGCTACTGCTTGGTTTTATATATTTTAGGGAGACATAAAACACCAATCAATACATGTAAGATGTCCATTGGTTCAGTCCAGAAAGGTAGAATAACCGGCAGTCGAGGGCACGGGGAGGGTGATGGGGGTGTGTGTCCGGGGGGTGGGGCTTCCAGGTTATTGGTGGATTCAAAGATTTTCTGATTGGCAATTGGTTAAGAGTTTATCTGAAGACTTGGGATCAATAGAAGGAAGTGTCTAGGTTAGATTAGGGGTTGTGGACAGCAAGGTTCTTATTATGCAGATGAAGCCTCCAGGTAGCAGGCTTCAGAGAGAATAGATTGTAAATGTTTCCTATCAGTCTTAAAAAGGGGCACTTTGGGAGGCCAAGGTGGGCAGATCACAAGGTCAAGAGATCGAGACCATCCTGGCCAACATGGTGAAACCCCTTCTCTACTAAAAATACAAAAATTAGCTGGGCATGGTAGTGCACGCCTGTAGCCCCAGCTACTCAGGAGGCTGAGGCAGGATAATTGCTTGAACCCAGGACGTGGAGGTTGCAGTGAGCTGAGATCATGCCACTGCACTCCAGCCTGGGCGACAGAGCGAGACTCTGTCTCAAAAAAAAAAAAAAAAAAAGTGCCAGACTCTTAGTTAATTCTCTCCTGGATCAGGAAAAAGATCTGGAAAGAGAAGGAGATTCTCTACAAAATGTAGATTTTCCCAAGAGACAGCTGTGCAGGGCCATTTCAAAATGGCCATATGTTAAAGGAATATGTCTGGAGTAAAATACTTTGGTTTCTTTCAGGTCCTACTATCTCTCATGTCGGTTTTGTAACAGCCCAATGGATTCACCTTGCCCACTGCCCAGACAGAGCCAAGTAACAAGACAGGAAAATTGCAATAGAGAAAGAGAAATTTAGGCAGATCTGGCTGTGTGGGAGACCAGAGTTTTATTATTACTCAAAACAGTCTCCCTGAGCATTTGGGGATCAGAGTTTTTAAGGATAATTTGACTCGGGGGAGGAAGGGCAGTGAGTCAGGAGTGCTGATTGGTTGGATGGGAGATGAAATCATAGGGGATCAAAGCTGTTCTGTTTCACTAAGTCAGGAACTCCTGGGTGGGGGCCACAAGACCAGACAAGCCAGTTTTCTCGATCTGCATGGTGCCAGCTGATCCATTCAGTGCAGGGTCTGCAAAATATCTCAAGCAATGATCTTAGGTTTTACAATAGTTATTTTATCTCCAGGAACAACTTGGGGATCAGAGTTTTTAAGGAGAACTTGGTGGGTCAGGGGAAACTGGTGAGCCGGGATTTGCTGATTGGTCATGTCAGAGATGAAATCATAGGGAGTCAAAGCTGTCTTCTTGCACTGAGTCAGTTCCTGGATGGGGGCCACAAGATCAGATGAACCAGTTTATCCATCTGGGTAGTGCCAGTTGATCCATCAAGTGCAGGGTCTGCAAAATATCTCAAGCACTGGTCTTAGGTTTTACAATAGTGATTTTTATCCCCAGAAGCATTTGCTTAATGAGAATATAAACCATGATGATATCTAACCAATGGTTAATAGTATTTTTACTTGCTTCTTCAGTTTGTCCTCTTTTTCGAATATATTTACATATTTTAGAAATATATTTAAAAGAATATTTCACAAAGTAAATTGTTTCAAACCTTCAAACCTGCAATTCTACCTCTAGAAGATTCATATGGACTTTATCATGCAAAACCATGTCTGCTAAAAAGAAGATATTGTCATTTTATTCCTCTCATGAGATCTTTTAGAGAAGGAAATGTTGATCCATGGTCTTCTTGAATTTCAGTTTCAACAGCTTCTCAGAAATACATGCTCACTTGTCCTCTATGGAACAACTCTGTGTTTCCATTGCTCATCTGACTTATGTCCCAGGCATCCCCCTCAAGAGTGGAAGAGGCAAATCCTAGGGCCAATCTTTAGATAAGACATTTGAAAGCTGTAGAGCCTTCAGTCCATTGTGTAAAGTCACAACCATGAGAAATTATGAACTCACACTCATTGGACCCCTTTCAAATGAAAAATTGTATCTGTGTTACCGGTCACAGAGATCCGAGTTACCCTGAATTACCACCAGTGGCATATCCGTATGGGTCTACAGCAACTTCAATTCTTGCCTCCTCAGAAAAAGAATTCAACTGAGGGGCATAAGGCAGGAAAAGAGACTAAGGGAAGTTTCAGAACAGGAGTGAGAAGTTTATTTAAAAAGGCTTTAGAACAAGAAAGAAAGGAAAGTTCATTTGGAAGAGATCAAAGAGGGTGTTAAAGGACAAAAACAGCATTTAACCATGATCCTAGGACTTTACAGGTGCTCCTCTTTCCTATGATTCTTCCCTTAGGGTGGGCTTCCCTAAGGGAAGCATGTGCAGTGCCTTTCTAATCCTTGGGAATTGAGCACGCTCAGTGTGCTTAGGAAGCTGTACGCAAGCCCATTTGAGGCCTTTTTCCCTTTTCTGATGGAAGGTCCCTGAGAGGTCATGAATCACCATTTTGTTTCTTAGTGCACATACCCAGGAATCTTCCTCTCCCTGGAATCTGGTTTCAATGAATACTTTAATGTTAATAGCTGTGTATCATCAAGAGATTGTCCCTCCAGGCCAGGCATGGTGGCTCATGCCTGTAATCTCAGCACTTTGAGAGGCCGAGGCGGGTGGATCACGAGGTCAGGAGATTGAGACCATCTTGGCTAACATGGTGAAACCCCGTCTCTACTAAAAATACAAAAAATTACCCGGGCATGGTGGTGGGCGCCTGTAGTCCCAGCTACTTGGGAGGCCAAGGCAGGAGAATGGCATGAACCCAGGAGGCGGAGCTTGCAGTGAGCCGAGATTGCACCACTGCACTCCAGCCTGGGCGACAGAGAGAGACTCTGTCTCAAAAAAAAAAAAAAAGAGATTGTCCCTCCCTGGTACCCTGGCACAGGCTGCTGAATTATCATTTTTAGAGAGGCAGTGTGATAATTGTCAAACCATCACCTGACATTCCTAGTGGGTGGGGGGAGAGTCCTCTCCTGCCCTGCTCATGCCTATCTAACTACCTGTAACATTTGGAAATGGTGAAGCTGGTGGAATGTTGTGGGAAGTCAGGGACCCCAAACGGAGGGACTGGCTGGAGCCATGGCAGAGGAACATAAATTGTGAAGATTTCATTTTAATATGGACATTTATCAGTTCCCAAAATTAATACTTTTATAATTTCTTATGCCTGTCTTTACCGCAGTCTCTGAACATAAATTGTGAAGATTTCATGGACATTTATCAGTTCCCAAATAATACTTTTATAATTTCTTATGCCTGTCTTTAATCTCTTAATCCTATTATCTTCATAAGCTGAGAATGTATGTCACTTCAGGACCACTATTGTACAAATTCATTGTAGAACATGTGTGTTTGAACAATATGAAATCTGATTGTAAAACATGGGTGTTTGAATAATATGAAATAAGTGCACCTTGAAAATGAACAGAATAACAGCGATTTTAGGGAACAAGGGAAGACAACCAAAGGTCTGACTTCCTGCGGGGTCGGGCAGAATAGAGCCATATTTTTCTTCTTGCAGACAGCCTATAAATGGATGTGCAAGTAGGAGAGATATCACTGAATTATTTTCCCAGCAAGGAATATTAATAATTAATACCCTGGGGAAGGAATGCATTCCTGGGGGGAGGTCTATAAACGGCCGCTCTGGGATTGTCTGTCTTATGCGGTTGAGATGAGGACTGAAATATGCCCTGGTCTCCTGCAGTACCCTGAGGCTTATTAGGGTGGGGAAAAGATCCCGCCCTGGTAATTTTGAGGTCAGACTGGTTCTCTGCTCTCAAACCCTGTTTTCTGTTGTTTAAGATGTTTATCAAGAAAATTTGTGCACAGCTGAACATAGACCCTCATCAGTAATTCTAATTTTGCCCTTTGCCTTATGATCTTTGCTTTGCCCTTTGCCTTGTGATCTTTGCTTTGCCCTTTGCCTTGTGATCTTTATTGCCCTTTAAAGCATGTGATCTTTGTCACCTACTGCCTGTTTGTACACCCCCTCCCCTTTTAAAGTCCTTAATAAAAACCTGCTGGTTTTGCGGCTCAGGCGGACATCATGGACCTACTGATATGTGATGTCACCCCTGGAGGCCCAGCTGTAAAAGTCCTCTCTTGGTACTCTTTCTCTTTATTTCTCAGACCGGCCAACACTTAGGGAAAATAGAAAGAACCTACATTGAAATATTGGGGGCTGGTTCCCCCGATAGTGGAGTTAGGTGGCTAATGATAATTAAAGCATTAGAGTATATTTGAGAAGACTTCTCACAGGAAGTAATGTTTAAACAAAGACCTGAGGCTAAGGAATGCCAAATAAAAATTATAGGAGGCCATTGTTTCGGACTAACCTTTTGCACTAGGCCTCAACAGCATAGACTAAAAATCAAAATGGAGTCACCCATGCTAAAGTTCCTTTTTTTTTTGAGACAGAGTCTCGCTCTGCCACCCAGGCTGGAGTGCAATGGCACAATCTCAGGTCACTACAACCCCTGCCTCCCAGGTTCAAGTGATTATCCTGCCTCAGCCTCCCAAGTAGCTGGGATTACAGGGGCCCACCACCACACCCAGCTAATTTTTGTATTTTTAGTAGAGACAGTTTTCGCCATTTAGCCAGGCTGATCTCAAACTCCTGACATCAGGTGATCCACCCGCCTCAGCCTCCCAAAGTGCTGGGATTACAGGCGTGAGCCACTGTGCCCGGCCCACTCATGCTAAAGTTCTAAGTAACCAAACCCAAACTAAGTTGCTGTATGACCTTCCAGCGAAAGAGATAACAGTCTATTTTACTACACACTAGCCCATTTAAAATCTTCAATTGGCATGATAAAGAAGTTCCTTCTGCTTTAATTCTCACACAAAAAATGTACCCTGAAGTTACCTGAGGTTAACTAATCAGTTGTTTTTCTACTGTTCTGCCTCTCTGTCCCTTTCTTATAAGAAAAGTATCTTCAAAATCACTAACATGATCTTCGTTCTTTCTTTCTGCATTCTTCAGCCTGTCTCTGTCTATAAAGTTAACCTCTTCTGTTCAGCCCATTGGAGCACTTACTGTATTTTCTGGTGTGATGTGTGACCAGATTCTAGAATTACAAATAAAGCCAATTGAGGTCTTTAAAATAAATTTGTTGTAGTTTTATCTTTTGACATATCTGGCAACCATGAAGTGAACAGTCTTCCCCATGAAGCCCTGAAAGTCTTGAGTAAGTCCCTTTCAGGTCTGAGCTCAGCTCTCTTTGGCATTTGAGTTCCCTGGTATTTTTGGCTTTGTGTGTACCAAGGTTGGCTTGTGCTATGAGAAAGCATTTGACTATGGAGTAAAAAGGGTTAGTTTGTTCTGTGGCAGGGCAGGGTTTGCAGTAGCTGACAAGTTACTGGCAAGGGCTGCATTTTTTTGCTCTGTTTGGATATGTCTCATGTGTTTTCTTAAGATTATGGCTATACAGAAATGTGGGTTTCACCACATTTGCAGCTAGTGAGAGGTGACAGCGTGCTGGCAGTCCTCACAGCCCTCGCTTGCTCTCGGCGCCTCCTCTGCCTGGGCTCCCACTTTGGCAGCACTTGAGGAGCCCTTCAGCCCACCGCTGCACTGTGGGAGCCCCTTTCTGGGCTGGCCAAGGCCAGAGCCGGCTCCCTCAGCTTGCAGGAAGGTGTGGAGGGAGAGGCGCAAGTGGGAACGGGGGCTGGACGCGGCGCTTGCGGGCCAGCTGGAGTTCCAGGTGGGCGTGGGCTTGGCAGGCCCCGCACTCAGAGCAGCCAGCTGGCCTTGCCGGCCCCAGGCAATGAGGGGCTTAGCACCCAGGCCAGTGGCTGCAGAGGGTATACTGGGTCGCCCAGCAGTGCCAGCCCACCGGCGCTGCGCTCAATTTCTCACCAAGCCTTAGCTGTCTTCCAGTGGGGCAGGGCTCAGGACCTGCAGTCCGCCATGCCTGAGCCTCCCACCCCCTCCATGGGCTCCTGTGCGGCCCGAGTCTCCCTGACGAGCGCCACCCCCTGCTCCATGGTGCCCAGTCCCATCAACCACCCAAGGGCTGAGGAGTGCGGGCGCATGGCACCGGGACTAGCAGGCAGCTCCACCTGCAGCCCCAGTGTGGGATCCACTGGGTGAAGCCAGCTGGGTTCCTGAGTCTGGTGGGGATGTGGGGAACCTTTATGTCTAGCCCAGGGATTGTAAATACACCAATCAGCACTCAGTATCTAGCTGAGGGTTTCTGAATGCACCAATCGATGCTCTGTATCTAGCTACTCTGGTGGGGCCTTGGAGAACCTTTATGTCTAGCTCAGGGTTTGTAAGTACACCAATCCGCACTCTGTATCTAGCTCAAGGTTTGTAAACACACCAATCAGCACCCTGTGTCTAGCTCAGGGATTGTAAATACACCAATCGGCACTCTGTATCTAGCTCAAGGTTTGTAAATACACCAATCAGCACCCTGTGTCTACCTCAGGGTTTCTGAATGCACCAATCGACACTCTGTATCTAGCTATTCTGGTGGGGCCTTGGAGAACCTTTGTGTCAACATTCTGTATCTAGCTAATCTAGTGGGGACATGGAGAACCTTTGTGTCTAGCTCAGGGATTGTAAATGCACCAATCAGCACCCTGTCAAAACAGACCACTTGGCTCTACCAATCAGCAGGATGTGGGTGGGGCCACATAGGAGAATAAAAGCAGGCTGCCCGAGCCAGCAGTGGCAACCTGCTCAGGTCCCCTTCCACACTGTGGAAGCTTTGTTCTTTCGCTCTTTGCAATAAATCTTGCTGCTGCTCACTCTTTGGGTCCATGCTGCTTTTATGAGCTGTAACACTCACTGCGAAGGTCTGCACCTTCACTCCTGAAGCCAGCGAGACCACGAGCCCACCAGGAGGAAGGAAGAACTCCAGACACGCTGCCTTAAGAGCTGTAACACTCACCGCGAAGGTCTGCAGCTTCACTCCTGAGCCAGCGAGGCCACGAACCCACCAGAAGGAAGAAACTCTGAACACATCTGAACATCAGAAGGAACAAACTCCAGACGTGCCACCTTAAGAGCTGTAACACTCACCACGAGGGTCCGTGGCTTCATTCTTGAAGTCAGTGAGACCAAGAACCCACCAATTCTGGACACACTAGCATAAAGGGCTGCAGTTTTAAGGTAACTGACAGTAGTGGCAGTGAGTGGTTATTAATGCAGGGGAGTGATCTCCGGTTTTTGGAATTCATGGGTATGTGGGTTTTTTCTTCTGCACTTAGGTAAGGGAAGCCTCAGGTGTCTGACTGGGTCAGACAGAAACTGTAAAATCATTGGCTAAGTTGGTCAAGAAGATCTTGTAGCCAAAGCCATCTTGGCTCTGGGAAACCCAAGATCCAACATGAAAGTGGGAACCCTAATTTCTTTCTTTCTTTTTTTACTTTCTTTTTTTTCTTTCTTTTTTTTTTTTTTTTTTTGAGACGGAGTCTCACTCTGTTGCCCAGGCTGGAGTGCAGTAGCGCAATCTTGGCTCACTGCAAGCTCTGCCTCCCAGGTTCATGCCATTCTCCTGCCTCAGCCTCCCAAGTAGCTGGGACTACAGGCGCCCACCACTACACTCGGCAAATTTTTTTGTATTTTTAGTAGAGACGGAGTTTCACCATGTTAGCCAGAATGGTCTTGATTTCCTGACCTCGTGATCTGCCCCTCTCGGCCTCCCAAAGTGCTGGAATTACAGGCGTGAGCCACTGCGCCCGGCTGGGATCCCTAATTTCTAAAGATCTGAGTACGTCACATTTCAGTAGACCTGCCTTAGTTATGCATAAGGTTTCTAGCCCCAGGCAGGGCTTGGTGGTTCAGACTTATAATCTCAGCACTTTGTGAGGCTGAGGAGGGAGGATTGTTTTGGGTCAGGAGTTTGAAACCAGCTGTCTCTAAGACAAAAAAATAAAAATAAAAAAATTAGATGAGCCTGGTGGCACATGCCTGTAGTCCTAGCTACTAGGGAGGCTGAGGCTGGAGGATCCCTTGAGCACAGGAATTCGAGGCTGCAGTAAGCTATGATTGCACCACTGCCTTTCAGTCTAGGCAACAGAGTGAGCCAATATTAAAAAAAAAAAAATTCTCCCTCTCCCTCTCCCTCTCCCCACGGTCTCCCTCTCCCTCCCTTTCCATGGTCTCCCTCTGATGCCGAGCCGAAGCTGGCCTGTACTGCTGCCATCTCGGCTCACTGCAAACTCCCTGCCTGATTCTCCTGCCTCAGCCTGCCAAGTGCCTGCGATTGCAGGTGTGCGCCGCCACGCCTAACTGGTTTTCATATTTTTTTGGTGGAGACGGGGTTTCGCTGTGTTGGCCGGGCTGGTCTCCAGCTCCTAACCGTGAGTGATCCGCCAGCCTCGGCCTCCTGAGGTGCCGGGATTGCAGACGGAGTCTCGTTCACTCAGTGCTCAATGGTGCCCAGGCTGGAGTGCAGTGGCGTGATCTCGGCTCGCTACAACCTCCACCTCCCAGCCGCCTGCCTTGGCCTCCCAAAGTGCCGAGATTGCAGCCTCTGCCCGGCCGCCACCCCGTCTGGGAAGTGAGGAGCATCTCTGCCTGGCCACCCATCCTCTGGGATGTGAGGAGCCCCTCTGCCTGGCTGCCCAGTCTGGAAAGTGAGAAGCGTCTCTGCCCGCCCGCCATCCCATATAGGAAGTGAGGAGCATCTCTGCCCGGCCGCCCCGTCTGAGAAGTGAGGAGCCCCTCCGCCTGGCAGCTGCCCCGTCTGAGAAGTGAGGAGACCCTCCGCCCGGCAGCCACCCTGTCTGGGAAGTGAGGAGCGTCTCTGCCCGGCAGCCACCCCGTCCAGGAGGGAGGTGGGGGGTCAGCCCCTCGCCCGGCCAGCCGCCCCATCCGGGAGGGAGGTAGGGGGTCAGCCCCCTGCCCGGCCAGCCGCCCCGTCCGGGAGGGAGGTGGGGGGGTCAGCCCCCGCCCGGCCAGCCGCCCCATCCGGGAGGTGAGGGGCACCTCTGCCCGGCCACCCCTACTGGGAAGTGAGGAGCCCCTCTGCCCGGCCACCACCCTGTCTGGGAGGTGTACCCAACAGCTCATTGAGAACGGGCCATGACGACAATGGCGGTTTTGTGGAATAGAAAAGGGGGAAAGGTGGGGAAAAGATTGAGAAATCGCATGGTTGCTGTGTCTGTGTAGAAAGAAGTAGACATGGGAGACTTTTCATTTTGTTCTGTACTAAGAAAAATTCTTCTGCCTTGGGATCCTGTTGATCTATGACCTTACCCCCAACCCTGTGCTCTCTGAAACATGTGCTGTGTCAACTCAGGGTTAAATGGATTAAGGGCGGTGCAAGATGTGCTTTGTTAAACAGATGCTTGAAGGCAGCATGCTGGTTAAGAGTCATCACCACTCCCTAATCTCAAGTACCCAGGGACACAAACACTGCGGAAGGCCACAGGGTCCTCTGCCTAGGAAAACCAGAGACCTTTGTTCACTTGTTTATCTGCTGACCTTCCCTCCACTATTGTCCTATGACCCTGCCAAATCCCCCTCTGCAAGAAACACCCAAGAATGATCAATAAAAAAAAATAAATAAAAAATTTCTGGCCCCAGAAGCAACAAATTTTTACAAAAGTGACAAAATTTTACTAAAGATAATCGATAATCTAGTATTATGATGGCCATTATGTGGAATGCAATCTAAGAAAGTGTACTTGAATTCTCAGCCTCTTGAAGGCAGAGAAAATGGAATTCCTATTGGCATGTAGAAGGTTGGAGTAGACAACAGGACTCTAAAATAGCTTTTCTAAAAGACTAATTGCAAAAAGTTAGTAAAAAGCTAAAAATGCAAGATATCCCCTATATAAAGGACCGTAAAACTTACCTAACTCTTAGTGCTTCCCTTTAATTTACGTTGCCTGGAATATTCCCAGTGTACTAAACAATTCAGTGTCTGAATTGCATTTCCTTTCTGAAAAAAAAGGAAAGTTCGGCTGGGCGCGCAGTGCCTCATGCCTGTAACCCCAGCACCTTGGGAGGTTGAGGCGGGTGGATCATCTGAGGTCAGGAATTCGAGACTAGCCTGGTCAACATGGTGAAACCCCGTCTCTACTAAAAATACAAAAATTAGCAGTGCATAGTGTCATAAGCTTGTAATCCCAGCTACTTTGGAGGCTGAGGCAGGAGAATCGCTTGAACCTGGGAGGCAGAGATTGCAGCAAGCTGAGATCCTGCTATTGCATTCCAGCCTTGGCTACAAGAACAAAACTCTGTCTCAAAAAAAAAAAAAAAGGAAAGTTAAACAGTTTCCTTATAAGGTAGAAACACTCCAAAATTCTGGAGATAGTCCACTATTTGATTATACTTTCTGGACAAAAAATGGAGGCCAGGACCACAGTTTAAAAATTTCCAAACTCAGCCGGCCGCAGTGGCTCAAGCCTGTAATCCCAGCACTTTGGGAGGCCGAGGTGGACGGATCACGAGGTCAGGAGATCGAGACCATCCTGGCTAACACCGTGAAACCCCGTCCCTACTAAAAATACAAAAGATTAGCCGGGCGCGGTGGTGGGCACCTGTAGTCCCAGCTACTCAGGAGGCTGAGGCAGGAAAATGGCATGAACCCAGGAGGCGGAGCTTGCAGTGAGCCGAGATCACACCACTGCACTCCAGCCTGGGCGACAGAGCAAGACTCCATCTCAAAAAAAAAAAAAAAAATTCCTAAGATCTTCAAAAGTTTTCTGAAGAATTCAGGCCAGAGTCTTAGAGACAAAGTCTTGCTCAGTCACTCAGCAGGCTGGAGTACAATGGCCTGATCATAGCTCACTGCAGCCTCAAACTCTTGGGCTCAAGCAATCCTCCTGAGGTTGCTGGGATTACAGGCATGAGCCACTGTGCCTGACAAAACAAAATTCAAAGTCTTAATTGTAACTTTTTTCTTAAACAGAATCTCACTCTGTGCCCAGGCTGGAGTGTAGTGGCACTATCTCAGCTCACTGCAGCCTCTGCCTCCCAGGTTCAGGGGATTCTCGTGCCTCAGCCCCCAGAGTAGCTGGGATTATAGGCGTGTGCCACCACACCCAGCTAATGTTTATATTTTTAGTAGAGAAGGGGTTTCACCATGTTGGGCAGGCTGGTCTCCAACTCCTGACCTCAAGTGATCAACCCACCTTGGCCTCCCAAAGTGCTAGGATTGCAGGTGTAAGCCACCGCGCCCGGCCCTTAATTGTAATTTATGATGCCTTATGATACTTGACCTCTACCACCTAATACATTTGGTGGGACCTGGGGAGACCCAAAAAGGTAAAAGAGGTAGAATAATCTCTTGAGAATGGTATCTGTAAGAATTAAAGAAAGAGGAAAGAAACACAAAAAGTTTATTTTAGAGAAAACAAATCTGAGAAGGGTGTCTGGCCAAGTTAGGTCAGAGGCACACTCTCTTACAGACTAAGAGTTTTCAAGGATTCAGGGTGGGAAAGTTTATCAGAGGCTTGGACTGCTTCTGTGTCTCTTTGTTGTGCTTATCTGGGAGGGACAATTGTGTGTCTGTTCCCATATATCTTTCTGCAGCTGCAGGCATACCCCCCGCCGCCTCCCTGAGTCTGCTTTTAGCTTCCTTATCTTAGTGTACCCAAAGGGAAAGGAATGTGCTTATTAAGGCCCACTATTTTACTGGGGCCCATTGTATGAGGGTGAAGTTTGGCAGTTACCCAAGAGACTTTCCTCCCACCTCCCTCTGTGCCCGAGCTGTCTTATCTGTATTTTACTGTCTGCTCTTTCTGGCTGCTTGTAGTTAGAAGAAAAGTGATTTCCTTGAAATGCATGAGGCTGGAAAAGGAGCTGGAACTTAAAATGGCAGTGTTTGTCTGAGATGATGGTGCTCCTGCTCTGTCAATATCAAGGACCTCACAAGCCCCATCTGGTCTACTTATGGGCCAGGCAAAGCCAGAAAGACTCAGATGACCTTTTGAAAGCCATTCCCAAAGTGTTTCAGCTCCATGGCAACCAACAACCTAGAATGACTTCTAGACTTGTCCTAGAGCACTTCTCCAATAAGGGACCCCTGAAACAGCAGTTTCTGAAGTATTGTTGCCATTTGTGCAAACAACTAGGACACTGAAAAAGGGAGTGCCCCCAAAGATTTCCAAGAAAGCCCCTGAAAACAGGCTGCCCACTCCCTCTGATAATAATCTTCATGTTAACACCAGGATTTATAGGCCCCCAAGGAATACTCAGGGTTAAGTTTCTACCAGTTATTTTTTGTCCTTTTCATTAAAGGGCTCTTCCCTGAAGTCAGTAATCAAATTAACAAAAAATCTAAATTGAAAAGACTAACTATGAAATGAAATCTTTACAACTGGTCGGGCTCAGTGGCTCATACCCATAATCCCAGTGCTTTGGGAGGCTAAGGTGGGAGGATCACTTGAGGCCAGGAGTTCAAGGCCAGCCTGGGCAACATAGGCAGACCCCCTCCCTAAAAAAAAAAATTAGCCACACTTGGTGGCCTGCACCTGTAGTCCCAGTTGCTTGGGAGGCTGCAGTGGGAGGATTGCTTGAGCCCATGAGTTTTAGGCTGCAGTGAGCTTTGATGGTGATAGTACGCTACAGCCTGGGTGACAGAGAGAGACGTCTCTAAAAATATACATAAAATAAAATACAACTTTATGACATTTAATTGGCTATTTTGAAACTCTCTGTAAAAGAAATTTGCATCTGTAAAGGAAATCCCCATTAGTAAGGTTGTCTCCCTTTCTGCACCTAAACCACTAGAAACTTTAACAACGGGAAAGGTGGTGGCTTAGTTTACGTTAACAGTCTTACCAATGTTTAAGGTGCCTTTTCTAGCCATCTTGTCTTAATTGGAGGTTTACCTATGCCTTTTTTTGTTTTGACAAATAATAGGGTTTCTATTAATGAAGTTTCTATATTGTTCTAAGTACTGTAAATTGTCTTGTTTTATCTGAAAGTCATCTTTTTTTTTGGAAGTGCAAATTGTAGAGTTGCCTGGCTAACAATTGCTTCGGGCAACGGAATGGGTGATTGAAAGTTTGATGGGCTAAAGGGGGGAAAGTATTTCAAAACTGGCAAAGGAAGAATCTTAATAAAGCTATAAAATCTGCTTCTTTTTCCACGCCTATGTGTGTTATGCTTATGTAATATTTCTCAACCAAAATGTGTAAGAGACTCTGACTGATTGACTTAAAGAAAAAGTGCTTAAATCAAATATTTTATCAAAAAATAGAACCTAACTCAAATACCTTTTGGCTTATGTGACTTGAGTAAATTTTTGGTAAATAAGACTGGAAACAATTGTGTCTTCTGATCAGCAAAAATACCCATGTATTTAACTTTCGGATTTTTGATTAAGTGGCCAATGCCTAACATTTTTATGCTGTAAAAATGATTAACAGAATAACTGGAGATGGTGGTTAGTTTTATTCAATGTCTCATAGAATTTTCATGATCTTGTGTCAGGTCAAATCAGTCTGGTTGGGCAAATTCTTATGAGGGTGGTGAGGGGAATGTTTCAAAATGACTCAGTGACTAATTAAATTCCTACAAATTCATAGTTTACTCCAAGGCGTTCACACACCACCAATCACGCAAATATATTCAAAGACACAGACAGTTATAGACAGAGAGAAGGAACACAGCAAGTAGTTCAGGAGACCAGCCTACTGACTGGGAGGGGGCGGGGGGGATGCTTCTTTTCTCTCAGCAGTGCTTCCGGTAACTGCAATGGATGGAAAAGAGGCCTCTGAGTTCTCACAGGCAGAGTTTCTACAGGTGTCTCTGTCGTGGTCCGTTTCTTTGTGGGTTTTATGGTCCTCTGTAAAAGTGTCCAGTATCCATACCCATCTTCTTCAGCTACCTTTTGGCTTCACTGTCTTGTCAAGTCTTGTTACAGCAGGTAGCTAGTCAGGCATGAGTGGGGCAGGAGAGGGCTCCCCACCCCTGCACCAGAAATGTCAGGTGACCATCAGGTGATGATTCGGCAGTTGTCACACTGCCTCTCTAAAAATGAGAATTGGTCACAGGCACCAGGGAGAGGCAATTTCCTGATGATCCAGCAGTTGTCACATTAAAATGTAATTGGTCACAGGTGCCAGGGAGAGGCAATTTCCCAATAGATAAAAACACTTGAAATTGGTAATCAGCAGCTTCCAGTAAAATCTCAGGTATTGGGCAAGTGAGCCTGGGCATGCACATTAAGAGACAAAAAGGCAGAGTATGACCTTCTGGGGGCATTCCACTGGAAAAGGGAAGAAAGCCTCTGTTGAGCATGTGTACAACTGCAGTAAACACACTGCACATGCTCACCTCCCAAGTGCAATGAGGGCACTGTACATGTGGGTAGCCCACCCTAAAGGAAGAATAAAGGGAAAGGGATGCAAGACACCAAAAGTAGTCCAGCATATACAAGTCAAAAGGTCAAATGCTGCACTTGTCTTTCAAGTTGCCCATTGGGGCCCCTTCCAAGTGTCCTTTCCTTTCTTTCGTTCCTGCTCTAGAGCTTTTTAACAAACTTCTACTCCTGCTCTAGAGCTTTTTAACAAACTTCTACTCCTGCTCTAAAACTTGCCTCAGTCTCTTCTTCTGCCTTATGCCCCTCAGTCAAATTCTTTCTTCTGAGTAGGCAGGAACTGCAGTTGCTGCAGACCAGTATGGATTAGCTGTCAGTAACGAATATTCGCCACCCCTAACAGTGTCTGGCCACAGCAAGTGTCATCTTATCACCTCATTCCACCATACATATGCTTATCACTCTCAGAGCTCAGTAGTTTCACTATCAGCTGAGTCACTTGTCATAAGTGACTCCATTTTGAGACATTTAGGATCACAAACATTATAGATCACAAAAAGGTATTAAATATGTAAATTAGGCACAAATGTTTATAAATGAACTCTTCATAGTTTCAGAAATCTTTTTGGTAACTTAAATCCTTAAGTAATAAATAGTCATTAAATGTTCAGGTTATTTCTAAATAAGTTAGAATACTAAAACATTAATTACTAATCACATGTTTAAAATTTATATACGTTGGCATCTTGCTTTTATGTGGTATAGAGAAGCAAAATATATTTGGGTCTGTTAGTAAACACTTAAAAATTTGTTCTATGAGAAAGTACATGCCTCTAGAAATTATGAAATAAACTGTAGGGGCCAAAGGAAGACCTCTCCTTCACTCTGTGAAGATTTGCTGAAAAATCAACTCACAAGAGGGAGATTAATAGGAGAAATGGCACGCACATTTATTGGCTTGCGTGGAGAGAATCACAGAGTGATTCCCCCCCGCCCCCTATTGGAGTACGGAAGCTTATATACTATTTCGAGGTTACAGAAAGAATGGGGACTTGGAGCATAGCCAAAAACAGGTTGTGGTGGTAAATCAGGTTATAGCTGCAAGATGGGTTATGGGAGGGAGAGAAGTGGAGACCTGGCTGGCAAAGGTTGTCTTGTTATGTAGATGAAACATGACAGGTAGCAGCCATCAGAAACAATAGATGATAAATATTTTTCATAGACCTTTAAGGTGTCAGACTCTCAGTTAATCTTTCCTAGATCTAGACAAAGAAGGGCTTCAGAGAAACTTTGGTTGCATCAATGCAGATTCTTTATAGATGCAAAATCTTCCACAAGAAAAGAGTTTTGTGGGGTTACTTCTGCTCATTGTGTTAATGGTGGAAGATGTCCAGGTTCTTGGCGTCATGAACAAGGAATTGGACAAAACGCACAAACAAAGCAAGGAAGGAATGAAGGGTTTTATTGAAAATGAAAGTACACTCCATAGTGTGGGAGCGGGCCTGAGCATAGGGGCTCAAAGACCCCATTACAGAATTTTTGGGAGTTTAAATATCCCCTAGAGGATTCCATTGGTTACTTGGGGTATGCCCTATGTAAATGGAGAGGATGAAGTTACAAAGTCATTTACTTGGCCTGTGCCCTATGGAGAGGATATTTCCTGTCATGGCTGAAGTGTGAATCAGCCTTATGTTCCCTACCTCCAGATCCTATTTCCCTGCCTCAGTTGGCTGTCTGGATAGCCATCTCAAAACATGTCAAAGAAGTATATTTTGGGATGAAATATTTTGATTCTCTTCAGTATATTCATAAAATATTGGCATAAGACAGTTCAAATTGCCATTTCTTACATTTTCATAAAAAATAAGCTTACTAAGAATTCAAAATTTTAATTAAATATGTAATTAAAATTACTAGAAATAAAAAAAATATATGTATGTAAAGTGTACAAGGAAAGTAAGGTGTGTTTTTGTTACTGGGGGTCCTTGCTCCCAGAGCTCCCAAGATGGTGGTGGGCCACTTCCAAAATGGCAACAGGCCACTTCCAAGATGGTGGCAAGCCTCATGTTCTCTGACCTGGGGTTCTTGGCCTCACGGATTCCAAGGAATGGAATCTTGGGCCATGCGGTGAGTGTTATAGCTCTATTAGAAGTCGTGGGTCATGGAAAAGAACCGTGGAATCCAGTGACTAGTGTTCAGCTCGATTAGTACGAACCCAGGCACTTAGCCATGTGGGAACAATGGCAAGCCTTTAGCCAGATGGGGAGTGGTAATGGGCACCTCGCTAGATCAGGAGCACAGCGGACACCCTGCTGGATCCGGAGGGGTGGAAGTCAGCAGCGGGTCTGCGACAGCTGCAATACAGCAGTGGTGAATGGCGAGCAAAAGCTCAGCTCGAGCCATAACAAACACGGACCAGAAGAGTGCAGTTGCAAGATTTAATAGAGTGAAATAGAGTGAAAACAGAGCTCCCATACAAGGGGAGGGGACCGAAAGGGGTTGACGTTGCCGGCTCGAATGCCTGGGTTTATATCCCGATCCTTGTCCCTCCCGCTGTGCTCTCAGGCAATAGATGATTGGCTATTTCTTTACCTCCTGTTTTTGCCTAATTCGCATTTTAGTGAGCTCTCTGATTGGTCGGGTGTGAGCTAAGTTGCAAGCTCCGTGTTTAAAGGTGGATGCGGTCACCTTCCCAGCTAGGCTTAGGGATTCTTAGTCGGCCTAGGAAATCCAGCTAGTCCTGTCTCTCATTTTGGCAAGAGAAATTGTAAAAAGACATGAGAATATATTTTTGTTAAAAGAGCAAATTTCATCTAATTTGGAGGTTTTTGAAAGGATATTTCAAAATATAGATTTAGGAAGTGTCGACAAAAAGTGTCAAACTCTAAAATATTTAAAGGGATTTATTCTGAGCCAAATATGAGCAACCATGGCCCTTGACACAGCCCTCAGGAGGTCCTGAGAACATGTGCCCAAGGAGGTGAGGGTGCAGCTTGGTTTTATACATTTTAGGGAGGCATGAGACGTCAATCACATACATTTAAGAAATACATTGGTTTGGTCCAGGAAGGTGGGACAATTCCAAGGCGGGGCTTCCAGGCTATCAGTAAATTTAAGGTAAATTTAAACATTTTCTGGTTGACAATTCGTTGAGGTTGTCTAAAGAACTGTGACCAATAGAAAGGAATGTCTGGGTTGTGATAAGAGGTTGTAGAGACCAAAGTTTTACTATGTAGATGAAGCTTTTAGTTAGCAGGCTTCAGAGAGAATAGGTTGTGAAATATTTCTTATCAGACTTAAAGCCTATGTTGATGTTAATGCTGAAGAGGTATAATGAGGCCTGTTCAACCCCCACTTCACATCATGACCTAAAACAGTCTCTCAGGTTCAATTTTAAGAACGCTGGCTGAGGAGAAAGTCCATTCAGATGGTTGAGGGGACTTAGAATTTTATTTTTGGTTTACAGAAGGAAATACAAACAAGGCAGGGAATGAACTGGTAAGCAGAAGAGATTAAAAAAAAAGTTATAAGTATGAAGATGTAGTTTTGGTAAAGAAAGATGAAAAAAGTAATTTTTTCTTTTGCTTAAGAGAACTTTGTGTGGTCAAAATGATATAGGGAAAAGGAAAGTAAACTGCAAGTTATAGAAAGTTCACAGAATAGAAATCTCATGAAAGAAATTTTTTGTGTCATCAAGTTGCCTAAAATAGAAGCTAATTATAAATAATACAAAGTTTTGCCAAAAATTGACGATTAATAAAAAATGCGCTGGTGAAGGCAAGGTTTTGGGCTCCTGTGTTGGAATAACTGGGTTTTCTCAGAACATTAAGCTGTTTTTAAAAGGAAATTGTGCGAGGTTTTTCTTTACCTTTTAGGTAACTGGCCTAGGGAACAGAGATTCTGTGTTTAATCAAGATAATTTCGTGGGCTTTGTGCCTGTGAAATCTTTTGTCACTTCCATTTTATTTCATAGTGACCTGTGATCCTATTTTGATCAAGTATTCTAGACCACTGATAGTTGACAAACTTCTCAAATATCAAAATTAAGTATTTTTGACCTTGAAGTAACTTTGGGATATTATGACAAGCCCTAGAACTTCTGAAAGTAGTTGTAAAAGAGATATTACACCATCAGCTTATCTGATATGTTCATTTATATGAGAAGCACTGTCTAAATAAGGAATGATGGTTAATCTTCTCTGAGTTATATTTACATGGATATATTATTAATGTGTGTTCCGAAATTGTATAACATTCCTAGAACTCTGATATGTCTTGGTATAAATACTATCAGTCACAATGTTGGTTCAGAAATAACCAAATTTTTTTGTCAATTGCATCACTATTATAATAGACTTTCATCAGGTTTTTAATAATGGCTATTTTCAGACTTGATGTCCACAGTTAATAGTATTTTTTAGTAAAGAGGGGGTTTCACCATGTTGGCCAGGCTGGTCTCAAACTGCTGACCTCAAGTGATCCACCCGCCTCAGCCTCCCAAAGTGCTGGGATTGCAGGCGTGAGCCACCATGCCCAGCCTAAATCTTTATTTTTTTTATAAAACAATATTATGTGAACATTTTTATAAAACGGTAAATGATATGGTTTGAGTGTTTGTGTTCCTCCAAAATTCACATTGAAACTTAATCTCCAGTGCAACAGTATTAAGAGGTAGGGCTTTAGGGAAGTAATTAGGCCACGAGAGCTCCACCTTCATAGATGGGCGCCGTGCAGCAGGGGGCGGCGCTCGTTGGGGAGGCTTGGGCGGCACAGGAGCCCACGGAGGCGGGGGTGGGGGTGAGGCTCAGGCATGGCGGGCTGCAGGTCCCGAGCCCTGCCCCGCGGGAAGGCAGCTAAGGCCTGGAGAGAAATTGAGCATAGCAGCTGCTGGCCCAGGTGCTAAGCCCCTCATTGCCCAGGGCAGCAGCGCTGGCCGGCTGCTACGAGTGTGGGGCCCACCGAGCCCACGCCCACCCAGAACTCCAGCTGGCCCGCAAGCGCCACGCGCAGCCCCGGTTACCGCTAGCGCTTCTCCCTCTACACCTCCCCGCAAGCTGAGGGAGCCAGCTCTGGCCTCGGCCAGCCCAGGAAGGGGCTCCCACAGTGCAGTGGCGGGCTGAAGGGCTCCTCAAGTGCCGCCAAAGTGGGAGCCCAGGCAGAGGAGGTGCCGAGAGCGAGCGAGGGCTGTGAGAGCTGCCAGCAAGCTGTCACCTCTCACTAGTTTATTCCCTCTCTCTGGCCTGAGACTTTAAGAGCTACATTTCTGGCTCTAATCATTAGGAGTATCCATCTACATTGACTATACTTTATTTTGTCTTTAAGACAATACTTGATTCTTTTCTACTTTCATTACAGTGACACACTAAACTTTTACTTTATATTTTCCTGGTCTGTTTTTTGTATTCTCTCTCTAGGATGGGCTGTAGTTAATTCCAGTCACACGAGTATTTGCAGAACATTGTCTTACTTTGCCCTAACTTAAGTAAACCCCAAATATTATAAGAGTTTAGAAAAGCTGTGCATAGAGGGGTCACCCACTATTCCATGGTTCTCATTTCCACTTTGTTTCTCCAGGTCACATCTGAATCATTCCAGACAAGGTCCTATACCTCATTAAGCCTCAGCACCTTCAGGAAGCTGGTGATTCTGAGTTGAGAGTCCCCTTGTGAGGAATACATGGAGAAAAAAGTAATGTAGCAAGTACAGAGCTTGAGCTACCATAGGCACTCTGAGTCTCTGAGTCTCTGAGTCTGCAGAGTAAATGAATACAATGTAATGCACTGGAGATGACCAGCAAGCTGAGTTTTCCGTGTTTGTTTCAATAAGTATCTGGGTCCTAGGCCTCATGATTGTGATTGTTGCTAACCACCTTTGCAGGAGTGGCTACATTAGAAACATCTCCCTGGGTGTTAGGCTGGCAGCAAACTTTGGGGAGTGGTAAGAACAGGAAGTTAATTCTGTGACTCCTAGGACACTCCTCTCTATGCTTGGGGAAGGAACTTCCTGTAAGCAAGGCTTGAGGCTTGCTCTCGCCTTCGTCAGCAGCCCTCCTCAATCTTCTCCAAACTCCCGTCCCCAGGCCACACAGATTCTCCTCAAGAGAGCCCTATAAGGACATTGGTAAAATGTCACTGCCTTCAGGACACACTACGGGTGAGTTGGCCAGCATGAGGCTGGAGTCTCAGGTCTCACAGGGCAAAAGGGACTGAGCCCCCTTCCCCACCTTACCCTAACCCACATAACACCCAGCCAATCTCCCTTTAGATGGGGGTGGGCAGTGGCAAGGGCCCAGGCCTGAGTCTTGTGGCCTTCTCAGGGCCAGGGTTTGAGGTATGAGGAGGGTCACCTGAGGCAGGGGTTGGTAAAAATTAACATTCCTTGGATGTACACTAGAGGTGGTAGTGGGGCAGGGAATACATCTTTAATCTTCACACTAACCATTCAAGGTAGATTGTATTACCTCCCACCCCAGCCCCAGAAATTTATCAAGGCTAGCCTTATGGCCCAGCATATGACTTATTCTGGAATGTTCCATGTGAAGGTTTTCTGTGCAGTGTTCTATGTCATTTAAGCAAACTTATTACTCATGCCATTTAAATCTTCTATATGTAGCTGAATTTTTGTCTGCTAGTTTTATCTGTTACTCAGAGAGGTGTGTTAAATTCCCACATCACAGTGGTTTTAACTATTTCTCTATTTACTTAGATCAGTTTTTGCTTTGTATCTAAACATAGATTGGTCCATGTTAAGACATGCATACAAATTTAGAATTTCTTTTTTTTTGTATAACTTGAAACTTTATTTTTAAAGTATTCTGAAATTTTTTCAATAATTTTAACCAGCACTTACTTCCCTTAAGCACACACACATTTTTATCTTACAATTATAAGCCCTATTGCAGTACAAAAAAAAACAATAATTCTACTAAGTTAGCCAGCCAATTAATTCTACTAAGTTAGCCAGCCAATCAAACTATGTCCGTAAATAATCATGTTACAGCCTAGAATCAAACAAAAAATTCTTCTAGTTCTCTTTAAAGATATTTATCATTAATTTTTTCATAAAACCAAAGTAATTGATCCAACAATACTAACAGTTCTAGCATGCAACAGACCATCTAATATCTAATGTTTAATCTTCTTCTTTTTTTTTTTTTTTTTTTTTGTGATGGAGTCTTGCTGTGTCGCCCAGGCTGGAGTGCAGTGGCACAATCTCGGCTCACTGCGAGCTCTGCCTCCCGGGTTCACGCCATTCTTCTGCCTCAGCCTCCCGAGTAGCTGGGACTACAGGCATCCGCCACCATGCCTGGCTAATTTTTTGTATTTTTAGTAGAGACGGGGTTTCACGGTGTTAGCCAGGATGGTCTCGATCTCCTGACCTCGTGATCCACCTGTCTCGGCCTCCCAAAGTGCTGGGATTACAGGCATGAGCCACCGCGCCTGGCCTAATCTTCTTAACATGTGTATTTTCATTCCTATAAAGTTTCCTTAAGAAGCTTGCAATAATAATAAAGGTAAATAAGTACAGTTGTCCCTTGGTATCCATGGGGTATTGGTTCCAGGACCCCCCCTACCCTGCCCACCCACAGATACCAAAAATCCAAGTATACTCAAGTCCCTTACATAAAGTGGCATACTTGCATATAACCAGCGCACATCCTCCTGCATACTTTATCTCTAGACTAATACCTAATGGAATGTAAATGCTATTTAAATAACAGTTATATTGTATTTTTTATTTGTATTATTTTTATATTTTTCTCTCCTATTATTTTTGATCTGCAATTGGTTTAATTCACAGAGGCAGAGTCCGTGGATACGGAGGACCAACTGTGTTTTGTTATAGGTACTTCAAATAGCACTTCAGTACATCTTTGACAAAATTTTTACAATATTCCAACTTTCAATATGAAACAGCTTAAAAAGGCATGGGTCAAAAAAAAAGTATAGTAGCATCACTTAGGCAAATAAAGCCTCATAATCATACAAACACAACACTGTTAGGACTCTCCCTGTTTAGGTCGGGAAAAAGAGTATATAAAACATTTCCTTCAAATAAAATTACATAAATTGCTTAGAAAAATGCCAAAATCAATAATTTCAGACATAATAAGGAGAAAACCTTGAACATTATTGGAAAATATAAACTAGCTATTCCTTGCTTTTGTGTAACAGATGAGTTCTTGAAAAGTTTTGTATTAAGCAAATTCTGTAAACCACTATCTTGCCTGCACTGGAAGAACATATCCCAAGGAAACCTAAGAGAAAGTGTTTTTTAAAGCATGTGATTCTCCTCTGTTTTTGTTGGCTGTCTCTACGTAATAAACAGGCACACTTCTACATCATTGGGTGTTTTACTCAGACTGCCATGTTTCATCTCTGTAAATTAAACCCAAGTTACTTAAAAATCACCTGTGGTAAAAGAAGCAAGCAGATCACCCCCACCTTCTATCCCTCCCGCCTCCCCCTGCCCCAAAAGGGAGTTCTCAGATTATGATGCAAAATTTACAATTGTTCTTTTATCCACATTCTCAATAGAGGATTTTCCACTATATTTAAGTATGGTAGGATAATTACCCACCTGTTCCTCTTTTCAGCTTAGAAACATAATGGTTAATTCCTTTTATTGCTAGAAAATGTCATTCCTGAAGATTTTATAAACAAAGGCAAAGGTGAAGGACAATTTGTCATTATGAAATAAGTCCTTTGTAGTTTAGAATATTTCCCAAATCATAACAGTTCTATTTGGAATGATACCCACAACTCTACAAGCATCTTATCCCTCTACAGGAATGACTACCTTACTAATCAAAATAAAAATTTAACAAGGATCAAAATAAAATTATTTAGCATTAGACTCTTGCAAAAATAAAAACTAAAACTAGACCTAGTCATTGCCATTTGATCAAACTTAGAACAGGCTTAAATAATAGGACCACTCCATTAAAGAGGCATAAAAAGAAAAGTTTACTAAAATAAATGTTAAAGTCTTATGGAGATGAAGATCTCTAGAATAGAGTCTTAAATCTATGACTACTGCTATAATTAATGAGCAAATGAATGACTTGAAATTATTCCTCTGAAAAGATAAAACTGCATACATATTATGAAAAAGACTATGGCACTTGGAAAATATTCCTGGTAAATAAACATGGTAAATGTATATGGATACATCCTAGCCTCTTGCCTACTTTTAAATTATTTTGAGAAAGATGTCACTCGCTGGGAAAAAAAAAAGAAAAAAAAAACCTTAATCACCTGAAGAAGTGAAATTACCACATAGTCCTAAAAATAAATAGCTTTGAAAAGACCAATGAAAAAATACTATAATTTTCTCATCCATTTTCACCTTTAGTGCCTCTGTAGTTCTTTAAATTTACAAAAAATTTCCAATGCAATTTGAGCCACATGTGGACAAAATTATGCTTTCATATGAAATGTAAGATAAATGAAATATAGCAGGGATATGTGCTGCAGCTAAAAACCAATTTTTGCCTCTCGGTCTTTTGAGTATATATAAAAAGAGATGGCATGTCTTAAGGAATAATTCCTTTAAAAATGAATGAGACTAAATTATTTATACAGCATCATGAATTTATATTTTTCAATACAGACACAGCATATGTTTACAATATTAAAATGCCTACTTTATAGCATCAAATCATGTTCTTGCCTCTAAAAATTAATTTGGCTGTTTCTAAAACATTGTATTAATTTTCTATGTATTTTACCTCCTTACTATGCAGGACAAACAAATGCCTGTGAAACCATTCAATTTAATGCAGGCCTCTTGATAAAAACGCATTTTAAATAATACAGGCTTTAAAAATAAGATCACCAGAGACCACAATTGTTAGTGGTTGTGACAGTTTACATAACCGAATCCAAGGCAACCAGTTTCTCTTGTGGTCGTTCTTTAAATTGAGTAAGTTGATGTCTCTTCCAGTGAGGAGCCTGTCGGAATGTTTTGCCACAAACTGAGCATTCAAATAGTTTCTGCCCTGCATGAATTAGTTAGTGTTTTTCCAGTATAGATGGAGATCAGAAACTCCTAGCACAAACACTGCGTCGGTACAGGAAGACATCATTTTTCTCCTGATGTTCTGAATAACTGCAAAAAGGATGGCTTTGCTCTGATTCCAAAAGTACATTAGGAAGACAGGGCTGCCTGGTGCTACCAGGAATAAAATCCTGTGAGTCTGCCTTAACTCCTGACATTTGATCTGACTCTGAGACCTCGTATTTTTGAACACCAGGAGCCTGACATTGTTGGGAATCATTATAGTTAACATTATTACGTGGATGATTAGAAAGATTGTTCAAGTTTCCAAATTCTACTTGGCAAAGGGATGCATAAGGACTCTTTTCATTATGAATCTGTTCATGTCTTTTTAAGTGAGCTGACTGTCTAAAAGATTTCCTACAAATATTAACAGCAAAAAGGCCTCTGTCCAGTATGAACTAAATAGTGTCTTTTTAGTTTGGATACAGAAGGAAATACCTTCTCACATTTGTCACAGAGACATATCTTATGTCTAGTACGTATGTTTTCCCTTGGAACTGAAAAACCACACTGAAGTACCTCACAGTTATTAAATAATTCCTCACCTGATGAGCCACAGATTGACAAGTCTTTCTTATTCACTGAATTATCAATGCTTAATAAGTTTGCTGTAGTAAGGATACCTTTCATTTTTTTCCCACATTTTGGTTCTGGAACTGCTTTTGCCAAGAAAATCGCAAAGTCAATGTTTTTTTTTATTGCCAATTGTTTTATATGTTCCATGTTTGCCAAGAGAACCCACAAATGTTCTTTGGGTTTGTTCAGAGCACGGCTCACCAGAAATACGATCACAATTTTTCAAGAATCTCTTTTTAAATACTTTTTTCTAGGATCAAAAGTTATCTAATTTTTTACTCCTAGCACGTTTAAGCTTGGCCAATATTTTTTTTAACAATGGTTTTATAGTTGTAGCTTCTTTTGAACCTGCTTGGAATTTTGCCACCTCTAGCAGGAAAACACATGTGTTCATTGAGAATCTGCTGTGATTCAAAACATTTTCACACTTTGGATATTGAAAAGGGACAATATAAATTGAGTGGACATAAAGTGGATTATTCTACTCAGATTCACCAATATCACCATTTTCAAAACCACCCTGATTTGCATTTAACTTATTAGGCAGGGGGCAATATTCTGTATGCCTCTTCTTTAATAAAAGAGCTCAAAAAGCCTTATTCCTAGTATGGATTTGTTTATGCTTCAGAAGTTTGCTTTGAATCTTAAAACCTTTTTGACAAAAACAACATTGAAAAGGTCTTCTGAATGTGTAAGTTGGTGGATTTTTAAGTGAGGTGACTGTCAAAAAGATTTACTACACGAGAGACATTTAAAAGGCCTCTGACCAGTATGAATAAGTACATGCCTATCCAGTTTTGACTGTGATGGAAACATCTTGCCACAGATTGTATATGCATGAATATTCTTTCTTCTCTTCATGCTATATGTGGGATCGGACTTAGAGCACGGGTGTAATGCCCATCTTTCCTCTGGTAAAAGTATTATACACTCCATATGTTGACTTTTCTTGTTTGGCCTCCAGCAGT